>NC_000005.10:43273274-43905799 GCF_000001405.40 Homo sapiens | reverse complement strand
AAGGTGGTGAGGGATAAAAGACTACAAATTGGGTCCAGTGTATACTGCTCAGGGGATGGGTGCACCAAAATCTTACAAATCATTACTAAAGAACTTACTGATGTAACCAAATACCACCTGGTCCCCAAAAACCTATGGAAATAAAAAAATTTTTAGAAGGAATGAAATAATAATTTTATCCATTCCTACCTTCTTTTATGTAAGTAATTTAATAAGAATAATGTTACAGTATTAACCATTCAATTTAGCAGACACAGGAGGAGAAAGGGAAAGAAATAAGAGGAGACAGAAAGATGATTTCTATTTCTCCAACATTCTCACAGAACACTTATACTGCTGCAAATAATGGGTCCAAATATGGAGACACTAATGAACCACTAACAGACTACACAATGCAACTCATCATCATAATGCATGTTTACAATTCTTTATAGTCAACAGAAGTAGTTTTATAATTAAAGGAAGTGGGCATTTCTGGCTTCTCAAATTCAAATGTTATTTTTGATTTACTTCTAACTTCCTTATTTAAACATTCTTTTTTCCCAAATTAGCCAAGAGATTCTTTCTCAGTGAGCACAAACCACATGGAAAGTTACAGTTTTTAAGTTGTTCCCATTTCTTAGTTCTCTATAAACCAAACATAAATTACATTGCTTCAGATCCACAAATCTAACTTTAAAAATTTATATTTGGGTTAAGAAATGCATAGAAATTTCCTTCCCCAAAAGCTAATTTTAGGAGATCCATGTGAATTTTTAAATACCCAATTCCGCATTCTCAAACAGATCAAATGATCCAAGATGCTAGAAACATTTATTTATAGACATTTTGTCACCAATAATTATATTAAGTGATAAAATAATTATATTATTGAAATAAGATCAAAATAGAGATTTAAGTTAGTCACTTAAAAAATGGAACTTTCTGCAATAGCAGATAAACAAACACTGTCTAATCTCCCGGATAACGAGTATCTGGAGAAAGGTGTGACTCTGAGTGTACTAAGGAAAAAGCTACATAAAAAAAAAAAAGACGTGGTTCGTTCTGAGTCAAAGTTCCAGACCAGTTGAATCTAGCTATCAAGGCTAAATTCCAAATAATAGCCACTTTAACTATACTATTAATCAAATAAACTTTGTTTTTTGCATCTGCTAAAGATTATTTGGCTAACCTCTTGACTCATCTTATCATACATGCCCTCAGTCCAACCTTGTGTCTTGATTTCCTTTTCACTACTAATTATGGAAAAATTTTTCTCATTGTGGAAGTTTAATTTCACAGACTATTCTTGAACGCTACCATTTCTTCATCCATCCATTCAACCAGACACAACATCCCAGATAATTTTTTTCTCTTTTCCAGGCCCACTGCCTTCACACTTGGTTTAGGAACTTATTACCTTATTAAAGGACTATTAAAATTGCCTTGGAACAGCTCACCCTGCCTGAATTTTCTCCACTATGTCCTATTCTCCACATTGCTACTGTAATAGATTAACTTCTGACTTAGTATAACCAATAAGAGCTCCTCCTGGCCAATTAAAATGAAACAGGTTCTTGGTCTTTGCTTCAGTGGCATCTGATTCCCCTAAGCACCCCCATATTTGAGAATACCTTTCCCCAAGCTGACCTTTCCCTTTATCTTTATTCCATTTTTATTTTTTTTATTATACTTTAAGTTTTAGGGTACATGTGCACATTGTGCAGGTTAGTTACATATGTATACATGTGCCATTTTTATTTTTGTTGTTCTTTTCTCCTGCGGGCCCTACTCCATATCACTCAGTTTAATAGAATATCTTCCATTAAAATTTTCATAAACATCCCATCTTCCTTTCTTGAATGTGAACAGCATTCTGCACCAATCTCAGTTTTTATCTGAAAATAACTGGTATTGTAATTACTCCTAAGTAAGTCTTGCCTTTCTTGCTATAGTACAAGAAAATTTGTATTGTCTGTGTTTTATTCTCAAATATATTTTAAGCAAAGTTGGTTCTTAAAATTACTTATTGAATGAATGTAATAATCTTCAAAAATCTAATACTGTATATTGCTACATGTGACTACTTTATAAAAAGATATTCTTAGCTGGACGTGGTGGCACACGGAAAAAAAAAATTGGCTACACTACCAAAGTTCAAAACAGGCAAAGACAATGAAAGAGGGACTCTATTCGAGCTTTTCTGTAAAACTCATTCAGACTCCAAACTTTAGTCAATCTGCTTCACATTTCATTTAAAATATGACTAGAAATTTTCAACCTAATAACAATCATAGCCTCCAATTATTTAGTGCCTACTATGTGTAAGACTCTGTGCTAAGAGTTTTCCATGTATTTTTGTTTAATCCTCACAACAACATTGTGAGAGGAGTATTATTATCCTCATTTTGTATATGAGGAAACTGAGAATTAGTAAGGTGAAATAACTTTCCCAATACCTCATAATTAGAAAGTTGCAGAACCAGAATCCAAACCTGTATTTTTCAGACTTATCAAGGTTCATGTTCTTATCTACCTCACTTTAGTGTAGATTAGTCCTAACATACTAATACCAAAGGATATTATCTTAAATCTCATTTTTATTTCTTATGGAATTTGGAGGCTTTTGGCATACCAATCTGCATTTTATAGACATCAATAAATTACTTTTTCAGCTAATGATAATATTTGCAGGGCTGGTATTATTCAGAGATTTGATTTTGTTTAGAATTCAATTACTATTCATGACAACTTTAAGGCAGGTCTTGAAGATGAATTTTTGCATCTTCAGCCTGTTATGAAAAACTACTAAGATCACACAAAACTTAAGTTATACCATGCAAATAAAGTTTACAGTGATTGAATATAACTTGATACAAATGCTGAAAATAATAAATTATATTATGCCAGTAAGAGTCACTGAAAATGAAAACAAAATAATTGTGCAAGAAAAATGTTATAAGTATTGCCACTTACATCAAATTACAAAATATATACGTGTATATTTATGAAAAATAATGCTACTCTGAGAATATTCCAGAAATTTACCACCTTTCAATAATACAAGAATATATTTATAAATATATTAGTACACCTAAATATTTAACAGAAACATTGCTAAAGGAATGCTACTCTATTTTAAAAATTAAGTGTTTTTTTAATCGGCTCAAAGTAACCTAGAAATGTAAAGTAAAACCCAGTTTCCTAAATGTCCTATTGCTTTATGTACATTGGTTAGAGTCCATGGACTTGTGATTCTCCTTTTTCATTATCAGTAGAGAAAATAATGTTTTTATATGTTTGCCATATCCCTAGAAGATATCTATTGATTCAGTCATTCATTCAATAACTAAACTACTTATTTATAGAACACCAAACATGTGCCAGACATTACTCAAGGTGCCATGTATATAGCAGTGAGCAAGACATGTAAGATTCTTGCTGTCATGAAGCTTACCCTCCTGAGGAGACAGTCAGTAAACAAGCACACAAATTAATAAGTAAGGTTTTTTTAACTTTTACTTAAGTTCAGAGGTACATATGCAAGTTTGTTATATAGGTAAACCCATGTCATAAGAGTTGGTTGTACAGTTTATCTCATCACCAATGTATAAGTACTATTAATGGGTAAATAACCCATATTTACTAATAAGTATTTACCCATATTAACTAAGGAGTAAATAACTAATATTAACCCTAATACACATTAGTTATTTTTCTTGATTGTCTCCCTCCTTCCACCTTCCATCCTATGGTAGGCTTCAGTGTCTGTTGTTCCCCTCTATGTGTCCATGTGTTCTCATCATTTAGTTCCCACTTATAAGTGAGAACATGCAGTATTTCATTTTCTGTTTCTGCGTTAGTTTGCAAAAGAACTATCAACAGAATAAACAAACAATCTATAGAGTGAAAGAAGATTTTTGCAAACTGTTCATCTGGCAATGATCTACTATCTAGCATCTATAAGAAATCTAAACAAACAAGAAAAATCAAATAGCCCCATTAAAAAGTAGGCAAAAGATCAGGCACGGTGGCTCATGCTTATAATCCCAGCACTTTGGGAGGCCAATGGGGGCGGATCACTTCAGGCCTGGAGTTCGAGACCAGCCTGGCCAATCTGGTGAAGCCCTGTGTGTACTAAAAATACAAAAATTCACTGGGCATTGTGGCAGCTGCCTGCAATCCCAGCTACTCAGGAGGCAGAGATTGCAGTGAGCCGAGATCGCGTCACTACTCTTCAGCCTGGAAGACACAACGAGACTCCGTCTCAAAAAAAAAATAAAAAATAAAAAGTGGGGAAAGGACATGAACAGACACTTTCCAAAAGAAGACACACATGTGGCCAACAAGTATATGAAAAAAGCACACCACCACTCATCATTAGAGAAATGCAAATCAAAACCACAATGACATATCATCTCACAGCAGTCAGAATGGCCATTATTAAGAAGTCAAAAAATAACGGATGCTAGTGATGTTATGGAGAAAAAGGAATGCTTATACACTGTTGGTGAGAGTGCAAATTAGTTCAACCATTTTGGAAAACAGTGTGGCAATTCCTCAAGGAGCTAAAAACAGAACTACCATTCAAACCAGCAATCCCATCATGGGTTATATATCCAAAGGAACATAAATCATTCTGTCATTAAGTTAATTTTAGATAGTGTCAAGTAATACAAGGTCATTAAGAGAGTCTAACTTAAGAAAGAGTATCTCAAGGGTAATGTTAAATTGGGTGGTCAGGGGAAGTTACTTTGAGATGATGGCCTCTGAATTAACAGCTGAAAGAAAATAAGGAGTCAACACCACAAAGATCTAGGGAAGAGAATTCCAGGTGAGGGGGGATTGCAGGCAAAGTCTCTAAGATGGGAAGGAGCTTAACCAGTTCAAAGAAAAGGAAAAAGGCCAGTGT
This sequence comes from Homo sapiens, assembly GCF_000001405.40. Lineage (NCBI taxonomy): Eukaryota > Metazoa > Chordata > Mammalia > Primates > Hominidae > Homo > Homo sapiens. The sequence goes on along the minus strand of NC_000005.10, from coordinate 43,900,908 downwards.
GAGCAGAGTGTTCTAGGGAGAGGGAAACAGGAGTAGATAAGGCTTAACAGGTAGGAAAGAGCCAACTCAGTGCTTTATTGACCACATGAAGACCTTTGGTTTTAAATGTGAATTGCAATAGGAAACAAGGGAATAAGGAGGTGAATGATGGGACATGATATGTACTGTAAAGAAAATTAGCTCCCACAATATTATTGAAACAATTAAACTGTTTATTATTGGGTATAAAAATAGAATTAAAATAGATGTAATCCCTGGTTTGGATTTGTAGAGTAGCTTTCTCCCATAGATTTTCTTTGGAAATCACCATCTACTTTATTTTACCAACATAGATGTCATTATTCATTTTACAGCTCAGGATTGAGACACAATAAGATTAATTCATTTTCCAACCCCTACAGGTAATAATGACCATCACACCATGTATGATGCATCCTAATAGCAATCTAATGAGGGCAAGTATCTTGCCTTACTGATTTCATTGAACACATTTCCTCATCCTTTACTTCTGATGGAAGAATTCCACAGAGTGCTTCTAGAAAACAAAATGCTGCTTGCCAAATTACAATCAGACAGCAGTCCTGCCTTAATTGATGAATGGTCTGAGTGTTAGGAGTCACCAAGCTCAAACCAACTAGTTTTAACCACTTAAAGTATTCAGTCACATCCTAACAACACATTGTAGGAAATGAGTGTCTTATTGCTTTTAGGAAACAGAATGTATATTTAAAAAATAAGGTGGTATTTGGCGTGCTTTACCAACCTCACAGCACAAACAAGTCAAATAAACACCATCTTCCAGTTTTTCAGCCCGGAGATCAGAAGTTTAAAAGAAGTCAATATTGAAAGTCAACCCATTAACCTCTGCCTCTCCATTATCTTGTGTTAGACTTTCAGAGAAACTTCCGTATAACTACAGCTCCTTAAACCATGTAATCTCAAGAAGAGCTAAGAGGACTTGACTTGTCATAGGAGATGTTAAAATGTTGTTAGTAGATTTAATGAAAACTTAAAAGACCATAGAAACTTTTTTACAGGCCAATGAATGTTATTTCTTAATCTCTCAGTGGGTCTTTGTTGGATGTATTCCTTTAATAATGTGTCCACAAAAAACAAATGCCTCAAAAGGATGTGTTGACATAATAAGAACACCAAAATGTTTTTGAAGGGATGAGCTTCTTTAAATGTTTTTCTTGAAATTATTAAGGGTAAGAAAGTTGTTGGTGGGAGACTCTCTATACTAATCAAGTATCCCTTCATGGCAAAGGATTATGCTAGCAAGGCCCATTTCTTTCTTCTGATAATTTGAAAGGATAATAACAGCTTCTTGTTGGTGTCCTTAACCTTGTCCACACCTCTGTTCATAGTCCTTTCATTCAATTCTTTCTAATTTGACCATACCATCTGTCTTCTGTTGAGATCCTGACTGATGCTGTACCAGACTTCTGATCAGACATAGACCAGAATCCTGTTGAAAGTACAGCCTCTAATGATCTTTCTGAACTGTCATGACCATCTCGTTCTTTGTTCTTCACTGCCCTTAATGTTGTTATGCTGTCACACTGATTCCGGGGATCAAGAACTAGTTAAAAATCACAGCTTAGGCCAACCAGTATTTCTTAAGCATCTACTATGTGTTGGAAACTATGGTTGGAAATGGGAAGATAGAGATGCAGAAAATGTTGGCCCTGCAACATTTCTACATCTACACATGATCTCAGGATGTCATATTCCATTGGGCAAATATACCTTCTCAAATCTAAAAGCCTTCAAGAATCCTTCTCATCGATGTTTCTCCCACATCACACCAGCCTATGTGTGAAGAAAGAAAATGCAGGAGGCTGGCTCTGCAATAATTACAGTCCAGAGACTGCAAATAGTGATGCAGTAATTACAGTCCAGAGACTGTAAATAGTGATGTTTGGAGAGTTCCAAATACACAGGAATTCAGGTACATGAGGGAAAGTAGCAGAAAGACAAGGCTAGAGATTGAGTTGAAGTCAGATAATAAAGAGAATTGAATGCCATACAAACTAACTTATTTGCTTATAATTTGATAGGAAATAGTAGATCATGAAAGTTTCCCAAACAGAAGAAGGAAATGATCAGATAAAATTTTAAATTTTATTGGAGCAATAAACAATGAATTCAAAATTATAGAAAGATGAGGGAAGAAGAGTAGGCACAAAATCCTTACAACTGTCCCGGTAAAAAAACTAAAATAGTGAACACAAAGAGGAAGAAACAAACACGAAAGACTAGAGAATATGAAATACAAATGGAAACAGCTCATTAAGTCTAGAAGTAACATTGAAGAGCAGAAAATTTGGGGTAAATTGTTGTGGGTTACATAATTGTTAACCTAGAAATCTTTGCTCTCAGCTCAAGATTTACTGATTTTTCTCCTAAACCATACTACTACTCTTTGCAAATTACTGGCACATTTCCTACTTAGAAATAATTAAACAAAATGTCTATTTGACCCATTATTGCTCCATTTCAGAAAAGTTTCTGAAATGCATGTTTCAATAAAATCATATGGTGATCATCACTCTGTTAGAAAGAATGTAGTGTGGTTTTTCTGTCTTACATCAGACAATAAGGAAAACATCGAAATCTTTGTAAAGAAGAACTGAAGCTATAATCATGGCTCAAACATGATTCCATCCCATTTCACTTTCTACATAAACTTTCTTTGAAAATGAAATGAGTGAAAGTAGGAAATGTTCTTTCTGCTTTTAAAACAAGGGAACAGAAGGTAACATAATTATACAAATACAAGATGAATCAATATCATATGGAAGAGGTTGTTATGATAGTATCAATGATTGTTAAAAGCAAAAATATTGAAGATTGTTTGAACAGCAAACATATTTCTACTCAAATATAAAATCACCTATACACAATAAAGCAATTCTTAAAATTCTCCTCTCCCATTTGTTTCTCCATATTTAGGCTTCAGAGAAATATTCTAAAACAAAATCAAGGCTATCATATCTTTAGCATCCTTTAAGTCTCAGTTTAGCCCTTGACTCTATTATCTTCATGTCCACTCCAAGATTTCCTCTATTCCCACAGTTTTCTTTACCATCTCAATATTCTATAGCTCCAGGCCTGCTACCCCTACTAAATTGAAACCCAGTTTCTTTTTTCGTCTACTGGAAATTTCCACATAGATTTCTTGCAGGTGCCCCAAACTCAATATATCTAAAGCAGAATCCATCATCTTCTCTCTTCCACCTCTGAATCAGTTCACCCTTCCATCACCACTATTTGCAAAGCAGTACATTTTCCCATCATTCTTCTAATCTTGAAATCTTGACATCATTGGAATTGAACAATGAGAACACTTGGACACAGGATGGGGAACATCACACACCAGGGCCTGTCATGGGGTAGGAGGAGTGGGGAGGGATAGCATTAGGTGATATACCTAATGTAAATGATGATTTAATGGGTGCAGCACACCAACATGGCACATGTATACATATATAACAAACCTGCACATTGTGCACATGTACCCTAGAACTTACAGTATAATAAAAAAAGAAAGAAGGAAGGAAGGAAGGATGGAAGGAAAGGAAAGGAAAGGAAAAAAAAGAAAGAAAGAAAGAAAGAAAGAAAGAAAGAAAGAAAGAAAGAAAGAAAGAAAGAAAGAAAGAAAGGAAGGAAGGAAGGAAGGGAAATGAAAGGAAAGGAAAGGAAAATCTTGACATCATCTTTTCCCACTCCTCTATTTTATTTGTTCCTATAACATTTCCATTCAAATGTATGTTATCCTTTACCTTGAGGGACTTCACATCTGGATTAGAATGTGTAATAGTTGTGTATACTATACCATACACTTCACAGCAAAATGTTATTTAAAAAAAAAAAAAAAAACCAAGACTGGCTCTGACCAAAATGTGTGGCCTTAGGCAAATTTAAATTTCTAAATTCCAGTATCCTCATCTATAAAATGGGGATGACAATAGTAATGGCTTTGTAGGGTGGCCAAAAGAATGAGATGACATATGCATATAAAAAGACATAGCACCATACTCTGCAACTAATAAGAATTCAGTATATTTTAGCTACTTGTATCATAATTACTTCACCCAGATCCAATGCATTGCTTATCATAGCCAAACTAACTTTAATTAAACTTAGATCATGACACTCCTTTGCTGAAATTCCATTTATCATTCATCTAAATCATCAGAATATATTTATCCAAATTTTTCCTCCTGAAATTTGTATTATTTGTATATAAAACCTCTTGCTTATGATGGTATTGAAACATCATACAAGATGCTTCCCTACTTTGTCATCAATAACTCTAAGAACCCAGGGCCTTGAAAATAACCTTTTTGGGTCCCTCTTCTCACTCAAAACCAAAAAAGGAAATACCAACTTTGGATGCATTTTGTTCTTAAACTAAAGCATTAAAAGTCCTACTCACATCATTCACTTTTGACTGTGAAAGCCTGGAGTCAGTATCAGGTATGAGTATAATTTCTTTTGGCATGTGATGTCTGTGGCCTAATCAGAGACTAAATCCCAGATCGTGGAATCTGAGTAACTAACTTAGTGGTGGTGTTTTCAGGAACAGGTGGAGCCCTGCATGATTCTCTATCTCCTGCGGTAAGTGAATCTGACAACTCTCTGAGGCAAGAAAGTGATTCAAACCCTTTTCTGAATGTTGAGGGTTTGACATTAGTTTTTCTCTCCATTTTTAAACCCTATTTTGTTTCAAGAAAAATTCAATCCATCTGTTTCTGATTCTTCAAAACACTGTTGTTTTGTAAGAACTATTTGATGTCACAAAGCCTGATGAGTCTCAACAAAGCCATTTGCTTCCCAATAGAAGGCTATAGATCTCTCCAAGGAATTATGAAACTAGAACCTCAGGCATCTTAGACCTCACAGATCTATCACATTTCTAAAATTTCTCCCAGCTTGAATTTTCTTTTTGAAGAGCATCTCAATAGGAAATCGCTCCCAACAGCCTCATTAGCCAGACACTTCAAAATGTAATATCCAGCTCATGTTTTTCTTTTCAGGACATTTCAATCCTAAGAACTCTGTCACAAATAGGTAACATTCTATCTGAAGAAATAACACCTTGCAATAAATATTTACATTTTCTACTTTAATCCTGTAATTATGACACTTTTCAAACAAAACAATAGCAACGTCATACGACAGGTCTGAAATAGATTTTTGAGAGAAATAACATACAGGGAAAAAGGGTAACAACAATGAAAAGGCTGTCTTTGACCAAATAATCATTTTAGAAATTTCTAGGAAATTAACTAGTAAATGCAGAAATCACTTCATAAGAATAAGCTGTAGAACATAGTTTTATTTTTCTTAGAGTAAGTTATAATTGTAAATAGAGTCCTGAGGCTCTGAACTGAAGCAATGGGGGAAATTAAATTGCAAAGTAATTACGAAAGATGTAATTTAGCCAAAATATAATTTGACTTCTTGATGTAACCCAGGCTCTTGTTACTGCTTTCTCAAATAAGTCAGTGAATTAAGAAAAAGGAAATAACTCAAAATAATGTTTGTTTTTAACTTCATCAATCTGGTATCAGTATTTTCTATGGAAGCTGAATTTCATCAAATCCTCAAAGAGAATTGTTCATGCTAATGTATTAACATATTATAGTCTGAAAGGACCAGGATTCCAAAATACCTACCTAATTAAGTATAGGAATACAGTTGCATTTCTTTTTATAAAACTTTCCCTCAAAATATATTTACAGTGATGACTATGTTATAAATATGGAGCCAAGTCTGGGCTCAATTAAAGATCAAAATGGCCATTGTCTGGTTACTTGGGCAATACAAGACAACAATAGGTTACCAGAAATATATCAATATATGTAAATGGAGATTTCAACTAGTGTTAGTCTTTTTTACTTCACTTGGTAATTTTTTGTTTTGAAGTACGGGATTATTCCATGAGATAAAATTCTCCAAATTATTTTTCTTTTGCTCAGTTAAATATGTTAAGGTCAATTACCATGTGAAACAGACATCAGTTGAGGTACCTCAAAAGAGAGTGCAGTCTCAGGTGAAACTGCTAAGAAGCAGAACAGATTTCACTTTTACTTAGATCACACAAAGTTATAATACCCCAGGATGGGTGGGTGTGTGCACCCAAGACACTGACATCTTGCACGCATTCTTTTTCCTTTGATAGAGAAATAACCTAGTTAAAATGGAAATGTATTAGGAAAGTCAAACAATTAATTGATGCAAGAAAGGTTGTTTCACATTTTGTGTAAATCAAAGCTAAAAATTAATTTAAGGAGCAGCACTGTATTGTAGACTAAACACAATTTGGCCTGAGTATAGGGTTTGGTGTGGGTGTCAAAGTTGTTCTGGTCTACACATGGTCAGTAATCCTCAGCAGAAATGTTAACTCAATTTGTCAGTATTATCTTTATGTCAACAGTAATGCTTAAATATTTACAATAGGCATAGTACGCTGAGAGTTAGTAACGTAAGATAAATTGGAAAAATGCTAACAAAATGGATGGTACTAATAGAAAGCCCTGGCACTACAGACTCCAATTTTATATACAAGAGGCTTGCCCCAAGGTAAGATTTTATTAGGTTCTATCATTGATATGCTGTTCCAAAGTTTCCTTAAAAAATAAAAAAGATTAAAAGCTTTTTAAAAGGAAGCAAAGCAATGAGTTTACTAAATTTATTCCACACAATACAGTCAACATTTGAGTCCAAAGTACATGCTACCTACTATTTTTTTAAATAGACATAAATAATACTGCACAACTTGAACGGCTATGCATTCTCCAGATAAACTGCATTCTTAAACTTCCCACAGAATTAAATGGCTACCATGTTAAAGTATAACAAAAATCTATGAAGGAAGAGAAAACGCCCTTTTTCTTCTTTGATTTCTCCAATCCTGCTTCTGCTGCTACTGTTTGTTTCTTTAACAGAAGTGATATGTGTTTAAATTCTTTGTATCCTAAGTTCATTGAAAAAACAGAGATAGATAAAACTAGTGAGTACATCTCATGTACTAAAATACTGCCACAGCACCAACCCACTTAACAAAGAGTATTATGTTTTGCTGCTCTCCACCATTCAAGCTGTCCTGTGTTTTATTGTGACTGTTTGAGGAGAATTGATGGAATATGTGCTGAGAAATGTATAGTGAATTTTTCCTCTGATACCTGCTACAAAGCATAAGATCCCCTGAAGGACTTTATTGCATTTTATCACCAAAAAAGCACATTAGCACTCTATCCCATTGAATCTTCGCTTTCCTTTTCCATGAGGGAAGTTTCAGTTCCAGCTTGTAGAGAAGAAATCTAATAGAGGTAGTTGTTCACCTAGCTTCAAAAGCAACAGTGTTCATCACTGTTGTAGAATCTTCTGGTTTTCACTTATTTCTTCCTCTTATGTCACATATACTTGGGTGATTATCAAGCTCTTAAGCTTCTAGGAACTTTTGAGAGAAGGACTGAATAACCATTAGTATTGATTGTTTAACCTGGTAAATTATGAGAAGAGAGTAGAACAGATATCATTAAACCCAGTCACTTTTTTTTAAGAATCCACATTCTAACTAGGCCTGTTACTATTTCCATTTTAATAACATGCCATTTAATATTCATCTTAATTCCTTTATAAGAAATACTTTGAGAGGACTATACATACTGGGTAATAAAGATTAATAGCCAAGTTAACAAATACAGTAGATAAAGGAAGAAAGGGTGACCTATTAGATGTCAAAAAGAGGAATTCCAAAAGAAGCCGTGCCTTGTGAAAGACAGTGGTTAATAGAGTTTTAGAGATACCTGGGAAATCATTGTTCCTCATAGAAGTAATAAAATAGGAAAAAATGTTCTTTCTAAGTAATTAATGTATTAACAATACTACCCAATCACAGAGGGACATCTCTTTTTTTCATATATAAATCTATACCCCTAATACTGATTAATATTGATTTTGGTTATAACAATTACCCATTATTTGTATTTTTCACTTGTTGTTTTTATTACTGTCAATAATGATGGCTTCATAAAAGGGACAAATTGACCACAGTTTACTCAAGGACATACATAGTGAAGTTATCATGAACAATTAAAGCAGGTCTTCAAATAACGTCATTTCCTTCAACATCATGCTGTTATAATTTCGATGAGGAAAAAAATCTCTTCCCAGGCAGAACATGTTGAAAACTGTACATTCTCCTCATATCTGCATGCATTTTCTCTGGGTAGTTCAGTTTCCTTCCACATCCTAAAGATGTGCACATTTGATTAATGCATATATCTAAATTGTCCCCATAGAGTGAGTGTGAGTTTGGGTGTAAGTGAGTGTGCCCTGCGATGGGATGGAGTCCTGTATAGGGCTGGTTTCCATCTTGCACCCTGAGCTGTGGGGATAGACTCCAGCCACTCATGACCCTGAACTGGAATAAGTGGATAAATAATTATCATACTTGTTTTTATTCATCTTTCTTAACTCTGTGTATAGCTCACATTTATTTAAATTTTTAATGTTAGAAGTGTCTTGGTCTTTATTTAAGAATTTGTTGATGTTTTTGTAACCAGAAATATGCCATAGGAACTTAAGTCTTATATCAATCAATTAGCCTATAATAAAATTTGTTTCATTGTATGTCATTTCACTTGAAGTATCAGTTTCCAAGAACCCGTAGATAAGCATGGGCTTATATACAAATGTGTCCTGAGTACATAAAAAGTAAGTTGAATGCCTAAAGTGCCCAAGATTCTTCCCATTGGTCCCAACCAACCACACTCTAGCCCCACTTCCTACAGTTCCTCTTGACTTTTCCTTTGATATGCTTCCCTCTTTTTAAACACATTTTTCCCTCTACCTCAGTTGTCCTTCACTCTTGTCCACAGGGGAAATTCTTCCCTGTTCTTCAAGAACTTGCTTAAATGTCACCTCCTTTTGCCACACTCTCTTAGGTAGCTGGAAGCATTCTCCTCTTGGTTTTTATAGAACTACTGTTATTATTATTACTTATTATTAGTAATTATTATTATTGTTATACCAGTGGTCTCAGTGTTGCTGGCTTCCACACAAGAAAATTAACACCTTGAGGACAAGGCCATTTATCTGTGTATTCCTGGCACATATCACAGTATCTGGTATGTAGCAGATTATCTATTACTACAACAATGCTGTGTTACAAATCGCCCCAAAACTCAGTGGGTTAAACAACAATTTGCTATTTCTCAAAAGTCTGAAGATCAGTTGAGTGGTTTTTGGGGGTCGTGACTTGGTTTATTCATGCATCAGTAGCGTGCAATGGGTTGGATAGGCTCTGTTGTCCTTGGCTATTCTACCACATCTTCAGGGTCAGCTGGTCTCAGCTCTTCTCCATGTGCATCTCACATTTCTTCAGCAGGCTGGTTCAGGCACTTACTCATGACCAGGCAGAGATGCAAGAGCAAGCAATCTCAATCTTGCAAAAGGACAAGTGAAAATGCATAGGTGCTTCTTAAGCCTCTGCTTGTGTCACATTTGTCTATTGGCAAAAGCAAGGCCCATGGCCAAGGTCAGAGTCAGTGTGAGAAGGCGCTATCAAAGGGCTTGGATACAGGGAGGTAAGAAAAACTAAGGTCATGAGTGAAAGTGATGTATTGCAGGAAATGATCAATAAATTCTTGTTATATGAGTAAAGGGCTCTGAGGGACAGATTTATTCATGGAAAGATTGGGTAAAATTGTAAATTAGGCAGTTACTCTTCATCACTCTCTTCATGGCAACATGATCTAACAAACAAAGAGAGGTCTAGCACAGAACTTGGCCTACTATAAGCGCTCATAAATATCAGTTTCCTTTCTCTTCCCCCTCTTCAGCCTTGTTTTCCTTTTTACTTAGGCTTCTATTTCAGCACTTTCTTTCCCAATCCTCTAATGATCTTAAACAAAGAATGACGGAAACTCCTCTCTGAGACGATATCCTCAATTTGCTTCCCTTCTCTTCAAAACTTATCTTTCCTCTATCTAATTTCCCAAGAAGTTATCAAGAATTGGTTATCAGTTCTAGTGAGCTAATTTCCAGGTGTTAATGACTATATTAATATTTGCATTTTAAATGCCTTGACTTAAACTAATGAGTAATTTCAGGAACAATCAAGGAAAAGTGGAAGCTTTGGAGACTCCTAAAATCACTCCAACTCATGGATCTCCTATTCCAGTTGCCCTGGGTTTTTGATATTGATCTTGAAGAGCCAAGGCAGGCAGAAGGCATCATAAACCAATAACTTTCATTCCTAAAAATGTCTGATTAAGTAGGTTAGATTGTACAATTTTAATATCTTTAGTAAAGATAATACAAGGAAGGAAAAGGAAATATCCATTTAGTGCTACCACATACAATAGGAAACTGAGTTTTGAGGAGGGTACACAAATAAAATAGGATGCTTTTCCTCAGTCATTAAAATCTAGATCAAGATACAGACCTTCAATCTAACCATAGCAATCTATTGTATGTGTTCCCCAAAAGCTAGCTTGCTTTTTTAAGGTACTATGAGCCTCCAAGGAAAAAGTGATTTGTTTCAACTAAAACGAAGAGGAAAGTCTTGAGAAAAAAAGATATATTTCTTAGAAATCTTAAACAATGAGTTTGACAGTGGTAATTAGAAGGGCATTTCTGGCTTAGTGAATAATACAAATCAAAGGTGGTATGAAAAAGTTCACTACGGAGCAGTGAGTAATTGAGGGTGGCAAGATACAGAGTGTGAGTGTGAGAAGTTGCCTCCAAGGACCGGTTGGTACTTCGAATCAGACTGAGTGGGTCTAGCACACAAGCAAACTAACACAAGAACAGAAATCCAAACACCACATGTTCTCACTTATAAGTGAGAGCTGAACAATAAGAACACATGAACACAGGGAGGGGAACAACACACACTGGGGTCTGCTGCAGGGTGGGGTAAGAGGAGGGAGAGCATTAGGAAAAATAGCTAATGCATGCTGGGCTTAATACCTAGGTGATGGGTTGATCTGTGCAGCAAACCACCATAGCACATGTTTACCTATGTAACAAACCTGCACATCCTGCGCATACACCCTGGAACTTAAAATAAAAGTAAATGTAATATTTAACCTAGAGATCATCTACAATTTCCTCCTTCTTTCCAGTCCATTTGTATAGTAGGTACTGGCAATACAATAGTAAGTTTTTCAATATTGTCAAGTCTGTTACTTCTCTTTCCATCCCCACCATGGCCCAAATTGAAGCTATCACATCTCCTGCCCAGATCACATCATCTTCTTTTCTGGCCTCTCTGCTTTCCTCTTGCTCATCTCCCATCTATTCCCCAAACAGCAGCCAGAATACTTTTAAAAATAAAATATTTTCTTCCTATTACTTAAGAGCTTCCCAGTTAGCTTACTGTGTTAGCTTACTAACACAGGCCCTACATACATCAGCCCTTGCCTATCTCTCCAGTGATGTCTGTGTCATTCTCAGTCCAACTTGGTATTTCAGCCATCTTGGCCTCGCTTCAATTCCCTTCATAAGTCACATTCTCCCTGTCATCTCTAAATCTTTACATGAACCATTCCCCCTGTAGGAGCATTCTTTCTCTATTTCCTGACCAGTCACAATTCACTAACTTCTATTTTTTCCTCCCTCCTTTTTATATATATGTACCTCCCAAACAAGATGTCAGCTTTTTCATTCTTTTCTCAGGCTCTGTTATCTAGAGAACATGGGCTAAAACAAGAGTCCATGAAAAGGCAGCATGACCTCACAAGAAAAACTGATAAACCCAAGAAATTGTAGTTATAGAGAACAATGAAAAACAAATTGATTGCAGGCAATCCATGAAATCCAGAGCTACTAACAGCAAAATAATAATGTAACATCAGTATATTACTTTTGAAAGATAATAATGTGCTCATTTCTTTTGTATGAGTATGTAACTACCTCCTTGTTGGCCTGAAGCGTTCATCTACCTAGGGAGAGATTGAGTTTGTTATGGAAGGAATGTGAAAAGACAGGCTTGTATAATACTCAGCCTCTGATATTCTAAAATAAAATCTTTTTATAAGAAGAAAATCTTACAAGCCAGTTATTGTCTTAAGAAAGCATCTGCTCATTTCTTCTGCCTCTCATTTGTCCCATATCAGGACCAAACTTGGAGACCATGTTCATAGAGCCTCTGCATAATACAGAATGGCTAGGTCATGAGGCATGCTGTTCTGTAGCTCACAACAAAATCATATGAGGGAGAAGGTGTGAGGAAAGCTATTCTCTTCAGACTACAATGTATGAACTGAGAAAGAGAGAGACATACCAGTAGACAAGACATGGTCCCAATTTTGCCCTGGAAATGGAAGACAGGTTAGATAAACGAATTAGCATAGAGAAGCTCGGTCAGGTCTTTTGTGTACATTCCTAATTTAGGACTCAGTACAGGGAGCCCCACAACAAGAGGGTGGCCCAGAAAAGTGAAGAAATTAATGCATTACAGTCAGGCAGAGAGAAATCCTGAAGTGTGGTTTTCCTCGGCTATCATTCCAAGTAGCAAAAATAGAACTGAATCTGAGTGGAGAATTTACAGATGTTGGGGAGTTGGGAGGCTCTCTGTTAAGGGAGGCAAAGTACATCACCCAGAGTGGACTTAAAGGGGTCTGGGGCACCATCATTAGATAGGATGCAAGTGAATGTTCCTGGGAGTACCAAGAGGAACACCAACCACTGATTTCAGCTGCAAATACGAGCAAGACAAATAACAACCATGTAGGCGTGGGACATTAGCCCACAGACCAGAGAAACAAGGGACACCTTGCCCAAGGACTCCTAGTTTTTCTTTCTGATACATACCACTCCCTTGTCCTCACCCATTGAACAGATACCATCTTAGAAAGGAACCAGGAGGAAGAACAGAAGATTTAAACTTTTAAGAGACTGAGCATTTGCTCCTAGAAAGATTGAACTTTACCTAAGTGGAGTATTTAAATTATAGGACCAGAGTAAGGTTTAAACACATTTGAACATTTAGTCTCATTACTTTGGAGAGAGGGGGACCCAGGTTCAGAGAGTTTTCTGCTATCTGAAGAGTAGGGCTCAGTAGGGAGATTAGATTAATTATAGATAAAATTAATGTTACATTTTTCTGCACATGTAAGTTATAGTATGTGTTAATATTATTTACCTACCCTGGTAAATAATAATAGTAATGGAGATATTGTTGGCAATATTGACTGGGTAGGGTTCTTTATCGCCAACATTAGTGGTTAATATTCACCTGTCATGACATTCTCAACACCAGGAACAATGTCTTTAAAAAAAGAGCCTGGAAAAATAGTTTATTGAATAGACAGAAGTAATAATACAACTAGGACTGGAATAGTGTGTTCATTGAGATGAGTGGCTAGAGATGTCACAGAACTTAGGGAAGAAATTGTGGAAAATCTTAAATATCCAACTAAGGAATTATGTCTATAAGTATTGAGAGTAAATTTATACTTTTAAGAATAAGAATGACACCAGAGAAATCTGTGCTTTAAGATTAACCTGAGAGTTCTGTAGGGGATAGTTTGGAGATGGGGTATCAGCATATGTGGACATCACAGATGGGGCCAAACTTGGAAGAGATGAGTCCTCAGACATATTTTAACTAAAATCATCCTGTCATCTCTACTTCCAAAAAATATGGGGCATTTTATGATATAGAATCAAGTGAAAATGAACATTCAGACAGTCTTAAAATGGAAAAGATGGAAAGCATACAGTGCAGGCCACTGGAGGGGTGAGTGTAAAAGCAGGAAGGAAGAATGTCTTACAGATGGATGGATGGAAGAGAAGATGAAAGCCTAGAGGACCATCTATCTTCATCCTGCCATCTCATTTCCATCTTACTGAGCTTGCTAATGGTACAGTAGGACAGGCCGCCAAAGAATGAAATGCACAATGACCTCCCTTTTTATTACGTCACAGAAACAGCACTGTGGCAGTCGACCCCATAAGAAATGGCGAAAGCATGGGCAGGGTGACAATCACAAGAATGCAAGAGTGCAGATAAATCTGAGTGATGCTCTGGAGGAGCCACCATCTCAGAAGACAGTTAGGAAGTCCTAGTTAAAACTAGAACTGCCGTTAACTAGCTACATGATCCTGAGAAAAGTATTTAATCCCTCTGGAGTGAGTTTACTTCCCTTATCAAAATGAGGCATAGTACATGTCTACCAAGGTTATTTCCAACAGCAGTGACTCTAGGATCTCAAAGTTTCCTTTTGTTTGCTCTAAAATTCACAAATACATACGTACCAAAAGTCATGTCTTCCAAAGTCCAACAGAGTACTAGCCTTTTCTCAGTAAATCTATAGTTTGAAGATGGGTTTCTTTTCAAATAAGTGTCATATGTAGGTTCCATCCTAGTTCCCTGCAAGGAGAATATTCAGACACTGAAATAGAAGTTTACTCAGATAAAGTAATTGCTGAAGTGTTTAAACTCATCACAGAAGAATAATTTTGTTGTTACTTTCATTTTAATCTACCTTATAGGAAACATTCACAAGTTATTTGTTTAAATATTTTGAGGATGACATCTCTCATTATACTAATTTTCTATTTAATTTCATCTATTAAAATTTTGTGATAGACTATAATTTAAGCCAACTTTTCTTGTAGTCTAATTATTCAGTAAAATAAATAAAATTCCTATTATAAAAATAATCTTCAACTCCAAAATCTTATCTCAACTTCCACCCAAAACCCATGTTATTTCATTTTGTGTAACCTGGTCCTGTATTAGTTTGATTTGCCACTGCCCCAAAAGAGAAATTATAGGTTATAATTGCCCCAAATTGTGTTTTTGAGATAGCTTTCAAATTTGTAGTCTTTTTCCCTACTTTGCATTATCTCCTCCTGGGTATTTGCTTCCTGATAATGTGATATTTATCTTTCATTCACAAAGTCATCACTCAAAATAATACGTGTCTTTAAATTACCTAGTGATTTTTTACAGTAGTATTGCAAGGGTGTTTCAGGTCTCTAGAACTGCCCTAATTAGTAATACTTAGATAGATGATTACAGATGAATTTGATTAAAGAGCACCTTTACAAAGGGGGAGTATAAAATATTTCTATGAATATTTTCAGAATTAAATAGGCAGAATTGATTATTTACATACCTTAACATATTAACAGGTGTTTGTATTTCTTGACCTTAGCTATTAGAGGTAGATTAATAATTTGATTACCTTAGATTTGACTATATTTTGTCTCTATTTCACAATCCTAGTATTTTCAATGAGGAAAAATAAAACAGTTACAGCATATACATGTAAAGAACTAATCTATAAATTATAGATCTATAATCTGTAAAATACATCTTAGAATGTGAATCTTTTTAAAGGATCTAGTTCCTGAATGAAGTCCAGTAAAACATGAATACTTCTACCACCCTTGAACAAATGGAAGCTCATATATATGCTGAGGCACTGAATATTTACTATCATTTGAATTAAAGAGAGACAGCCAGGTACTTTAAAGTAGAACACAAAAGTAATGTTTTGAAAATGGGTGAAATCCCATCTTGTCTTTGAGCTGTCATTCAAGCCGTTAGACTTTGCCCATATATTCTATTCACTACTCTTGTTCTCAACCTGTGATACCTGATTCCTAGTTCGGTGATTTCCACCTTTTGTTCACAAGTATTTCCTCTTAACAATACACCATTCAGAAAAAGGTATTTCTTTGAATTGTCAACTAGTACTTTGTTCTGACAAAAGATACCACTATAGTGTTTCAAGACTGTATGTTATAAATCTGGAAATTAACAGCATTTGTTGACTCCTAGAAATAAGTTTGACAAGTGGCACCTTAGAAAGTATAGTCAATAACATTAAAAAAACAGAATCCTACATTCCAAAATGTGTAAATATTTAGCATTGTCTAATTTGATATCACTTAATCTA
Organism: Homo sapiens; assembly: GCF_000001405.40. Taxonomy (NCBI): domain Eukaryota; kingdom Metazoa; phylum Chordata; class Mammalia; order Primates; family Hominidae; genus Homo; species Homo sapiens. The sequence continues at coordinate 43,884,976 of NC_000005.10, read as the reverse complement.
ACAGGATTATTCTCAAATATGATTTTTAACATGCATTTGTTGTGACATATTCATCATAGTAAAGTCCCCGTTTCCCACCCCTAAAAAAAGGGTTAAAACTATGAGCAAACTTAAGTAACTGAAGGAAAAACAAAATGGCCATGGCTTTTCTACATTTCTGTAGGCTTAATATATAGAACAAAGCAAGATTTCAATTGCCCAGAATCTGAAAGAAATGTAACTGAATCAAAAAACAGATTTAAATTGGAAGAATTGCACTACACTTTCAAGTAGCTATATAGTCTGTTTTCCATGTAAGATTGCAACAATAAAGGAATTAGACAGATAGATAGATAGATAGAAAGATAGATAGATAGATAGATAGATATAGATAGATATCTGTAAAAAATCTAAATCTAAGATAAATTTAGGAGGATTAAAATTGATGCTGTTTACCAATATATTTAATATTTTATTAGTATTATATTAGGAATAATATATTTGAATATATTATTGAGCATAGTTTAAATGTAATTGATAACATTAATAGAGAATTTATTAAAGTATTTAGAGCACAGACCATGTATTATGAAATTCAGTTATCCTTTATTAAAATGTATCACTCAAAGTAAAAGTTACAAATGATAACATTGTAAACTCTTGTTTAAAATGTGAAATAGGTTGTTTGATACATCAAATATAAAACATTTTAATTATCTGACTTCTTTAGATTTAAAATTGGGAGCTGTTTATAATTAAAATATTCAGCTGCTAGTTGAACAGTATTGTCACAAACATTTTATTTTATTTATTTCCCATATATTTTACAGAAATAGACATTATTATTGAAATAGGTCATCATATGAAAAATGAACTAGTAAAGTGCCCTCCATGTAATATGTTTTTAAAAGATTTTGTGTATCTTTCTGGAGATATTTAGGCATATGCAAGCCTATATATGTATCTGTATGTGTGTGACTCACATATATATATGATTTTTTCACAAATCATTTAGGCTGTACACACTCTTCTATACCTTGTTTTATTACTACTCAACAATACTACTCAGAGGTCTCTTTTTATCAATAGATAAAGGGCTATCCTATCCCTGCTTTATAGCTATATCTAATTTCATTATATGGATGCACCACGATTTATACATCAGTCTGCTATGGATAAATATTTAAATTGTCTGTCATTCTCTCCTATTACAAACTGTGCTGCAATAAATAATCTTGAATAAATGCCACTTCCCACATATGTAAGTATATCTGTAGAACAAACTAGCAGTGTAATTTCTGGCACCGGGTGCATTTTACATTTGTAAATTTAATAAATATTTGAAAAATTACCAATTACACTCCTGCCAACAGCATATGAGAGTAACAGTTTCTCCACATTCTTCCTATACAGTGTACTAGCAAACATTTCCATCTTTTCCAGTCAGATGAGTGAAAAATGGTACCTCAATGCAGTTTTGTTTTCCAATTATTTTCTACTGATAATGACAGTGCTTAATATGTTAAAGGATGCATTTTTTTAATTTTAAAAACCCAAGTAACAATTTGGTATATAGGTTACTATTTCATGGTATCAGCTTATTCAATCTAATACCATTCTTATTACTACAGCTGTTCCTACCAAAGGCCAACTCCTCGACTGGTGCACAAGATCCCACTCTCTCTTTTTTGCCTGATAATATTGCTCCAGTAATTCTCCCCTCTCTCCTACATCTGCATACAAGCACCTTACATTCCCTTTGAAAAACAAAAGAAAATCAAAAAACTTTATTGACCCCATGTCTCCTTTCAGATTTTATTTATCTGCTTTCTTTTACAGCACAGCTATTCAAAGGATGTGTCAATACTCACTGTCTTCCTTTCCTTTATCAAAATTCCCTTCTGTACTGTGTAGTCAGTCTTTATTCCTCAACACTTCAGAGACACAGTTCTTGTTAAAGTCACTAGGAACCACCATGTTGCTAAATCCAATGGACATTTTCCAGGTCATCTTACTTGACCTAAAAGTAGTATTTGAGATTCTTGACCACTCCCTAATCCTTAAAACAATTTTCTCACTTGGTTTCCAGGAGACTACATTTTTTTTTCCTCCAACCATACTGGCAACTTCTTTTTAGTATTTTTGCTTTTTCTCATCTCCCTAACCTGTAAATGTTGGAGCACCCTAGGGCTCAGTGTCCAGACTTTTCTGTCTATACTCATGTCCTAAGGACCTCATCCAGTTTCTTGCTTTGCATACCAAGTATATTATCAATAACCCCAAAGTTATACTTCCAGCCTGCATGTTGCCCTGAACTGTATAGACTCATCGCTTACTGCTTACTTGACATCTCCCCTTGGATGGCTACATAGACTCTCCAAATGCTCCAAACAAAACTCCTGATTTTGGCCTCCCCAGAAAATCTGTTCTGATCTTCCCTTTTTCATGTGTGTTTACCATTCTTTCCCATTTCGTCTGCTCTGTTCTTCCCCATTTCAAAAAATTGAAACTTCATCTTTCTAATTGTTCAGACCAAAAAATCTTACAGTCATCCTAGACTCATTTCTTTCTTTTACACCCCACATCCAATCCATCGGCAGATCCTGTTGATTCTAATACTCAGAATGCAAACACTTTTTATCACATTTTCCTCTATCATGCTGGTTTAGCAGAAACATCTCTCACCTGGATTATTCTTATATCTTCCTATTTGCCTTTCATTTTTGTTCCATAAATCTAATCTCAAATACTAACCAGTGGGAACTTTTAAACCATAAATCAGATTAAGTTAATTCTCTATTCAAATTCCTCCAATGTCTTCCCATCTCAAAGTAAAATCCAGTCATATAATGGCATAGGGTGTTACATGGTCTAACATACTTGCCTTATGGACTGTATCTCCTATACAGTTCTCCTCTTTGCTTATTCTGCCCCAGCCACACACTGGAATGAGTCTCTGCCATTGCTGGAGTATGCAACCAAAGACCTAGTGGTCTTTGTACTTGATATTCTCTTTCTCTGGAACACTCTTCTTTCCAGAAAGCTATAACCCTTGCTCCTTCCTTTTTGTCAGGTCTCTACTCAACTCTCACTTTATCAGAAAAAAACTTCCCTAACCACCCTTGCAAAATAACAGCCTCCATCTTCTGGTATTCCAAAAAGAGAAAAGGATATCCACTATCAGCATGATTGTATTAGTCTCTTCTTGCATTGCTATACAGAAATACCTGAGACTGGGTAATTTACAAAGAAAAGAGGTTTAATTGGCTCATGGTTCTGCAGGATGTACAGGAAGCATAGTGGCATCAGCTTCTGGTGGTGCCTCCAGGAATTAACAATCATGGCAGAAAGCAAGGAGGAGCAAGTGGTCTCACATGGTTGGAGCAGGAAAAAGAGGGAATGTGCCACACACTTCTAAATAACCACATTTCACAAGAACTCACTCACTATTGTGATACAGTGCCACGGAGGAAATCCAACCCTATGATCCGATCACCTCCCACCATGCCCCACCTCCAACATTGGGGATTACAATTCAGCGTGAGATTTGGGTGAGGACACTGATCAAAACCATAATGATGATTAAGCAGGTTTCCAAAACCTCTATGAGTATCTTTCTCCTCAGTTCAGAAGTTTCCATTTACTTGACAGGATTGAGTTTTAAAAACGTATTCTTCTGTCTCTTAGATTGAGTAACTTGGGGAAATAGACTGTGATAGAGGGATTCCTGTGCAGGAGGCTTATTGAGAAGCACCTCAAGGACAATACCTGCAAAGGAATGAGGGAAACAAGATTGGGCAGAAAGAAACATTGATCTGTGATGCAGCTGATGAAAGGCTGTAGCCAATGCCTCAGGAAGATTTGAAGATGAAATCATCTCTTCGGAGTGGTCCCAAAGTGAGAAAAGGAGGCTGAGCTTTTTCATCCTGTGTTGATCAGCCATTGAACGTGGGCTGCCCCACGGCAAGGTGTGTAACTTTGAATAAAGTGGCACATATTGGCAGAGGACAATTTCCAGACAGGTACTCAGCAGATCCCTGATGGGATGAGTGTTTGGTCCCAAAAGGGGGCTTCTACACAGCACATCAGAGTGTCCCCTACCACTCCTCAGGCCTTCATCCTTAGCTTCTTTTTCTTTTTTTTTCTTTAATTTTTACACTGAGACTCATCTAAACTACACTGTTTCTCATACAATTGATATTGTTCATGTAGGGAAAGTTTGATATTACAAAATGCTCAGCCAACACAGAAAACAGTTTGTTCAAATGAAAGAATATTTCTAAAAAGAATAAATTTTAAATTACTTTTAAATAAAAATGTAATATTGGTTGTAAACAAAATCATAGCAATAATATATATAGATTATAAGTTTTCAGTAAAATATAATGAAACACATTCAATAACATAATTTTACAAAATGTAATTTTTTATAATATAGGAGGCCATCCATGATCTACAGTTCTTCTGTGTTATGATATAAAAATTAAATTACCTCATACTGATTTGTACACAAAACAGCTGTCAAAGTTGGACTGCATCTGCATAGACCTTTTCGTAGGAAGTTTCTGATTAATGATAAATCCCTAATATGAGCTTCTTAATTCCATGTTTAATTTCATTCATAAAAGAATTCAGACACACATGTATATGCACATAAATGCACGTGCATGTATACACACAAAGTGAAACAGGAAATCACTCTATATGGTATATGTCTTTTTAAACATGGTAGTAGGTGCAGGTTTTATATTATCTGATGTTTGAGGCATCAAGACTCTATTGACTAAAGGAACCACTGGGAACCCCAAAATGCCAAAATTCTGTTCTGTTAGAACATTATGTGACTGTGGACAATATCACTTAAGTTTTTAAGGTCCTTTTTCTAAATCTGAATTGTTTATTTTGATCTTCCTTTGAATAATGTTGCTTGAATATCCAGTGAATTACCTTATCATATTTTAGAACTTCATGTACTTAATAATATCATCAATTTATATTTATATTTAATTGTATCATTTTTCAAACTAAAATCACACAATCATGTATATTAACTTATTCAATTCTCAAAACAATTTAGTGGTAGGCATGGAATATATAAATAGTTTCCCATTTTAGAGATAACAAAAGTCAGAGAATCTGAAGCTTGGCCCATGGCAAGCCTGGAAACTGAAGGCTTTGTTCTTGTCACTAAAAGATACCTCTGTTTTTAACATACACATACAGAGAAAAAAAGGAATCACCCTAAAGTTTTACAAGTCATCTTGGTAGTATTGTCAAATGAAGGTATGCCTTGTTATATTAACCTTTGCTGATACTGTATTTTTTAAATAAATTAAGGGTTTGTGGCAACCCTGCATCGAGCAAGTCTATCGGCCTATTTTTCCAATAGCATGTGCTCACTTCGTGTCTCTGTATCAATGTGCCAGTGTGTCACATTTTGGCAATTCTCACAATATTTCCAGCTTTTCCATTATTATTTTTATTGCAGTGATCTGTAATCAGTGATCTCTGATGTGATTATTGTAATCTTTTAGGGGCTCCACAAACTGTGACCGTAGAAGATAGCAAACTTAATCCATGGATGTTGTGCTTGTTCTGACTGCTCCACCAACCAGCCATTCCCCTGTCTCTCTCTCTCCCTCTCCTCAGGGATCTCTATTCCCTGAGATACAAAAATATTGAATTTAGGACAATTATTAATTGTCCTACAATGGCCTTTACATGTTCAAGTGAAAGGAAGAGTTGCACATATCTCACTTTAAATCAAAAGCTAGAAATGCTAAAAATGATTAAGCTTACTGAGGAAGCCTTGTCAAAATCAAGACAGACCAAAAGCTAGGTCTTTTAAGCCAAACAATCAAGCTGTGAATGCAAAGGAAAAGTTCTTGAAGGACATTAAAGGCACTACTCCAGTAAACACACAAATGATGAGAATGCAAAACGGCCTTATTGCTGATACAAAGAAAGTTTGAGCAGCCTGGGAAAATCAAACCAGCCACAACATTCCCTTAAGCCAAAGCCTAATCCAAAGGAAGACTGTTTTCAATTGTATGAAGGCTGAGAGAAGTGAGGAAGCTGCAGAAGATAAGTTGCAAGTTAGCAGAGGTTTGTTCATGGGGTTTAAGGAAAGAAGCTGTCTCCATTATGTAAAAGTGGAGATGAAGCAACAAGTGCAGATGGAGAAGCTGCAGCAAGTTCTCTAGAAAACCTAACTAGAATAACTGATGAAGGTGGTTACATCAAACAACAAATTTTCAGTGTAGACAAAATAGCTTTCTATTGGAAAAAGATGTCGTCTAGGACTTTCATAGCTAGAGAGAAGTTAATGCCTGGCTTCAGAGTTTCAAAGAACAGGCTGACCTTTCTGTTAGGGGTTAATGCAGCTAGTGACATTAAGTTGAAAACAATGTTTATTTATCAGTAATCATTACCGGCAATATCATTAGTTCAGCCAAATTCTAGCATCACCTCTTACCAGTTGTATGATCTTGGTCAAGTTGTTTAACTTATGTTCTTCACTTTCCTCAGCTGTAAAATGGGGACAATAGCAGCTACCTCAAAGATGAATTATGAGGGTTATATAACTCATACAAAATATTTAGCATAATTCTTGGCACAAAATAATCATTTAATAAGTATTAGCCATCATTATTCTCATTATTATCATTAGATCTGTTTCCAGTAACACCACTCAGTTGAAATCAGGCCCTCATTACACCATGAATATCATATTATCCTAACTGGTTGGCTGTTCAATAATCTCCATTCAAATAAAACAAAATTAGCCCCCATAAAATATCCTTTTTCAAAAATCTTCAGTTGCTCCGTCATTTCCTAGTGAATAAGATATGTAAATTGAGATGATAAATATTATCATATCAAATGTAAAAGGATTATTAATAAGATAATTTATATTTTTGTACTGTTTCCAAAATCCAGGGCATGTTTTACACATATAGCACACCTCAATTCAGATACTAAATTTTCATAGGAAATATTTGCTCTATATTTGGATTTCATAAAACTTACAGTTAAAAAATAAATTGATATGACCAAGTTGTTTCAAACATGCATAAAAATTTTCCAATAACTAAACCAACTGCCAGGTTTTTTATTTAAAATAATTATAATCAAATAAAATTTAAAATTTAGTTCCTCAATTTCACTAGCCACATTTTAGTGCTCAGTAGCCACACAAGGCTAGTGACTACTACATTGAACTTACTTTTCTTTGGACCATTAACTGAGTATAGTATCTTGTATCACCATCTTGTACATGGTCCACCATGATGGTAAAAATTATCTCATTGATCACCAATTTCCTGCCCCCTGTAAAATATTGCTACTATTAATGATGGCTAATATGGATATAAATATTGTAGATGTGAAGCCCAATATGGTACATTATTTTCTTTCTGGAGTCACTCAAATTCTAAGAGTATGTGTGTGGAATATATACATATATGTATATAGATGATCGATTGATAGAATGAGTGAGTGAGTTTCTTTTTCCCCTGTAATATTCCTTGGTCTCTTGGTGCATTTCCATTGGTCTGGATAATCAAAAATTAATTTAGAAATAATCTGGTACTCCATTTGATCTTGCCAAAATTTCACTTCAACAGTTGAGTTTACTACTAATGCTTACTAACCACCAATAGGTCTTGCCTCATTACTTAAAGACCCCCAAATCTAATTGCTAGACCAACAGGGACATGGGTTTCAGAGACATAAGAATTCCTTAGAAACTAGTTCTGTTCTAAGTCTCACAAAACTGAGTTTTAGAAACAGCTGACTTCCATATCATTATGGAAGGTAAGAGACCTTAGTCTTGAAAATTACTGAAGACCAATATTCAGAGACATATCACCTGAATTCATACGTAAAGACAGAAAATCTTACTGCAGGCTTTATTTTTCTAGGCAGCAGAAGGAAATACCCATATCTATGACATTTTCCCAATATAAGCATAGCATTACAGCTCCTAGGAGGTTTTCAAACATGCATGCACAGCCCGAAGAAGATCTAAGACTCAGTTCAATGTCAGAAAGCACAAAAACCAAGAGAACAAAAAGGCATTTTAGGAATTTAGGATCAATGAAACCCTTACAAATTCAGAAGTGAGTTACATTATGAACAACAAGCACTTACTGAACACCTGCCATGTGCAAAACACATTGCTTGTCCCTGTGATTAAATTAAATCCTCTATACTTAAAGATCAGAGACCACCCTACTTATGTTCTCTAGAATTGCAAGTCCATATATCTGTCAGGCCAAAACATCCCTTCTTACCACAACAGGTGACCATTTCAACTTGGTCCTCAACTTAGAAAAGTGCTAAAAAAATTTTTTTTTAAAGTAAAAGAAAAAACAGTGATTGCATTCATGAGATTGACTAATTGTACCTATGCTCCTTTTTAGTTTGCCCAAAATTACTTCTGTCCAAAATACTTTGAAAGCCTATTTCTAATGGAACAATTTTTTAAAACAAGCCTTTGTCTCTAATTAATTATTCTACATATAGTTACTCCACATATAATTACTCCACATCTACATTTATTCCACCATAGTCTATCCCACCTTCCTAAAACATCCTTCCAAGCTTATATAAATCTCCTACTATTTTTCAGATAAAACAACTTATATTTCAAAATAAACACTTTATGTTTCCAAGTGAACATATATTTCATCTACAAATATATTATATATATGGCTGTGGTCTTCATTCTTATCTGAAATATATTGTGAACTTCTTGAAGTCAAAAATCACATCTTCTACTTTTACCCTAGCTTGTAATCCACAGCTTGATGTGGATTTATATCAAATTTTTGTGAGCTCTGAATCAAATTGGAATCCTACTTTCAAAGTAAAGGCATGGGAAGAAGATTTTGGTAAGACAAGATTTTATTGTCAGAATAAGAATAAAGGACTAAGATAATCCCCTTAGATCCCACCTTAGACCTCCCTAGGCGGCTGTCATGCTCTTCACCTGGCTCCTCTTGGGAAACACAGGAAAAAGAAAAATGAGAAATCAGGACAGAGCCTGGACACAGCCCCAGGCTAGGATCTGCTAGTAAGTAAACAGCTTCTGACCTGAACTTGCTAGCATTCTCTCTCTCCAAGAGAGCAAAAGAGACCAGAGCTGTACAATGGGGCTCCTAATTTTCAGTAGGCCTTCAAGTCAGATCACTTTACACCCATACATTTTATCATTTGAGCACACCACTCTTCCTAAAGGGATGCCTTCTCAAGCTGGATATTCAGAGTCAAAAAACAAGTCACTGAAATCAAAGCCCACCAGCCACAAAAGACATCCACTTAGGTTAGATACACCCACTTAGTTGTCAAATTTAGTATTTATTTTGAGTACACATGGATTGTTGTTACTCTGTTTTCGGGTAATGGCTCTTACTTCATGGTAAACTAATTTTACTCCCATCTTTAAAATATTTCTTGAAAAAGCCCAAAATATGAAATTTATCTATCATGAAATGCAGAAAACAAAAAAAGAAAAAATTCCTTCAAATTGAACTGTAATCCTGTATTTAAAGCTAGAACATAATAATAATATGATGTTAATAATAATGCTTTACATTCATGTGGTCTTTGTTCTTAGAACAAGCACTATTCTAATTCTTTTATGTATATTCATTTGTTTAATTACAGTTTATCAACTGTAACACATTTTTTCCAACAGTCACATTAAATTCCCACAAAATTGAAAATATTGAAAAAAAATTGTTTCTTTTGTAGGATTGCATTTGCCTTTTCCTGAAAGAGAAATGTCTGGAGGACTAGTAGGATGTGTAAGGTGACATAACATTTCCCTGTGCCAACAGTTCTTATTCACTCCCCATATGTGAACATATCTCTGTAATAACAGAGCCTTCATGACTCTTAACCCTTCAGGAAAACTGACTTTGCTAACTGCCCTTCTCAGCAGCCAGCAGATGCCAAACAGAGGAAATGTATTTGCTCTTCACAGCGGCTACTCCCTGGCAGATTCCAGAGCTGTTACTGGCTGTGGCTTCAGTGTTATCTACAGATGTGTCACATGTTTGGGCCATTATGTGATCAGTCCTGGCTGCCTTGTGCTCCTAAAAGCTTTTTTCCATTCAATGACTTTTACACATTTTGAACAACTGTGAATGAGGTGCCATGTGACTCTCCAGCGAAATCACAAGGAAAGGGTTTTTCAGGGAGAGAAACGGCACTCTCACCACCAGAATGGAGCCCAACTGTGAAAGTGGAGCCCATCTTCACTCAATCTGCTTCCTCCCTCAGCCCCACCCTGCATCTTCCAGCCACAAACCCCATTCCTACAACTCCCCCATCCCACCCTATCTCCACCCACCTCTGCCGCCTCTGGTCCCCACCCATCCCTCCTCACCAAAATATCCTTACTATTAATAAAAGATTCCATAATTGCCGGATCAATCCAATGGACACTTCTCAGGTCTCTTGACTTCTCTGAGGCATGTGACGCTGGTGACCAGCGCGCTCTTGAAACTCTTGCCTGGGTTGCTCAGAACCGCTCTGTCCTACTGCTCCCCGATCTGTGGCTGCAGTTTCTAAGCTCCCTTCCCTGCTCCATTTCCTTCAGTTTCCCCATAAATGTTGGCATTACCCATGTATCCGAGCCTTTTTTCCTCTCCTTCTCTGCAAAGTCTCCCTAGAGAATTTCATTTATGCTTGCAGTGTCAACCCACATGGTATAAACCCAGCCCTCATTTTCAACTCCCATGTCTCTCCCAAGCTCCAGATACATTCTCCCAACTGCCCCTGGTCTCTCCACTTGGTTGCTCATGTGTGTCTCACACTTACACACTCTCTGCTACTCAGCAAAGTCTCTTTTCTCCTGAATCCCTTATGTCAATTAGTGGCATCCCTATCCTCAGAAGTTCTGTGGCAGTTTGAACCTTTGCTACAGATTTTTTGACATACCTGAGATTTCTCAGACTTAGTAATTAAAAAAAAATTCTGCAGTTTCTTCCTTGGTCTTTGGGAACACGTGTTTTTGGAGCCCTGAGGCAAAATGTCCAACAATGTTAAGTTTGCCATGCTGGAGAGGCCATAGGTAGGTGGTCCAGCCTCTCCTGTGAGTTATGAGACCATCTTGGAAGTAGTTCTTCCAGCCCAACCCTCCCAGCCTCCACCCATTCTGGGTACCCCTGTCATTTGCATCCTCACAGGAAAAACCTTAGAAGTCATGAAGCAGAGGGGAGTTGTCCCCAGTGTGCGTTTTATGAATTCCAAACTCACAACAACAGGAGCATTTAAAACAAAAGTTGTTTCATGCTACTAAATTTTAGGGTGGTTTGTTATGCAACAACAAATTACCATGCTAGCTACCCTAGCTTCAAACATAGGAATCATTACCATCTTCTCTCCCATGTTTCTATTTAGCAAATAATTTCATTAAGGGCCTACTATGTGCCAGTCACTGGACCCAGCACTGATGATAGAAATAATTATGGTCTAGCAGAGAGGCAGTACAAAGAAAACAAATCACAACACAATAAGACATTTCCTACCCTTGTTTCAGAGGAATCTGTAGGCAGATATTTCTCAAAAGACATGTTTCATGGTCAATTAATTCTGGAAACATTGAATAAAAACAAATTTCTTTCCTTAATTACTTCTCAGGGCCTTTAATACTCAAATGTGCATAAGAAATATGTAATAGAAGTCTAGAGTGTAGAGTTTTTTCTAATTATTGATCACAAAACAGGTTTGGGAGTTTGTTGCTTTGTTTTGAGAAGAAACTCAAGTAGAGTTCTGCAAAAGACTATGGAAAGAGTGCCTTTGATCATTAGATGTATATGAAACATGCCCAGGGAGCTAGAAAAGGGATACCCAAGCCTTTCTTCAGTAATCAGGGAATATCTCAATGAGGAAGTAATATTTGAACTAAGACATAAAGAGTAACTGAGAATTGAGCTTGTGTCAAGATACTGAAATGAGAGAGGCCTGCCTATTAAAGAGAACTGTAAAGAAATGTTATAGAACTCGAACGTGTTTGCCTCTCTGTGAGAGACAGATGCTAGAATTTCAAGTTCAGGTCAGAAGCTGTTTACTTCTCGTAAATCCTAGCCTAGGGCTGTGTCCAGGCTCTCTCCTGATCCCTCATTTTTCTTTTTCTGTATTTCCCAGGAGGGGCCAGGTGAGGAGCACAGCAGCCACCCGGGGTTTTCTCATCCTCTATTTCTATAATTACAGTAAATGTTTTCTTATTTAAGCATCTACTTCTCATGTCTGCAGTTTGAAAGCAGGACATCAACGCGATCTAATGTACCCACAACTTTTATGAAACTACATATGAGATGCTGTGGTTTAGATCATCTAAACAATATACAAGATGTGATTCCTTCATGTAATCGCCTTCTATATTTCAAATAAGAATAGCAATTCTGAGTTTATTTACAACATATGTGCCCTGATTCCATATAAGGAATTTATATTGAAGTGTTGGTATTTTATAGAATAAAGGCTGAAAAGATTTTACTACTAGAAATAGTAAATAGTAATTTCTACTAGAAATTTAGAAGACTGCTCTAAGATGATGGGACAGATTATAACAAAATAAAGATGAAAATTGGAGGATGTAGATATTTTCGGAGTTTTTTTTTAAATATATAGAAAGAAATTGGCTGCCAAACATAGGCAAATTTGAAAGTCATTTTTATACAAGAAAGATCATCTAGGAGAAAAAGATTTCTCTTTTTCACTGCCCTTCTTCAAGAGATGGAGCATACACAAGGGATTTCTAGCAATTCAGAACTAAGGAAGCATGACCAAAGGCCAAGAATAATCTGCCTAAATGGCTTTGATTTGGTGATTTGGGGAGACTTAAAACCAAATAATTTTTGTTCTAGAGCTAATGAGCTCTTACCTGCCAAATTAAAGCATACTCAGCTAGAGTTTCTTATAAGAGGACCACTCATTCTAACAAGCAAAAATGACACAAGCAACAAGGAGTGGTGGGGTAAGTCTTAGTACAAATTGAGACAACCATATAGAAATACTGAGGACATCACTCAGCTGTCCACATAATGATGTCTCTTTAATATGACATATTAAAGAAATAGAAAAACAATAAACAATCCCCAGTGACATATTTACATCACATTGAAACAGCAGCTACTTTTCTATTCACACTACAGAGAAGAAAAAGGGTGCCAGAATTGCAGTTACTGATCCCGTGAAAACCACTTCTTACATCAAACGTATCTCACAAAGTAAATGCATCAAAACACATCTTAAGAAACTCATAAAAGCAATTTCAACTTAAAATTTTTCATTTTAATCAACATACTTACTTGAGAATTAACCTAAATTGAACTTAAAGATCACCAAAAAAAAAAAAAATTCTAACAAAACTTACCATGCTGGCAGTATTTTCGAGTTAAAAATTCATCAAGCTTCTTTAAGAAACTTCTTTGTGAAAAGCATAAGATTATAAAAGAATGAGCAATTTTCCAAAGCAAACTTCTGTTATAAAACTATTCCTTTTGAAATGAGGCAAAAGTTGTTGTTTATGAAGGACACAAAGAAAACCACAACTTGACAATAAACATGAAACAAATCACAATTTTAACTATAATTGAAAAACTGAACATTTAAACCACCGTGAGATACCCATCAGACTACCAAAAATCTTAAAGCCTAAAATATCAAGGGTTATATCTATAAGTATGCATACTTATAGATAAATCTAAATATGTTCATAGATAAATTGTTGCATATTCAATTAATACAATAATAGCATTAAAAATGAATAAACCACAGTTATACACATTATCGTGAATGAATCTCAGGAACCCAACATAATGTTCAGTTATAAAAGTAAGTTACCAAATTATGACTCCATTTCCACAAAATCCAAAAGCATGCAAAACTAAACATGGTAAGCTGTAACCCTTAAGGAAATGAGAAACACAAATTTCAGGATAACAGCTACCTCTGAGAGGAGACAGGGAAGAAAGAAGATGGGGGTCACAAAAAAACACAAATGGGTTATGTGCTCATGCAAATGTGCCACATTCAACAGCCTTTGGGGCAGCCACTTATGTCCAAACTGTCCTATCTCAAATCCCGATCAAAACATAGTTCTTCTCCCATCCATTTCCTCAGGACCATGCTCACTAACAAAACTTGCACCATTCAGAAATATGAGTTGTTAACACTCATAGGCACAATATTTGTAATGTGGAGTCACCAACATGAGCTGATAATGATACTTAAAGAACGACCTAATGGCAGAGATTTGACAAATGTCAGCAGGAAAGATGCACTAGAATAAGCAGACCTGTGACAAAGTCAGCAAACTTCATTATCTAGGCCTCACATATTACACAAGAACCCAGAGTAAATTAATCAGGCTAGATTCTTGCTAAGCAAAAAATTAAAATACAAATACTTGTTTGATGAGGAATAAGAAACAAAAAATTTGGATTCAAACCCATGTAATCAAATTTTCACCACATGTAAAAGAAAAAATAATAAATTCGACCATGATATGTCACAGCTAGTGTTATTCAGATACCACAGATAAAGTGAGTGCCAGTGAAATCTAGCATTACACAATGAAAATAGTGTACAGCATTTTACAGAGTACAATACAAACAAGTTAAAATTTAAGAGCACTTAGTTATGTTGTGTTTGCTTATATCATCAATTCAGAAAAATTCCAAATAATCTTTCTACTTGTCAATGTCAATAAACTGCAAATAGATTTAAATATTAAATTAGGTTCAAACAATATTCTCATTTTTCTGTGGATTTATCTAACAATGGCCAAAAATCTTAACAGCTGGTTGGCACTGGACCTTTTTAAGATTTTCAAAGTAATTATAGAGAAGCTTTTCCTGGAAAAGGTAAATAATAAAAGACTCACTTATTTTTGTGTAACTTATTTTTGCTTGTAACTCTTTAGTTAACCAGAACACATACATAAAGTTGGAAGGCCTCAAACAGCAAAACATACCAAAAATATATACATTTTACTCTCCTAGAGAGGCAATATTGCTCTCAGAATCTCTTAGGAAAAAAAATGTTGTTTGATTCCTAGAAACTGTACCTTAGTGGTAGTATTATACCACAGCAACAGTGATAAATCATATTGATAATAAAGACAAGAAAGATACGGTCTGTAAGTTCTCATTTTTCTAGGAAAGAATTAAAAAATAAAAATATCTACTTCAGTAGTTTTCTAGAGCATTGTTTCTATGCTAGAGTAATAGCTGCTAATTCACACTGTGGCTCCAAATCCAAAAGATTTAATCAAAAAGAATTAAATCATTTTCCAATGTTTTTGTACTTGAAATCACTAGTTAGGTATGTGATGCATAATAAAAATGTCTAAAGTTAAAAGCACTGACATATTAAAATGTTCTTATATGGAACACTACCTTAATTCTACATATCGCATTCTATATAAATAAGCTCTTCACATACCAGATGTCAAATTACTCAAGAAAATGAACTTTTTATCTAAAATATCTTACTCATCCTTTGCAAAATTTTATCTTGAAGGCAACTTTGAAATTGCTTTTTTCAAGTTCTTTGTAGGCAGCTCATCTTGAGTCATTTTGGCACTCTTAAAAGCCATCATTTCTTCAGTGTTAGGAAGTGGTTTAATTTAAATTTCAGTTCTCAAGGCAGTGCTTTTGTCCAGAACCCATGCACTGTCAATAACAATAATCTTAAATATCAATGATATGCCATATAAGCTGGGCAGCCACCAAGAAATTTTGCCATTCAAGAACAGCATTTTGATGATTTCTCTGCATTGTCAAAGAATTGCCTCATCTTCCCCCAACAAATTACTCCTTTCATTCATTCATGTGATTTTCTTTTTACATAGTTGGAAGTCAGTGTTTTTCCTGTGACTTACATTTTTCTTAAAAACCTTCAATTATAAGAAAGACAAATTGAAATTCATTTTAATTATGCTTTCTCAAACAACATGCTTTTATCCAACACAAATTGTGCCCAAACTCCTTTCCTTAAAGAAAAGAATCGTAACTCCTTAGGCATTAATTAATAATATGCTTAATAATTATTAACTATTAATTAACAGTAAACAATTATTATAAATAATTAATTATATGCTTATTAATAAGGCTTAATAAGCTAACTCTCAGGAGTTCTGCCCAACAAAGTGTTTTCTCCCCAAACAGAACAGCAAAACTCCAGTTTGAGGTTCTTTTCAGTTATGCTGACATACCTAAGAGCCTTAGCCAACATAGAAAAAGATGTCCACTACATTATTGAACCTATTTGGCATGATGCAAGTCATTATCTCATGGTAACCCTTGTCATATGATTGCTTTTCAGATAGTATGGGCTTTCTGTATCATTAGACACAATTTCTTAATTAGTAAGATTATTATTTGATAGAATTATCTCAGTGCTTTATAATTCTTTTAATATTTAACTGATTGTCACCAAAACTGTTCTACTATTTATGTGGGCCTTCTTTATTTTGGGTTGCAAAAGCTTCTCACCTAATTCCATAAGTAATCTAATTAAATAATCTAACCATAAATAACTCCTAATATTATCCAAGGTTGTCATATCTATTCACATCCATGTGAATGAAATTCCTATGTGTAACCATCAATATTCAAACATCTGATATCATTTTATATGAAGCCTACAGTCTATAATAGACACACAAATGTATATATACACATTTATACATTTGTGTGTATATTTGTATTTTTTTTCTAGAGAGAGAGAGAGAAAGAGGGAAAAATGCTGTTGAAGAATACTACTTCTGTTTTAATTTCTTCTTTAATCTTATCCGAATTTTTCAGTTTTTCTATTGAGCACTATTACATTTGTAGTAAGAAAAAATACAAGTTTTTAAGTTAAAAGAAAACTAAGAACTCAGTTGTGACTGTTACAGAGCTAAGCATTGTACAAGCAGAATGAAATATTTAAATCCTAGATAAAAAGGCAATAAAGCATTTTCAACATTTTTAACTTCATGTGCTTAGAAAGCAAGAGAGATAGGGGATGACTTGTCTAAGATCTGACTCCTGTAGGCTGACCTTTCAGATGAGATTGGCCTCCTGAAAAGCTCCATGGAAAATAGCTAGGCCAAGTGCTGAAAACAATTAAAACAATTAATGGCAAGATTTGGACCCTAGCTCCCTATCAGGTTGGAAAAGTCCTGGTGCTCTCGTTAATGCTGATGAGGTTAATCTAGCTGAGAGTTTGCCACTTCTCACAGTTGCAACTGCAGTTTGAACCCCAGAACCAATTACCCTTGGAAAAAAGGCTGGTGCCACCTACCACAGCTGTTAAGGTGAGCTGGCATTTTAGACCTGGTGACAGGTTCTGCAATGTCATATTGCTATAGCACCCCAGCTCCTAATCCCACTCCAGGAGGGACCTGTGCTTCCCTAACCATGCAGCTCAAAAGTCTTATAGGGTTAGGATCTCTCTCCTGGAGGACATTTATAGTGCATTTTGGGAAACAAATAAAATATAATGTAGGTGATTTATATTTACCATGCACACCATGCCAGGGGTAAAACCTGGAACACAAATGCAGCCTTATAAAAATATTTCTTCAGCTTAACCTCACCTGTTTCACGAAAACTCAAGTCTCCTTCCAATTCTTCCCAAATAGATCTGGGAGTCCAAAGACTTTGCTCAGTGGGCTCTCTACCAGTTTGCTTATCTATACTTTGCATCAGTTCTTTTTTCCTCCCCCTGCTCCAATTCAAGGTGGTGATGTGGCCAGTCACTGCCATAGAAAAAGAGTAACCTACTGTCACTGCTCCCTAAAGGCCCAGTTGCTACTGGTCTATCTTTTTCTCCACTGAGGTCACAGAGGCCTGATGATCATTTTAACTCCCTGTCTACCAAGAATAAGAATATTGCAACTATACTTAGGCTAGAGAAAAGGAAGAAGATCTAAAAAGTCCGGTGTCTTGATTGTGTGAGGTTGACGCTTCCAAACTGTAACAAATTCAATGGAGGTGAGTATGAACCAAATAAAATTATATTAATTCTTAGATATTCACTATCAGAGGTAAAATGGATAAATAAGACAAACCCTTGCCCTCAAGATGCTATCTAGCAGGAAGCTATGTCATAAACATAAAAGCTATGGAGTAAGGCTCATAAAAGAAGTACACAAAATTGTGGGAGTTCAAAACAGAAAGAAGGTCTTTCCTGACCATGAAAATCAATGAGAGTTGAATGGAGAAGACAGTCTACAGACATGGATGGGAAAGCCCTTTCAAAGAGCAACAACTCCTGGTCTACTTCAACTGAACCCTGGAGCACATATTGATAAATGGTAAGACTCTATCCCAGAAAAGTACGTTTGGCCAGATCCTAGAATATCTGAATGACAAATTACTCATAGGTCTGTATTACCCTCACCACTAGGTCCCATCTCCTTATCTTGACTTACATCCTATAGCCCCTACTTATCTTCTGCCTCATTCTCACCTCTCTCCACCTGTTACCCTCTATATTCCAGCCAAACTATTTATTTCCTTAATGTGCCCTGTTCTCCCTGACCACCCTGACCAGAGAACCTTTACATATACTATCCTCCCTCCCTGTAACACTTTCTGCCCTTTTCCTTCTCCCAGGCCTCTCCACTTCTGTCCGAGATAACTCACACTTCTCAGGCACTGCTTGGACTGGACTTTTTTCAAGAAGCTTTGTCTGATCCCTAGCTCTCAGAAAGATGCATCTTTTACATCTGTACTTTCCTCATCACACTATTCTTTTGGCATCTATTTGTGTTCCATGACCCTATAAGCTCCCTGAGAGCAATGATTGTATATTTCTCATTCACCGTTGTATCCTCACTATCCACTACAGTGCCTGACATACTCTAAGTGCTCAATAAATACTTCTTGACTATATGAGTAAATGGATAAATAAATGACAAAATAAGCCTTTTAACTAATCAAACTATTTTAAAAATACATAAAAGCTGAGGTAAATGATGGCAGTAGATATTTTCATGCTTCATCAATATCTTTGAAAAGATAAAACATTTTATCGATGATATTGTTTCATGACTACTTGCTATTTGCTAGAGGGAAAACTCCATGCAGTTGCCAGATTATTTAACATCCATGCATTCTATCTTAGAATAAGCTTTCTATCTCTGACTAGGTGGTAGTGACTGTAAAAGATAAAATTCTACCTATGACTTCATATTTCAGAAACCTTCAATGAGGTATCTTGGGGAAAACTCCTCTCCTCAGAATCCTAAAAGGGATCAAAATTCTACCATCTCCCAGGTTTGACCCAATTATAATACAAAGTTAGCTTTAAATTTATGAATGTTTATATTGAGCAAAATGTGGGATAATTGTACTTATGACTTTAAGGAGGGAGTACAATCATAAAGTAAAATTTAGGCTTTTTAGAGAAATAGAGTTCAAAAACATGAGGAATTTGGAAAGTAAGAAACAAATGCTACATGCTGCACAGAGAAACCCAGAAGCATCCTGATACATTTAAACCTGGAGAACAGGATGCGACACAGAAAGCAAAGAAAAAAATGATTCAGAGCAACTTCTACACGAAGAAGAAAAATGTACTCTAATTCAAACTATGAGAGAACAGCTTGTAGTTAAGAAAGCAAAGAACTTTGCTGCTTTACGAAAGAATGCAGGACTTATATAAGCCTGCAGAAAAAGCTATTTCAACCTGGAATTGTTAAAACTGGGGCAAAAAAAGAGAAAAATTAAGTGACCAATAAATTATGTCTACCATGCTTTGGTAACCAACCACGGAAACAAACCAAATACCACAGATCATCAAGAAGCAGCATAGCCAAATGAGACCATGTATTTGAAACTTCCCAGGTTATACAAGCTTATACTCCAAGATCTCTCAATGGTCTTAGTAAAAGACCATTGTACACAATTTATCTTCTAAACTGGGAAACTTCTAAGAGTGTAGGGGGTACTCCTAATAATTAAACTGGTATTTAACTAAGTTGAAATTCTCAGTCAAACTGGGATGTAGGGTCAACCTAATTATACATTGAACCACTATATTATGTCAGAGAAACATTTTGAAGAAAGGGCACCAAAGGTGAAGTCTTGAGAGGAAAATTGCAACTTATTTGAGGAGCTGACCAAAAGTTCCCAAGCAGGAAAAAATTGGAGAGATTTCTGTTTAGGAGCTGGCCTGAATATACACAGTTGCATGCATAATGTTAATGTCTTTTATTTATTTGTTTATTTTATACTTTAAGTTCTAGGGTACATGTGCACAATGTGCAGGTTTGTTACATATGTATATATGTGCCATGTTGGTGTACCGCACCCATTAACTTGTCATTTACGTTAGGTGTTTCTCCTAATGTTATCCCTCCCCCCTCCCCCAACCCCATAACAGGTCCCGGTGTGTGATGTCTTTTATTATTGGGCATACACAATATTTGCACAACTTATAAATAATTTGCATCTGAAATGTCTCAGTATTTATATGCTTTTTCGTTGTTTATTCAAAGTTTATGACATCTATGAAATTTTAAGACCCTAAATGTCAGGAATTTTTTTCCATTTCCTGTATGTAGACTCAGCACATGTTGCTACTGTATAATGCACATAAGGGAATATGAACTTTCCTTCCAGCTCTGAAGAAATCTCTTCATGGGTCAGAATCTCAGTAGGATACAGATAGCACACACAAAAGGGGTGATTGATCTGAAATTAATGAAGCGGCCACTTACAAATATGTAAGCAGGGTTTAAGACAACCATAAGGGATGATTGAAAAACACCCAAGGGTTAGCAACCTTAAGACCACTACCACCCTTAGGCTTGCAAGGTCAGGGGAAAGAACAATTCTAGAAACTTGGTGAAAGCTGTAACTGTAGGAGAGCCCTCCAAATAGGAATTTTGGCTTTTGGTAAAGGAACACAGCAACTGACACCCTGCAATCCTGCAAAGATACAGCTGTGGAATAAATACCCCAATTCTCTTTCCTCTAGCCATCTAATCTCTTGTTGGTGCTTTTGAGCTAACCCATAGGTCAAGGGAGCCTAGCCAATAAATAATTCACAGAGATCAGCCTTCTGGATGACAGAGCCAAATGGACAAGCCTAAAGAATGTGTCTAGAGAGACTATCCAGCAGGATTTAATTGAATACTATGGAAGTTCATATTTCTAAAGTCTAGATATGTTACATACATCCTTTATGTTCATAAGTGAAAACTAGGAGCAATTTGATTTTCACAGTTATATCAGAGAAACAGTAGGTGTTTTAGTATTATTAGCCTCATTTTACAGATTAAGAAATAGAAGACAGAGAGGAAATATTACTTGCCTAAATCATCCAAAAAAGTTTAGAAAACACCACTGTGTCCATGGATCTGTCAGAAAGCTGATTATTTCCCAGGCTTAACTAGAACCTGGGTCTTCTACCTCTAAACCCAGAGATCATTCCATTTGGCCTTATCCACATAAGCTTGTTGTTGGTCTGAGCAACAGAAGCCCATCATACAGCAGAAGGAGTCTAAAAAGTCAATCAGCCAAGTATATACCAACAGAGATTTACAGAACAAAAGTAATGTCTCTGCCTTTAGGGGATCCCAGCTTATAAACTAGGGAAAGAAAAGCACTCAGAAAAATTCAGGAAGACTATCAATCAATCAATCAATCAATCGATATTACTCTAACACCTACTATGCACTAAGTAGAGAAAACTTATGTGCCTGCAGTTGGCCATCATATTCTTGTGGTCACATGTTATTATGGCTCATGGTTTATGATGTTCAAGAGATTGATGGCAAGTTGTAAAGATTCCTATGTACAATGAAATAATGGTTGATACAGCAGAGTATGAGTGGACCAATGTCATATTAAAAAGCCAATCCCAGGTAGTGTCTGAGGTAGGTCCCTCATATAGAACCCTGATGTCAGCCTCACTTTCTGGTGGTAGCAATAGTAATGAGAACTGATACAAAATCGAGTGATGATATATGTTGCTCTGTCACTTAAGCAGAGAAACAGAAATCCAACAACCACTTATAAACAGAGCAAAGCCTGAGAATGACTAAACATATTACTCAGGATCTCACCTGAGGCAGAGACTATTATGTGCTCACCAAAATCCATTTTATTTTTCTCCTGAGCATAAAAACAGACCATACTTTCTATCCTTCTTACAATTACTTGTGGCCATGCCACTGAGTTCTGGCTAATGCAACAGAAGTGATTTGCTCCACTTTTAGCCTGGCCCATAAAACCCTCCAAAGATCTTCTCTCCCTCCTTTCCCGTCTGCAGTTGATTGACAATGCCCAGCAAACACTGAAAATCCCAAGCTAATGACTGTAGAGTCTACATCAGCCTGAATCTTTGAATGACTATGTGGAATAGCCCCCACCCCATCCTGCCACCTCACAGCTGGCAATTCAGCAAATTAAACTCAGCAAAATTAATGGAGTTACCACAGTAACCTGAAGAAATACATCACATCTCAAGCATAAGCACTCAACATTTTTATGTGCAAATATGAATATATATTTTCATATGTATATGAAGGCATACCTTATTGCACACATTATCTTATAGCCTTTTTACTTGGCACTATATTGTAAACAATTTCTCATGTTCATGGAATCCTCCAATATTATAATTTTTAATGACTAGGATCCCAAGCTGTGGTTAGACCATGCTTTCAAATTTTTACTATTTTATATAACTTTCATTTTTTGATATTAGACAGTATATGATCCAAAGACCTTTGTGATGCCATTATTGTGAAAAAGAGCATTTTTCTTCATCACAGTTATTTGTTGACTTACAGCTAATATTCAAAGTAATGAACCACTGATTTTGTGCTGTTCAACCCCATGTAAGTTAATATCTTTGAGTGTCTTCCATGTGATAAACCTTTCTCATATCCCATAGAAAGATATACTGTGAAAGGTAATAAATGTCCTTTAAAACATTACAAAATAAAAGGATTAGTGTGAATCATCGGATATTGGCATCTAGTCATTGACCTCTATTAGCATACAAAATGATTAATTTTTGCCCCAAATTGATAATGATAAAGTCAAAAATAAAATATAAATTAATTTATTGTAAGACTTATAAAATATCCTTCTTCTAAAGGGGAACATGTCTTCATCATCAACTGAACTAATTGAATACTATCTACTTTTTCACTTTCTCTGTTAATAGGGTACACACAAACTCCTTTGGAAGTTTATAAGGGTAAGGGTCAGGAAACATCTTCATGGGCCCAGCAACAAATTCAAATGAAAGTAAATATTGTTACACTATAGTTTGTATAGTGCATACTTACAGTAAGACAGAAAACAGAGGCTATCAAAATACATAATTCAATGCAACTTTAGAAAACTATTTAAGTCACAAAAATAGCTTTTCTACAGCTTCAAAAAATGATCCTGCCACATTTCAATGTTATTTCACTGTATATAATATAGGCTTGAAAAGGTTTTCCCAACAAGAGAACCTAAAATAAAGAATGTAATATAATTAATAGGACACTTAATGCTCATTAAATACTTGATTCTTATTTTCCTATGAATGTTATCTAAATTCTGTGATACATGATTATTTAAAGATAAAAATATGTTTAAGAAAGCATAGAAAAAAGATCAGAACTCAATAATGCCTATCAAAGGGTGGTATGGCACTAATAACCCATCTCAGTATCTCTTAGCATTTCCCAGCTTCTTTTTAAAATGCATGATAACATAAAAAGTTTATGATATTTTGAATCAGTATTAGCTTTAAGATGTGTCTATTCTGCTTAGCAATCATGTGACCTTTAGCTATAGTTTTACTTCTGTGAGTCTTAGTTACTATTTCTATAAAATTATTGAATACCCACATCACAGGAATAAACGTAAATATTTAATTTAATATGTATATAAAGAAACTAGCATAGTACCTGAACAGAGTAAATTGTCAACAGCTGTTGTTTTCTTTTTCCCCACTCCCCACTGTTTTTACTAAAGCATTATTGCCTTAATACTGTCACTTAGGGTTTTTTCTTAAGCCAGCAAGATGTTATTTCACTGAATGGTTTGTATGATTAAGATACAATTTTCTTATTCATTTATTCTTCTAACACATGTGCCATATATCTACCATGTGCCCAGAACTGTTCTCGATGCAAAGGACATAGCAGTGAACAAAACAGAGCCCCCCCCTCCCCAAAAAAAGATTATAAGACTTAGGAAGCTTATATGATTATAGAGGAATATAGATTTTTTTGTTTAAAAAAAAGTGAAAGATGATGGAGGCTTGATCAGAATGGTAGTAGTGGGGATGGTGAGAAGTTGTCAAAGTCTGATGTTTTAAAGGCAGAGCTCATGGAATTTGCTGATAGATTAAATGTGGCATGTGAGATCACAAAAAAAAGGACCAGAGTAACACCAAGGTTTTAGGCTATAGCAACTGGAAGGATGAACATACCATTTTTTGAGAAAAACTATGAAAGACGTTTAGGGAGATAAGAACAGGAGTTTGGTTTGCTAAGCTTGAGATACATATTAGAAATCCAAGTGGATATACAGAGAAGGTACCTGGATAAAGAGCCTGGAAGTGAAGATAAAATTCAGGCCAGTAATCCAAAACTGGGAGTCCAGAACATATGGATGATAATTAAAACCATGATACGGGATGCAATCTCCAGTTAGAAACAAGTGTTGGCAGAGAACTTAGGAGATCCAGGGCTGAGCCGTAAGGCACTCAGTGTTGAGAGGTTGCACAGATGCAGAGTGGGTGGTTTTTTCCTCATGCCAACCAATTGTCCAATTCTCTAGCACCAACTAGGCTTCCTAAAATTTAATCCAATTCTGACACTAACTACTCAGAGCTAGTGTCAGACTCCACAGGTTTAAAGACTCAGTCCCAAAAGAATGCCCTCACTTCAGATGCTGCTTACACATATATCAGGTACCCAGCTCACTCACACTTCTGTCTGACTTGGTTACAAAGTCAGAGGTTCCCACAATCCCTCCACTTCAGGTTCAATAATCTGCTAAGACTCACAGGACTCAGGAAAACACTGCACTTACTACTTCAGTTTATGACAAAGGATGCAAATGAATAGCCAGATGAAGAGGCATATAGGAAGAAGTCTGGAAGGGTCTCAAGCACAGAAGGGGGCTTCTGTCCCCATGGAGTTGGGGTGCACCAGCCTCCTGGCACTTGGGTGTGTCTGCCAACTCAAAGCTCCCAAACCCCATCATTTAGGGTTTTTCATGGAGGTTTCATTACCCAACCATGATTGTGGCCATTGGTGATTAAATCAGTCTCCAGCCCCTTTATCCTTCCCAGGGGTTGGGGGTTGGAACTGAAAGTTCCAAGCTTCTAATCAAGATTTAGTCCTTCAGGTTACAGGCCCCATCCTAAATCTCTCTAGGGAAGCTTCAAGAGGCACTTCATTAGAACAAAAGATGCTCCTATCAATCTAATCACTCAGAAAATTCTAAGGGTTTTGGCTCTGTGCCAGGAACCAGAGACAAAGACCAAATATTTTTCTTATCATACCACAGGTCACCCCCTGGTCTTTGACACATATCCTTTACAGCAAACTGATTATGCCTGTCAGAACATTTATATTTGATGCAGCACTCATAGAATAGATGTAGCAATGGTACCAAAATGAATATGGCTCACATTTGGAGAAGCCAGTTCAAAGAAACAACTAATTTGACCTATAAAACCATAATTTATATCTTTGTATGCTTGTACTAATTTGTTATTCTTGTTTTCCCCTGGTCTACTGCTATTTGTATCTTATGATAAGCTTGTACTGAACTATTTATCCTAGAAATCAGCTTTAGGCTAGCTGTATCAAGTTCTTCCTCAGATCAGCCATTTTCTATAGGTATTACATCCTGAGCAGGATGTAACTCAATCTCTCAATATAATTAATCATCAATATCAGTATTATCATAAGACTTGTTTACATGAGGTAGTTGAATATTACCAACAACACCAGTATTATACCATATTGCAGTATGGTCACAGTATATTTCAGTTTCATTACAGAACAGATCAGTAAGAACTACAGAGGCATTTGCTTTATCTTCTTAACAGAATCAACACTTGCCCATATACTAGATCTTATTAAAAACAGACATTGTTACAATTGGCCATTGTTCAGTTATTTCTCGGTTCCAAGTTAACTGGGGACAAAGTCAACCACCCTGTCTCATCCCACAGACTATATTGAGTCTGATTACCATTTTGTATTGTTATGTAGCAGGGGCCACCTCCCTCCCACAGGCAGGACACAAGTGATATTTAGAATAGCTCCTATCCTAAATAGTGTTTTATTTTCAACCTATTCTGGGGGCAAAGTCAGTCACACTATAATGATGCAAATTCGAGTGCCCCCAGAGAACTTCCATAAGTTTGGAGGGCCATAAGATTCCCAAAGGTGAGGCCCTCATGCTTCAGCAACTAGAATAGAGGGTCACTGCCCCATGAACACTTCATCCTTCATTTGAATTAAAATAGTCAAGAGGCCCTATTGGGTCAGGGTACAAGCTGTTTCCCAAGAGTAGATTTAGCACTATCTGGCATTAGTTGTTGAATCTGCCAGACCCACTTTGCTAATTATCTTTCCAGGGTGACTTCCATCCTTTGCCTCCTCCTGGAAGGAAACTTCTCTAATCTGTTTATTCTAGCTAATAAATCATTTTCCTCAAAATACCACTCCTCATTAAAAGCAAATTATCTTTGTCCCAAGATACCTAGACCAGCACCTGTCTCCTCGAAGGCCCTTTTCTGTCTTGTGGGCCAGTGCTGTTTAATCTACCATGCGTGTTATTGCCAAATCATGTTAATGGCCTGAGTAGAATTGGAGTACATATTTTGTACCCCAAAATGATGGGTGCAACATAATCCTGGGGTTAGATGAGTGGTGGTCAGATCAAAATACCATTCAGTTTGAGTGTGCCATAAGGCCACAATATTCCTGTCTCAGGGTGGGGCCACTCCTCAGGGGAACTCAGATCTACCATGCAATGCCCACTATTTTGATCCCATCAGGAACTTCAGAATTTTTCCCTATTCTGCTTAATAGCTTTCCATCCACAAAAGTGATGGTAACATGCATTAGTGCAGAGTACACTGTGGTATGTTGGGCATGCTACCATTATAGCTTGTCTGTTATAACCAGGAATCTTTCAAAGCATTTGATCACCAGTATTTACAGTTGCACACTGAGACTTACACCACACAGTTTGAATTCCTAGATTCCTAGTAGTTCTCAGAAACTCCTTCCCAGATTATATTCTTTGTAGTAGATATAACCTGAAAAATAGGAGTCAAAAGATAGTAGCATGTTACTAGAGTTCAGTTTAGTCATTAACAGGCAGTCCAGTAGTCACCATCATCTTGTATAACCAGAATGTCTCTCAAAGTGATGCCCCTCAGATTTGTGGGCTGCCTTTCAATGTTGTTGGGTTTAAAAGCAGGGTGGTCTTGGCAAACACAGAGTGTCACCCTTCCAGAGCTTGGAACTCTGTCCCTGATTGAAGAGTACTCATGCAAAAGGATCAGCCCTCTGTAGGACCAGAGATGGGTATCCAGCGTAACAGGAAGGAAGGCATAGACATATGAAGGTAGGCAAGTATGCCAGTGGGAGTTTGAGCGAGTAAGTCTCTTTTAACTGCTTTTATTTTCTCAGATTGAAAAAGAATTAAGATCATTAGCTGAAAGTGTAGACAGTAAAGAGTGTTGGAAGTTTAAAGAAAGAGAAGATACGAAATGCTCTACTCAGGGATTCTCAACCTTGGCACTATAGACATTTAGGGCAGAGTAATTCTTTGTCGTGGGGTTATTTAGAAGCATCTTTGATCTCTACTCACCTAGATGCCAGTAGCACTCCCTCCCCGAGACTGTGATAACCAAAAACATCTCCAGTATTGCCAAATGTCCCCCGGGGACAAAATCTCCATGGTTAAAAACTACTGCCTCCCTAGGCAATGGGGAGGGTGAAAGGAGTAGAGAAATGTAAAAAGATGGTGACCCTAGGTCATCTAAAGTTTCACTCGAGGCCAGTGGGCATGAATTTTGAATGAAGTCAGTCAGCTTGCTTATGACTATTTTTCCAGCCACAATAGCTGCACAGGATCAGAACAGGCAAGAAGTTAGTACATCAAAGTGAAAAGGGGAAAAGGTGTATGTAAGAAAGTGATTACAATGGTAGAATTTAAGCCAGGTAAGGAGGAAAGGGAGGACATGAGTAGGGAAGAACAAGAAAAGGTGGATGAATCAACATAGTATACATTCCAGTTAGATGGAGGAGTCTGGGTACCAGAGGGCATGAGCTGGGAAATTATGAGGTGATGGTTAGCGAAAGAGATGCTTGAAACTCGCTCAGAACTGGTTGAAGTTATTGGTAATTATGTACACACACACGCACACACACACACACACACACACATATATATATAGAGAGAGAGAGAGCATTATATAGAGATATATAATATATAATTGGTACTTTTTATTAAATCCTGATAAACCTTCAGCTCCACAAAGAGCCAAGAATTGTGTTGCCAGTGTCTCATTATTGGAACTAGCAAAGTGTAAGATTCAAATCTCCTATAGAGTTTGTGTACACAAGCTTAATATAGCCTATTAAGCTGAGTTCTGCATTTTATTTGCTCATAATTTCCTATATCTCAATAAGTAAGTGAAAGCAGCAGCCATTCCAACTTGCTCCAAGTCAGAGATTGGCATGATATCTAGCTTGCTTAGTTGTGAGAAAAATTTAGGCAAGAGGTGTTTTTTCCCTCAGAAAAAAAAGGCTATTGAGCTTGTGGAAATCAAAGCAGCTAAACAAACCTCTTATTATTAGAATAATGGCATGACATTCAATAGCCTTCAGAGAAAATTTAACCGGTCTTTGATTTTGGCACTTTAGCCACTTCAAAATTAGGTCAAACAATAAAGAAGAAGAAAGAACACTGAACAAAAGACAAAATAAAGTCATATACCAACTTTACTTTTCAAGCATAGTCCAGTGAAAAATAAAAACAAAGTAAATTTTCCTTAAGCTCTAATATTCCACTCTTCTGCTTTTGAAGAAAAATGTGTTTTTCTGTAGTTTTATAATAAATCTAAAACGCTATCATTTTTAGCATGAAATGCTAAGTATTGCTTCACCAAAAATAGTCACCCTATGCTACAATCATCTAAGTTTGTTTTAATAATCCTCAGATACAAACGACCACTATGTCAGCCCCCTCAGTACTAACTACGATTATCTGTTGTTTAAAATAGATGTCCTAAGAACGTTATCTAAGTGAACAAAAGCATAAACATTTCAACTATCAAATCATCAGAACTGCTTAGGCAAGCGTAAATATCTCCTGGCTCCAATGTCTCCCTTATGGAATTTTTTTCCCTGTTACTTGCTCTGCTGTTGCAATGATAACAGGCGCATGCTGAGATAATGAAATTATGGATCTTCTTTTTATAGCTTAAGTGCTCTTTGTTTCTGAAGAAGTAAAGGTTTCTTTCTAGGTAATAATATATTTTAATACAGTTCAAATACAAGAAAAACAAGATGTTTCATAGAAATGCAATCAATAAAGGATACCAGAGGGAAAAATGAAATGAATTTGGAAGAAGATTCAAGCCTCCCTGATTGGATTGCATTAGAGAAGGCAAAAAATTAATGACTTCATGTCATTGAGATTTTTCTCATTTCCATCAGGAAACTGAGTTCTATGAGCCCTATGTTAATTTTCCAAACTCTTCTTTGGTTTTGCATAGTGAAGAGCCACTCCAGGGTTATGCTCAACTCAGTGACTAACTGGCTTGGAAATTTCACTTGTTTTAAGTCCTATCTTCACACTCCTCAAGACTGCAGACTCTGTCTTGCCTAACAAAGGTGACATACCACAGAGGATTACAGAGACATGCAAGAGAAACCAAGTTCTATTCTAGGTTCTGTTGGTGAGGTCACTTCTTTTGGATTGGTATCAGATTCCATTTAATACTGTCCATTTCTGAGATCTTTTTTCTCCTCAACAGAAGTCCTCTCAACTATCACACTGACAAGCCGGCTTTTCTCTGATGTCCCAAAGTGCTGGCACTACCAAGGATTCAGATAAGAACTGAAGCTGAGTGACTGGATTAACTGATAAAATTGCTAATTAAAGCTCTGTTTTCAACACTCCTGAAAGATTAACCAACTGGGCCAAAATTTGGAGCAGAGAGGAAGTTTTAACAGTCTACACTGTTTGATAAATAAAAGGCTTTAACAATTTCAAAGAAATTCATGTTAAGAAATTTCCATAGACATTTTTCCCTCAGAGAAGTACACAAATGGGACAATTTAGTCAGAACTTTGTATGGGTTTTCTTTCTTGTAAATATTGTTGCTTGGCAGGGAAGCACGGAAGCTGATCAGTCTAATACGTGTATGTCATTGTGCCGACACAATGATAGCAACACAAATATAGAAGTGCATTTTTCTTTTAAAAAAATCGAGTCTAATAATTTCAATTTTAAAACTAGTAAAAAAATACAAAACTTACATATCTGGTCAGAGACTGCCAGAGATATAATAGGATGTGGTAGATTAGGGCACAGACACAGCAGCCAAGTTCCTGCGTTGGGTCCTACCCCTGCCACTTCCCAGCTGGGTGACCTTGAGTTAGTTACTCAGCTTCTCTCTGCCTCCAATTTTCCATTGGAATGAGAGTAATAGTACCTACCTCAGAGAGTTGCTATCAGGGCTAGATAAATTAAATCTATCAAGTGCTTAGAAGAGTATGAGGCATATAATCAGGTAGTAAATGTGTGTTGTTATTATTACTGTGAGTCCATAAGTAAAAATGACCTTCAAGGTGTCTTTACATAAGATTTAACTTCCGTGTGCATGTGTGTGTTATAATGAAAGATAGTTCCTCAAAGTTTTTCAACACCATCCCATACATGACATAATTTGATCACTGAATCTTTTTCCTTAAGAGTTTCACTCTATTTGACACCAAGAATAACCTCATCTGTAAAATAAATTTCTTGTACCATATGACAGTTAAACTTTCTTCCTGCTCAAACAAGCACCAGCTATAAGCCTGTAAAATGAAAGTTGGAACTCCTGGTTTCCTTGGTCCACTTGCTAATTATCATCCTCTTGTGACAACTCTCTCACTGCGCTATAAATCCACCAAGTGCCTAACCCCAAATATGAACATCACCCACTCTGCTGGGAAAAGACAATGTAGAATTACCCCCTGTGGCATATTTTTTTAACTTGTAAAAGGAAGTGGGCTTATTTTCTGTGAGGGCTCTTTCTTTTCACGGAACCAGTCTATCCTGCACATGATAGACATGTGGCATGCAGATAAATTGGGGACAGAAAGATGGATGTAGACGGCAGGAGAGGTAAAAACAGGGAAGAAACACAGCCTCACCAAGCTTACCCTGGTCCCTTGCCCTGTCTTAGGGTAAAGACCATTAAAATGTGACTGCCTTTGATATCACTTCTAATATGGCTGGAAAGAGGACTCATGCAGTTTGAATGTGAGATGTTTAGACTGTATTAAAACATGAGGCTCCGGTCACATCAAAGGCTCCTCACGGGTGGCTTGGGCCAGGGTAAGGTCACCACTGCCCCCACTGTAATAGGTGTGGAGACACTGTGTACCTGTGAAATGGTGGTGTTTGCTTTTTTTTGCTGATAAATGTGGAGCTGGGAGAGGAGATGCCTTCATGTGCCTGAGGAATGACCTACTGTGGAAGGTTTAAAGGCAAACAGGTATCAGGTTAGGGTTATGGGGGCAATTTTTTGAATGGGAATGTCCTTTGTTCTGAGGGAGTAGGCTTCTTTAATTCCTGGTGCAAGGACAGACATTGATAAGAAAGGCTTCCTGCTTGACCACCAAATTTTAAATAAAGGCGATTTTATTCTAATAGGTCATTTGGATGACATCAAGGCAGGACATAAAAGATTAGGGCAAGTTAACCTCATTTTGCCTTTTCATACTTAAATATTTTTATCTTACATTAGTTCCATCACACTCACCCAATATGTTTACATTGCAATTGCATAAAATTGAGGGAAGAAAATTTTGTGTTGTCACTACTAGCCTATAGGACAAGTTCTCAAAATCAATCTCTTTATTACATCTATAATGGTTTTGAAGGTCTTAGTAATATTGCTTTAAAAGATTTTAGCATAATATTCTAAAAGTCCTTAAGATTAGGAATTTATTCCATGAAATAGAACTTGTCAAGACAACCCTAACTAGTTCTCAAAGGAAAAAGCAAGATTGTATCCATGGAAAATAAAAGGACTAATGACTTAATAAATAATACTAGGCTTCTAATATGTATTACACAAGAAAAAAAAAAAGCCAAGCAGAAGACAACCAAAACAGAGGAAATGAAGAGAGATGGATCAGACTGACACCTAGAGACCTAGTTCAGGGGAGGGATATCTATCCCATTGGAAGCATGCGCTGAGTGCATTCTCTCCCATTGCTGTTTAGGAATCTCACTTGAGGGAGGTCATTACGTAACTCTCAGGCGCTTCTGAACTCTATTGGTACTTAACAGTACCACCATGGCTTATGAATTGCCTTGAAATTGTTATCAGTTGTAACTCCCCTACTCATTGCAAATTCTCCAAAGTACTTTGCTTTCCACTTTCTTTTCATCCCACGTATACCTAGTGCAATATCATTTATGAAAGATAAACTTAAATCATTTAGAAATAGAATCACCATTTGATGGGGAGGAAAGAAAGAGTAAAAAGAAAATCTCACTCTCCTACTAACCCTTTCTGCATCTTCTCACTGAATGAAAAACATTTACAATCATTTCATTTCTAACTACCATGTTATACATTTCAGAGGGGAAAAAAATCATTTACTCTTAGACTCGGGTCCAATTTTCATTGTGATTTTTGCCCTCAAGAAATAAACATCGTGGTCAGGACGTCTGTCCGGCATCCTTGTGGCCAAGAAAGCAATGGTTTGCAATGAAACACGAGTGCTCTGGTGAGACTACGCGGCCCCATGGCTGCAAACTCCTATGAACCACAGGGTTTTTAACCACTGGCAAAGTCTCAAACCACTTAATTGAATGACAAGTCCCTCAAACAGCTGTCACTTAAGATTCTTGGGTTGAAATGAAAGGCCAGAGTACTTGTAATTACTCCCCTCTAGCACCCTTTTCCTAAACACAGAACATAGTATTGGAAACAATTTTCAATAACATGAACAGCCTGTCTATGGAAGAATGAAGCAGACAGCTGCAGATTGATATAATTTTTTTCCTTTTTTTTTCTTACCAGAAGACCCTAAGGTCTAAAGACAATTACAGCTCTTAAAGCCCCCTAATTTTAATCTCCTTTCTTTCATTGGATTCCAGAATTCAATTCTCTGTGGCAATTTGGTTGAATCTTATTCACATAGTGTAGTTCACCTAAGAAGGAAATGCTGATTTACTGAGTAGAGGAAGTCATTTCTTCAGATGCATATCATCATAAAATAAAATTTTGATTCATACTCGTGATCTACTTGGAACTCTGGGGCTGATAAATCCTTATTTCTCCAATAAAAATAATTCTAATTGTTACGTTTAAACAGCAATTTATAATGTATCAAGTCATCTCACTTAAATGATAACATTCCTTTTCCCAAGAAAATATGTGTTTAACATAATCATATTAAATATGATCAAATCATATTAAATATTAAATATGATCATATTTAATATGATTCTCAAGACAACCTGTGAGAAATATCCAGCAAGTGTCATTATCTCCATTCTACAGATTAAGAAATAGACTTAAACATATTAAGCCACTAGCCTCAAAGTTCTATTAGCTGATAGTTGTTACTGAAATCTACAGCTCACTGATTTCAAGTCTGGTAAATAATCATACTTAAAAATGTACGTCACTTCTTTCACATTCACTTCTTCCTTTTCTTATTAAATCCCTTTATGCTCTCTCCTAATCCACTACACTTTCTAATCCAGTTATTCGCTATCTGCATCCTCAGAGCATGCTTCCACCCCTTCCAATTTCCTCCATCCTCTTTTATCTGTACCACAAGGTCCCTCCAATGCCAACACTTGAACCACCCAGTCTATCCCTCCCACTCTGTTCTATGGAAGCCCTGTTCATTCAGGAACAAACTCCTAGCACAGCTATGGGCTGAACATTTTATTTGATTGGTCTTTCCACCTCCCTCTCTTAAATGTAACCAGGCCACCCTCTGGGGATAGCACAAAGCAGATGGCTACATATCCAGTCTTTTTTTTTTTTCTGAGACGGAGTCTCCTTCTGTTGCCCAGGCTGGAGGGCAGTGGCGCGATCTCGGCTCATCGCAAGCTCCGCCTCCCGGGTTCACGCCATTCTCCTGCCTCAGCCTCCAGAGTAGCTGGGACTACAGGCATCCGCCACCACGCCTGGCTAATTTTTTGTATTTTTAGTAGAGACGAGGTTTCACCGTGTTAGCCAGGATGGTCTCGATCTCCTGACCTCGTGATCCGCCCGCCTCAGCCTCCCAAATTGCTGGGATTACAGGCGTGAGCCACTGCGCCCGGCCACATATCCAGTTTTGAATATCCCACTCCTGGGGCTTCTGATAAAATAGTTTCTCTTTCTTCCCAATCATTGTTCTCAAACTACTCACTTGCAATTCTCCCTCAATTACCTCTGTTCTTCTAAGGGGAAAACTTCCATTTAAGTCACCTTTTCCTCGCTGTGTTCCATCCTCTACTAGTTTCTAAAACAGTTCCATCTTCTTTCATTTTATCAGCCACTTGCTCATAGCCATCCTTTTCACTCCACAATCAGCCACTGTTCTCAGTGACTTCAGCATCCAGGCTGACAGTGATTCTGACAACACAATGTCTAATTTCTCAGCCTCCTTAATGATGAAAGCTTTTCTTCTAACTTAGCCAAATACAACAGCATGCTGGCCCAGAAAGTTTGGTAGGATTTGGGTTTGCAGAGATTGGGGGAAGAAAGTGTTTCCTAAGTGAAAAATCTGAGAAAAGGTTCAAATGTGTTTAGTATTTGGTAGAAATTTAGATAACACATTTTGGCTACATAATATGTAACACAGAAAATACAAGAAGATAAAAGTCAAAAAGTGATTGATCAGCTCATCATGTATGACTTATCTTCATTACTTGACTATAAGCTTCTTGAGAGCAAAGGCACCTCTGAGATAATTTTTAATCCTCTACATTATCTAGTAAGACATTCAATAAGAGTCTTCTAGAAACCCAACCATCTGTGTTCAGCAAAAAGTCCTATAAATCAGAGATTCTCTACAAGACCTATTTTTCTAATTATTCCCAGCTTACATGACACTCTGTTTCTAGCAAAAAGCTCATTAGATAAGGCATTCTCCACAAGGCATATTTTTAAAGTCAGAGAGTATGCCCACTAATGTAATTTTCAGTTCAAAATTACCAAACTTCTAAAGGCTTTTACTGTTCATAATCAGCATCTTCATTTTGTGTATTACCTACATTCAAAACAAGCTACCTCTCCTCAGCCTACTATTCACAAATATGGTCTGCACCTATTTGAATTTCTCACCAATCAAGATGCTTTGCTTCAAATTTTGTTGTGTTGTATTCTTGAATCATTTTCAAACTTTGATATTCCTCTTGGCCAAATTATTAATGACTGCTCCTTAAATTTTTATTTTTTAAGTCAAAGTAGTTTCTAAATACTAAATCACAGGTGGTGGCATTCTCACTCGGAAGGATAAGTAGATTAGCAAGAGGCCAAGGCTTTTCTCTCTCTCTAACATATACTACATTTCAGCCCTATTTCTAATATCCTTCTCGCCCACACTGCCAAAATGTTCCAACACTTGAGTTAGGAAGATAAAATACTTCCCTTGTTCTTCCATACAAAACCAATTATTGTTTTTCTCTGGTATTTATTGCTGAAGTAAAACGAATGCCACTCTGGAGAACATAGCTTAATCATATTACATAAGTTTCCATCTCAAATATGTT
The DNA here is from genome assembly GCF_000001405.40 of Homo sapiens. Taxonomy (NCBI): domain Eukaryota; kingdom Metazoa; phylum Chordata; class Mammalia; order Primates; family Hominidae; genus Homo; species Homo sapiens. Next base: position 43,849,001 of record NC_000005.10, on the reverse strand, counting down.
GCCCAGTGGTCATTCATAATTTAAGAGTAAATCATACCAACTGTGAGAAGAATTTCACTTCCCTGTTAGATATCCATTGGGTAAACCTCTTATGGAATAATATCTGTCAAAGTTACAAAATCTGACAGACTCCCTCTGAGAGATAAGGTGGTAAGTATAGTGAAAAGAGTGCTGGACCAGGACCCAAAACACATAGCTTCTAGTAAGTTGAAACACATGGTTTCAGAAATAAAAATGTTCTTTGGGTACCACTAAGTAGAAATCTGAAATTGTGACTCTGCTGGAAAATTAAGAATAAGAACACATGATTGCTGTAGCTCTTGTTCCAGTATTTACTATCTCTGAGATTATTTACAAGTTATATCATCCCCTGTATCATCTGCACAGAAGAAATGCTACCTATACCTTATGGTCCTCAGAGCACCTGTTACCATAGTATGGGAAGTTGGGGAGTTTCCTATCACTCCTCTCTCCGTGACTGCCCTAGTTTCTACTAATCTTCTTGGATGAGTCCATTATTAATCACTCCCTGCCTCTCCAAGTGGATCATGAAGACCCCCTTAGGCTAGCTCTCCCTATGCTGAGAACCCTATTCCTTCACTCTTCACTTGTTCCTCTTTTCTTTCTTCATTTACCATGTTTTCTCCTTCTCGATCTGCTCCCTTGTCAACCTTCTGAAGGATGAGCTGAGCATCAGCTCGACCTTTCTGATTCATGTGCACATGAAATGGAAGATATTGTCAATTGTCCAATTTTTCTTGCTAAAGGGACTTTACTTTTCACCAAAAATAGGCTGTTCAAAGAAAAGCAGCAATTTGAAATTATGTAATATGTTTTTGCTAACGAGAGTCATCCTACAGTGTACAGAATACTAGAACTTATTCTTCTTATATATCTGATAAGAAGCATTTTAAAACTAAAAATGCACGTGTTCTTTAAAACTGCATTTAAAATCTTTCCAATCTGGAAAACCAAACATCGAATGTTGTCACTTATAAGTGGGAGCTAAGCCATGAGGACACAAAGGCATAAGAATGATATAATGGACTCTGGGGACTCGGGGGCAAGGGTGGGAGTGGGTGAGGTATAAAAGACTACACATTGGGTGCAGTGTATACTGCTCAGGTGATGGGTGCACCAAAACCTCAGAAATCATCATTAAGGAAGTTATCCATGTAACCAAACACCACCTGTTTCCCAAAAACTACTGAAATAAAAAAGAAAGAAACTAATTTTTAAATCACATATAAATATATTTTTCTTTTTATGGAGAAAAGATTTCATTTTAAAAATAAAATAAAATCTTTCCATTCTGAAAAAATATTTTGTAGTCCTCTACTTTGTGTAATTGGCCAAGTAGAAATTTGTGTGTTTCCAGGGATAACTAGTTAGTATTGCTTTAAAAGTCTGAGAATCAGGGACTCTTCCCTAAGATAAGGGTTGTTCATAGTTGGTCTATATGGGACTTAAAAGTGTTTTAGTACGTAGACTATTATTTTTAGACAATAATTATGTGCTGAGCTCAAGGGATTTTTGCCATTTTAAATGCCTCAAAGACACATTTCAAACATTTGACACCATCAAATTGGACTTGTCTTCTCATATCGTCCTGGGTTCTCTGTTTTTTCATTTCTGTTTACATTGTTCTGGGGAATTAATATAATCACATACCTTTAACCACTGGTAGAAGTACACAATACCTCTAAATATTACATTAAAAACCAGCTTCAAATTAAAATTATTAACCAGGAATTCTTATGCTTCACTATCCCTCTTAAACTTAACATGTTGAAATTTCTTTCTCCGTAAGCTATTACCTCTCCCTAAATTCTCAATGGCATTGATACTGTCAACCTCATAATCTCTCCAGCTTAAGTATTATAGTTAGTATTACTTCTTCAGGCTTTAACCGTCTCACACATAAAGGAAAATAATATCCCTTGAATTGAGATCGGGTTATTCTGCATAAAACCCTTCCCATCACACCTGCTATAAAATATAAAATCCAAGTTTTTATCATGGACTTTTAAGACTCGATACTTTATGTGATCTGGACTCTGTCTATTTCTCTTCCCTCATCTCCTACCACTCATTAAGGCCAGTGACACTGGCCCCCTTTCCATTCTCATGACTACGGATGACTAACTCCTTCCTCCCAAGCAGGTCTTAACCAAAATATTGCCTCCCCTAAGAGAAATTCCCTGACTACCTGACTACCTGACCGCTTGTCAAGGTGCTGCCTCATCACCCAGTTTGATTTGTTTCAGAGCACTCACTTTGTTCACTTGTTTATTAGCACTCTGTCCCCTTCCCGCCCCCCACACACATTTGAATATAATTTATGAGAGTGTCCTTTTCTCAGTTGTTTCCTCACTATCCACTCTCCTCCAGGTAGATTCTTCCAAGTTCCAGTCTTCTCCCCCAGGATACCTTGCACTTTGCTTTTCCACTTGCTCATCACACTTAGAATTACTTGTTCAGGTTCTGTCTGCCACTATAGACCTGTGAGTTCAAAAAGAATACAGGATATATCTGTCCCCTTCCCCACTATTTCTCCACCACCCAGTACAGAGATTGATATAACAGGTACTTCATAAACATTTGTGGAAGAAATAAAGGAAGGGAGGGAGAGAGAGGAGAGGGAGAGCAGAAAGGAGGGAGACAGGGAGGAAGGAAGGAAGGAAAAAGAGAGGGAGGAAGGGAGGGAGAGAGAGGGGAGGGAGAGAGAGAGGAGGGGAAAGAGGGAGGGAGGAAGGAAGAAAAATGTGAAAGAATATGCTTTAGTATAACCAGTCTCCCGCCCCCACCCCCCAGATGCCTGGGACAGGAATTTCCCAGTATATGAAACCTTCAATGCTTGAACCTGGAAACTTCCAGGAAAACCAGTTCAAATTGACCATACTAGCTTTGAAGGAAACCCTTAGAAAACAATCATCTTGGACATGAAAATGCCTGCAGCTAAAGTAAGTCTCTCCTACATGTTTAACAAAATAGTCAGATGTAGTCTGTATTCATCTGGTCAAGCAAGATACTTCCTAGTTATATTGATTACTTCAAGACAGTCTCAGAGTCCTGCCATGACCATTTGTTCACACATAAGCATTGCTGGTACAGTGGCCACAATGTTTGGACCTGCATGAACAGCTGAACCAGAGGCAGACACTAGAGGCTGTTAGCAAATTAGAAAGCAAACTCATATAAGAACCCAGCTTCATATGTAGATAAGGGAAGGTGAAGCCTAAAATGGATGATGATTAACTATACCACCCTGTTGGAGAAAAGACTTGAACTTGACATTTACAAAGAAGGTTCAAGGAGAAGTGTCAGGAGAAGTAGATGCAGAAATAGCAAGAGATGTTAACATAAAGATGGCCCATGGAATAGGGAGCAATAGGTTTTTCAGTTTCTGAGTAATAGGATGTCAGAGCTATTAAGAACTGTATCCTAACTGTATCCTAAAATACATTGCAGTTTCCTTGAAGCTTGAGTGATTAGTGGTTGAAACTGTTTCATGCTTCCATGTTTCCCGGGGTATCATTACAATAAACCCCATTAAATAAGGTAATCTGAGCATGTCTATATTTCTTAGAAGTTAAAAGAACCTAGTAGATCATTATTTTTTCAGTCAATAGGATTAATGGGATAAAAAATGAGATCCAACACCAAAAAGTCAAAAAAAATAAAATAAGCTGAGAGATAGACCAAGCTCCCTGACTATCAAACTATCACAAATCCCTGGTGAGGAGAGATTAGAGGCCAAACGATCCACAGTCTTATGCCTTACTCACAGCCATCTCTGAGTTACATGTGCTTGTTTGGTTTTTTCTTTTTTTCCAAAAAATATTTTTTGGTTATTTCATCACTTGTAGTTTAAAGTTGCTATTTAAAGAGTTATTTAAAATCCTGTTTGTTGTGGAAATACCTGAATTTGAGTGAGCACACTCCAATAACCTACTGATAGATACCATGGAATATAAACAGAAATGAAGTACTTTGATTGGAAATATTTGCATTCATAGCTAATAGGAAGAGAGGAAGGTTGGGGTTATAAAGTTATCATGAATGCCAATATAAATACAAACAGAAGGCACACAAATAGGGAACAAAAATATAAACTACATATTTATTTTTCTTAATTTTATAATTCCCATGGAACTTGGTGACTCAGAACCTTATCTTCATTTCAAAGTGCTCCCAGAAACTTCAGAAGTTTTCTGAAACTTTCCAAACTTTGAAAGAAAGACAACTGGAAAATGGTCTGTCTCTAAGAGTATCTTTCCAGTAACTCAGAGTAAGAGTAGGTTATCTTACAACTGACAAATAGGTTACTGTTAACTTGTAATTTCTCACTTTAGGTTTCAGAGGATTTAGTTTTTATAAATTTCTCTATAAATATTTTATTTAGTTGTTGGATTCTTTAAGCATATTACACAAATGAGGGGGAATGGCAATCTTGAAGCAGGAAGAGGTGTGGCCAAGAATGGAAAACTGGCCTAAATTTAATCATTTCATTACTAAATATTGAGAGTTAATTCCATGTATAGTCTTTATTTTCCTTAAACTTCACGATATAGATCTAATCATTTATGTTCATGATAGTCACCATTATAATATTACTGCTAGACAAAAAAACTAAATGCCCCAAATCAAAATATCAGAATCAAATGCTAGGAAGCATACAAGGAAATGGGGTCTCACTTGTGCAGCTGGCAGGAATGTAACCTGGCCAGCCATCCTACAGAGTACTCTGGCAATATTTTATGAAAGTGAGTCTGTGCATATTCTAAAATTCAATAAAACATACACCCCTAGACATACACCCAAGAGAAACTTACGTACCAAATCCAAAATACATATACAATAGTGCTTCTTATTTCATCATATGTGGTATTAAGAGTTTGAGAACAACTTAAATTCCCATCTTAGAAAAACTGAGATGCCATTAAAAAAAGAAACAAACTAGGTCCACATGGATAGACTTAAAAAACAACATGTTGAGAGGTTGGGTGAAAAAATTCAAGAAACAGAAGCGCAGTGTAGTGCAACAGAATTTAGATAATTTTTAAAAGAAAGACTCAAAATCATATTACATATTTTTCATGTGTAAACACATTGGTGATTAAAAATACAAAAGTTCAAATGAATGATGTAAATCAAATTTATAAAAATGGGGCCAATGAGAAAAACAGGCAGTGAGTTTGAGGCCAAAAATGAAGATAAGACAATGAACCAAAGACAAAAGATCAATCCAATTCGATCCTCAGGTACCAACCTGCTGTCTCTCTTTCCTCACCTTCAGTGCACTTCTCAATCCAGTGGCTTTCATACATCCAAAACGATTCCAACAACACCAGCTATTTATTCTTTTTGCTAAATTCAAAGAACATTTTCAGCTCTCATCTTATCTGACTTCTCCCTGCATTTGACTTATCTTACTTTGTCTTCTTTAACACCACAGGCTTCTAGTTTTCCTTCTCTGCCCACCTTCTAGTTCCATTGATTTTGCTGTTTCACCCACTTCTTAATCAGCCTTTATATGTTCTCATTCCCCCAGACCCTTCCCAAAACAGACTTCTTTCTCTGCACCATCCAAGGTGTGGCCTCAATTCTCTTCATTTTTAAATGTTTCCCAAATATATTTATATTTCCAGCTAAACTACTGTCTAAATTTCTACCCATTTAAACAACTGCCTTCTTGACATTTGCATTTAAATATCACAAAGGCCTTCAAGCTCAACATATCCAACTCATGATCTTCCTCTTAAAGCCTAGTCCTTTCCCAAAGTACCCTATGAGTGAATGGCACCACCATCCATCCAATTACTTAAACCAGAAAACAAAAGTCATCTCTGACCCCTACTGTCTGACATTCTACTCATCTGATACCCATTGGATATATATCCAATATATCACTAAATGTGTTGATTTTTTGTGTCCTAAATGTCTTCTGCATACATCCACTTCTTTTCATCTACTACTACTGCCTAATTCCAAGCTACTATCATTCCTCACCTGGACCCCTCCAATAACTTCTTCACTCATCTTTGTATGTCCCCTGGAATCCATTCTCCCACAGGCCACCTGAGTGAGCTTTTCCAAATTGTAAATCTGATTGTGTTAATCTCAGCTTAAAACACTTCAGTAGTTTCACATTGCTCTTAGGATGAAGGTCAGCATCTTTAAGATAGCTTCTACACATTTGCCTAATTTATCACCTTTCTATGTCTACAGACTCATTACATATCCCTCTTCCCTTTGGTTATCATGTCCCACCTTAAGTTCTTCAAACAAGCCACACTTCTCTCCACCTCAGGGCCTTTGCACACACTGTGTCATTTGCCTAGGTTGCTCTTCCCTCTATCCTTAGTCTTCAGATCTCAGCTGACATTTCACCCAGGGAAGTCTTTTCTGATGGCTAGACAAGAGCAGGTTGCCGTATTTTAAAATCCCTTATGATTCACTACTTTTTCCTGTATAACACTTACCACCACCTATATGTTTATATATGTGGTTATTTTATCAATTTCTCTCACCCACCCCCCAAGAATGTAAGTTTCACAAGAGTGGAAAACATGTATGCTTTGTTCATCAATGTATGCCAATATTTAGCAAAGTACCTGCCATACTCAGTAAATATTTGTTGAATGAATGGATAAACTTGATATGCTAGGGTATTACCCATCCCAGAATGTATCTTCCAGTAAAATTTCATAAAAACCCTACCCCACCAAATTTAAGCATTGGCTTCTCAAATAATGCCACAGAGACTGATAATTATCTTTTAATATCTATTCTTTGTTTTTATCAAAATAGAATCCCCAGTTTGTAGGAGGAATAGGCACTGTTATGGAGTGAAGGTCTGTGTCTTCCCAAAATGTATATGTTGAAGCCCTAACTCTCAATGTGATAATATTTGGAGGTGGAATCTTTGGAAGGTAATTAGGTTTAGGTGAGGTCTTGAGGGGTGGCCCTATAATGGGATAAGCATCCTTATAAGAAGAAGAAGAGAGACCGGAGCTCTATCTTTCTCTCTGCCATGAGAACACAGTGAGAAAGCAATCATCTGCAAGCCAGGAAGAAGGCCCTCCCCAGGAAACAGATCTCTTGGCATCTTGATCTTGGACTTCCAAGCCTTCGATAAATAAATTGAGAAATAAATTTATATTGTTTAACAAATAAGTCTTGTTATAGCAGCCTGAGCTAAGACAGGCACTTAGGGGGAAAAAAGCCACAATTCTCAGTCTCACTTGCATCCCAAGGAAACTACGTGAATAAGTTTGAACCAATGCGATGCAAATACAACTTTCTGGACATGCCCTTGAAAGGAAGGGGCACACCCGCATCTTCCTCTTTTCATCTTTCTCCATGCTGGACAGAAATGTGGACAAGGTGGTGAACAGATGACAGCAACACTCAGAATGGAATAACAACATAGAAAAACCAGGCCCCTGAGGACTTTGTATGCAGAGTCACTACAGCTCCCCAGACTTTTAGAAGAAAAAGAAAAATTTATCTTCTTTAAAGCCTGTTTTCAACTTTTATTATAGCAACTAAACCATTCTTGATTAGATAATCAATACATTCTACTAATCAAAATATTAAACATGTGAATATTTCTATGAAGGGTGACACAAAAAGAAATTTTCACATGAATTCCTCCTAACAGATATGTGCCCAAAATAAAGTTAAGGAGGAAAAAAAGAGATATGCAGATTCAGGAAAAAAGAAATAGAAAGCAAGGAAAATTTCATGTACTGCAATATTTTTTCAGGCCTGCCCAATTCAACCATATGCCCAGCTTATGGCTGAGCTTTGTCATCAAAACACTTGGTCAAACACAGCGCCATCCCAATCTGCCCTCCAAGCTCACATTCTAATGTTCCCTCCTCTTTTAACTCTTTTAAAGGCTTCAAGGGCCTTGGGGAATCCATCTGCTTCCAGCTGTGCTCAGTTCATTTTTGATTCATCCCTCTCTTCCCTCTTCCTCTTTATCTCTGCATCTTATCAAACTTGAGACTCCAACTACACACTCACTCAGACATGAGGCATTGGTAGTAAGAGAAAAACAGCCCTTTAAATTTAATCCAAATGTCAAAGCCCCATAAATCCACCCCACCCCATGCCACCGCTTCTCCAGAGATTGCTCACATACGCATTTTGGTAGCTGCTGCCAGGGCACAGGTTGCGATCTAGCCCTCTCCCCATCTCCATTCACTTATTTATTTCCAGATGCCCTTGGTCAAGAGTCCCTTATCCTTATATTTCCACACAAATTTTATCTTCTCATTTGGCAGAGAACATGATGAGAACAATAACAAAGAGCTACAGGGATTAACTGACACTTAATGATTTCTCCTTTTATAGGATTCCAGCCAAGTATTCAACAAGCCATGCAACTCTCAATATGACTGCTATTTCCCTCATTGTGAATAATAGCTCATTCCTAAAGGGCGGGCTGATCTTTTGCTCCCTTAAACAAATGGAAAATGCTGAATTTTTCAAAGGTCACAAAGCCAAAACTAGCAAGCTCCTGTATCAAATAAATTGATAACATTTCATAATTATGTGAATTCAGATATATTTAAGTAGAAATACCAAAACTGAAAATACTTCTATTTTATACCTTGGTGGTGAGATCATTTTAAGTTATAGAAACAATTATTAAAACCATAGGCATTTGTAACTACCTGTAAATAGGAGGTAAGGGTGCCAATAATTCAATATTCAAATGCCTCTGTGTTTGATGGTAATTATCCCTATGACCAATAACTTTTTCTGTACTTCTAAACATTGAGTTCAGAAGCAGCTGTTACTCCCACATTTCTTTACTGCACACATATTATATGCTAGATACTGGGAGTATAAACTAAGACATGTCCTTAATCTCTGAAGAAGAAGATGAAACAAATGATACAATGTGTAAGTGCTGTGAGAAGGCACACATAGTCCACCTTGGAAAAGTGACCTCTAAATCTAATTTTAAAGAATAAGTAGGAGTTCTTTGGAGCAATGTAAGAGAAAATTCATTTTGCACAAAATATATAGCATGTCCAGAAGCACAGGAGCAAGAGTAAGAAAACACAACTAGTTGGTTACAGTTGGTACTCAGGGAGCTAGTAGGGAAATAGCTCAGAACAAGACTGGAAAGATGAGCAAGTACATGACCCTGAATTTCTGGCTACTTCAGTAAGTTAAGTCCAGTACAATGTGCGCAAACTCTTCTCTGTCATTACTTAAACTTAAACAACCATTTACAAATTACTAACCCTAAATATGAAAGAGCTAATACTGGGGTCTGATGACCAACCCATGATTGAGGCATTGATAAGCATTTCTCTACTTTCCATAAGGTGGTGAGATAAGTACTGTTACTCCTATTTCACCAATGAGTAAACTGAGAGCAAAAGAAGCTAAATGACTGCCCAGATTTATACCATTAGTCATAGAACCAAGAACACACCTAATAATTCAGACTAAAAACCAAGTCCAGTGAAATTTCCACACAACACAGCTGCTTCTCAAAATAACAACTACCAACATTTGTTCTGATCTATTTATCTTATGAAGTCATTTCAAATGCATCATCTGGCTCAATACCCATAAAAACACTATAAGGAAATTTAAGGCTCAGAGATTTATTCCAAGTTTGTTCAACTGTTTAAGTGATGAATCAGGGACTCAAGACATGTGAGGATGATGATCTTTTGGTTAAGCCATGAGTCTTCTACTAACAGCCACAGATGAACATTTATGAAGGAATTGGAGTCTTTGAGGGTAAGTTGGGAATGTAGTTAAAAACCAATAAAAACTACAGGTCAAGGAAGGGCCTTGCTAATCTAGATTTTGCTCTTTACCTCTTCATCAAGCCTATTTTTATTAATTTCACTATATATCTTTGCTTCATAGAAGTTATCAGAGTTGCCATTTTACATTTATTTCAGCAGTTGTTTGATCAACATGTCTTTCCTCTATAAGACTACAAGTTCCATGAGAACAAGAAGAGATCCATTTTTGTTCATTATTGAATCTCCAGCATCTAGCACATTTATAATAGGGACTCAGTAAATATCTTTCAAATATATGAAAAATTCCCCAATCCAGTGACTTTTGCAATCATCACCTGGAGAATTTGATTATATTGACTTTCTCTTTCTTGAAACCCTTTTTAGCATGAGCCCCAATAACATCCTCCTCATTTTAAAATAAATAAATATATATATTTATATATATATATAATATATTTAGGGCTATAAATGCAGTTGTGTTATGTGGATATATTGCATACTGCAGAAATCTCTTGGCTTTTAGTATTGTCCTTATTTTTCCTATTCCTTTCCATTGCTCATTCTTGGTGCTTCATGATTCCTCCCCTCAAAACTACCCATGAATGTTGTTCCCTAAATACAATCCTCACTTCTCTTTTCTTCCTACTTTATTTACTCTCCCTGAGTAATCTCACATACAACCAATAGTTCACCCACTATTAATCCCATTGGCTTTTAAATCTATCATCCAAGACCTCTTGCCTGACATCCTGATTCATATTTCCAAATATCTACTAGGCTATCTCACACACAATATGTTCCAAACTTAACCCACCATCTTGCTACCAAGCCTGTTTTCATGTATGCCTATGTTGATGAATACCAGTTGCCTAAGCCAGAAATTTTGGAATACACAACTACTATCTTGCTTATTCTCATCCTCATATCCAATTATTCTTTCAAGTTCTATATGTTCTTCCTCCTGGATATTCCTGTAATTTTTGCCATTCTTTCCATTCCTACGGTCACTATGTCACTAATTTGGTTCAGTCTATTTATTATCTTTGACCTAAATTCTTGTAGCCATTCTTGTGCTCCCCAGTCTGGTGACAGTCTAGGGTGTCTTGTGGCAGATTTGGTGTCTAGTGAGGGTACTCTCCCTGGTTCATAGATGGCCATCTTTTTGCTGTGTCCTCACTTTGCAGAGGGCACAAGGGGGTCTCTCTGGGGTCTCTTTTATAAGGGCACTAATCCCATTCATGAAAGCTCTACCCTTGTGACCTAATCACCTCCCAAAGATCCAACCTCCTCATATCATCACCTTGGAGGTTAAGATTTTTAACATATGAATTTGGGGAAAACATAAACATTCAGCCCATTACAATGCATAAATGATTTACACAAGAAAAAATTCTACAGAATCAGATATGGTATAATTCTAGCCCACAGACTAAGTTAGAATATAGTAAGTATGTATATATTCTAAGGCAAATGGTTTATTGGCTTATTTCAAAATGATTTTATTAATATTCATATGGCACACCACATACCTGATACAGAAATTTTTCATCAATTTATACAATAAGAAATTCTGACTCACAACAAATATTTTTGGCAGCAATTTCTGTAGACAATTGACCGTCCAAATCAGATTTGGCACCCAAGATCAATTTCTACATCTTCTTGGCCCAAAGTTGACTGTACATATCACTTGAAACCTAGTTTTTCAATAAATTATGATGTTTTAAAAATTGTATGAGCATACATCTTAGCCCCATAATAGGTAAATATGTGTAATTACATGTGTGCTATATTCTTTGGGGAAGCAAGATGTGATTTATGTAAAACATTCACATACAAACAAAAAAATGCATCCAAGCATTCTGTGCGTTGGTTGATGTTACTATTTTCAAGGCAACAGCTTGGAAATGTACTTCTCTGCCAGTTTACAGTTGCAGTTGCAACTGTATTCAATTATTTACACCTATAACTTGCAATTACCCATGATGTATACATAGGATTAAAAAGAAATAATATTTATTCTATCCCCTACACTCATATTTCCACTTTCTATTATAAATAAGAACCCAGAAGTGACAATTCAGCTTAGCCCATTCAACAAGCTTTTGGCCTATTCGGTGCAGAATGTGTATCTGGGATAAATAACACAGGTTGATGTGAGGAAGATGTATCCCTTTCTAGCTCCTCACAAATGAGACCCTTGCTAAAGGTCTTGTGATTTGTTTGAAAAGCTACAGATGTCTTGATTGTCAAATACCTTTCTATACTACTGTAAGTAGAGGAAATTACTAAATATTCCCAGTTTATGGATAATTTGCTATTTTTCTCACTATTCAGGTCCTGCTCATCTCCAAGAGTATTTTATTATGTACTGACCAACTCTATCTGTTCAATTATAAATCAAATTTCTTTCAAATTTTGAGAGTTCATAAAATAGGATGTCTAAAATCAATGCATACCTGTGTATAGCAGTTTCTTCTTTCCCCCCACAAAGTACTTGTGATACTAGTGATGCATCTACTAACTGTTGATATCTTAAATTTGATAAAATATATTAAATTCATAAAAATACAGCATATAGTAGCTATTAAAAAACAAATACACTGATGTCAAGTAATTATTTTTTAAATGTCCTTCATAAAAGTATCCAAGTTGCTTTTCAACAATACTATATTTATTTCTACCAATGCAAAACATGAAAATCAATTCATTATAGTGAGTCCTTTAAAATAGGAGTGATGCCTTATTACTTTGTACTCATACACCCTAGAGCATACCTAGCATATGGTAGTCTCTCAAAAGATCCCTGCTGAACGAGTGAGTGAATACAATCATCATGTACCGGTAAATCACAATGACACCCAAGCTTTTCAGTCCTATCTGTAAGCAAGGATTCAACAGAACAGCAAGACTTTCAGAATCTCACAAAGTATTTCTATTCTCAGATCACTTCAAATCATTATGAAATCCTCCCACCTGGCATTTGCTTTTAAAATCATTACTAGGATCAGAGGTCAGGAATAAAGAAAGAAATTAGGTTACTTCCCTTTCCTAAGCCCTGGGTTTTTGTTGTGCAGATTCAGGAATAAAAGAAAGGGCAGTTTTCATGTTATTTTTGTGTTATTTTTTCATACACCTCAACTTAAAAGGAACTGAGAAATGGTCTTATCTATCTAATAATTTTGAAGCAACCAAACTCCATAACTAACGTGATTTGCCGAAATTCATCCAGCTACTGAGGGCAGACATGGACTAGACCCATGCCCACTGACTTCAAGGTTCACACTTGCTCCATGATTTCAGCTCTGCCAAAGGAAAACACCACCTTCTTGAGCCAGGGCTGTAGTCTTCAAGCTTAGTAACAGGTCAGTCTTTGTGCAACGTTTACACAGAATTTCCCTAAAGCTCAAATAAATCATGGTCTTTGTCTATACCTAGGCAGAATAAATTCTTATCTCATCAAAGCTAAGTAATCAGGTGAGGCCGTATTTGCTGTCAACTCAAATTTAAAATTCTTCTATTTTAACAATTATCCATCTCTTCTACCCATGGGTTTTCCTTGCCATCTTTCTAGGGCTAGTACAAGCTGTCTCTGATATTTTATATGTTAGAATCTTGAGAAAAAAAGTTGTATTTCATTATGTTACCTTCTTCTGCAACAATGTTTATTTTTGCCAACATAGCTTTCATTAGCACTTCACAGTTTTAATTTCATTCTGTAATCTTTCTTGGACCTCATTTGCATTTTATATTTATTTACACATTATATTTTCTTTCCCTAGATTATAAAAAGTGATTTAGCCATTGTAGAATTTTAAAAACAAAATTGATGCATATTTTTAGTGACCATTCCTTCTTATACTTTTCAATTTTGTCCTCCAGAGCGTTCTCTCTCAACTTTATATTTAAGTATTGTGTTTCTTTCAGCATTTTTTCTGCTGTAATTTGGCAATCATCATTCTAAGTGTTACTTTCCTGGGTCTCACTTGATTATGAATTACAATCTAACTGAATTATGATGGCTATCACTCCGTTAAGCAGTCCCTTATGTCATCGCTGATCATTTCCTCTGTGTTACTCAAAAGACCGACATAAATTGTTTCCTTTCTTGTTTGTTCCTTTAAAGTCCATATTGGATAACCAACCAGTTCCCCACCATGTACACAAACTTGTAGTTAAAATGATTTAACATCCTGTGGGCCAGTTTATGTCCAAGGGGGTGAACACTTCCATAACCCCTTATTTAACTTTTTCACAAACCCTTTCCTTGTTTTACCATTTGCCCAGACAGCATTAGCCACATTCCTCATATCAGTTTACCCTGTGACTAAATTTAATTTTGAGTTGCTTAACAATGATACTACAGTTCTTTAAAGGTCTTCTCATTCTCTCAATTATTTCCAAACTTCATTTAGTTAGAAATTTGTACCCCCAAATTAGGCAAAATATTCCCATCCTGCTATAGAGGAGGGGAGAAGCATGCACACATAGTAATGTATACACGACTCAGAAAAATTGTAAGCGTTCATCACGTTCTATATACAAAAGAAATTTCTAAATTGCCTGAAAACAGTATCTTCTCATAAGTTGCCTCTGAATGGGAATCAGGAGTCCTGGGCTACAGTCTTGGCTCTGCCATTAATTAATGTGTGGCATTGAGAAAGTTAAATCTTAACTTCTATGTCTTAATCTGGAAACATAATTCTCCTTGTGATGCCATTAAGGCTAAGAATTTACTCAGCAACCACTCTCTCAAAGATGGTACAAAATAAACTCAACCCAGTCTTAAACTACATTGTCACAAATTCTGGATATTTGGGATCCAAATTAATGAGTTTGAACTACATTGTTGAATTTTGAGACCTAGTGACGTGGGACTCATTTATTTAAACCAATTAAGAAGACATTATTTTTAAGAAAATAGAAAAAGAGAAAATGCATGTCTCCAACAGCCAAATGAATAGGAGGAAGCTGGGAAGGATGATTCCAAACAGTAAGTGCAGCTGGGCACAGTGGCTTACATCTGTAATACCAACACTTTGGGAGGCCAAGGCAAGAAGATCTGTTGAGGCCAGGAGTTTGAGACTAAACAGCTGGTTATCCAAAACTTTACAGTTTACTTTGGAAATTTTATTTATTTGAATTGGCTCAATTATAGTATTTCAAACAAGCTTAAAATGAAACTACCCTGCCCTGCAACTATTCCTTTCTTCCTATAGTCTCTACTTTCTGTTCAAAATAGTCTTAATCATTCTTCAAAATGATGTAAAGAATTTAACAACGTTCTTAATATGTTCTGCAAATTTGCTAATTCATGTTTTTCCTAAAGTAGGTAAATAATTGCTTTTGCTTTCATGACTATTATTAACATTTGGTGAACATGTTATATCAAATCAATACTTAAATATAAAAGGAGGCCAGGTGCAGTGGCTCATGCCTGTATTCCAGTATTTTGGGAGGCCAAAGCAAGAAGATTGTTTAGGCCCAGAATTTCGAGACTAGACTGGCCAACATGGCAAAAACTCCATCTCTACCCTTCCCCCCACAAAAAAAACATATATATATGTGTTAGCTGGGCGTGGTGGTGCATGCCTGTAGTCCTAGCTACTCAGGAGGCTGAGTTAGGAGAATTGCTTGAGGCCAGGAGGTCAAGGCTTCAGTGAGTGGTAATCATGCCACTGCTCTCTAGCCTAGGTGACAAAGCAAGACTCTGTCTCTAAATAATTAATAAATGTTAGGTTGGCGCAAAATTAATTGCAATTTTGCCATTGAAGGTAAAGCTAAAAACTGCAATTACTTTTGCACCAATCTAATAGTAATACTTTAAAAAGTTAAAAGCATTATTTAGGCATTATAGAATAATAAATAAGTGTTGAATGTATTTGTTTTTTTTTCTTTAGAATGAAGCACAAGACCCAAAAACAGGATATGAGTACAGAAATAAAAATAATAGAGAATAGCTCTTATCATGCTTCCCCTAAGAGATTCCTACACATACACATAAACACATCATAAAAATACTGTTACATGGTTCTGAAAAAGAATGACTCCTGTTGATCAAACCATGTTAATGATGTTGTATCAACAATAGACTAATTTCAGGTTAACATTTTGTTTTACTTCATGGAAACCTAGAAATTTACAGTATGGAAAACACAGAATCTCACTAAAGATAGAGATTATTTTACTCTGTCAGTCATTAGAATCTCAACAATACCAGGCCTTAGAATTAGCACATCACTATAAACAGAAAAAAAAGAGCCATGAGAAAATCTTAGAACTATCTTTGGATTTTGATCACAAAACTGCAAAATGGCAAGAACGTTATTCTTATGTTACAGTACCTTTTGGGGAGCTAAAGGGTTGTTACCTTGAGAGCTAGGTTATGAAATGAAATAGACTTTATGAGCCTTGGTGGTGCATTAAGTACTGTAAACTCAGAAAGCTACTTATGTAAGCTTGAACATTTTAAGCTTTATCTATTTGTTTTAATTCTCCTGAAATTTCATAAAAATTCTAGCCTGCCTCATTCAGGATTCAGGGGAAGCTAGGAAAAATGTTTTAGTCCAAGCTTGAGGTCGAGTTTTAAGTGGGGAGCGGCAAACTAAGGGGATCAGCAGAGCACTGGCAAGAGGGCTCATAGTAAGAGAGTCTTGCTGGGATGGTAAACTTGGGCTGGAGGAAGGGAAAGGGTAAGGTCACTTGCTTTCATAAAGTTTAGAGAACAAGATACTCCTTCTAGTGCCTTGTGGAATCCATCTTTAATTTTAGCTAAATATCATTTAAATGTCACCATTTGAAAAATAATTTTAACTTAAAAATCATAAGCTTTCAAATAATTTAAGAACTTTTTTCAATATCTGATTTTAAAGGAGGATATAAAACTCAAGATTCCAATTTACTACTTTCAAGTAGTAATTTCAAATTATACACTTAAAATGTCATATCTACTCAGCTGGTGATTATGCAGAAAGTTTATTTCTGACATTATAGGATCAAAATCACCCACAGAACAGATATCAAGTGTCTTGGGGAAATAATATCTGAACATAGTCATACAAACAATAAAATAATTTTTCAACATGAGACTTATTATACTCGAAATCATCTACACCAATGAACTACTAGTTTAATATGTATATACAAGTGAGAGGTAAAAGGAAAGTGGATAAGTGGGGTAGGTGGGTGGATGGATAGGTGATAGATGATAGATAGATAGATAGATAGATAGATAGATAGATAGATAGATAGAAAGAAATAACCTCTCCCTTCCTTGTGGAAAAAAATACATTATTAAAAATCGATCTGACAGAGTTCAAAGATTGCATTATGATTCAATAAGGCTCATTTAGAATTCCAAATTAGCAAGTGTGGATCGAGAACATTTTGAAGAGCTTACCTTTTGAAAGGAGTCATAGTGTATTGCTAAAAATTAAAATTTCATTGATTCCAAAAAGATTCAACTCAACATACATGTTACAAATCCTTTTTTAATCTTTGAAAGAGCTGAAAATGAATAGGTCTTTCTGAAAAAAACAAGTTATAAAAGATATGGTAATTGTTTTATAGTTTTCATACCAGTATTTCTTGCTATTTTTCCATTTTTTCACTTTTGAAATGTGTGCTATTTTGAAACATATTTTCAGTTATCTAAATTCACTTTTCTATACATTAAGCTAGCATTGTTGGCATAAAAGTTGGTTTTAATTGTCATTAGCTGTTAAGGCATCAGATAACTTCAGTTTCTGTGTCCTCCCTTGAGATATTTTAAGATTAGAAGATTCAAATCTGATGTTACCATCACCATGCCTCTAAATGTTACGGATTTATGTTTTTGGTTAGCTTCATATTAGAACATAAACTCTTCAGGGAATGAGTTTCAATCTCAGAGAGAACCCATAATATTGATAAGCAGCTTTAACCATTTGGTCCCTAGTGACCATTTAATGCACTCAAGAGTCATACACTAAGAGATTCCCCAACAAATAAAAATGTCCCAAAGTCCCTAAATGAATTTCAGACCTTGATCATTTCAGGATAATTAAATGGAAAGAAGGGAGCTAGCAATCTGGGTAATTGAGCTTGCTAGACAGTCTTAAATAAATAAGAAATAATGTAATTGTCTATAAAATTTCAATCATCAGTCTATTGACTATAGAGATTTCAAGACAATCTGAAGCATCCTATCATGAATCTGTTTTTGTAAAAAGAAAACTGTATTTTGGGCTTACTGTTCATCTTTTCCTATAAATCATGCACATTTTGGTCTAGGAAATCCTGCCCTCCTAGTTGATTACCAATACAATATATAATTTGCAATAGAACTTTGCCTTTTGACTTCTTTGAAGAAACAATTACACATGTGGGCATAAAAAATTGGTCGCTTACACCCACTTGACCTTCTCTAAAAGGATTTCACAGATAGCCAGTAAGAATTCAGTAGCAAAACTATAATTTCTATCTGTACATTTCTGTGTTCATTAAGCTTATACTTATATTCTCTCATGAATAAAACTGTTAAAAGGTATAAAATGCTAAAGGAAAAGAAAATGAAAGCCAAGTGCCCAGAGGCTACATAAAGTAGAATGACTATTCAGTATATTGAGATATTTATTAATTCACTCATTCATAAAATATTTACTGAGCACTTATTGTGAAAAATTTACTCTTCTGAGTACTGGCAACAAGAGTTAGCATTTGTAGTAAGGTGTGTCTAGTGGTGTTGAATTTTCTCAGTTTTTGTTTATTTGGGAAAGACTTTATATTTGAAGAATAAATTTGTTGGATACAGTATCTTAGATGGCAGTTTCTTTTCTCAGGACTTTGAAAATATTGTCCCACTCCCTCCTGGCTTGTATGGTTTCCATTGAGAAGACTGTTGCCAGATGAATTGCAGCTCCTTTATGTTTCTTGCTTCTATTTGTTGCTGCTTTTAGAATTCTCTCTTTGTTTTTGACCTTTGAGAATTTTATTATTATATGCCTCTTAATTGGGTCAGATCTGTTTGGTGTTCTCTGATCTTCCTCTCCTTGGATATTTATATCTTTCTCAGGCTTTGAAAAGTTTTCTGTTATGATTGCTTTGAATAAGCGCTCTTCCACTTGCTCTTGCTCAACTCCTTCTTGAACACCAATAATTCTTAAATCTGGTCTTTTGAGGTAATTTTTTATATGGCAATCTTCTTTTTCTTTTTTTCCCTCTGCCTGTGTGTTTTCAAATATCCTGTGTCCTAGCTTACTGATTTTTTCCTCTGCTGGATCCATTTCGCTGTTGGAAGTCTCTAATAAAATTTTCAGTCAGCCAATGTATTTCTCATTTCCAAGGTTTCCACTTGATTTTTTATTATTTCTATGTCTTCGTTAAAAGTCTTTAAATTTTTTTCTGAATTTTTGTGCCCTTTGCAACTGCCTTCCTATATATCCACTGAGAATGGACTCAGCAAAACTTCACCACAGCCTCCACTAACAACTGCACCATAAACCACCAAGGAAATCAGAGATAGCTGTGATTTAGATTTAACCACTAAAGCTGGTTAAAGCTAAAGAAGTCATACAGAGACCAAACTACTGCATAGACATAAAATCAAAGCCAAAGTTGCTACTCAACTAACAATGTATATCCATGTTTAGGAAAATGTCCTCCCCTACAAAAGCAAATCCAAATAATTAGAAGGGGCGACTGTTACACTAGATGGGTAGACCTCAACATGAGGACACAAGAAACATGAAAAATTGAGGAAATACAACACCTCCAAGGGAACTCAATAATTCTCCAGCAGCAGATCCCAATCAAAAAGAAATTCGTGAAAAATCTCAGATAAAACATTAAAAATGCTGTTTTAAAGAAGTTCAGTGAGATATGAGAGACTTCTGAAATACAATACAGAGAAATCAGAAAACTAATTCAAGATATGAGTGAGAAATTTGCCAACAAGATCAATAATTTTTAAATGAACCAAATAGAAATCCTGCAACTGAAGAATTTATTGTATGAAATACAAAATACATTCAAAACTTCAACCATAGACTAGATCAAGCAGAAGAAAGAATCTTAGAACTTGAAGACATGTCTTTTGAAAAATAATAACAATGATTGAACAAAGTCTTTGTGACATTTACAACAACATAAAATGACAAAATATGCAAATTATTGGTGTCCTCAACACCAAAGAGAAAACAAAAGGGTTACAAAACCTATTTGATGAAATAGTAAATGAAAACTTCCCAAGTCTAGTAAGATATTTAGACATCCAGATACAGGAGGCTCAATGATCCTCAAACACATAAAACACAAAAAGGTATCTTCACCCGATATGATAGCCAAACTGTTTAAAGTCAAAGAAAAAGAAAGAATTCAAAAGTAGCAAGGTAAAATTGTTTAGTCGCCTATTAAAGGAACTCCCATAAACTAACAGTAGGTTTCTCATCCGAAACCTCATAGGCCAAGAGAATGAGTGTAATATTTAAAAGGCTAACTGAAAAAAAAAAAACCTGCCACCCAAGAATACTACAACCAACAAAAATATCCTTAATAAATGAAGAAGAAATAAATTCTTTTCCAGACAAGCAAATGCTAAGGGAATCTATCACCACTAGACTGGTACTACAAGAAATACTAAAGGGAGTTCTAAACCTCAAAGTGAAAGGAAGACATTTATCATCATGAAAACACATGAAAGTATAAACCTCATGGGTAAATCAAACACACAAATGAGAAAGAGAAAAGACTCAAATTATGCCACTACAGAAAAAAACAGACCACAATGACAAACAATAAGAGAAAAAAGAAAGAAACAAAGAATATAGAAAACAATAAAAAATATGACAAGGACAAAAAGCCCTGACATATCAATAATTACCAAGAATGAAAAACAGATTAAATTGTTCACTTAAAATATATAGAATAGCTAAATAGATCAAGAAGCATGATCCAACTATATACTGCCTACAAGCAATGCACTTTATGGGTGAAGACACATATAGACTCTAAGTAGGGATGAAAATAGATATTCCACACAAACAAAAACCAAAAGCAAGCAGTATTGGCTATACTTTTATAATATAAAACAGACTTAAGTTAAAAAAAGACAAAGAAGGTCATTATATAGTGATAAAAGGATCAATTCAACTAGAGGAAATAATTATAAATATATATGCACCCAATACTGGAGCATCCAGATTCATAAAGCAAATATTAATAGATCTAAAGAGACAGATAGATGCTAATACAACAATAGTTGGGGACTTCAATATTCACTTTCAGCCATAGACAGCATCATCTAGACAGAAAAATAAACAAAGAAATGGTGGATTTAAACAGGGCTTTAGACCTAACAGATATTACAAAACATTTTATCCAACAACTATATAATATATATTATTCTTATCAGCACATGGAAGATTCTCCAGGATAGAGTACCTGTTAAGCCACAAAATAAGTCTCACTAAATTTAACAAATCAAAATCCCATCAAGTATCTTCCCAAACTATAATGTAATAAAACTAAAAATCAGTACCAAGAGGAAGTTTGGAAACTATACAAAAATGTGGAAATTAAACAACATGCTCCTGAAAGGTCATTGGGTCAATGAAGAAATTAAGTTGGAAATCAAAAATTTCTTAAAACAAATTAAAATGCAAATATAACATAGCAAAAGTAGAAAAAAAATTTAAATAATCTAATACCCTTTAAGAAACTAAAAAAGTAAGAAAAAAACAAACCAAAATTAGCAGAACAAAAAGTAATAAATATCAGAGTAGAACTAAATGAAATAGAGACTAAAAAAATTCAAAGAATCAATGAAACAAAAGCTTGGTTCTTCAAAACGATAAATAAAATTGACATATCACTAGCTAGACTAATGAAGATTAAAGAAGGAAAATCCAAATAAACAAAATCAGAAATGAAAAAGGAGACATTACAACTGATAGAATAGAAATACAAAAGATTATTAGAAACAATTATGAATAACTATATGCTAACAAACTGGAATACTTAAACAAAATTAATAAACAGCTGGAAACATAAAACCTATCAAAATTGAATCAAGAAAAAATAGAAAACCTGAAGTTACAAGTAGTGAGACTGAATCAGTAATGAAAAGTCTCCCAATAAAAGAAAAGCTCATCCTGGGCACGGTGGCTCACACCTGCAATCCCAGCACTTTGGGAGGTCAAGGTGGGCAGATTATGAGGTCAAGAGATCAAGACCATCGTGGCCAACATGGTGAAACCCCATCTCTACTAAAAATACAAAATTAGCTGGGCGTGGTGGCGCTCGCCTGTAGTCCCAGCTACTTGGGAGGCTGAGGCAGGAGAATTGCTTGAACCCAAGAGGTGGAGGTTGCAGGGAGCCAAGATCACACCACTGCATTCCAGCCTAGTGACAGAGCAAGACTCTGTCAAGAAAGAAAGAGAGAAAGAAAGGAAGGAAAGGAAGGGAAGGGAAGGGAAAAGAAAGAAAGAAGGAAAGAAAGAAAGAAAGAAAAAGAAAGAAAGAAAGAAAGAAAGAAAGAAAGAAAGAAAGAAAGAAAGAAAGAAAGAAAGAAAGAAAGAAAGAAAAGAAAGAAAAGTAAAGAGAGAAAGAAAGAAAGAAAGAAAGAAAGAAAGAAAGAAAGAGAGAAAGAAAGAAAGAAAGAAAAGTAAAGAAAGGAAGAAAGAAAAGCTCAGAACTGGATGGAATCTCAGCTAAATTCTACCACACTTATAAAGAAGAATTAATACCAATCCTCATTAAACTATTCCAAAAAATTGAAGAAGAGGGAACTTTCCATAACTTACTGTATAAGAATAGTGTTACTCTAATATGAAAACCAGAAAAGGACACAGCAAAAAATATAACTATAGGTCAATATCCCTGATGAACATACACATAAAAACCCTCAAGAAAATACTAGCAAACCAATCTAACAGCACATTACCAAAATAGTATACTATTACGAAGTAGGATTTACAGCAGGGATGCAAGTATGGTTCAACATACAAATCAATAAACATAATTTATCTCATCAATAGAATAAAGGACAAAAGCCGTATGATCACCTCGATATATACAGAAAAGGCCTCTGATAAAATTCAACATCCCATCACAATAAAAATTCTCAACACACTAGGAATAGAAAAAGCATACCCAAAATGATAAAGGTCATATATGGCAAACCCACAGCTAACATCATATTGAATGGGGAAGAACTGAAAGCTTTCCTCTGAGATCTGGAACAAGACAAGGATGTCTGCTTTCACCATTCCTACTCAACATATCACTACAAGTTCTAGCCAGAGCAATCAGGCAAGAGAAAGAAATAAAGGGCATCTAAATTAGAAAAGAGGAATTCAAATTGTCCTGTTTTGCTGACGATATGATCTTATCTAGAAAAATCTTAAGACTCCAACAAAAAAACTGCTAGATTTGATAAATAAGTTCATTAAAGTTGTAGGATACAAAATCAATAAAGAATAATCAGTAGTGCTTCTATACACCAATAATGAACTTATTGAGAAAGAAACTAAGAAAGCAATCCTATTTACAATAACTACAAAAAATAAAATACTTAGGAATAAATTTAACCAAGGAGATGAAAGATCTCTACAAGGAAATCTATGAAACACTAAGTAAAGAAACTTAGGAAGATACAAACAAATTGGAAGACATCCCATGTTCAGGAATTAGAAGAATATCATTAAAATGACCATAGTGCTGAAAGTAATCTACATGTTCAATGCCACCTCTATCAAAAATATAAATGTCATTTTTCACAGAATCAGAAAAAAAAAATTCATTCATATGGAACCAAAAAAGGGCCAGAATAGTCCCTCTCCCTCTCCCTCTCCCTCTCCCTCCCCCTCCCCCTCCCCCTACCCTTTGCACGGTCTCCCTCTGATGCCCAGCCGAGGCTGGACTGTACTGCTGCCATCTCGACTCACTGCAACCTCCCTGCCTGATTCTCTTGCCTCAGCCTGCCAAGTGCCTGGGATTGCAGGGGCACACCGCCACACCTGACTGGTTTTCTTTTTTTTGGTGGAGACAGGGTTTTGCTGTGCTGGCCAGGCTGGTCTCCAGCTCCTGACTGCAAGTGATCTGACAGCCTTGGCCTCCCGAGGTGCTGGGATTGCAGACGGAGTCTCGCTCACTCAGTGCTCAATGTTGCCCAGGCTGGAGTGCAGTGGTGTGATCTCGGCTCGCTACAACCTCCACCTCCCAGCCGCCTGCCTTGGCCTCCCAAAGTGCCGAGATTGCAGCCTCTGCCCGGCCGCCACCCCATCTAGGAAGTGAGGAGCGTCTCTGCCTGGCCGCTCATCGTCTGGGATGTGAGGAACCCCTCCGCCCGGCTGCCCAGTCTGGGAAGTGAGGAGTGCCTCTTCCCGGCCGTCATCCCATCTAGGAAGTGAGGAGCGTCTCTGCCCGGCCGCCCATCGTCTGGGATGTGGGGAGCACCTCTGGCCTGCCGCCCCATCTGAGATGTGAAGAGTGCCTCTGCCCGGCCGTGACCCTGTCTGGGAACTGAGGAGTGTCTCTGCCCTGCCACCACCCCGTCTGGGAGGTGAGGAGCGTCTCTGACCAGCCACCCCATCTGGGAAGTGAGGAGCCCCTCTGCCCAGCAGCCGCCCCATCTGGGAAATGAGGAGCATCTCTGCCCAGCAGCTGCCCCATCTGGGAGGTGGGGGGCAGCCCCCGCCCGGCCAGCCGCCCTGTCCGGGAAGTGGGGGGCAGCCCCCGCCCAGCCAGCCACCCCCTCTGGGAGGTGAGGGGTTGCCTCTGCCCGGCTGCCCCATCTGGGAAGTGAGGAGCCCCTCTGCCCGGCCGCCACCCCATCTGGGAGGTGTACCCAATAGCTCATTGAGAACATGATGACAATGGTGGTTTTGTCGAATAGAAAGGGGGGAAATGTGGGGAAAAGAAAGAGAGATTAGATTGTTACTGTGTCTGTGTAGAAAGAAGTAGACATAGGAGACTCCATTTTGTTCTGTACTAAGAAAAATTCTTCTGCCTTGGGATGCTGTTAATCTATAACCTTACCCCCAACCCCATGCTCTCTGAAACATGTGCTGTGTCCACTAAGGGTTAAATGGATTAAGGGCAGTGCAAGATGTGCTTTGTTAAACAGACGCTTGAAGGCAGCATACTCGTTAAGAGTCATCACCACTCCCTAATCTCAAGTACCCAGGGACACAAACACTGTGGAAGGCGGCAGGGCCCTCTGCCTAGGAAAACCAGAGACCTTTGTTCACATGTTTATCTGCTGAGCTTCCCTCCACTGTTGTCCTATGACCCTGCCAAATCCCCCTCTCCGAGAAACACCCAAGAACGATCAATAAATACTAAAAAAAAAAAAAAAAAAAAAAGAAAGAAAGAAAGAAAAAGAGCCAGAATAGCCAAAACCATTCTGAGCAAAAAGACCACAGCTGAAGGCATCATCTATCTCACTTCAAAATGTATTAGAAAGCTATAATAACAGGATTGTTAAGGATATAAAAACAGACACATAGACCAGTGAAACGGAATAATGACACCAGAATTAAATTCACTTATTTATAGCCAACTGATTTTCAATAAAGGTGCCAAGAACATACACTGGGGAAAGGAAATTCTTCAATAAATAGTTTTGGGAAAATTTGAAATTCACGATATGCATAAGAATAGACTGAACACCTATGTCTCCCCATACACAAAAATCATCTGAAGATGGATTAAAGACTTAAATGTAAGACCTGAAACAATAAAACTGCTAGAAAAAAAAATAAAGAGAAAAAACAAAACATCAGTCTAGGCAAAGATTTCATGGCTAAGACCTCAAAAGCACAGACAACCACAACAAATAGGCAAATAGGATTATATTAAACTAAAAAGCTTCTGCACAGCAAAAGAAACTATCAACAGAGTGAAGATACAACTTACAGAATGAGAGAAAAATATTTGCAAACTATTCATCTGAAAAGGGATTAATATCCAGCATATACAAGAAATTCAAACAACTCCTCCATTTAAAAAGAAATCCCATTAAAAAGTGGGCTAATGATATGAATAGACATTTCTCAAAATAATACATACAAATGGCCAACAGGTATATGAAAAAAATGTTCCACATCACTAATCATCAGAGAAATGCAAATCGAAACCACAATGAGATATTATCCTACCCCAGTTAGAATAGCACTATTAAAAATACTAAAAATAACAGATGCTGGTGAGGTTGTGGAGAAGGAACTCTTATACACTGTTGTGGGGAAGTGAATTAGCACAACCACAATGAAAAACAGTATGGAGGTTCCTCAAAAACCTAAAAATGAAACTACCATATGATTCATTCATCCCACTACTGGGTATATATCCAAAGAAAAAGAAATTATTACGTCAAAGAGACATCTGCATTCCCATGTTTATTGCTGCACTGTTCACAGTAGCCAAGATGTGGAATCAATCTAGGTGTCCAACAACAGATGAATGGACTATTTAGGGGCTTGGAATCATAGGCGGACATGCCCCTAACTTTGCAAGATAGGCAATTTAGTACCATGGAAAGAAAATCAGATGTGGACTCAGGAAACTAAAATTCTTGTCTTTTCTGCCAAAAACTAGCTATACAACTTTAAAGTAAGTTACTTAATTAGTTTTCATACGGGTAAAATGTAGCTAATGATATTCTCTCTCAGTAAGATTATTTGTATTATTTAAATTTTATAAATTTTCATTATCATTGATACATAATACCTTATAATTTGTAAAAAAAATTAATGGATAAAGAAAATGTGGTATACATACATAATGGAATACTATTCAGCCATAAAAAGAATGAAATCATGTCTTTTGTAGCAATATGGATGGATCTGGAGGTGATTATGTTAAGTAAGATAACCCAGGCACAGAAAGGCAGATACTGCAAGTTCTCACTCACATGTGAGAGCTTAAAAAGTTGATCTCATAGTGATAGAGAATAGAATGACAGATACCACAGGCTGAGAAAGGTATGTGGGTGAGAGTCAGAGAGATAAAGAGAGGTTGATTAATGGGCAGAAACGTACAGTTAGATAGAAGAAGCAAGTCCCAATATTCAATAGCAGAGTAGGGTGACTATGGTGAGCAACATTGTGTTATATATTTCAAAGTGGCTAGAAGAGAGAACTTGAAATGTCACCAACATGTAGAATACCCCAATATCCTGACTTGATCATTACACATTCTATTCATGTAGCAAATACTCATACATACCCCATAAATATGTAAAATATTTTGTATCAGTAACAAAAATGATAAGCCCCAGCAACAATAACAAAACATTTTGAATATCTTTTTTGTGTTATTTTGAAGATCCCTGAATTTCCTTTAAACTGCTATTTTGAATTTCTGGTCAGAGAACTCACATATCACCATCTCAGTAATGTCAGTCCCTGTTCCCTTGCTTTGTCCATTTGAGGAGGTTGTTGTCCCTGTTTGCTATTGTTTCTTGTAGATGTACATCTTTGTCTTGCATCGACGGACTCGTTGTTTATTCCAGTCTTCTATGTCTGGCTTGTTTTGGTTATGATAGAATATGTTTTCTTAGAGATTCTTTGTAATTTACCTATTGATTTTATTTCTTTTATTTTTCCCACTAGGTTGTTACCTCCTTTCAGCAGTAAATGATGCCTAAAGCCCAGGCTGACCTTGGCTCTGGTAAAGGAGTGGTGCCTGTCTTGAATGGGGGAGGTTCCAAAGGGGAAGGGTGGCTCAAGATTTGTGCCTAGGGGCCCTGTGAAATGAACCTTCTACTGTGTGGTGCTGCTAAACAGCCACTCTGATTTGGAATCTCCTTTGGTGGATTGACAGAGCAGAATTTCCAGGGCTGGAGGTGGTATTTCTGCCTTCCCCTTTTCCTCTGGCTATCCTCAGGGATATTTCTCCCTTCAAGTACTCGGAATGCTTCCTATAAGTTGAGGCAGGGACAGATATCCTGCCAGGGAACTCACGGTGGTGGGGATACTGGTTATCCACCTTGTTCTCACTTTTTCCAATATAGAAACAGTGAGTAGCAGAAAGGATTTTCTGCATGCTTGATGACAGGCAGATTGTGAGAAGGGGTGCCTGATTCTCTTACCATCTTCTCAGAGTATCTTCATGTCTGTGGTCCCAGGAACTGTCTCCTCCTCATATTTGAGTTCTGGGATATTGCTTGTGATAATCTCAGTGCTTTATGTTTGTTTCTGATTTTCCGTAAGGAGGAGTAAAGCCAGCTTGCTTCTACACTGCCATTTTGGAACCAGAAATCTAACAAAAGATTTTAAAAAGGAGAAAAAGAAAAAATGATGTATTTTTCTCCAGATCCATTTAATTCCTTGGATGATGCTTTAAACATAGATGTACAATTATAACAATAGCCAGTGCCAGCATTATCACATCTTCTTGAAATCTGGCTAAATAGATTCATCATTAGCTTTCTCCTCACTTGCCAACGATTAGAAGAACAATCTTATGGCAACTTGAACTGATAAATAAATAAATGGCCAGATGTCATTTTGAATGACAGTCAAAAGATGTTCTGGAGCTGGCTCATACCAGTTCACAAGAGCCAATAGTTAAATCTTCAGGAATTTTGTCATCTGGCTAACATCATGTTGGTAGCTTGAATCAGGCATAGCGGGAGTGTTCATACCACAGAAATTGGCAAACACTAAAAATCAGGACTTTATTTCTATGAGCCAGTTGTTAAACATGTACACTGCTTTTGGTTAATAATAATAAATAACAGTACCATTAGAAGCTACTATTTTTTTCAGGCCTAATGGAGAAATGCAGCATGTTGAGGATAGTGTGCAAATTCACAACCTCCCTTAATCCTCACAACCACCATTTGAAATGAGACTGCCATTAACTCAATTTTGCAAGTGATGAAACTGGAATATATGAAGATTAAGTAAAATGTCCAGGGTCACATAACTAAATAATGGTGGAACCAAGACTCAAGCCTTCAGATTCTCTAGCACTCACTCTTAATCCAGATAAACCAAAGAGGTCACCTGGAACACAGTCTAGAGAGAATGAGTTTCTGAGTTCCTTTTCTTGACTTTACTCCCGGACTGGATACTGAACCCTCAAAGATGTCATAGATTCTATTGATCAATAATCACACACACACATACACATATACATCTTCCTTAGCTAATAGAACCCTCCCAGATTGATGGCAATTTTGTCAGGGAAGATCTTTTGAGGATTTTTAGGTAATCTTGCTGTATAATTTAGCTACATTCTTATTTTCCCATAAACCTTCCACAAAGACCTAACAACCTTCAAAACTACCAGAATCATATTTAATTGTGTGTGGTTTTCTTTAATACGGCAACATATGACATTGGCCAAACAATTAAAGTTGGGAAAAGACAGAGACTGCTGAAAAGGTCTCTAAAGTACAAAATTTACATTACTTAAAAGTAATTACCCTGTTGTTTAAGAGACTAGTGTAGGAAATTGTTAATTTTGCTTTCAGCAAATCTGTCAGAAAAAAAAAAAACTCACAAAGTGTGGAGGGGAGATTAGGTCAAGGAATAGAAAGAGATCATTAAAATCTGGTCCTAATGCCTTAGCACCCAGGCCAAATAAATTTCCAACAAAGAAAAATCTTTATTATGATATCAATAATTATGATCACATATCTCTTTGACTCATTACTACCTTAGCCTATTTTTACACTATCCTGTCTGTGATGCTTATTTTCATCATGTCTTATGATTATTAATTATCTGCATATCATTGTAGCAACATTTAACTGTGTTCTGAAGTATATAGTTTACCTTAGAATCCTTGAACATGTTGAAAGTAATGTTACCAATTATCTAATCTTGATGCTTTTATTTTAATATATTGGAAACTATGACCAAAGGAAGCAGGTTGCTAAATCTATCTCAAATAACGTATATATTTTAAGATTGTGGTTACTATATTAAATCATTTGATGCATTAGGGTATTTATAAATTTGCACTTTAAAATTCTCCCCCATGTATAGTGACATGAATATTTTACTGATGATATATTTAACATCCATGGCATCTGAATATAATATTGTTAAGAATGATGACTAAATTTTATACATATATAGAGTTGACAACTGCATATGTGATGGACAGATATGACAAAATTACACTTCCCACTCCCTACACCTTCAAGTAAAGAAAACTTTGTTCATTGACACCCAGCTGCATTTAATAGATTCTAGTAAGAAGTAAAAGAGAGAGTCACATTCAGCCATTAAAAGCTATTAACAATCTGTTTGAAATCAGTTCATCATATTAAATAACCAGCACTAATAGAACCACAGAAACCAGAGAACAGGGAAGGTATATTTTAATGAAATAAGAAAATGTTGGCTGGGTGCAGTGGCTCATGCCTGTAATCCCAGCACATTGGGAGGCCGAGGCAGGTGGATCATCTGAGGTCAGGAGTTCGAGACCAGCTTGGCCAACATGGTGAAACCTCATCTCTACTAAAAATACAAAAAATTAGACAGGCATTGTGGCAGATGCCTGTAATCCCAACTACTTGGGAGGCTGAGGCAAGAGAATCACTTGAACCCGAGACACAGAGATTGCAGTGAGCTGAGATTGCACTTCAGCCTGGGCAACAAGAGTGAAACTCCATGAAAGAGAAAGAAGGAAGGAAGGAAGGAAGGAAGGAAGGAAGGAAGGAAGGAAGGAAGGAAGGAAAGAAAGAAAGAAAAAAAGAAAGAAAGAAAATGTTAGTAACTGAATACCAATTTCACAAA
Organism: Homo sapiens; assembly: GCF_000001405.40. NCBI lineage: Eukaryota > Metazoa > Chordata > Mammalia > Primates > Hominidae > Homo > Homo sapiens. Next base: position 43,818,484 of record NC_000005.10, on the reverse strand, counting down.
TTAGCCAAGGGGCTTGCTAGAAACATACATAAGTACAATATAAGCTTTGAAAAAGTATAGATGCCAAACTGCTATTTCAATTATCTATATTTTTACATCAAGCTAAATTTTCATAGTTCCTTCCTGTCATAAAAATGTTTTCTCTTGAATAATAATATTTTTGTTAATGAATAGGATTCATAATTATTTCTAATATTTTATGTTAGTTATCTAGTATCAAGAAAACCTTTCATGAATAGATGCCGAAAGTGCCTGGTCAGCTCCCACAGGAATTATATACCAATAGCCAGACTCATTGATGGGCAGTATAGCAGAACTCATTTGACAGTCATTATTTATTAAGAACCATTTTCACTATTAGAATATTTAGGAAAACTTTATGAATATTCATTGTATATTGCCAATATTACAACCAATATTTAAATTTTTCCATAATAAAAATATATATGTAGGTAAACAGAGGTAGATAAGTAAATTGTTCTGTCTTGGGCTTAAGTCTCTAAAGGATTCTTCAAATAAAAAGATATGGTACATGTTTATTTCCATCTATGCAGCCTGAACAGAGACCTGTCACAGCGGAAAGCACCTATAATCTCAACTACTTGGGAAAGCTGAGGTGGGAGGATTGCTTGAGCCCAGTAGCTCAAGGCCAGCTTGGGCAACATGGCAAAATCCCATCTCTTAAAAAAAAAAACTTTAGAGAATACCACAATCAAGGAATCAAAAGCATTTATATGTGAAATAACACCAGTGAAATCAAAGACACAATAGTTTCAATGACTAGGTAATATGACATTTAAAAAGTTATAAACATTCTCACTAATTAAATATTGGCATATATGACTAGTTCCCTTCCCAATATCCACACTTCCCTTCCTCCTTTCCAAGATAATCCCTATTTAGAGGGTGGAGAGGAAGAGATAGCAAGGTGCCCAACTTTAAAAAATAAATTACATCAGCCAACTTCCCTTGCAGCTAGGAATACCCTTGTGACAGAGTTAGTTCTGCCAACAAGAGTTAGCCAGTGTTCCTGGGAAACCTGAGTTAAGGATTTCTGAGAAAGCTTTGCTTCACTAATATAGGTACCACCCCTTTCCTACATTTCTTCCTTATTCCCACCTGGAACATGGATTTAATGGCTGAGCTGCAGCAGCCAGCTTGCAACTACAGAAATAAAGCCCAAAGAATTACAGAGACCTGAGTTCTAACATACTTGACTTGCTAAACCAACCCTTATGCTGTTAAACATAACAGCCTATGACACCATAAAAATAAAACACCTATTTGGTTTTATAGTTGGTTCTCAGAAGCCAAAAGCAAATGTTTATTAATAAAGAATATAAAGATTAAGGTTTTTCTTTCTCTTTAATTGATAATATAATAAAGTAAACACTTTTCAAAACTTGAAGTTTCAGCCAGCTGAAAATTCTCCATTTTCCTAAGACCATATCCATGTAGCCAGTAATTAAGTCAACCAACGTATTAGGCCATTCTTACACCGCTACAAAGAAATATCTGAGACTGGTTAATTTATAAAGAAAAGAGGTTTAATTGGCTCATGGTTCCACAGGCTGTACAGGAAACATGACACTGGTATCTGCACAGCTTCTGAGGAGATCACAGAAAATGTGAAATCAGGGCGGAAGGTAAAGGAGAAGCAGCACATCTTACATGGCCTGAGCAGGAGGATGAGAGAGAAGGAGGAGATGCCACACACTTGTAAACAACCAGATCTCATGATAACTCACTCACTATCATAAGAATAGCACACAGAGGGACGGTGTTAACCATTCAAAAATCCAATCACCTCCCACCAGACCCCTTCCTCTAACACTGAGTATTACAATTGAACATGAGATTTGGGTGGAGAGAGAAATCCAAACCATATCATTCTGCCTCTGGCCCCTCCCAAACCTCATGTCCTTCTCATATTGCAAAATACAATCATGCTTTCCCAACAGTCCCTCAATGTCTTAACTATTCCAGAATTAACTCAAAAGTCCAAAGTCTCATCTGAGACAAGGTTAGTCCCTTCCACCTCTGAGCCTGTAAAATCAAAAACAAGTTAGTTATTTCCAAGATACTATGAGATTACAGGCACTGGGTAAGGGAAATAGGCCAAAAGAAACGGGCTACAGGCCCCACGCAAGTCTGAACCACTGAAGGGCAGTCATTAAATCTTAAAGCTCCAAAATAATCTCTTATCATTTTATACCTCACACTTAGGGCACACTTCTGCAAGGGGTGGTCTCCCAAGGCCTTGGACAACTCCATCCATGAGGCTTTTCAGGGTACAGACCTCATGGCTGTTTTCACAAGTTGGCATTGAGTGCTTGCAGCTTTTCCAGGCACACAGTGCAAGTTGTCAGTGGATCTATCATTCTGGGCTCTGGAGGATAGGGGCCCTATTCTCACAGCTCTACTAGGCAGTGCCCCAGTAGGGACTATGTGTGGAGATTCCAACCCCACATTTCTCCTCTGCACTGCCCTAGTAAAGGCTCTTCATGAGGGCTTCACCCTGTATCAGCCTTCACCCTGTAGCAGGATTCTGCCTGGATGTCCTAGCCTTTCCATACATTCTCTGAAATCTAGGCATCAGCTCCTAGGCCTCAAATGTTACATTGTTTGCAGCCTCAGGCTTAACACCATGTGGAAGCCTCCTAGGCTTATAGCTTGCACCCTGTGAAACAGCTGTCCAAACTTTACATGGGCCCCCTTAAGCCATGGCTGGACCTGGAGCAGCTGGGATGCAGGGACCAGTGTCTTTAGCTGCAAAACCATTCTTTCCTCCTAGGCCTCTGGGCCTGTGATGGGAGGGGCTGCCTCATATCTCTCCAAAATGCCTTCCTTTTAGTTATGCAAATTTCTGCAACCTCCTTGAATTCCTCCCCTGAAGGTGGGCTTTCCTTTCCCACCACATGGCCAGGCTGCAAATTTGCCAAATTTTTATGCTCTGCTTCCCTTTTAAATATAATTTCAAGTTTCAGTTCATTTTTTTGCTTGTACATATGAACATATGTTATTAGAAGCAGCCAGGCCATATCTTGAACTATTTGCTGCTTAGAAATTTCTTCTGCTAGATACCTAAATCATCACCCTCAACTTCAAAGTTCCAAAGATAACTAGAGCAGGGGCACAATGCAGCCAGTCTCTTTCATAATACATAACAAAAGTGACCTTTGCTCCAGTTCCCAATAAGTTCCTCATCTCCACCTGAAACCTCCTAAGTCTGGACTTCATTGTCCATATCACTATCAGCATTTTGGTCACAACAATTTAACAAGTCTCTAGGAAGTTCCAAACTTTCCCACATCTTCCTGTCTTCTGAGCCCTGCACGCTCTTCCACCCTCTGCCCATTACCCAGTTCCAAAGCTGCTTCCACATTTTCAGGTATCTCTACAGCAATGCCCCACTCTGTGGTACCAATTTTATGCATTAGGCTGTTCTCACACTGCTATAAATAAATACCTGAGACTGGGTAATTTATAAAGAAAACAGGTTTAATTGGCTCATGGTTTCACAGGTTGCACAGGAAGTATGATGTTGGATTCTTCTCAGCTTCCAGGGACACCTCAGGAAACTCAATCATGGTGAAGATAAAGGGGAAGCAGGCACATCTTACATGGCTGAAGCAGGAGGAAGAGAGACAGGAAGAATGGGCCCACACTTTTAAACAGCAATATATCATAAGAATACACTCACGATCATGAGAGCAGCACTCACAGGGATGGTATTAAATCATTAGAAACCACCCCCAAAGTCCAATTACCTCCCATCTGGCATTTCCTCCAACATTGAGGATTACAACTGAACATGAGATCTGGGTAGGGACACAGATCCAAACCGTATCAACCAACCCATGTAAAAAGCAACCATTTGAAGACCTTTCATGAAAACTTACAATTAATGAGCTTGTTCATTGGTTAATGAGATCAAATAAGTTTCCAAACTATAAACTTCTTTCAGAATTCTGTGCCATAGAAAGGCAGGTATTCACAAATATATAAGTTCTACTTACTAGACAATGAGAAATTTGTAAAATCCATCTTATTTCCCTCTTTGTCAACTAGCAGAGAGTTCAGTTTCACACTCAATCACAATAACTATCTTATCTCAGGTACCTGAAGAAATTTTTTTCAACTGCTATTAAAACTGAGGTCTTGAGGATTCCAAGATGCCCGAATAGGAACAGCTCCAGTCTACAGCTCCCAGCATGAGTGACGCAGAAGACAGGTGATTTCTGCATTTCCAACTGAGGTACCGGGTTCATCTCACTGGGGCTTGTTGGACAGTGGGTGCAGGACAGTGGGTGCAGCCCACCGAGCATGAGCCAAAGTAGGACAAGGCATTGCCTCACCTGGGAAGCACAAGGGGCCAGGGAATTCCCTTTCCTAGCCAAGGTAAGCTGGAACAGAAGGCACCTGGAAAATTGGGTCACTCCCACCCTAATACTGTGCTTTTCCAACGGTCTTAGCAAATGGCACACCAGGAGATTATATCCTGTGCTTGGCTCAGAGGTTCCCACGCCCATAGAGCCTCACTCATTGCTAGCACAGCAGTCTGAGATCGAATTGCAAGGCAGCAGCGAGGCTGGGGGAGGGGCGCCCACCATTGCTGAGGATTGAGTAGGTAAACACAGCCACCAGGAAGCTTGAACTGGGTAGAGCCAACCGCAGCTCAAGGAGGCCTGCCTGCCTCTGTAGACTCCACCTCTGGGGGCAGGGCATAGCTGAACAAAAGGCAGCAGAAACCTCTGCAGACTTAAATGTCCCTATCTGACTGCTTTGAAGACAGTAGTGGTTCTCCGAGCACAGAGTTTGAGATCTGAGAATAGACAGACTGCCTCCTCAAGTGGGTCCCTGACCCCTGAGTAGCCTAACTGGGAGGCACCCCCCCAGTAGGGGCAGACAGACACCTCACATGGCCAGGTAACCCTCTGAGACAGAGCTTCCAGAGGAACGATCAGGCAGCAACATTTGCTGTTCAGCAATATTCATGGTTCTGCAGCCTCCACTGCCGATACCCAGGCAAACAGGGTCTGGAGTGGACCTCCAGCAAACTCCAACAGACCTGCAGCTGAGGGTCCTGACTGTTAGAAGAAAAACTAACAAAAAGAAAGGACATCCACACTAAAACCCCATCTGTATGTCACCATCATCAAAGACCAAAGGTAGATAAAACCACAAAGATGGAAAAAAATAAACCGAGCAGGAAAGCTGAAAATTCTAAAAATCTGAGCACCTAGCCTCCTCCAAAGGAATGCAGCTCCTCAAGAGTAACAGAACAAAGCTGACAGAGAATGACTTTGACGAGTTGAGAGAAGAAGGCTTCAGACAATCAAACTTTTCTGAGCTAAAGGAGGAAGTGCGAACCCATCACAAAAAGCTAAAAACCTTGAAAAAAGATTAGACAAATGGCTAACTAGAATAAACAGTGTAGAGAAGTCCTTAAATGACCTGATGGAGCTGAAAACCATGGCACGAGAACTATGTGATGAATGCACAAGCTCCAGTAGCCGATTTGATCTACTGGAAGAAAGAGTATCAGTGATTGAACATCAAATGAGTGAAATGAAGTGAGAAGAAAAGTTTAGAGAAAAAAGAGTAATAAGAAACAAAAAAACCCTCCAACAAATATGGGACTATGTGAAAAGACCAAATCTATCTCTGACTGGTGTACCTGAAAGTGATGGGGAGAATGGAACCAACTTGGAAAACACTCTGCAGGATATTATCCAGGAGAACTTCTCCAATCTAGCAAGGCTGGCCAACATTCAAATTCAGGAAATAGAGAGAAACCCACAAAGATACTCCTCGAGAAGAGCAACTCCAAGACACATAATTGTCAGATTTACCAAAGTTGAAATGAAGGAAAAAATGTTAAGGACAGCCAGAGAGAAAGGTTGGTTTACCCACAAAGGGAAGCCCATCAGACTAACAGCACATCTCTCGGCAGAAACCCTACAAACCAGAAGACAGTGGGGGCCAATATTCAACATTCTTAAAGAAAAGAATTTTCAACCCAGAATTTCATATCCAACCAAACAAACTTCATACGTGAAAGAGAAATAAAATCCTTTATATGCAAGCAAATACTGAGAGATTTTATCACTAGCAGGTCAGCCCCACAAGAGCTCCTGAAGGAAGCACTAAACATGGAAAGGAACAACCGGTACCAGCCACTGGAAAAACATGCCAAATTGTAAAGACCACTGATGCTAGGAAGAAACTGCATCAACTAACAAGCAAAATAACCAGCTAACATCATAATGACAGGATCAAATTCACACATAACAATATTAACCTTAAGTGTAAAAGGGCTAAATTCTCCAATTAAAAGACACAGACTGGAAAATTGGATAAAGAGTCAAGACCCATCAGTGTGCTGTATTCAGAAGACCTATCTCATGCGCAGAGACACACATAGGCTCAAAATAAAGGGATGGATGAAGACCTACCAACCACATGGAAAACAAAAAAAGGCAGGGGTTGCAATCCTAGTCTCTGATAAAACAGACTTTAAACCAACAAAGATCAAAAGAGACAACGAATGTCATTACATAATGGTAAAGGGGTCAATTCAACAAGAAGAGCTAACTATCATAAAAATATGTGCATCCAATACAGGAGCACCCTGATTCATAAAGCAAGTCCTTAGAGACCTACAAAGAGACTTAGACTCCAACACAATAATAATGGGAGAATTTAACACCCCACTGTCAACATTAGATAGATCAATGAGACAGAAAGTTAACAACGATATCCAGGAACTGAACTCAGCTCTGCACCAAGCAGACCTAATACACATCTCCAGAACTCTCCACCACAAATCAACAGAATATACATTCTTCTCAGCACCACATTGCACGTATTCCAAAATTGACCTCATAGTTGGAAGTAAAGCACTCCTCAGCAAATGTAAAAGAAAAGAAATTATAACAAAGTGTCTCTCAGACCACAGTGCAATCAAACCAGAACTCAGGATTAAGAAACTCACTCAAAACCGCTCAACTACATGGAAACTGAACAACCTGCTTCTGAATGACTACTGGGTACATAACAAAATGAAGGCAGAAATAAAGATGTTCTTTGAAACCAATGAGAACAAAGATACAACATACCAGAATCTCTGGGACACATTTAAAACAGTGTGTGAGAGAAATTTATAGCACTAGATGCCCACAAGAGAAAGCAGGAAAGATCTAAAATTGACACCCTAACATCACAATTAAAAGAACTAGAGAAGCAAGAGCAAACACATTCAAAAGCTGGCAGAAGGCAAGAAATAACTAAGATCAGAGCAGAAATGAAGGAGATAGAGACACAAAAATCCCCTCAAAAAATCAATGAATCCAGCAGCTGGTTTTTTGAAAAGATCAACAAAATTGATAGACTGCTAGCAAGACTAACAAAGAAGAAAAGAGAGAAGAATCAAATAGACGCAATAAAAAATGATAAAGGGGATATCACCACCAATCCCACAAAAATACAAACTACCATCATAGGATACTATAAACACCACTATGCAAATAAACTAGAAAATCAAGAAGATACGGATAAATTCCCAGACACATACACCCTCCCAAGGCTAAACCAGGAGAAAGTTGAATCCCTGAATAGACCAATAACAGGCTCTGAAGTTGAGGCAATAATTAATAGCTTACCAACAAAAAAAAGTCCAGGACCAGATAGATTTACAGCCGAATTCTACCAGAGGCACAAGGAGCAGCTGGTACCATTCCTTCTGAAACTATTCCAATCAATAGAAAAAGAAGGAATCCTCCCTAACTCATTTTATGAGACCAGCATCATCCTGATACCAAAGCCTGGCAGAGACAAAACAAAAAAAGAGAATTTTAGACCAATATCCCTGATGAACATCGATGCAAAAATCCTCAATAAAATACTGGCAAACTGAATCCAGCAGCACATCAAAAAGCTTATCCACCGTGATCAAGTGGGCTTCTTCCCTGCGATGCAAGGCTGGTTCAACCTATGCAAATCAATAAACATAATCCAGCATATAAACAGAACCAAAGACAAAAACCACATGATTATCTCAATAGAGGCAGAAAAGGCCTTTGAGAAAATTCAGCAACCCTTCATGCTAAAAACTCTCAATAAATTAGGTATTGATGGGACGTACCTCAAAATAATAAGAGCTATTTATGACAATCCCACAGCTAATATCACACTGAATGAGCAAAAACTGGAAGCATTCCCTTTGAAAACTGGCACAAGACAGGGATGCCCTCTCTCACCACTCCTATTCAACATAGTGTTGGAAGTTCTGGCCAGGGCAATCAGGCAGGAGAAAGAAATAAAGGGTATTCAACTAGGAAAAGAGAAAGTCAAATTGTCCCTGTTTGCAGACGACCTGATTGTATATTTAGAAAACCCCATCATCTCAGCCCAAAATCTCCTTAAGCTGATAAGCAACTTCAGCAAAGTCTCTGAATACAAAATCAATGTGCAAAAATCACAAGCAGTCTTATACACCAATAACAGACAAACAGAGAGCCAAATAATGAGTGAACTCCCATTCACAATTGCTTCTAAGTGAATAAAATACCTAGGAATCCAACTTACAAGGGATGTGAAGGACCTCTTCAAGGAGAACTACAAACCACTGCTCAACGAAATAAAAGAGGACACAAACAAATGGAAGAACATTCCACGCTCATGGATAGGAAGAATCAATATCATGAAGATGGCCATACTGCCCAAGGTAATTTATAGACTCAATGCCATCCCCATCAAGCTACCAATGACTTTCTTCACAGAATTGGAAAAAACTACTTTAAAGTTCATATGGAACCAAAAAGGAGCCCACATTGCCAAGACAATCCTAAACCAAAAGAACAAAGCTAGAGGCATCACGCTACCTGACTTCAAACTATACTACAAGGCTACAGTAACCAAAACAGCATGGTACTGGTACCAAAACAGAGATATAGACCAATGGAACAGAACAGAGCCCTCAGAAATAATACCACACATCTACAACCATCTGATCTTTGACAAACCTGACAAAAACAAGAAATGGGAAAAGGATTCCCTATTTAATAAATGGTGCTGGGAAAACTGGCTAACCATATGTGGAAAGCTAAAACTGGATCCCTTCCTTACACCTTATACAAAAATTAATTCAAGATGGATTAAATACTTACATGTTAGATCTAAAACCATAAGAACCCTAGAAGAAAACCTAGGCAATACCATTCAGGACATAGACATGGGCAAGGACTTCATATCGAAAATACCAAAAGCACTGGCAACAAAAGCCAAAATTGACAAACGGGATCTCATCAAACTAAAGAGCTTCCACACAGCAAAAGAAACTACCATCACAGTGAACAGTTAACCTACAGAATGGGAGAAAATTTTTGCAATCAACTCATCTGACAAAGGGCTAATATCCAGAATCTACAAAGAACTCAAACAAATTTACAAGAAAAAAACAAACAACCCCATCAACCAGTGGCCGAAGGATATGAACAGACACTTCTCAAAAGAAGACATTTATGCAGCCAAAAGACACATGAAAAAATGCTCATCATCACTGGCCATCAGAAAAATGCATATCAAAACCACAATGAGATACCATCTCACACCAGTTAGAATGGCGATCAGTAAAAAGTCAGGAAACAACAGGTGCTGGAGAGGATGTGGAGAAATAGGAATACTTTTACACTGTTGGTGGGACTGTAAACTAGTTCAATCATTGTGGAAGTCAGTGTGGCGATTCCTCAGGGATCTAGAACTAGAAATACCATTTGACCCAGCCATCCCATTACTGGGTATATACCCAAAGGATTATAAATCATGCTGCTATAAAGACACATGCACATGTATGTTTATTGTGGCACTATTCACAATAGCAAAGACTTGGAACCAACCCAAATGTCCATCAATGATAGACTGGATTAAATGTGGCACATATACACCATGGAATACTATGCAGCCATAAAAAAGTTGAGTTCATGTCCTTTGCATGGACATGGATGAAGCTGGAAACCATCATTCTCCGCAAACTATCCCAAGGACAAAAAAACAAACACTGCATGTTCTCACTCCTAGGTGGGAATTGAACAATGAGAACACTTGGACACAAGAAGGGGAACATCACACACTGGGGCCTTTTGTGGGGTTGGGGGAGGGTGGAGGTATAGCATTAGGAGATATACCTAATGTAAATTTCGAGTTAATGAGTGCAGCACACCAACATGGCACATGTATACATACATAACAATCCTGCTTGTTGTACACATGTACCCTATAACTTAAAGTATATTTTTAAAAAAACTGAGGCCTTGAGCAGGCCTCTCAGTTTCCTTATTTTTCAGCTACTATTAATGCATAACAAATTACTCCAAAATTTAGTGGCTTAAAGCAACAACCACCATTTTATTATCTCTCTCCATTTCTTTGATTCAGTACTTCAGGAAGGGCTTGGCTGAGCTATGGCTCAGAATCTGTTAGGTAGTTGCAGTCAGATGGTGACTGAAATCAGAACAGCAGGAGACAGGAGTCTAGGGACTAAATGATCATCTCCGTCTTCATGGAGTCTCACACTGTTTCCATGTGGTTTTTCCACATGGATTAGTTTAAGTTTCTTCGTAGGATGGTGGCTTCAAGGCAGTCAAGAGCACTGACCTGGCAGTTAATGGCTTTAAGAATAAGTATTCCAGCAAGCAACGTAGCAGTTTCATACTCTATTAGTTGAAGCAGTGACAAAGGTCCATCCAGTTCTAAGGGAAGGGGACATAGATGCCACTTCTCAATGGGAAATGTGACAAAGAATTTGTGGACATATTTTAAAACCACCACACCTTGAATATACATGCATCATAAACTAATAATAAACTAGATAATGGCAACTTACTATATAATTCTTTACCAAATGAAAAATTCTTTGGAGCACATATTATGCCACACATATAATGAATATGGCCTTCCATAGCCATAACTAATTTTGATTTTTGATTTGCAAATCTTTATACATATAAAACCAATATAAAAATAATTATGGAATTATTTTTATGTTATTTTTATACTTTTTATATTTTATATAGTATTTTATTTATGATATATAAATATTATACATAAATATATATGAATATATTATACATAAATATATAAATAAATAATACATATATTTTATATAATATTTTGTATATTATTTTATATTTTATAATTCTATATAATTATAGAATTATATTTGTTATATATAACCAATTAAATATAAATATAATTATGAAATTTGTTTTTATATTTAATTTGTTATACATATATAACATAAATATAATTCTATAATTTTTTAATAAAAATGAAAGGTCTTACTCTCACTGAGAATAATTATACTCTGATTTATCTCCTCTATCCAGAATTTTATTTATAGAGTTTTTTCAAAGCTGGAAACTCATACATCATAACCTAGAGAGATGCACACTTTTAGCAAATTTTCATGGTGAATGATTATGTTAAGATAAATTAAAACTTTTTGTCATGAGCTCTCGATTTGTTTATTGATAAAATGTGAAGTTCAGCAGACAATTAACAATTCTGCAATCCTCAGCCAAATTGTTGAGCTATACTTCAAACCATGAGAAAATTCTATAACCAAGTATTTGGAAAACTTAGGCACTTATTCCTTAGACACCTAACCCCAGTTCATTATGCTCATCATTTAAAAACATGCTTAAAGGAAGAGCATATCATCACACAATGTAACATAGAGTAGATATTGGAATACAAAATACAGTAAACCAGACAATGAAAGCCAGTTCATAACAAGAGAGCATGAATCAGGCCTACAACCAACACAGCTTAGCTGTAACAAAACCTTCACTCCTAAAACAAAGTTATATTCTTTGAAATGCGCTTTAATTATTCAAACTTTCCTTACTAACCTATTTACTTGTTACATATTAACTTATTTAAAACCGTTCATGTATTTCATTCAACACTTTTTCCCCTAAAACCTTACTGCTATATTCATGGAAATACTCTTTTTTCCCTAAAGTTTCTCTTTTTCACTCTTCCCGGGGGTTCCCCACTTTTAATACAATGAAATGCACAAATGTAGTAAACCTGTCACTGTCTACCTAACTCACACCCATTACAATTTCACTGATTTAAGCATGTGCCCCCACTAAAATGTCCCTAATCTTCCTAGCCCATCTTTATAAATTTTTTCCCTCCCCATGTTCATTCCTCTTAACTGAAGTAATTGCTCTTCTTCATCTTCCTGGTGCTTACTTTTGTGTCCTAAAGACCAAGAAAATAGATGTCCCTATAGTTAGCAATCCATTAGAGCATTCCACTTCTAATAGCAATATTGCTAATATTACTAATGCTCTCCTTTCCCATTCAGTAATTCATGACCAACTTCATGTATACAGAGACACCTCTAGTAACACACTCCATGTGGATCTTAGGATGTGAATGAAAAAAAGGAGATACTATAATCCTAAACAAGCTCTTTAGGATGTGCAGACATGCCGGAGACAGAAATTCCGGACCCTTGGACAGGGTCACTTCCTTATGTACCCCTGTGTCCACAGCACCTAGGGTAACTCTGGTTCATCATAGCCCTCAATCCACAGTGAATGTTGAATTCATCAATTGTTAGATAATCATGCGACCTTATAAAAGAGATAGATAGACCTTAGAAATTATCTATTCCAACCTCTTACTTCGCAGATGAAGAAACTAAAATCTAGAAGAAACATTATCTTGGCAAAGCCTTGGGAACTTGCCCAAAATTTAACAGCTAGGTAGCTAATGCAGCAATTAATCATTTTTCACAACAGTATGCTTTGTCTTACGGGTCTTCTAAAACCTTTTTGTGTTTGCACTTTAAAGAGATAATATTCCAAAGAATAAATATTCGCACTTTACAACCTAAAAAGTATGTTCAATTGATATATTAATTCAATTGAATATTTCCTCCATCTCAAACATGTTTTAATTGCTGATATTAAATTGATTGGTGCTCTCCTCACCACACCCCCAACCACTGCCCAATACAGAATCCTGAACTAACTGCTTCATTTAATCTGGCTTTGTTTATTGAATCTAATTTTGTTTGTCCAGCTGCCTTATGCATTTTTAACTTTGTAGTTTGTTAAGACTGACCAGGACACTGAAATATGATATGAACTTCAACGCAAATTTATAAACATAGTTTATTTTAAACCCCACTGAACAAAAACCAAGTATCTTCTCACTGCTATTGTGTGCGCTTCCTGGGAAGATAATTTTCCACCTTGAAATGGTGTAACTATGAGAGCAATTACTTCAAACTATTTGAAAAAGTGAGCCTGTATGGAGACTCATCTCAGTGCCTTACAAGAGTAAGGCATTTTGTATACCACTTATCTACTCCCACTGACTTTGCTGTTATTTGCTGCACACCCAATTTGTCTCTTTTCTATGTGTTTCCAGAAAAGGTGCATGAGTTAAGATGTGGCAATACAGGTCACAACAGGAATTTGAATCCCTTATTGTTTGCATGCTGCTCCTGATTGCAGTATCTGCAAACCACAACACCAACATCTGGGAAATAGAGTTAACAGCATTGAAAAAGCCTCCAGATGTCATATAGTTCCATCTTCTGAACCCAAGTCAGATGGTTCCTAATGATAACAAAGTTAAATATCTCTAAGGAAGGAGCTGCTATAACCTCCTTTGGTATCTATCATGCTAACTATGATAAACTGATAGAGTGAGTGTGGTATAGGCCATGTTCTCATGATCCAGATGGTTCTTTCTTATATAATGGAATTCTCCATTAGATGTCAACAAAACAAGAGTGTAGATATCTTTTCAGAGTCAAGTGTGAGAAGATACACAATCTGGCTTTTGCAAGAGTTATTAAGGAAGAAGAGAATAACAAGGAGGAACACAGATGTGAGGGAGAGAAGTTTTGCTTGGTTTAAACATTCACTGTCCCATGACATCAATGTTTAAAGACTAGTTGCTCTTGCCTTGCTCAGCTAATGTTATTGGGAGGAATCTGTGTAGAATAGAAACAAAAACTGACCTTTTATCTTAGACATAGCACCTGAGAGATAATGAATCACAACCAAAATCCCTTACATTCTGGGCATCTACTGGAAAAAGAAAAGGAAGAAAAAAGAAGAGTAAGAATAAAATGAGTCAGAACCATGATGGGCAACATAGCGAGAACCCGTATCTACAAAAAAGTAAACAATTAGCCAGGCGTGGTGATGCATGCCTGTAGTCCTGGCTACTTGAGAGGCTGTGGCAGGAAGATTGCTTAAGCCCAGGAGTTCAAGGCTGCAGTGAGGTATGATTGTGCTGCTGCACTCCATCCCCTAGGTGAGAATGACACCCTGTATCTTTAAAAAAAAAAAAAAAAACCATCAGAAGCCTCACTCTTCCTGCTAATGGGTTCTATTTACATAAACTTTTGAACTTTCATCCAATATATCTTCTAAGAAATAAAAAATATCTAAGTTTCAGTCAACTTGGCAGTGAAGGTAACTTCCTCAATGGAAAACAGATGACTAAACATATATGTTAGGTAAATAAATAATTATTGTTCATTTATTTGACTATGAAAGAAGAAAACAAACATTTATTGAGTGCCATTTATTTTTAAACTGTACAAGTCTGTGAGGCAAGTACAGCTACCTCTACTTTTATATAAAGGGAATTTACGCAATTGGCTTAAGGTTGAAGAAACAGTGTCCAGGTTCAAAATCTGGTGTTCTTCATTCTGAAATCACATAGTCTGTATATTGGGCCACACATAAAAAGGAAAATAGTTTATCTTCTTCTTTCTCTTGCATATAAGGACAGAGTTATTTTCTAGTGAGAAATAATTCTTATACACTTTGGTTACTGGAAACTTACTTTTTTCAGATGATGCATTAAATAAAGAAACCAGAGCTTAGTTTTACCTCTTTTGATATTGAAGTACATTAGCTGTGTCTCAAGGATAGGGGTTCCCATATATCCATGCTGCCTTAATCAGGGCTATAGTCTCAGGAGGATCTGTGCATTCTCTCCCATCACCCTACCTCTCACCTGAACTTTTGGAAAGATAATCTGGCCTGGAAGGAGAAGAAAATGGAGACAGAAATTTCCCCAGGTAAATCCTCACCATATAAGAAGTGAATTTGTAAGTAGCATTTAACACTCTATTATATATTGCAGTTTTTAAATAAATGTCTTATATCTCCTACTCTCCTATAAGCATCTTATGAGCAAGAACCATACCTTAATAATTTATGAATTCCCACAGTAAGCACAATAATATTCTGAATGCATTCATTTCAACATGTATTTGTTGAATATTAAAGGAAAACTTATTAAACCAAATATATATTTGTTGATAACCAACAGTTGCAGAATGTCAACATTGAATGAACCCTTAAAGATTATCAACTACAGCAACATATTTTACTAATGAGGAAACCTTGCCCTAGAGAGGCTAAATAATTTGCTTAATGTCACATAATAACATAAGAAGCCAGTACTAAAACACAGGCCTCCCATTTAGTAATGAAATGCCCTTTCTTTCATGTAACTTGGATCATCCTTCTTCTCATATGTCTGAATGAATAAATAAACTTACAAGTGTTACCAAATACAGAAATTGGCTGGACTAATACCATGCTGTGTAGGCAAACAATATCAGAGCCAGCCTTCATAGGATATGATTCTTGCCTCCCCAAAGGACATAATTAGACATGTACTACATAAATGACTGTTCATAAGTTAAACAATTAAACCGTATTCTCGAGTTAACTTCGTCTGTATCACTTATCCTCTGAGTTTCACTGGAACAGTCACCTTTCTCATATTTTGATTTGTTGTGTTCTTGTTTATATTTTTGAAAATGCTATTATGATAAGTCAAATTTCAGTGGAGTTCTTGGAATGCCTCACAACCCAAGTCTCAGAATTAAAGCCAAAAATATGTTTCTCCTGCCTTTTTCTTCTTTCCTTCCTCATTCTGCAGGTTAGTTTATAACAAAGAGAATTCATGAATCATAATTTTGGATGGAAAACATGCTACCCCAAGGCATTCTCAGTATTTTATAGCTGGGGAGAGCAACGCAGCAGGAGAGCCTGCAACAAATGTTGGGAGTGAAGAAGACTGAGGGGAAAAGAGGATCCACTGGTATGCTTGTGGTTCCATTTATTTCCTAGCAAGAAACAAGAAGCAAACCACAAAAGCCATAGTTTTCAGATCTCCTTTGCCAGGGATACTCCTGAAGGCAGCACATCCCACTCCAGTCATAATCTTATGACTGACTCTTGACTCATTTCTCCTGAAAGAATGGCACTTCAGAGCACCATTATGGGTGCCACTGCTCCACCCAGATCATTTTCCCCTCTTTTTAAAAAATATTTTTGTTCCTTCATATTTGTTTTCCCTTTACTTTTCTTTCTCTTTACTGGCTCCTTCAGAATCATGTACAAGAATAAATACTTCCTCTCCTGCTTAGGTCATTGTCTCTTTTTTATTTTAATTGAAGTAACTAATATATGAGCCTTCAAGAAAAGCAATGGCTGTAAACAGAAATTACAAAGCTGATGGGAATAGGATTTACAGAAACAACTTATTAAAATATGACACCTGACAACCTAGAAAGAATAAGGTAATTTCCCTGAAGATTAAAAAAAAAAGTCATCGCATATGTCACTTCCATTCTAAAGCAAAGATTGCTAATGGTTTACTAAAATCCATGTGCTTCTCTTTTCTTGAGTATACACCTATGCTATATTCCTTAGCTTTCCTTGCATTTAGGTGGGGCCATGTATTGAGTTCTGGCAAATGGACTGTGAATGGAAGTAGTGGTACGTGCCACTTCCAGACATAACCTATGTCAACTGTGAATATGTTTCTCTCTGTTCTTTCTACATTCTGGCTGTCAGAAATGGGGATAAACCACAATGATCTTGACAGTCGTGTTTTGAAAATGTCAGAGCCTAGATCCATGAGTCCTTAAGTAAAAAAGAGCCACACATGAATCAATAAATTCCTATTATTTTTGAGCTACTATATATTTTGGGTCTATTTATTATAGCAGCTAACATTATTCTAACTAATACATTCTTTTCTAGGGACTACAGTCAGAGAACAGGTATCAAGAGACCCATATATCACTGCAACTCAACTGGTATTGATATAACTGAGTCAATGAAATTGATCCAATTGTATCACTGAATACAATTTTTATCTTAGATGTATTCCTTCACTTCTTTGCATCTCTTAACATTTTTTAGAGATAAACACAATAGTAGTTAATCAAATAATTGTAGAACCGTAGTGTTAAAAGATCACTTAGCCCAGCTTCATTATTACACAGATTAGAAAACTGCAGCCCAGAACCACTAGACTATTTAAAACAGATCTCACAAATTAAAGTCAAAGTTGGCAGCAGAATCCAGGACTATTATTCCCAGTTCAGGGCTCTTTTCTCTAAAAAGCTTATAGTGGAATGATTCCCCACCAAGGTAATATTTTGATTAGTAAGGAAAAGGAATTCACATATGTATTAATTGGGATTCTATTTGTAGAATAAATAGAATTAAAGCCAAAAAATCTATTTGTTGAATAGAATCCCAATTAGCATTTTAAAAGTCATTCAATTGTGTAAGTAGCACTTTAAAAGTCATTCAATTGTGTAAGACTCTATAGTTAGATTATATTGAGCCATGTTAAATGTACATAATAAAAGAGAAGAATCTCTACTTCCTATGAAAAGAAAACATAATACTAATCATTTATTAACATTAATGATTCACAAGAAACAATTTTAAAGTTATATATTTTGAGCAATAACAGCACAAGTGTATTGAATGCCAAGGCTTTCTTGTTATATCACTCCTTGCTAATCAAATCTAAAACATTGGAGAGTAAATAAGTGAGTCTTTGGACTGTCCACAATTTCTTAAAACCAAGACTGTTCTGTTGGTGATTTATCCTGCAAATCTAACAAAGTGTTTGACACTTTAAAAACTGTGATAAATGTTTAATAAATGTGAATGTACTATTATATTTACCCCAGAGTAC
The DNA here is from genome assembly GCF_000001405.40 of Homo sapiens. Classification (NCBI taxonomy): domain Eukaryota; kingdom Metazoa; phylum Chordata; class Mammalia; order Primates; family Hominidae; genus Homo; species Homo sapiens. Next base: position 43,800,430 of record NC_000005.10, on the reverse strand, counting down.
TTCTATGCCATGAAGTTTTGCATTACTATCATTAGCTACAGTATACTATCTGTTATTTATCCTTTTGTAGAAAGCCCAGCATTTACTGAAGCTGAGGGACAGAAAAGTATAGTGACTGCTGGGGTTTTAATCCCAATTCTACCAATTACCTTGTGTCCTTTACTTAACTTCCCTTTGTGCCTCCTAAGTCAAATAAGGTTCTGATAACAACAGAATATACCTTGGGGGTCTGAGTACCAGCAGGAAAACAATAACTCACAGAGTTTTTGTGGAAAGTTTAATGAAGAGATTATTTATAAAGTTATGAGCAGGTCATTGGAGCACCCCTGAGCTAGCAACAGCAAAGAGATTTTAACACCGCTAGACCCAATGGGTAAGAGAGGGAAGCTATTACCAGAATCCAGAGAGACAGACTTGGAGAAAACCAAATAAATGGGTGCTATTGTCTTTGAGAGAGGGATGCAGCCAACCTGCAGTGCCCCCAAAAGGGAAGGAATTAGGGTAATAACTACTATGGCCTCACTTTGCTTCCACCTTCTGATCTCACGCTGGGAACTCTCATTGGCAAAAAAAAAACAACCAGAAAACATAAAGCAAAATTTCCAGTCCCAAAGATCAGTCTCTTAAGGCACAGAGTATGGAAGTGTGAAAAGTGTCTGAAGAGGTAAATGAAAAATGAGCACACCTAATAAAGCTTTTGTGAAGATTTACAATGCTCATATACATAGCGTAGTGTCTAACACCATGAAAGTGCCTGCTATTATTAATTTTTATTGAGTAGAGCAGTGATACAGCATTAAAACCTGAAGCCATACTGCTGAAGTCCAGTGTCCAATTTTGCTGCTTATTACAACTGTGACCTTGAATAAGTTTCTTAATTTTTTTGCCCATGTTTCTTCTTCTGTAAAATGAAAACTAAAAATAAAGCCCTTTGGAGTTGCACGATGGTAATACATGTAAAACACTTAGAACAGTGGTCAGTATATATAAGAATGCAAACATTTATATTACTCTTTACTTAATATCTATTGATTAAACAGGGTTTTGGTTAATTCTGGTGTAATAAGACCTGGAAAGTAACTCCTTTTCACCTGAAATAATTCCCTACTTATTCCAAGGAAATATATAGAAGGTTTGTTAATACCCCCAGGGCTACATTATCCAACAGGTCAACTAACTACATGCTCAGTCACTCTTGAGACAAGGATAGAGCAAATATGGAAGGGAAAGAGATTAAGAGAGAGAGAAGGAAAAAGTTAAGCTTTGATGCATTTATCAGAAAATCTAGAAAGAAGCAATCTTAATTTCAGCATACCTCTAAGTTTCAGGGAGCTTAGGATTGTTTTTACTTTAAAAAATATACTAGAGGTAGGAGAGATGAACAGAATAATCTTTCCAGTTCTTGGGGTCTCTTCATATCTGAGTCTAGCACTAGGACTTCACCATTTGCTTGTGGCTATTTTTGTTTTGAGTATTTTGTGCAAGTTTTAGAGATGATGCAATTTCTTTACAGGATGCAATGAAGAGCAAGGGGAGCCTAAATGGAAAACAGAATACAATAATTGGACAGTTTATATATAAAAGGCATTGTATTGGGCTCTATCCAATATATAGTCCTGGATCAGAATTACTTTTGTGATTACTTTTTTCATTTAATAAAACCTCTAAACAGTAGAGATGCTCAATGCAACTTCAAAATAGCTTCCCAAGAAAAATGTCTCAAACTGTTTTGTTTTTCAGGAATTATTCCACACAAAAATTTCTTGAAATATTTTATATCTGTGACAGTTCGACAAACTAATCATTTCAAAACCCAACACCTCATGAATTTGAGTTTTTCTGTTGAAAGGACAAAGTACATTTTGCAGGGTGTTGTGGGGTTTATTATGTACATATGCCTGATGATCAGATTCTTCTAGTCTAGCTTGAGAGGATGCAAGGTGGCAGTCTCAAGTTATCCATCCCTCCTCAAGCTGCCCCCTCTGGGGCAGCCGCACAGGACCACTGGACTGCCCCTCAGCTGTTCCCCCTGTGACTTTGCAGTTAACAGAGGAATTGAACAATGAGAACACTTGGACACAGGATGGGGAACATCACACACTGGGGCCTGCTGTGGGGTGGGAGGAGGGGGGAGGGATAGCATTAGGAGATATACCTAATGTAAATGATGAGTTAGTGGATGCAGCACACCAATACATTCTTATTAACCACAGTTACTGTCACACACATCTGTGTGAAGAGACCACCAACAGGCTTTGTGTCCGTTTGAAGAGGCCACCAACAGGCTTTGTGTGAGCAATAAAGCTTTTTAATTACCTGGGTGCAGGTGGGCTGAGTCTGAAAGACAGTTAGCAAAGGGAGTTAGGGGTGGGGCAGTTTTATGGGATTTGTGTAGGTAGTGGAAAATTACAGTCAAAGGGGGTTGTTCTCTTGAGGGCAGGGGTGGGGGTCACAAGGTGCTCATTGGGGGAGCTTCTGAGCCAGGAGAAGGAATTTCACAAGGCAATGTCATCAGTTAAAGCAGGAACCGGCAATTTGTGCTTCTTTTGTGATTCTTCAGTTGCTTCAGGCCATCTGGATATATACCACATGCTTGGACTCAGAGGCCTGATATTCCTATCTTTTTTTTTTTTTTGTAAATATGTTTGTAATTTTATTTTTTTTTATTATACTTTAAGTTTTAGGGTACATGTGCACAACGTGCAGGTTAGTTACATATGTACACAAGCGCCATGTTGGTGGGCTGCACCCATTAACTCATCATTTAATATTAGGTGTATCTCCTAATGCTATCCCTCCACCCTCCCCCCACCCCACAACAGGCTCCGGTATGTGATGTTCCCCTTCCTGTGTCCATGTGTTCTCATTGTTCAATTCCCACCTAGGAGTGAGAACATGCAGTGTTTGGTTTTTTGTCCTTGTGATAGTATGCGGAGAATGATGCTTTCCAGCTTCATCCATGTCCCTACAAAGGACAAGAACTCATCCTGTTTTATGGCTGCATAGTATTCCATGGTGTATATGTGCCACATTTTCTTAATCCAGTCTATCATTGTTGGACATTTGAGGATGTGCCAAGTCTTTGCTATTGTGAATAGTGCCACAATAAAGATACGTGCACATGTGTCTTTATAGCAGCATGACTTATAATCCTTTAGATATATATCCAGTAATGGGATGGCTGGGTCAAATGGTATTTCTAGTTCTAGATCCCTGAGGAATCACCACACTGACTTCCACAATGGTTGAACTAGTTTACAGTCCCACCAACAGTGTAAAAGTATTCCTATTTCTCCACATCCTCTCCAGCACCTGTTGTTTCCTGACTTTTTACTGATTGTCATTCTAACTGGTGTGAGATGATATCTCATTGTGGTTTTGATTTGCATTTTTCTGATGGCCAGTGATGCTGAGCATTTTTTCATGTGTCTTTTGGCTGCATAAATGTCTTTTTTTGAGAAGTGTCTGTTCATATCCTTCGGCCACTGGTTGATGGGGTTGTTTGCTTTTTTCTTGTAAACTTGTTTGAGTTCATTGTAGATTCTGGATATTAGCCCTTTGTCAGATGAGTAGATTGCAAAAATTTTCTCCCATTCTGTAGGTTAACTGTTCACTGTGATGGTAGTTTCTTTTTCTCTGCAGAAGCTCTTTAGTTTGATGAGATCCCATTTGTCAATTTTGGCTTTTGTTGCCATTGCTTTTGGTATTTTAGACATGAAGTCCTTGCCCATGTCTATGTCCTGAATGGTATTGCCTAGGTTTTCTTCTAGGGTTTTTATGGTTTTACATCTAACATTTAAGTCTTTAATCCATCTTGAATTAATTTTTGTATAAGGTGTAACGAAGGGATCCAGCTTTAGCTTTCTACATATGGCTAGCCAGTTTTCCCAGCACCATTTATTAAATAGGGAATCCTTTCCCCATTTCTTGTTTTTGTCAGGTTTGTCAAAGATCAGATATTTGTAGATATGCGGCATTATTTCTGAGGGCTTTGTTCTGTTCCATTGGTCTATATCTCTGTTTTGGTACCAGTACCATGCTGTTTTGGTTACTGTAGCCTTGTAGTATAGTTTGAAGTCAGGTAGCGTGATGCCTCTAGCTTTGTTCTTTCGGCTTAGGATTGACTTGGCAATGTGGGCTCTTTTTTGGTTCCATATGAACTTTAAAGTAGTTTTTTCCAATTCTGTGAAGAAAGTCATTGGTAGCTTGATGGGGATGGCATTGAATCTATAAATTACCTTGGACAGTATGGCCATTTTCACGATATTGATTCTTCCTACCCATGAGCATGGAATGTTCTTCCATTTGTTTGTAACCTCTTTTTTTCATTGAGCAGTGGTTTGTAGTTCTCTGTGAAGAGACCCTTCATGTCCCTTGTAAGTTGGATTCCTAGGTATTTTATTCTCTTTGAAGCAATTGTGAATGGGAGTTCACTCATGATTTGGCTCTCTGTTTGTTTGTTATTGGTGTATAAGAATGCTTGTGATTTTTGCACATTGATTTTGTGTTCAGAGACTTTGCTGAAGTTGCTTATCAGCTTAAGGAGATTTTGGGCTGAGACGATGGGGTTTTCTAGATATACAATCATGTCATCTGCAAACAGGGACAATTTGACTTCCTCTTTTCCTAATTGAATGCCCTTTATTTCCTTCTCCTGCCTGATTGCCCTGGCCAAAACTTCCAACACTATGTCGAATAGGAGTGGTGAGAGAGGACATCCCTGTCCTGTGGCAGTTTTCAAAGGGAATGCTTCCAGTTTTTGCCCATTCAGTATGATATTGGCTGTGGGATTGTCATAGATAGCTCTTATTATTTTGAGATACATCCCATCAATACCTAATTTATTGAGAGTTTTTAGCATGGAGGGTTGTTGAATTTTGTCAAATGCCTTTTCTGCATCTATTGAGATAATTGCGTGGTTTTTGTTATTGTTTCTGTTTATATGCTGGATTACGTTTCTTGATTTGCGTATGTTGAACCAGCCTTGACTCCCAGAGATGAAGCCCACTTGATCACGGTGGATAAGCTTTTTGATGGGCTGCTGGATTCAGTTTGCCAGTATTTTATTGACGATTTTTGCATCGATGTTCATCAGGGATATTGGTCTAAAATTCTCTTTTTTTGTTGTGTCTCTGCCAGGCTTTGGTATCAGTATGATGCTGGCCTCATAAAATCAGTTAGGGAGGATTCCTTCTTTTTCTATTGATTGGAATAGTTTCAGAAGGAATAGTACCAGCTGCTCCTTGTACCTCTGGTAGAATTTGGCTGTAAATCCATGTGGTCCTGGACTTTTTTGGTTGGTAAGCTATTAATTATTGCCTCAATTTCAGAGCCTGTTATTGTTCTATTCAGGGATTCAGCTTCTTCCTAGTTTAGTCTTGGGAGGGTGTATGCATCAAGGAATTTATCCATTTCTTCTAGGTTTTCTAGTTAACTTGGTTAGAGGTGTTTAAAGCATTCTCTGATGGTAGTTTGTATTTCTGTGGGATTGGTGGTGATATCCCCTTTATCATTTTTTATTGCGTCTATCTGATTCTTCTCTCTTTTCTTCTTTATTAGTCTTGCTAGCGGTCTATCAATTTTGTTGATCTTTTCAAGAAAACCAGCTAATGGATTCATTGATTTTTTGAAGGGTTTTTTGTGTCTCTATTTCCTTCAGTTCTGCTCTGATATTAGTTATTTCTTGCCTTCTGCTAGCTTTTGAATGTGTTTGCTCTTGCTTCTCTAGTTCTTTTAATTGGGATGTGAGGGTGTCAATTTTAGATCTTTCCTGTTTCTCTTGTGGGCATTTAGTGCTATAAATTTCTCTCACACACTGCTTTAAATGTGTCCCAGAGATTCTGGTATGTTGTGTCTTTGTTCTCATTGGTTTCAGAGAACATCTTTAATTCTGCCTTCATTTTGTTATGTACCCAGTAGTCACTCAGAAGCAGGTTGTTCAGTTTCCATGTAGTTGAGCAGTTTTTGAGTGAGTTTCTTAATCCTGAGTTCTAGTTTGATTGCACTGTGGTCTGAGAGACAGTTTGTTATAATTTCTGTTCTTTTACATTTGCTGAGGAGTGCTTTACTTCCAACAATGAGGTCAATTTTGGAATAAGTGCGATGTGGTGTTGAGAAGAATGCATATTCTGTTGATTTGTGGTGGAGAGTTCTGGAGATGTGTATTAGGTCTGCTTGGTGCAGAGCTGAGTTCAGTTCCTGGATATCCTTGCTAACTTTCTGTCTTGTTGATCTGTCTAATGTTGACAGTGGAGTGTTAAAGTCTCCCATTGTTATGGCGTGGGAGTCTATGTCTCTTTGTAGGTCTCTAAGGACTTGCTTTATGAATCTGCGTGCTCCTGTATTGGGTGCATATATATTTAGGATAGTTAGCTCTTCATGTTGAATTGATCCCTTTACCATTATGTAATGGCCTTCTTTGTCTCTTTTGATCTTTGTTGGTTTAAAGTCTGTTTTATCAGAGACTAGGATTGCAACAACTGCCTTTTTTTGTTTTCCATTTGCATGGTAGATCTTCCTCCATCCCTTTATTTTGAGCCTATGTGTGTCTCTGCACGTGAGATGGGTTTCCTGAATAAAATGGGTCTTGACTCTTTATCCAATTTGCCAGTCTGTGTCTTTTAATTGGAGCATTTAGCCCATTTACATTAAAAGTTAACATTGTTATGTGTGAATTTGATCCTGTCATTATGATGTTAGCTGGTTATTTTGCTCCTTAGTTGATGCAGTTTCTTCCTAGCCTCGATGTTCTTTACAATTTGGCATGATTTTGCAGTGGCTGGTACCATTGTTCCTTTCCATGTTTAGGGCTTCCTTCAGAAGCTCTTTTATGGGAGGCCTGGTGGTGACAAAATCTCTCAGCATTTGCTTCTCTGTAAAGGATTTTATTCTCCTTCACTTATGAAGCTTAGTTTGGCTGGATATGAAATTCTAGGTTGAAAATTCTTTTCCTTAAGAATGTTGAATATTGGCCCCCACTCTCTTCTGGCTTGTAGAGTTTCTACCGAGAGATCAGCTGTTAGTCTGATGGACTTCCCTTTGTGGGTAACCCGACCTTTCTCTCTTGCTGCCCTTAACATTTTTTCTTTCATTTCAACTTTGGTGAATCTGACAATTATGTGTCTTGGAGTTGCTCTTCTCGAGGAGTATCTTTGTGGTGTTCTCTGTATTTCCTGAATTTGAATATTGGCCTGCCTTGCTAGATTGGGGAATTTCTCCTGGATAATATCTTGAAGAGTGTTTTCCAACTTGGTTCCATTCTCCCCATCACTTTCAGGTACACCAATCAGACATAGATTTGGTCTTTTCACATGGTCCCATATTTCTTGGAGGCTTTGTTCATTTCTTTTTATTCTTTTTTCTCTAAACTTCTCTTCTCACTTCATTTCATTCATTTGATCTTCCATCACTGATACCCTTTCTTCCAGTTGATTGAATTGGCTACTGAGGCTTGTGCATTTGTCATAGTTCTCATGCCATGGTTTTCAGCTCCATCAGGTCCTCTAAGGACTTCTCTGCATTGGTTATTCTAGTTAGCCATTCATCTAATTTTTTTTCAAGGTTTTTAACCTCTTTGCCATGGGTTGGAACTTCCTCCTTTAGCTCGGAGTAGTTTGATCATCTGGAGCCTTCTTCTCTCAACTCGTCAAAGTCATTCTCCATCCAGCTTTATTCCATTGCCAGTGAGGAGCTGCATTCCTTTGGAGGAGGAGAGGTGCTCTAATTTTTAGAGTTTCCAGTTTTTCTGCTCTGGTTTTTCCCCATCTTTGTGGTTTTATCTACCTTTGATCTTTTATGATGGTGACGTACAGATGGGATTTTGGCGTGGATGTCCTTTCTGTTTGTTAGTTTTCCTTCTAACAGTCAGGACCCTCAGCTGCAGGTCTGTTGGAGTTTGCTGGAGGTTCACTCCAGACCATGTTTGTGTGGATTATCAGCCACAGAGGCTGCAGAACAGTGGATATTGGTGAACAGCAAATGTTGCTGCTTGATCATTCCTCTGGAAGTTTTGTCTCAGAGGAGTACCCAGACGTGTGAGGTGTCAGTCTACCCCTGCTGGGGAATGCCTCCCAGTTAGGCTACTTGGGGGTCAGGGACCCACTTGAGGAGGCAGTCTGTCTGTTCTCAGATCTCCAGCTGCATGCTGGGAGAACCACTAATCTCTTCAAAGCTGTCAGAGAGGGACATTTAAGTCTGCAGAGGTTTCTGCTGCCTTTTGTTTGGCTATGCCCTGCCCCCAGAGGTGGAGTCTACAGAGGCAGGCAGGCCTCCTTGAGCTGAGGTGGGCTCCACCTAGTTCGAGCTTCCCAGCCGCTTTGTTTACCTACTCACACCTCGGCAATGGCAGGTGCCCCGCCCCCAGCCTCACTGCCGCCTTGCAGTTTGGTCTCAGACTGCTGTGCTAGCAGTGAGTGAGGCTACATGGGTGGGGGACCCTCAGAGCCAGGCACGGGATATAATCTCCTGGTGTGCTGTTTGCTAAGACCATTGGAAAAGCTCAGTATTAGGGTGGGAGTGATCCAATTTCCCAGGTGCCATCTGTCACCCCTTTCTTTGACTAGGAAAGGGAATTCCCTGACCTCTTGTGCTTCCTGGGTGAGGCAATGCCTCACCCTGCTTCAGCTCACATTCAGTGCACTGCACCCACTGTTCTGCACCCACTGTCGGACACTCCCTAGTGAGATGAACCCGGTACCTCAGTTGGAAATGCAGAAATTACCCATCTTCTTTGTCACTCATGCTAGGAGCTGTAGACTGGAGCTGTTCCTATTCGGCCATCTTGGCTCCACCCCTGTCTTCTTATATCAATATGAAAAACAAAACAAGATAGTAGTGAAGTATTGGTGTCATGAGGGGAGCAGGAAGCTGTTTGGTCTTATTTGCAAATTGATTTTAGTGGGTAAGGAAAACTAGTGTACATGTGCCTTCCAAATTAACATGTAGACACACATAGGTGGAGGAGCACAGAGGAAGAAGAGACCTTGTGTAAGGCAAAACTGGAAATGTAAAGTGGGTGAAAGAATTGGAGTGTGCTTTTCCAGCAAAGGTCATTTATCCATTCCAAGAGGGAGTTAAGAGTGGTGGTTAGGAGATAAGACCAGCTACGATGGTTTGGAGAAAAGTATAAGCCAGCAGTGTAGACAAGGGCAGGGCATTTATGGATGGGTGAGAATGAAGAATAGGAGTATGGCTTGACAGAAGATAGCAGGGATGAAATGTTTTTGGGATGCAGTCTAAGTAGTGGGGGTGACTGCATAAAGCCCTGTGGCAAAAAGTAGGGTAAGGAAGAATAGACCTAACAAAATGAAAGGATGTATTAGGCTTATAAGGGTTATTACTGTTCTTCAGAAATGTGAGTGAATTTAAGGGAAGTAGGGGAGAGTACTTGTAACTTCCAGGAGGAGGAGGAGAGATCAGGCTGGCTGTCTGATGGACACAGCTTTATTCTGGAAAAGTGAAACTAATGGGGAGGGTCCTGCAGACGGACGGCAGTTGGGATGCTATAGATGACTAAGTGGGGTCCAGTCCACCAAGGTTGTAGAGCTTGAGGGGTCAGATTTTTAACAAGAACTGATCATCCAGCTAGGGTGTCCTCATATGGCTGGGAATCTGGAGTAGGCAAGAGAAGATTAGCAGCCTGGCGAATTTCCTGTCTAGCCTGCTAGAGGACTGGAAGATAGTCGCCTAGAGGGCTGGTGTCTGGGATAAGGTTGGGGCCGAAGAAGAAAGTGAATTATGTCTGACAGAAGGGAAGAAATGACTGTGGTGGCCTCCTCAGACCCTGTAGGAAAGGCCTCTACCTACCCAGTTAAAGTGTCTTTCCAGACCAAGAGGTATTTTAGTTTCCCAACTCGGGGCATGTGAGTAAAGTCAATTTGCCCACCCTGAGCAGGGGCAAATCCTCAAGCTTGATGTGTAGGGAAGGGAGGAAACCTGAGAAATCCCTGAGGAGTAGTAGAATAGCAGATGGAACACTGAGAAGTGATTTTTTGAGAATAGATTTTCACAATGGAAAGGAAATGAGAGGTTTTAAGAGGCAGGCTAGAGGCTTGTAACTTATATGGAAGAGGTTATGAAATGATGGCAGAATAGAATGGGCATGTGAGGCTGGAAGGAGATATTTTCCTTAGTCTAAGAACCATTTGCCTTGTGTGGGAAGAGACTGATAGGTGGAAGTTTCAGTGGGAGAGTAGGTGGGAGTGACCTATGAGAAGGAGAAAAACTGGCCATGAGGGACAGAAGTTGGAACTTTAGCTGCTTCTTTAGCTACTTATCAGCATAAGCATTGCCTTAGTGATGGGATCTGATGCCTTTTGATGGCCCTTACAGGGACTGACTCCAGATTCCTTTGGAAGTAAAGTGGCTTTGAGGAGAGCTTTTATTAAAGAGGCATTAATGATGGAGGACCCCTGCATAGTGAGGAAACCTCTTTCAGCCCATATAAAGGCACGGTAGTGCAGGATATAGAAGGCATATTTAGAGTCAGTATAAATATTGACACATAGTCCCTTTGCAAGAGTGAGGGTCTGAGTTAAGGCAATGAGTTCAGCTTGCTGAGACATAGTGGAGGGGGGCAGAGTGGTAGCCTCAATGATAGATGTGGAAGACACTATAGCATAGCCTGCCTTTGCCGGTGATTGGCAATTGGGCCTGGAAGAACTATCATCAATAAACCAAGTTTGGTCTTGGTGGAGAACAGGAAAGAGGGAAATATGGGGGAATAGGGAGAATTAATGGTTTAGTTAGGAAGGCAAAACCACGTATCCAAAGGCAAAAGTACCTAATCATGCCTAGGAAGGAAAGGAGTTGTTGTTTTGTAGAAGGGGTTCGGGTTTGGGAGATTAGCTGGACACAATCAGCAGGGAGAGAATGTGTGTTTTCATGAAGAATTATCCTGAGACAGGTAATGGATGAAGAAGAAATTTGGGCTTGACTGAAGTAATGGGGGCTGTCCCTGAAGCTTTGCGGCAGTACAGCCCAGGTAAGTTGCTGAGGATGATGAGTGTCAGGGTTAGTCAAAGTGAAAGCAAAGACAGGCTGGGATGAAGGGTGCAAAGAAATAGTAAAGAAAGCATGTTTGAGATCCAGAACTGAATAATGGGTTGTGGAGGGAGGTATTGAGGATAGGAGAGTATATGGGTTTGGCACCACAGGGTGGATAGGCAAGACAATTTGGTTGATAAGGTACAGATCCTGAACTAACCTGTAAGACTTGCCTGGTTTTTGGACAGGTAAAATGGGGGAATCATAAGGAGAGTTTATAGGCTTTAAAAGGCCATGCTGTAACAGGCGAGTGATAACAGGCTTCAATCCCTTTAAAGTATGTCATGGGATGGGATACTAGCATTGAGCAGGGTAAGGGTGATTAGGTTTTAATAGGATAGTAATGGGCGTGTGATCGGTTGCCAGGGAGGGAGTAGAGGTGTCCTCTACTTGTGGGTTAAAGAGGGGGGATACAAGAAGAAGATGTGAAGGAGGCTTTGAACTGGGAAAGAGAGTAGCAATGAGGTGTCGTTGTAGCCTAGGAATAGTCAGAGAAGCAGACAATTAAAAGTGCCTCGACCTAATAAGGGGACTGGCCAGGTGGGGATAACTAAAAAAGAGTGCATAAATGAATATTGTCCAAGTTGGCACCAGAGTGGGGGAGTTTTAAGGGGTTTTGAAGCTTGGCCATCAATATCCACAACAGTTATGGAGGCAAGGGAAACAGGCCATTGAAAAGAAGGTAATGTGGAGAGGGTAGCCTCCATATTGATTAAGAAGGGGGCAGACTTACCCTCCACTGTAAGAGTTACCCAAAGTGTCTGTAATGGTCCAGGAGGTTTTTGAGGCAATCAGGTAGTGTCAGTCTTCAGCCACTAAGCCGAGAAGATCTGGGAAGTAGTCACAGAGCCTTGGGCCAGAGTTGCAGGGACTCTGGGAGTGGCTGCCGGGTGAGTTGGACAGTCCAATTTCCAGTGGGATCCCACACAGATGGGACATGGCTTAGGAGGAATCCTGGCTGTGGGCATTCCTTGGCCCCGTGGCCAGATTTCCAGCACTTGAAGCAAGATTCTGGGGGAGAAGGTCCTGGAGGAATGCCTGGCCACTGCAGTTTAGGCATTTTGAAGTTCTTGTGTCCTGGAGCTGTGGCTGGGGTTTCTCTCACAGTAGAGGCAAGTAATTGCAACTCTTCTCTATTATTGTACACCTTGAAGGCGAGGTTAATTGAGTCCTGTTGTGGGGTTTCAGGGCCAGAATCTAATTTTTGGAGCTTTTTCTAATGTTGGGAGTGGGTTGGTAATAAAATGCATATTGAGAATAAGACGGCCTTCTGGTCCCTCTGGGTCTAGGGCGGTAAAGCATTTAAGGGTTGTTGCCAAACAGGCCATGAACTGGCTGGGGTTTTATATTTGATGAAAAAGAGCCTAAATGCTGTTTTGGGAGAGGTCGGATAAAGAAAAAGGAGCATTAACCTTGACCATGCCTTTAGCTCCAGCCACCTCTTTAAGAGGAAATAGTTGGGCAGGTGGAGGAGGACTAGATGTGGAATGAAACTGTAAGCCTGTAAGCCAGACCAGGTGTGAGGAGGGGACACGATAGAAGGATTGTAGGGTTGGAGAGTGGAGGCTGAGGAAGAATTGGGACATGGCTCAGCCTGGTGAGAAGCAGCCTGAGGAGGAGGGGAGAAGTCAGATGGGTCCGTAGAAAAGGAGGATTCAAAGGACTTAGAGCTTGTGGTGGAGACTGAAGGAACAAACAGGAGAGAAAGAAGAAAGATGTGGGACAAGTCACATTGGGAGCAGAGATTAGGGAGGGACCAATGTGTAAAAGAATGCCTGGATATCAGGCACCTCAGACCATTTGCCCATTTTACAACAAGAATTATCTAGATCTTGTAAGGTGGAGAAATTGAAAGTGCCATTTTCTGGCTATTTGGAACCATTGTTGAGTTTGTATTGGGGTCAAGTGGTATTGCAGAACAAAATAAGTCATTTAGGTTTTAGGTCAGGCAAGAGTTGAAGAAGTTTTAACTTCTTGAGAACATAGGCTAAGGGAGAAGAAGGAGGCATAGAGGGTGGAAGTTTGCCGATAATGAAGGAGGCAAGCCCAGAGAAAAGAGAGGGTAGAGACATGGGGGTGGGTACTTGCCCCCCAGGGAAGGTGGTGCTTGACGTCAAGGTGAAGGATCAAGGCAGTTGTCCCTATGGTGATCAGACACCTCTGAAATGTGGGTGAATAATCAGGCAGGTGCCCCCACAGTGATTAGACACCAATGGAAGGCTGTATTCCCAAGTCCGTTACTGGCGATGGAGTTATGGGTTCATGGATAAAACATGTCTCCTTTGTCTCTACTAGAGAGGAAAAAGAACCTGGAATTGGAAGGACAGGGAGATTGAAGGGTAGCAAGAGAGGCTGGAGAAGAGAGTGAAAAGACCACTTACCCGATTTGAAATTGGTGAGATGTTCCTTGGGCTGGTTGGCCTGAGGACCCGAGGTCATAGGTGGATCTTTCTCATTGAGCAAAGAGCAGGAGGACAGGGGATTAATCTCCCAAGGGAGGTCCCCCGATCTGAGTCACAGCACCAAATATCATGTGTGTCCATGTGAAGAGACCACCAACAGGATTTGTGTGAGCAATAAAGCCTTTTAATCACCTGGGAGCAGGTGGGCTGAGTCCAAAAAGAGAGTCGGCCAAGGGAGTTAGGGGTGGGGCAGTTTTATAGGATTTGGGTAGATAGTGAAAAATTACAGTCGAAGGGGGCTGTTCTCTTGCAGGCAGGGGCAGTGGTCACAAGGTGCTCTGTGGGGGAGCTTCTGGGCCAGAAGAAGGAATTTCACAAAGTAATGTCATCAGTTAAGGCAGTAACTGGTCGTTTTCACTTCTTTTGTGATTCTTCAGTTGCTTCAGGCCATCTGGATGTATACGTGCAGGCTTGGGCTCAGATGCCTGACAGTTACCATGTTATACAACACACTTCTTGAATTCATTCTTCCCACCTAACTGAAATTCTGTATTCTTTTTGTACGTTGTTTGTATACCTTTTAAAAACTGAACACTAGCATTCCCAGATGCGAGAGAATTTTATGGTGAGAGCTAGAAAGTACAATTTTTAGTAGTGTAAGCATGCCTCTGTTGCCACTGTAGTCAGTTATGTTCCTGTTGCTGGCTAAGATTGAAAGAGGATGATGGGATTGGGTGGGAAGGGGTGGATATTTAGAGGAGACAAGCAACTCAGGATCAGACCAGCCAAACCAAGCCCAAGCTACAGGTTTCTTACCCTTTTGCTTGGAGCACTATCTTCAGCCCAGTCAAAGACAGAACCCAGAAGATTCTTATTTTGTCTTTCTTATTCTTTATACCACCAAGGAAGACTCTGTGACCATTTAAAACTCCACAGCCACATACAATTTCCAAAGGAGGAGAAAAAAGGAGTCAGGTCCCCCCATCTCCTGGGGTTGAAAATTTTTGAAATACATATTTTTAGTTCTTCCAAAAAAAGTTTAGTTCTTAAAAACATTGTTTATAATAAATCATATGTCTTTGTTTTAAAATTGTAATCAACTATAGGGTGAGAGCAGCTCTTTTAGAAAAACTCTGAAATTAAAACAACCACTTAACACTCCAACCTAATGCCTGCAGTAAATCAAATGTCTTTGTTGTTTAGGTTTTAGCTGAACAGGTCCATATAAAAAGAGAGTTTTAGCACTATATATAAGAAGAATTGTCTCTCCAAACCCGTCTAACAATTTTTTTCATTCTTTAGGTAAAAACGTCAGCAGGAACTTAAGTGGGGTATAGGCAGGCTACCAATAACTTTTTGTGCCAGACATTATATAACAAAGTCAAATTTTAATGTACACAAAAATGTACAGCAGCTTAAAAAAGCAGTTGTTCAAAAAGGTGTTCAATAAATCATTGCCACAGGGCTGGAAGGGCTGGGAGGGCATCTGAGTTAAAACGACAGCTGGCACTAGTACACTGTGTGACCTTGGCCATATCACTTAACCCCTCTGCCTCTCAGCTTCTTTGTGTATGATCTTTTTACTGCTCACCCTGTCTTTCCAGGTCAAACTATCCAGAGAACACTATGTGGCAGAGTGTTCTTTGCACGCTCATGACCCCTTCTACAAATCTGTTCCAGGAAGAGCATAATCCAGTGGCGGTTTTTTCTCTAGACAAAGCAGGCTCTTCCCTGTAGCTAGAGTTTCTACTCTTCCCAAAAACAGTAGAGAGAGATGAGAGTAGCACAGCATAGGGAAAAAAAGTATTGTGTCATAAGTCAGGAAGACTAGTTCCTAGCTCTGGCTCTGCTACTCCCTCGTTTGGGAAAAGACACTTGACCTAGTATGTCTGTTTCCTCAACTGTAAAAAATGAGGTTAGAATACGATCTATTTGTAAATAAAACCCAATGGTACTGGCACATGACTAGACAAAGACCAATGGAATAAAAAAGAAAGTTCAAAAAACAGACCCAACTACTTACGGAAATTTAATTTGTGGTAAAGGTGGTACCTCAGATGACTGGAACAAAGTGGTCTCTTCAATAAATAATGTTGGGACAACTACAGGGCCACTTGGAATAAAGATGAACTCAGATCCATTCTTAGTGACATGTATGAAAATAAATTCCAAATAGATCTGGAATCTAAGTGTATAAAAACAAAACCACTCAAGTGCTTGAAGAAAACATGAGTGGATTCCTCTACAATGTGAGTGAAAAGAAAAGCTTTATAAAGATAATGCAATAAAAGAAATATTAGTAAATTTGAAACTTTTGCCTATAATAATCAAAAACAAAAACAAATGACAAATTTTGCTATAGATCACAAATAAAGGACTAATTTGTCTTAATATTTTTTAAAACTTCATAATTGAGAAAATAATAGAAAAATGGGCAAAGACTTGAACAGAAAATTCAGCAAAAAAACATTTTTAAAGGTTCTTCAACATATGAAAAGGTGTTCAAGTTTACTCATAATAAAAGAAGTGCAAATTAAAACTACACTGAAATACTTTTTTTTCCATCAGACTAATAAAAATTCAAATGTTTGACCATACATTTTGTTGGCCTGGCTGTGAGGAAAAAAAGACTTAAAGGAAATTAGTACTAATAGCAATGAGCACAGCTAGTGCCCTATTCTTACTTTCTAAATACTATTCTTCATTAAAAGGAAACAGAGCTGCTTGCAGAAATGGCTGATTTCATGGCCATCTTGTTGGGACAAAAAATAAGAAAGTGCTCCAAAAAATGATGGAAATGCAGCACAAGGACACAGGAACCATTTTAATGGGATTTCAACTACCCAAATCTGTGATAATTTGAGTATGAAAAGAAATAAGGCTAATAATAAATTATAACCTACTGAATAAAATAAGATTTAATGAGTGAATATAGATAATAAATAGATAAATAAGTAGGATAAACAGGGTTTTTCTTTGTAGTAAAATTTTAGCTGATAAATGTGGAGAAAGTAAAGTTCAAAAATCAGTATCTGGCAATCATACTAGTAATGATTGGTATAGGCAAGAATCATCAATGAATGCTAAAGATTGATGAGAAACGGGATATTTTCATGGTCTCAAAATGTCTCTCCCTTGTTGTTTATTAGTTGTATAAGAAAAAATAGTCATTGTACGTGGAAGAAGCCAGAGAACACCTTGAACAGGTTATCAAAATTAGCATCACCAGTGAGAAGCAGACAAACATCATGTGCTTCCACATTTGATAATCTGAGAAGGGTAAGTCATCCTTATGGGGTATTCTGGATGAGAATGCAGAACTTTAACCGGACTATGAGAAAATATGTGGACAAACTCATACTGATTGACATTCTATAAAATATTTGGCCCATATTCTTTTAAAAATGTCAGTATTATGAAAGATAAGGATATGTTAAGTAACTTTTCCAAATTAAAAGAGAGGAAAAGATCATAGCAACTAAATACAATATGAATTTTAGGCTCAACCCTGTTTTAAAAGGGGAAAACTTTTTTTAAGGACATTATTTGGCACTGGGGAAAGTTAAAGTATGAACTGCAGATTGAAGTATCATCTCAATGTTAGATTTCCTAAATTTGTTATCTGCACTATGGTTACATATGAGAATATCCTTTTTCTTAGGATATATACAATAAGGTTTTAGGAGATAAAGGGCATCATGCATATAACCTACTCTCAAATTGCTCTGATAAAAAATAAATTACCATATAAATTTTTAAATATATGATTTATCATATGCTGGAAAAGATAGAGTATGATGTTTAAAGATAGATTTTGGTGCAAATTCTGTCTTCACCAATGACTTCTGACTTTTGACTTTTGGCAAGTTTTAACCTTGTAGAGCCTTAGTTACCTACACTTAAACTAAAATTAAAAGGTCTGTCTTAGAGTAGGTTGTGAATATAAATAATTTATGTCTTAATAAAGTGCAATAAAGTGCCTAGCAGCATAGAAAACATTGAATAGATTACTAGCTTCCTCTTTATTGCCACCTTTTCCTTCTAAATGCTAGGATATTTTAGAAACTCATTAACTTTCTTAGGCTGCTAAAATACAATGAAATATGTAGATGTAGAGTTGTCATCAAATTAATAGAAGTAGCCACAAAGAGGTAATACACAGTGGTCAACCCAAAGTTCTGTGTCACTTTCTGTATATAACAGTTTCAGAAGACAGTATGGCATCAAATTTGAATTTGAACAGGAGCTCCACCAGTTATTAGCTGTTGATTTTCCAAACCTTAATTCCTCACCCATAAGTCATGCATAATATTACCTTGCATAATTATTAAAAGGGCTAGAAAGAATATATGGAAAAGACACGTCCTGGCACAAAAAGGTGATCCTGCAAATTATAGCTATTACTATTGTGACACCAATAAATGTCTACTGATTCAGTTTTACAATCCCTGACAAGAGTTGTTTAAAATATAAATGGATATGTTTCTGAGAAGTAAATTATAGAACTAGTTGGGGTGTTGTTGCACAATCCTAAACTCCCCGTTTTCAAGATTGCCAATCAAGGGCAGTGATTGCTATTCAGAAAAATAACTATCAAATAGAAATAGAGTCCTCTTTTATTAATTGCTAAGGGAGAGCCCAATAACTTACAATTCCAGAAATTGTGTTTGAGATATAAAGGTAGCTAGTGATGTAGATAACAACTGAACAGACACTTTTCAAAAGAAAACATACAAGGAGCCAACAAACATGAAAAAATGCTCCACATAACTAATCATCAAAGAAATCCAAATTAAAACCACAATGAGATATCATCTTACACCAGTCAGGATGGCTATTATTAGAAAGACAAAAATCAACAGATACTGGTGAGGATCCATGGAGGAAAGGGAATACTTACAGACAGTTGGTCAGAATGTAGATTAGTACAACCTCTATGGAAAACACTATGGAGATTTCTCAAATAAATAAAAATAGAACTGTGCCTTATTCCAGCAAAGAGATAGTTTTATAAAAAGACACTTGCACTCGTATGTTTATCACAGCACTGTTCAGAATAGCACTCATGAAATCAACCTAAGTTTCCACCAAGAGATGATTGCATAAAAAACATGATTAATATATCACATTGAATAGTATTCCATGGTGTGTGTGTGTGTGTGTGTGTGTGTATGTATATGTATATATACATACACATATACACACATTATATATATAAAAAATATATATATAATATATATGATGGCTGAGCAGTATTCCATGGCATATATATATGCACAATATTACCTTGCATAATTATTAAAAGGGCTATACACCATGGAATACTACTCAGCCTAAAAAAGAATGAAATCATGTATTTTGCAGCAACATGGTTGGAACTGGAAGCCACTATCTTAAGTGAAATAACTCAGAAAGAGAAAATCAAATAGCACATGTTCTCGCTTATAAGTGGGAGGTAAACAATGTATACACATATATATACAAAGTGGAATAACAGACTTTGAAGACTCCAAAGGGTGGGAGGTGGGAGGAGGTAAAGGATGAGACATTACCTATAAGTTATAAATTACACTATTCAGGTGATGGTTATATTAAAAGCTCAGACTTTAACACTATACAATATATCCATATAATAAAAATGTACTAGTACCACTTAAATCTATGAATTTAAAAAAAATTAAAAAGAAAAAGAAAAAAGAATTAAAGAGAGAAGGAAGAAAGGAACTTTTCTTTTTCTTTAGGAATAAAAGTCTTTTTAATTTATTTTGGAAGGAAGTCGATGGTAATGGAGCTAAGAATAGAAATAACAGTCACTCAGATAAATGATACAAAAAAATGAAGTGCTACCCAAACAATTTGGGAAAGTATTCTTCTGAAAACTGAGAGTGGGGCCCCTGGAGGAGTTAGACATCACCAAAGGCTTTGGGGCTGCGGGAATGGAAAATTCCTTGGCTCCCTTTAATGATCTCAGGTGCCCCAGGTGCTACTTATTCTAAGATGAGATTTTTAGGACTCTCAATTTTCATATGTACTCCAAAGATTCCATTCTAGGAGTAGTAATGGGGAGAAAAGGACTTTCTGCTAGTTTCCAAAGCACTGCTTATAGAGCTAAAGCCCTGGGCTTTCCTCTTGGGTGCATTTTTCCCAGATGTGCTGTTTGGGAACTCAGCCAATGATGTGTGATTCCCAATTCCCTAGTCTATTACCACCCCATGGTTTGAGGATAAAGGTGATTAAGAAAGTTTACAAAGTAGAACTCTTGGATCAAATTCTATGGAACATTGAAATCTCATGACTGAATGTCACAAAATCCACCAACCATGTAATTATAAGTTCAAAACAACTAAAGAAATCAAACGATTGAAACTGGACCCCACAGTCTTTGAAAGATCACATCTGGAGAAGTCACTCATATTAATACAAACAGTGGCACCATGATGAACAAAATCAACTGTGATATGGAACTCAACATTAAAATTTTGGAAGTATCCACTTTCCAAATGTCAGTGTAAACATCCAGGATATTGTTGAGTTTCTCTTCTAATCTACACTTGGGGTAGGCCCAACCCACTAGCCTTCCTGAACTGCCCCAGTTGCAGCCAATCCAGAGAAGCCTCCAGGAGAATGGAATTTTTCCTTTTATTACACCATGGTTTCTTTCTAATAGGGATGCAAATTAGAAGAATTTCTGAGGCAATATGAATGTTCTGTTAAGGATGTGTCACCTACAAAAATTTGACCAGTTAGCAGAAGCAATAATAGGTCTCTAGTGTCCAAGAATTTTCAGTCATGAAAATTCAGTTGGGTTTGTGTATTTCTGTAAAACCACCTCCCCTTTTCCTGTTTTACCCTCTTTTGACTTGATCCAGATTCCCTCCTTATACTTCCTTCGTGAAGGTGATAAGGGGCCACCCATCTTTAATATAATTAGGCCAGTTCTTCCAATTATTTCCTTATGTTATTATTTTAATATAGGCAGTTGTTTGGAATCCCATTGTTAGGCATGTGCGTAGGAGGCCTTTCTTGGTGGCAATCCTTAATAACCTTCAAGCCACTTATTATACTTCTCTTCTCAAAACTTTGAAAACCTAGAGAGTACTTGCATTATGTCTTGAAATGTTAATGCATATAAAGCTTTTCCTTGATGTCCTGTGCTTTTGTTTCAGCTTCTTGTCAAAGAGATATCTTCTTACATTATCCTTATTCCTATGCACTTGTTTCTAACACACTATGAGGTCTACTTTTCTATTTCATCTTATTCCCTTTCAAATGGTACTCCCCCAAGTCTTTGGTCTGGTGACACTGGACCTTGAGTACACCAGACATGTTGCACCCATGGCCCAAAGAGAAACCAAAGAAGTTTGAAATTAGGAGACAATATGCCAGAAGAGATTCAAAAAGACATGCGGACAAGGCATTGCTGAACAGGACTTTGAATTAGATGCTCAACTGTTCCACACACTTGAATTAGGCCTAAAGTAACCCATGATCATTTTTGCTTCCAACTAAGGCAATTATATTTTCAGAGATAGTGATATGGTTTGGCTTTGTGTCCCCATCCAAATCTCATCCTGATTTTTATCCCCATGTGTTGAAGGAGGGACCTGTAATCCCCACATGTTGAGGGAGGGAGGTGACTGGATCATGAGGCAGTTTCCCCCATGCTGTTCTTGTGGTAGTGAAGGATTTCTCACAAGAGCTGATGATTTTTAAGGTGTTTGGCAGTTCCTCCTTCATGCACTCTTTCTCTCTCCTGCCACCTTGTAAAGAAGGTGTCTACTTCCCCTCCCACTATGATTGTAAGTGTCCTGAGGCCTCCCAGCCGTGCAAAACTGTGAGCCAATTAAACCTCTTTCCTGTATAAATTACCCAATCTTAGGTACTTCTTTATAGCAGTATGAAAACGGACTAATACAGATGGTAATATAAAAACACAAATGCCTTCTAGACTTTCTGGACCAAGAGATCGTCATTCAAATAATGCTAGATGTATCAAAGAAATATAATCATCATAAAATTCAGAGCCATGAGAGACATTCATGTTAGAAACAACTGAACCACCTAAAGGAACATATAAAGAAGATACCTTTTAAGATGCTTAATATAGCTACTGGCCCATGAAAAATACCAGATCCAGAAGAAATACACTGAAGAAAATAAAAGGAGCTCTAAGACTCCAAGTTTCCAATCAAGATCAGTAAGATAAATACATGAAATAAAGTGACGCTGGGATTTTAACAGTTCAGCTGAAATATCGTGTGCTAGAAAGTGAATGATTCTGGAACAGAAAATACCTGGTGCCTGAGTCACATGTTTTCTCCCACCTATGAGCACAGCATTGTCTGGTCCCTACAAAACCATTTCTTCTAAATGTTCATATATTTTTCCATGGTTCTTTGGTAAGATCATCACTATCCATGTTTTTCATGCATATTTTTTCAAAATTAAACAGTTCTAAAGAAGTAAAAGGCATCCAAACTGGAAAGGAAGAAGTCAAATTAGCCTTGTTTGCAGATAATTTGATCTCCTATTTGGAAAAATCTGAAGACTCCACCTAAAACCTATTACAACTGATAAACGAATTTAGTAAAGTTGCAGGATACAAAAGCAACATGTAAAAATCAGTAGCATTTTTATTTGCCAACAGTGAAGAGTCTGAAAAATAAATCAAGAAAGTGATCCAATTTACAATAGCCACCCATAAAATGAAATACCTAGGAACTGACTTAACCAAAGAAGTGAAAGATCTCTATAATGAAAAGTATAAAACACTGATGAAAGAAATTGAAGAGGAAAGAAAAAAAGGAAAGATAGTTCATGTTCATATATTGGAAGAATCAATATTGTTAAAATGTCCATGCTACCCAAAGCAATCTACAGATTTAATGCAATCCCTACAAAAATACCAATAACATTCTTCACAGAAATAGAAAAAACAATCCTAAAATGTATGCAGAACTACAAAAGACCTAGAATAGCCAAAGTTATCCTAAGCATAAAGAACAAAAGTGGAGAAATCACATTACCTGACTTCAAATTATTCTACAAAACTATAATAACCAAAACAGCCTGGTACTGGCATAAAAACAAACAGACCAGTGAAACAGAGAGCTCAGAAACAAACTTACACACTTACAGTGAACTTATTTTCAACAAAGTTGTCAACATACCCTGGAGAAAACAGTTTGCTGTTAAAACTGGATATCCATATGCAGAAAAGTGAAACTAGACCTCTACCTCTCAACACAGACAAAAATCAAATCAAAATGGAGTAAATTATTTTTCTTCAATTTTAATCTAAGACCTCACGCTAGAAACTACCACAAGAAAGCATCAGGAAAACTCTCCAGGACATTGGTCTGGGCAAAAATTTCTTGAGCAATACCCTCCATATACAGACAACCAAAGCAAAAATGAACTGATGGGATCACATCAAGTTAAAAAGCTTCTGAACAGCAAAAGAGACAATAAAGTGAAGAGACAACCCACAGAATGAGAGAAAATAGTTTCAACAATCCATCTGACAAGGGGTTAATAACCAGAATATACAAGGAGCTCAAACAACTCTAAAAAAACTAATAATTTAATTAAAAAATGGGCAAAAGATTTGAAAAGACATTTCTCAAAAGAAGATATACAAATGGCAAACAAGCATATGAAAAGTATTCACCATCACTGATCATCAGAGAATGCAAATCAAAACTATAATGAGATATAATCTCACCCCAGTTAAAATGGCTTATATCCAAAAAAACAGGCAATAATAAATGCTGGAGAGAATGTGGAGAAAAAGGAAACTTTGTACACTGTTGGTGGGAATGTAAATTAGTACAACTACTATGGAGAACAGTTTGGAGGTTCCTAAGAAAACTCAAAATTGAGCTACCGTATGACCCAGCAATCCCACTGCTGGGTATATGCCCAAAGGGAAGGAAGTCAGTATTTCAAAGAGATATCTGCACTTCCATGTTTATTGCAGCACCGTTCATGATACTCAAGATTTGGAAGCAACCTAAGTGTCCATCAACAGATGAATGCATAAAGAAAATATGGTACATATACATAATGGAGTACTATTCAGCTGTAGAAAAAGAATGAGATCCTGTCATTTGCAACAACATGGATGGAAATGGAGGTCGTTATGTTAAGTGGAATAAGCCAGGCAGAGAAAAACAAACTTCACATGTTCTCACTTACTTGTGGGAGCTAAAAATTAAAATGATTAAACCCACACAGAGAGAAAATGCTTATCAGAGGCTGGGAAGAGTAGCTGGGGTGGAGGGAAACTGGAGATGTTTAAAGAGTATAAGAAAAATAGAAAGAATGAATGAGACCTAGGATTTGCTAGCACTACAGGTTGACTATAGTCAAAAACAATTTAATTGTACATTTCAAAATAACTAAGACAGTATAAGCGGATGGTTTGTCAACACAAAGGATAAATGCTTGAGGTGATGGATACCCCATGTATCCTGATGTGATTACTATGCATTGCATGCCTATATCAAAATATCTCATGTAACTATGAATATATATACCTACTATGTACCCATGAAAATTAAAAATAAAACATTTTTAAGTAAATAAATAAAATGGTTCTGAATTCATTTTTGATTAAACATACTGCTTTCTCATAGAAAACCCTTCCAACCAAGACCCTCACCTAACCCTCCTAATCTATAGGTTCTTCTTATCCCTCTGGAAGTTACTACTCATATTTCCAAAGTGCAACAGAATGAGCATGAGAAAACAAAGATCATGAAAGAGAAACTAGGAGTTCAACCCCAGGGTAGTCCAGGAGCTTCTCTTCTCCTAGACAAAATTAGAGGTCAATTCAAATACAAGTCTTGAATCCTATGTAACAAACCCATTCTTCTCTCCACCTTCATAATGGTACAAGTTTTTTATGGACAAATTGTAGCAACCCATCCTATTTCTTTTTTCTTTAGTATAGAAAAAAGCGGGGAAGGATTACTAAAACTATAAGGGCCCAAGTTTGTTCTAAAAAAATTATTTTCAAGGAATAAAAGAGAAATTATCCCAGCCCTGAGATTAACATGATATTGTATGAACCCACCTAACTGTTCAGAGTTTGAGAAAATTTCCCTCGTCTCCTGGGTCCTATTATTTTTCCTATGCCCACTGGCCTAACATAAACCTCCGTACAAAACCCTGTCTGGGATCCCTGGATACAAATCTGTTTTCTCCCTGTCACCAAGCTGCCTTACACACTGAGTTCTGCATCCTCTAACTATGCATTTGCCTATAACCTCTGCTCTGTTTGAACCTCTGAATGTCCACCCCAAACTGCCTTCTCAAAATTTGAAAAAGTCCAGTTTGGCCTCATCTATGAGGCTCTAACCTCTAATTTAGCCCTAAAACTTCATTATTCACTCTGTCCCCAGCCTTGCCTTCTGGTCCTGCTCCTGCCTGACCTAACATGTGTTGACTGCTTACTACTAAGTCCAGATGCCAACCGGAAGACATTATAAAACTCTTCAGCCAACCCTTCAACTCAGAAAAGAAATGATGAGAGGCCTAGATATAATTTCCACATCAAGCATAAAAAAAGATCCTGCTGATCATTTCAAACATGAGTTGTAATTAAAGTGATTTGAGGAGAGAGTCTATTGAGAACTATAATTTTTGGCAAATAATTCTACCCATTTGGAAAGTAAGGTCTGTGTTTTTTTGTTTTTTTGTTTTTAATGATTCAAACAGAGTACACTAGCCACATGTGTAGAAATACACTTGTTGGAGTCAGGTTTTCATTGTTGCATTATAAAGGGTAGCTTTCACAAGAAAAATGTTAATCCTTGTAAGGAATTGGCATTAAATAACCATCAAATATTTCACTCTCATAGATACTTTAAGACAGTTTTTAAATCTTGCTACATTCTTCCATGGTTTTCTTCATTCCAATCTTAACATCAAAAATGAAATTCCTGAATGCGTAAGACTTAGGTCTTTACATTAAGTTTTAGTAATACCTCTACACAATATCTCTAAATCATTTCTGTCTCAGGGTTCACCATTGGTCACTTACTGTGTGAATAGTGAAATGCAGTGTTTTTGCAAATGGTACAATATTCTAGTGGAAGATGTAGTACCTGGCCCCTCATTTTGTCTGCCTCTGGTTTGTGTCAAGCTGACACTGTGTAGGTCAGTTCACTCGTCCTTAATACAATGTTTAAATACACAGTAAAAGCAATATTCATGGAGTGGTATAAATATCATACTCCCAAATTACAGCAGTTTTATTTAAATACTTCCATTTTCTACAGGACCCATAGAGATTTCAGTGTTTCCACAATTTAAGATTTAAACAGACCAAAAGAAATAGTCTAAAATGGATGATACAAAAGCAAAATATGAAAAAAGATATTATTGCTTTTTCAAAATCTCCTTTTCAAGCATCATTGCTTTGCAATTTTAGGGCTGGGGGATAGTGCTAGTGAACATATAGATCATTCTAGGGTGTAAATATCTGCTCTATAAAACACTTCTGTTTGTAAAAACCCTTTTTCTATCCCCATTGAGGAAGTCAGGGTGATGAAAAGAAGAGATGTTTGTGTCAGCAACACCAGACTACATTCATCATTAAGGCAACAAGACAGAATTAAACCTCCCCATATAGAACAAAACCACCAAGATCGTTCCATTGCTATACTAACTTCCCACACAGGTGAGTTAATGTATCACACCACCAGAAAGACATATATATTATTCATCACCAATCTCACTGATGAAAAGAACTTCCTAACTGTTTTGATTTCCCTGAAATCTGACTTTGCTGATTCTTTTAAAGTATGCAGTTTAAACTGGGTCTTCAGAGTGCTCTGAAAGGTTTTTTTTTTTAAATCTTCATTTTTATCCTTAAGTAATTGCTAAATAAATGTATGACCTAGCTCAGAAATTAGAGAATAATTTCTTAACACTCTTCTGTTAATATTTATCAAAATAACCTCCCAAATCCAGAAAGAATAAAATTCAAAATTTATTATAACATTTATCATTATGCATAAAGGATACATTTCATTTTTAAAGAAACACAAGAAAATTCAAAATAAATGTATATCTCAGTATTTCATTTTAATTACCTCCTCTGTTATGATGATTCAAATAAAAATGCTGAAATGAATATAAATAAACAAGCTTGATTAAAACAAAGCACATTAAAATAATTTTTCTTTTGAGAGGAATGCATAGCATATCTTAACAAATAGTTTCAGTAAAGAGCTTCCTGGCATGAAAGATGGCAACAGTTAGGCAATAACAAGGTAACGCTGAGTCATAGACCAAAACTTTAGCTGAAAGCTTCAAAGACCCAAAGAATTACTATTGAATAACATTTAAAGCCATTGATATGAGAAGAATTTTAAGTATTCCTCAAATGCAGATGTCTGTGGAATAATGAATTCAGTGAAGACTTGACTTTTATTGAGAACTTTTTGAAAGGAAACCTACCTCCTGACATTGGTTCAAGGGTAGAATTTATTGAAATGCAGTTGTTGTCAAGTGGAGCCCCTTTCCTTCGCTTTTTCTTTTCGCAATTGTGAGCAATCACTAGACACAACATGTTCCTGAAATGTAAGCCAAAGCCCCACATGCCTGCCCAGTTTCTATCCTTTCCAATTTACATTGACATCCTTGGTTCCTTTCACAGGAAATGAGCATTAGCCTCTTGTGCATCTTGCCTCCTCGGTAATGTCCCATCTGAAAGACCACTGTCAGAAACCAGCCAGTTCTTACCTGAACCAGACACATAATTGAAAAGCAACTCTGCAGGTATTTGGCAGATGAACTAATAGAGAAGCCTCTGCAATTCCCATTTTCATTCTACAACCCCACTGTCTGGTGCTTAAATCATTTTTTCCTTTTCTCTCATTGAATTTAAGTGAATGTTAAAATAGTTAAAAGGAGACCACATTATAATTTCTCCCATTTACTGAAATCTGCTAAGTTAGCGTACTTTTTTTTTTTATCATTGTAAGACATATTCCACCCTCTGGCAAGGGCCTACTTCCTGTTTGACATAATGAGCTGTGCCATCATTCATGAAAAGATAAAAAAACTTGTTCAACAGCCAATTTCCTGACTGATGTAATACCCGTGTAAGATATGGCCTACACCTCAGTCTGTAGGTTTCCAGAAAGCCAAAAACAAAAGTTATATTTTTGCTCCCTATACACAAGCCACCTCTGACAAAATTTCCTTATGCTTGTCAGCAATTCTAGAAGCAAATGGATTATTTGTTCCTCTATGGGAATTCTCAAAGCCACAGGATAATGATTTCAAAGAAAGGAAGGAGAAATGATGAAATAACAACAATGCTATTACTCTTTTAAGGAGAAAGACTACCGGCATATTTCTACTGGGTGGTCCAATTATTACAAATGAATATTTGTTTTTTATTTGTTTGTTGGTAGTATGACTTATTCCAGAAAGGATTTACAGCATCTTCAAAAGAAACTCATAACACATCAAGACACAATAACTTTAAAACACATTAGGAAGAAAATCAAATAAAGAAAAACTAAGGCGATGGAGATAAAAGGGACACAGAATTCAGCAAATAAAACTCACATTAAGTTCTTCTTGCTAAAGGTGTGTCACAGATTATTACTATTATTTTTAATTAACTATAAGTTAATAAATCCACAAGCAACAATACCACTGCTTGTGGAATGGGGATGTAGGATTGAAGACCTCTGAGAGTTGTTTCTGAAATAAAGATTGTAGAATTATAGAAAAGTCATTGGTATCACTAACTGATTGATTTATGTTGAAGGTAAACATGGATATTCTATGATGGAAATACTCTGATACCATTTTAGTCCTCAAATTCCTACATATTAAAGCTAAACCTGAAAGAATAGTTTTACTGTGAGTTTATGTTTGTCAATTAAGAACCTTGCCATAGTAATTTCCCACAAACAGAAATGTTCATGATTGGCATCATAAAAGCTGATGTCCTAGTATTTCATGCCAATGTTAGAAGAGCAGTGACACCATCAAATAACACTTGCAATCTGGACCCAGCTCTCTGTTGACTAGAGAGCAGTTTCTTGCACACTTATGGAAGAAATTTCACTACCAGATTAAACAGTAGCAGAAAATTGCTCTCTTAGCCACACAAGCAGTCAATACTCCTCCCATGGTTTTCGATGATTTATTACAACGCACTGTGAAGTTGGCACCTAGGAAACCAACTATTCACAAAATTATTCTATTTGAGATCCTGTGCATGACATGTTCTGACATGGCAGGATGATGTCTCAAAATCACTAGTAGCTGTCTTTCACTTGGGAAACCCCCAGTGACAAAGAGTTGGTAATTGCCCTAGTTCTTTTCCTATTGCTGCTTCCTCCATCGCCAAGCTAGATATGCGGAACTCTAGACACAAAGAGAAGTTCAATTGCTTAAAATGCTTTGGGGTTTTTTATGCTATTCTATCTTACAATGACAATAAAACTGAGAAAGAATTATGGACTTTTCTATACTGGCCAAAATGCTGGCAACATTCTGGCTTATGTTAAATATTTCACCTTAAGGCATAGGTAATTTGTGTTGGCCTTTTTTTTTTTTTTTTTTTTTTGGCACCAGTGTGGTGAGATGTGATCAACTGAACATCAAAATACTGCATATTGCCCTTGGAAGCATAATGCCCTTGGAAGCATATTGCCCTTGGAAGCATTTCACAGTGTAGAATTGAGATTTCCAAAAGTTCCTCAAGATTGGTTTCAGTCCAAAAGTGGAATATATCACAGAAGATGGCCAAATTCTCCATGCTATAATTGAAACATCCTGGTCATTGGGCGGTTAAAAAGTGCTAAAGCACAACTCAGAGCTTCTCAGTTTTGTTTTCAGAGGCCTCCTTGATGTATCAAAAAACAGAATAACAACCTACCTATGTTGTCTTTCACTCTTATCCAGATTCACTCACCTATCCCTTAGAAATATCCATAGAAATAACCAACCGACATCATCCTAGCTAAATCTAATCAAAATATTAATAATAGTAGCAGTTCCTATTTATAGAAGGCCTGTTATGTGCCTAATACTGCCCTCAGACATTTTATGTTATTTTACTCAGTTCTCACAATAGGTTTATAAAATTGATATTTTTACCCTTATTTTACAGTGGAGGAAACCAAAAGTCAGAAAAGTGAAGTCATTTGTCCAAGATAACTTTACTAACAAGTGGTTAGATATAAGAAGTGAAGTGTGAGACTATTGAAAATGTCTTTTAGCTCCTTGGAGAAATAAATCATATAAATTATAAATTATTTGAGACTTTTGAAAAAATTTTCCTACACTGTATATTGACCAACAGTGAAACTGTCAGGAAACATAGTCAATTAAGCATAGAAGGCCACATGGATGGCACAAGGTCTGCCTCCAGTCCAGACCAGCTGAATAGCCTGGCACCATGTTTATCAGTTGGTCACAAATTGCTATTAGTTAGCCTATACAAATGATATAATTGCCAACTAAGTGTCAGTAACCTTCAGTTCTTTCTAGCAATGTGAGACACCCAGGGCACAATTCATGTCATTTGTTCACTCATAATTTACCCAGATATTAAAACTAGTTCAAACTCCCTAAAAACACCGTATGTGTTTCAAGGAATCCAGGAAAACTCCATCCAACTGAAGCCTTAGTAAAATGCCTGCAACTAATCCATGGCCTATGGGTTCACTGGAAGCTACTTTAGGGGGTCAAAGCTTACACACAAGGGAAAACAAAATATGTGTGAATGCAGCTGATTCTTTCCCCCATAGCAATGCTGGAAAACTCATATAAATATACAAATACACTGAGCTGTATTGTGAAAGGAGCCATTTGTTTTACTAACACAAGTTGGTATGGTGCAAGATTTTTCTTGGCAAATATAGTAGACTACAATGGAAAAAATTATAAACAATGGAGTTTTCTGGCAATTTTTAAAAAACTGAATGAACAGCCTTTCCAAAAGGTAAAAAAAAAAAAAAAAAAGAAAGAAAAAAAAACCCTCTTTCTTTTCCTCGGTCTCCCATGAGATACTACTCACATATAATCACTTTAAAAGTCAAAGCAGATGAAGAAATATGGCTCAATGATCAGCAGAGCTTGTTAAAATGACTATTTGGTCACTAGCGAGCTACCCTGCCAAATTTCAACACAGAGAACTACGTAGGCCATGCTATTCTAGCCAGAATGAAAAGTCTGTCGAAGATGGTCGCATGCTAGAGTTCAGGAGGTGAAGAAACCACTCCTCTTCCCAGAATTCCTTTGAGTATAGTTACCGTCACAGTGACGAAGGTTTGAATACAGGCATTGCTTTCATTACTAAATGTTACTATAGAGACCAAATGTTCTTGCTTAAACACAGATTTCATAGGAAGTGTGTTGGCTGAAGGTCAAAAATATCAAAAATATAGAGGAGAAACTTCCCCAGAGATAAAGTATATGATACTAGCTTAAGAAATCTAAGCCTATAGTGGCTACACCTCTCTCCTGAGCAGACCCCACGCCAAATGGGTGAAGTCTGTCTTTAACAACCTGCACAACTCTTTTTCTACTTGATCATTCAGAATGGTTGAAAACACATATACACCCCATTCCAAATTCAGTGCCTACTCACTTCATTCTTTAATATGCTCAAAAGTACATTATATCATGCATTCATGCATATGTTAAAGATGCAAAACATTATGAATTAAATATTTTCTTAGTTTATTTCTGAAATATTTTTAACCAAGAATTTTACATACTTTTTCATATATAATTGTATAAAACTACATATAAAAGATACACAGTGGAGTTTAGGATCCAACTCCAATCCCTCCTTAACGAACTGATAATAACCCTTAATTACTGTGGCTAAAGGCCTAATTCTTACACAATTCTAGATCATCTCCTATGCCCCACACTAGGCTTATTCCACCTGGTTTGTACTGGGATGTGTCATTTTTACTTCAGAGTTTCTGCCACCAAAGTACATAGATGCTACTTAAGTACTTAATGTCTACCTAGTCTTACCCAAGTAACCAATGTTGGCAATCTATTAACAACCCGTGTGTATAATTGTATACCCTTTCCATGCTTATATATTCATATATATGTATATATACATATTTTGATACATATATAGAAGTTGGAAATTGTCTTTGATTTTCAAAAATGAGGCTATAGGTATACATATCTACAATATACACATTTTTTCTCACTTAAAAGTGTATCCTGGACGTCCTTCCCAGTATTCACTTATCTCACTCTTTCCAATGATTGTATAATAATTTATGGTAAGAATTTACTCAGCCATTCCTCTGTTTATGGGGATTTTATATAAATTCATGGTAAAAATTTAATCAACCATTCCTCTGTTTATGGGGATTTATTCCATTTTCTGTCTTTTGCCACATAAAACAATACTATCCAGTTAGAAGTAAAGCACCAATAGAAATAAATGTAAACTGCTAATAGAAATATATGTAATCTCTAATGACACATGAGGCCTGCTTCAAGTAGAACACCGAAGAGGAACTAAACGTACATACCTTCAATTGCTTTGTCCCTCTTCTGATCTGGTGTCATTGCACAACAGTAAGTATTCCCCATCTGGTTCCTCCGCTTCTACTCCTGTCCTGCTGCCTTTCATTCATCAGTAGAAGCCAATAAGTTGTTAAAATAATAAATCAGCTGATTTCCTTTCCTTGCTCAGAAACTTCCAACAGCTTCCACTCATGCAAAGAATAAAGTCATAGCCAACCAAGCCCTATGTAATACGGCCCCTGGCTTCTTCTCCAACCTCTTGTCATCCCACTAACCACATTGCCTTTCATCCTGTTCCTCATCTGCACCAAGCACTCTCCAGTTACCTGCCTTTGCACCTGCTGTCTTTTCCCACCTGAACCCTCTTCCCCAGAAATCTTCAGTTCCTTCTTCCACTTTATTCAAGCCTCTGCTTAAATGTCCTCTCCTCAGAAAAGCCTTCCCTAATTATCATATCTAAAAATGGCCACTTACCTTGCTATATTTGTCTTTCAGTCACTGATCACTACCTGAAAATATATTGCAAAATTATGAAATTTTTTATTTTCCCTCATTAAAATATAAGCTCCATGCCTTGTTCTCCATACTTTCCCCAGTTCCTAGAACAGTGCAATGCATGAATAGGTGTTAAATATGTGTTGAACAAATACATGCACAAAAATGGTTTACAAGGGAACACTATAAGACAGATACAGCACATGTAGATTTTGAGTCTTTTGCGAGTGTTTGTACTTGTAGACATTTTGCCTACATTGACTCTACCACTAACTTCCCTCTGCATTAGCACTTTATGTACTAAATCTTCTCCACAAGCATAGACACTTAAAATTTTCTATGAAAACAGAAAATTGTGTAATGGCCCTAAGGATTCATTACGCCGTTTGTACTATTGCACTCAGTTGCCTGAGTTTCCATTTAATTTTGCCCTTATGGTTTCCCCAAGCATGAACTACAGAGTTGTTAGTGGAGGCTAATGACACTGGAAAAGGAAACACAGGAGAGAAAACTATCTCTACATTTGAGGGGTGTTCTGTTTCACTTTGGGGTATTGTATCAAAAAGAATCCTGGAAAATAGATGCTAAGTTGTATTGACTTGTTTCTCATTTTCCTGTGAGTCCAAAATACTGTAATTGGAAAGACAGGCAACCCTCATTATTTCCTATTTACAAAGATAGATTGCACATGGAATTGAGCTTCAGTCAATAGAGCACATTAATCAGTTTAGAACAAATGTCACAAAATGGGAAGTGGTTGAAGATTCATTCCATTAAGCAGAATATGAGTAGACAGGGTTAACTCTATATTTTTCTTTTCTTTTCTTTTCTTTTTTTATTTTATTTTATTATTTTTGTTGTTGTTGTTAAGATGGAGTCTCCCTCTTGTCGCCCAGGCTGGAGTGCACTGGCATGATCTTGGCTCACCGCAACCTCCGCCTCCCAGGTTCAAGCGAGTCTCCTGCCTCAGCCTCCTGAGTAGCTGGGATTACAGGCACCTGCCACCAAGCCCGGCTAACTTATGTACTTTTAGTAGAGACGGGGTTTCGCCATGTTAGCCAGGCTGGTCTCGAACTCCTGGCCTCAGGTGATCTGCCTGCCTCTGCCTCCTGAAGTGCTGGGATTCCAGGCGTGAGCCACCGTGCCCGGCCTAACTCTATTCTTAATAGAACATCCTATCTGCTTACTAGTCATGATCTTAATATTCTTTCTGCTTCCAGGGCTTTCCTTAAGAGGCAGCAAGTTCAGCTGATTGGCTCCATCTCAAGCTTTGTATGATCCTACCATTTATATGGGGCAGACTCAGAGACATTTCCCAGTAGATGGAAGAAAGTAGGTTCACCAGATGATAGAGAAATCTGGGATTCATAGAACAAGCAGCCTGTGTATCCATCCACCAATACTATGGTAAGTGTACTCAAGCCAGTGTCTTTCCTGGTTTGCTTCTTCCCTTCATCCTTATCGTTACTTGAAGGCACTTCGGTATTTATTTTAACTTAACTTCATCTGAATCAAGATACTGACAAGGCCAGTAGAGTCCATAGTTTTTCTTTTTAATATATCAAAGAATTATACAGCTTACTATTTGCCAAACATCACTCTAATCATTTAAAATACTATCTCATTTAATCCTCACATCAACTCTATAAGGTCAGAGCTATGATCTATTTGGTAATTGACTTATTTAAGTCACTTAACTAGAGGGCAGCAGAGTCAGGATTTGAACCCTAGCACTTTGATGCCACAGTCCATGTTTATAACAATGACTGTGCTGCCCTATGATGTCACATATATCTGACAGTGTGGAAAGGAAAACAAGATATTTTCTGCAACTCTTCTCTTTTTAACTAAAAAAGCTACTCATAAAAATTTTCAATTGAAAAAGGAAATAACAAAAAGTAATTGCTATTTTCTGTTTTAAAGCTTATCTAACACTGACAAAACTTAGCTTGAGGAGTAAAGTTGTATTTGAAAAAAATGAGTAAAATATTAATGGTTAATGTCATTGATTTAGGTTACAGCACAACTATTTGCCTATGATAATTTCACTTACATTGCTAATTTTAAAACCTGTTCCAGAAGGTGGTTTTATTTCAGAGGAACACCCATTTATAAGCCTTGTAATCTGTGGTTAATTTTTACAGAATTTCATTTACTCCAATTTCTCCAAACAAAATTAGGCTGGGTTTATGTTGTATATACATTTGATTGCATATAATTTAGAATACATGCACTCAATTTTCCTATTGTATCTAATATTATTTTATAGCAACTTTTCAGAACGTTCTGTACTATTGATAATTTGTTTTATACAATGTAATATGAGGTGGGAACTCAAAAAAAGATTGCGTGCTTTAGGAGAGGAAAATGTTAAAGAAAATTTGTTTATAAAATACATGAACTAACAATGATGAATTGAAGAATATTATTCCACTAACTTGCATTGTATAATTCCTCTCATACCACAGTCTGAGATCTCAGACAAGGTCTTCTCTCTTTATTCCAAAAGGGAAAATTGATCACAGATTTGTGGGTAGTCTAGGGTATGATAGCCAGTATATGATTGAGTAAAAACTCAGATTTTCTACTTATGAAGAAACCAATAAGAAATATTTTCTGCCTTGTCAAAACAGCAATAATTCAAAGAACACTTTTAAAGCAGGTTAGAAGAAACGTCCAAAACCTGTGTGAGAGAAATTATAAAATTCTCTGAAACTCACACAGAACAAATGCAAAGACACCATGTTCTTAAGAGCCAGGAGTGTTACATGTTCATAAAGAGAACTCCACATGATATGGATGTCATTTCTCCCTACAGTTATTTATAAATTTAATAAAACCAAACAACAATCATTCTCAGACTTTTTTTCAGAAGACTTGTTTTTCAGCTTTTTTCTCAGAGTTTTTTTCAAATTGCATGTTAGAACAAAAGGACTTAACAGACATCTACAAAACTTTCCATCCAAAAGCAGCATAAGACACATTCTTTTCTAGTATACATGCAACATTTTTTAGGATAGACCATATGTTCACTGCAAAACAAGTCTTAACAAATTTAAGAAGATTGAAATTATATCTAATATAATTTCCAATCACAACGACATGAAACCATAAATTAATAGCAGGAAGAATCTTGAAAATTTTGCAAATATGGAAAAATTAAACAATATGCTCCTGGATAACCAATGCATTATAGAAGAAACCAGGAGGGGAATTTAAAAATATCTTGGCACAAATGGCAACAGAAATACAACTTCCCAAAGCCTATGGGATACAGAAAAGCTGTTCTAAATGGAACTTTATAGCAATAAAAGCTCACATTAAAAAAGAAGAACAATCCCAAAAAAAAACCTAACATAATGCTTCAATGAATGAAAAAAGAAGAAACAAAACCAAAAGTTAGCAGAATGAAGGAAATAATGAAGACTAGAACAGAAATAAACAAAGAGAATGTAAAGACCACAGAAAATATCAATAAAACTGAGGGGTTTTTTTTGAAAAAAGGAAAACACAAAGCCTTAGCTAGACTAAGAATAAAATAGAAGACAAATCAATAAAATAAAAAATGAAAGTGGAAACATTACAACAGATGCCTCAGAAATAAAAAGGACCATAAGGAACCATTATGAAAAACTATATGTCAACAAATTTAATAAGCTAGAGGAAATGGTAAAATTCACACAAAAACAAAACCTATCAAGATTGAACCAGAAAGAAATATAAAGTCTTAACAGACCAATCAAAAATAAAGAGATTGGAGAAGTAATTTAAAAAAAACTCCCAACAAAGAAAAGCCTAGCCCCAGATGGCTTCATGGCTGAATTCTACTAAACATTCAAAGAATTAATGCCTTGCTTCCTAAACTTCCAAAAAAAAAAAAAAAAAAAAAAAAAGGAGCTAGAGGGAATAGTTACATATACATTCTATGAGGCCAGCATTACTTTGAAATTTAAACCAGGCAAAGACATTACAAGAAAAGAAAATTATGAAGGTAGTGGGAGGATGAAATCAGGTTGATTAATGGACACAAATATATACTTAGATAGAAGAAATAAGAGCTGGCATTTGATAGATCACTAGGGAAACTATAGTTAACATTAATTGATTGTACATTTCAAAATAAAAGAGAATAATTCAAACATTTCTGATGTAAAGAAGAGATATTTAAGGTGATAGATATCCCAATTACCCTGATTTGATTATATGAATGCATCAAATTATTATATGTATCCCAAATTATGTATATTTAATATGTATCAATAAAAAATACCTTAAAGAGTCACTTTGCATACTCTCTCCCACAATAAAGTTATGTCAAAAATTTCTACAAAGAAAACTATAAAATATCTATGATAAATATGATGAATATTGATACAAAAATCTTCAATAAAATATTCACAAACTCAATTCAACAACACATCAAAAATATTGTACATCATGATCAAGTGGGATTTATCCCTGTCATGCAGGGCTGGTTCATCATATGCACATCAATCAGTGTGACACATCATATTGACAAAATGAGATAGAAAAACCAATGATCTTCTCAATTAATGCAGAAAAAGCACTCAACAAAGTGTATCTTTTCTTGATAAAACTTTTCAATGGTTTAGTTATAGAAGGAAAGTTCCTCAATATGATAAATGCCATTTATGAAAGACACACAGCTAACATTATATCCAGTGGGGAAAAGCTAAATACCTTTCCACGAAGATCCAGTACCAAGCAGGATGCCCATTCTCACAACTTCTAGTCCATATGGTACTGGAAGTACCAGCAAGAGAAATCAGAGAAGAAAAGGGGAGATGGAGCAAGATAGACAAATAGAAGCCTCCAGCAACCATACCCCTGCAAGAACACCAAACTGAACAACTATCCACACAAAAAAGAACCTTCACAAGAACAAAAATCAGGTGAATGATTACAGTACCTGTTATGAACACTGTATGAAGGAAAGAAACAATGAAGTAGAAAAGACAGTCTTCAATTCCTGACACCACCCTTCCCCCATCTCCCAACAAGAGTCGCATGGCACACATAGAGAATCTGTGCACTTGGAGGAGGGAAAGCACAGTTACTGTGGAATTTTGCATTGGAACTCAGTGCTGCTCTGTCACTAGAAAGCAACACTAGGTAGAACTAAGCCAGTGCCCACAGAGGTAGCATTTAGACCAGCCCTAGCCAGAAAGGAGTTACCCATCCCAATAGTCAGAACCTGAGTTCCAGCAAGCTTCATCACCATGGGCTAAAGTGCTCTAAGGTCCAGACTAAACTTAAAAGACAGTCTAGACCACAAGGACTGCAATTCCTGGGCAAGTTCTGCTGCGGTGTTGGGCTCAGACCAGTGGAGATGAAGTGCATGTGACCTAGTGAAACGCCAGCTGCATCAGCCAAGAAAGTACTTATATCACCCGTCCCCCAATGCCAGGCAGTACAGCTCACAGCTCTAGGAAACACTTCTTCCTTGACGAGAGGAGAGGGGAAAATAAAGAGAACTTTGTGATGTAACTTTGATACCATCTCAGCCATAGTAGAACAGGGCAGGAGGCAGTGTCATGAGGCCCTCATTCCAGGTCCTAGCTCCCAGACAACATTTCTAGACACACCCAAGGCCAGAAGGTAACCTGCTGCCTTGAAGGGAAGGACCCAGTCCTGGCAAAATTTATCACCTACTGACTATAAAGCCCTTGGGCTCTGAATAAACACCAGCAGTAGGCAGGCAGTACTCACTGCAGACTCTGGGTGAGACCTGGTGCCATGTTGGCTTCACGTGTGACCTAGTACATTTTCAGCTATGGTGGCTATGGAGAGAAACTTCTTTTACTTGAGGAAAAGAGAAGAAAGAGTAAGGGGACTTTGTCTTGCAACTTGGGTACCAGCTTGCCTACAATGGGACAGAGCACCAAGCAGACCCTTGGAGTCCTCATCCCAGGCATTGAATCCTAAATGACATTTCAGGACCTTCCCTGAGCCACAGAGGATCCTACTTCCCTGAAGGTAGAGACCTAAACCTTGCAGCATTCACCACAAGTTGACTAAAGAGCCCTTGGGCCTTGAGTGAACATCAGCAATAGCCAATAAGTACTTACCACTGGCCTCAGGTGATGGTGGGCCATGGGGAGAGACTCCTCTGCCTGAGAGAAGAGGAAGAAAAAGTAGGAAAGAATTTTTCTTGTAGCTTGAGTCCCAGCTAAGCCACAGTGGAACAGAGCACCGGTAGATTCCTGACGTTTCCAACTCCAGGTTCTGGTTCCCAGATGGTATCTCTAGACCTGCTTAGGGCCAAGAGGAACTCACTGCCCTAAAGGGAAGGAAAGAGACATGCCTGGATTTGCCAACTGTTGATTGTAGAATTCTTAGGTCTTGCATGAACATAGGTGGTAGCCAGGCAGTGGTCACTGTGGGCCTTAGGTGAGACCCAGTGATGTGCTGGCATTGAATGTGACCCAGCACAGTCCCGGTGGTGATGGCCACAAGGGAGCTTGCATAACCCCTACTCCAGCTCAGGGCAGCTCAGCACAAAGAGAGAGACTCCACTTGATTGGGAGAAGCTAAGGGAAGAGAACAGGAGTCTCTGTCTAATAATTCAGGGGATTCTCCCAGAACTTAACCAAGACTACCAAGGTGGTACCTCTATAAGTCTGCAAGGGCCAAAGCATTACTGGGCTTGACATGCTCCCTAATACAGATATGGCTATAGTGACCAAAGACATAGATTACAATACCAAAGTCCCTTCAAATACTTGGGAAGCCTTCTCAAAAAGGATGGGGAGAAACAGCCCAGATGTCAAAGACTACAATAAATACCTAACTCTTCAATGACCAGACACTGATGAACCTCTGTAAACATGAAAACCGTCCAGGAAAACATGACCTTACCAAATGAACTAAAAATGGACCAGGGACCAATCCTGGAGAAGCAAAAATATGTGACCTTTCAGACAGAGAATTCAAAATAGCTGTGTTGAAGACCCTCAGTGAAATTCAAGACAACACAGAGAAAGAATTTAGGATTATATCAGATAACTGTAATACAGAGATTGAAATAATATTTAAATATCAAGCAGAAATTCTGGAGTTCAAAAATGCAATTGACATACTAAATAATGCAACAGAAATTCTGGAGCTCAAAATGCTATTGACATACAGAAGAGTACATGAAGTGTTAAGAGTCTCTTAACAGCAGAATTGATCAAGCAAAAAAAAAAGAATTGGTGAGTTTGAAGACAGGCTATTTGAAAATACAAAGTCAGAGGAGACAAAAGAAAAAAGGATAAAAATCAATGAAGCATGCCTACAGGATCTACAAAATAGCCTCAAAAGGGCAAATCTGAAGGTGCTAAGATAGCCAATTAGAAGCAGCTGTGGTCCATGGCACTCACAAAGGGGAATAAAAGGGGCAAGTGAATTAAGCACCTTCAACTGAAATATCCAAGTTCTGGCACTGGGACTGACTAGGCAAACAACTCGACCCACAGAAAATGAAGAAAAGCAGGATGGGGCGATGGCCCAGCCAGGAGCAGCATGGAGTCAAAGGAACACCCACCCCCAGCCAAGAGAATGGTGAGTGATTGTGGGACCCCACCCAGGAAACCAGCTTATGCCACAGATCTTTGCAACCCATGGATCAGATGCCCTCATAAGTCCATGCCACCAGGGCCTTGGGTCTAATACACAGAGCTGTGTGGAGTCCCGGCACAGCATTGCCCAGGCACACACAGAGACCCAGGAGTGTTACAAACTCATGCCCCAGGATCCCCGGCAAGGCAGGAGATCCATTTGTACATATCCCTAGGAAGGGAGGCAAGCATTGTTCTGCAGGCCCCACTTCCATGGCAACTCAGAAGTTAAGACCCACTGGCTTGGAATTCCAGCCAGCTAACAGCAACAAGCTGGGGTCTGCCTGAGATGAGACCTAGTTCCTGGAGGGAGGGGTGGCCACCATCTCTTTAGTTTGGTTGAGTTAGCTGTTCCAACCTGCCGACTTTGGAGAATTCATAGTCCTAATGAGAAAGGGTCCCCCTCAACACAGCACACCTGCTTTACCAAAAAGCAGCCAGATTGTTTCTTTAAGTGGGTCCCTGATCTCATTCCTCCTAACTGGATGAGACCTCTAAACATGGGTCTCCAGCCACCTCCTACAGGCACATTCAGGCCAGCAACAGGTCAGTTCCCCCGGGAACGGAGCTTCCAGAGGAAGGAGCTGGTTGCCATCTTTGCTGTTTCTCAGCCTTCGTTGCTGATACCTCCAGGTACAGGAAAAAGTGAGGCAACTTGTGTCTGGAATAAACCCCCAGCAAATTGCTGCAGCCTTAAGGAAGAGTGATTTGACTGTTAAAAGAAAAAAAAACAAAAAGAAAGCAACATCAACAACAACAACATGAACAAAAAAGACCCCACAAAAACCTCAAAGGTCAGCAACATCAAAGATCAAAGGCAGATAAGCCCATAAAGATGAGAAAAATTCAATGCAAAAATGCCGAACACTCAAAAAGCCAGAATGCCTCTTTTCCTCCAAATGACCACAATACCTCTCCAGCAAGGGCACAGAACTGGGCTGAGGCTGAGATGGCCAAACTGAAATAAGTAGGCTTCAGAAGGTGGGTAAAAACAAACTTC
This sequence comes from Homo sapiens, assembly GCF_000001405.40. Taxonomy (NCBI): domain Eukaryota; kingdom Metazoa; phylum Chordata; class Mammalia; order Primates; family Hominidae; genus Homo; species Homo sapiens. Next base: position 43,759,334 of record NC_000005.10, on the reverse strand, counting down.
ACTGAGCTAAAGAAGCATGTCATATCCCAATGCAAAGAAGTTAAGAATCATGATAAAACAATATAGGAGCTGACAGCCAGAATAGCCAGTTTAGAGAGGAACATAACTGACCTGAGGGAGCTGAAAAACACAACACAAGAGCTTCATAATGCGATCACAAGTATCAATAGCATAATAGAACAAGTGGAGAAAAGAATCTCAGAGCTTGAAAACCACCTTTCTAAAATAAGACAGACAGAGAAGAATAGAGAAAAAAGAACAAAAGGCCGGGCACTGGCTCATGCCTATAATCCCAGCACTTTTGGGAGGCCAAGGTGTGCCAATCACGAGGTCAGGAGTTTGAGACCAGCCTGGCCAACATGGTGAAACCCCATCTCTACTAAAGATACAAAAAATTAGCTGGGTGTGGTGGCACGCACTTGTAATCCCAGCTACTTGGGAGGTTGAGGGAGGAGAATTGCTTGAACCCAGGAGGTGGAGGTTGCAGTGAGCCAAGATTGTGCCACTACACTCCAGCCTGGGCCACAGAGTGAGACTCTGTCTCAATTAAAAAAAAAAAAAAAAAGTAATGAACAAAACTTCCAAGAAATATGGGATTATGTACAGATACTGAACCCAGGACTGATTGGGGTAACTGCAAGAGACAGGGAGAATGGAATCAAGTTGGAAAAAATACTTAAGGTTATCATCCAGGAGAACTTCCCCAACCTAGCAAGACAGGCCAACATTCAAATTCAGGAACTGCAGAGAACCCTAGTAAGATACTTCATAAGAAGATCAACCCCAAGACACATAATCATCAGACTCTCCAAGGTCCAGACGAAAGAAAAAATGTTAAGGATAGCCAGAGAGAAAGGCCAGATCACCTACAAAGGAAAGTCCTCAGACTAACAGTGGACCTCTCAGTGGAAACCCTACAAGCCAGAAAAGATTGGGGACCAATATCCGACATTCTTAAAGAAAAGAATTTCCAACCCAGAATTTCAGATCCAGCCAAAATAAGCTTCACAAGCAAAGGAGAAATAAAATCCTTCTCAGACAAGCAAATGCTGAGGAATTCATCACCACCAGGCCTGCCTTGCAAGACTTTCTGAAGGAAACACTAAATATGGAAAGGAAAAATGGTTACCAGACACTACAAAAACACACTGAAGTGCATAGACCAGTGACACTATGAAGCAATCACATAAACATGACTATAAAATAACCACCTAGCATTACGATGGTGGCATCAAATTCACACATAACAATACTAACCTTAAATGTAAATGGGCTGAATGCCCAAATTAAAAGAGAATGGCAAGCTGAATAAAGAGCCTAGGCCCATCAGTATGCTGTATTCAAGAGACCCATCTCATGTGCAAAGATACACATTGGCTCAAAATAAAAAGATGGAGGAAAGATTACCAAGCAAATGGAAAAACAGAAAAAATAATGGGTTGCAATTCTAGTTTTTGACAGATGTTAAACCAGCAAAGATCAAAAAAGACAAAGAAGGGCATTACATAATAGTAAAGGATTCAATTCAACAAGAAGAGCTAACCATCCTAAATATATATGCACCCAATACAGCAGCACCCAGATTCATAAAGCAAGTGCTTAGAGACCTACAAAGAAACTTAGACTCCCACACAATAATACTGGGAGACTTTAATACCCCACTGATAATATTACACATTTCATCAAGACAGAAAATTAACAGATATTTAGGACCTGAACTGATCAAGTGCACCTGATAGATATCTACAGAACTCTTGACCCAAATTCAAAGAATATACATTCTTCTCACCACCACATGGCACTTACTCTAAAATTGATCACATAATCAGAAATAAAACACTCATCAAATGCAAAGGAACTGAAATCATAACAACAGTGTCTCAGATCACCATGCAATCAAACTAGAACTCAAGATTGAGAAATTCACTGAAAACCACACAATTACAAGGAAATTGAACAACTTGTCCCTGAATGACTCTTGGGTAAACAATGAAATTAAGGCAGAAATCAAGAAGTTATTTGAAACTAATGAGAACAAAGAGAGAACATACCAGAATCTCCGTCACAGCTAAAACAGTGTTAAGAGGGAAATTCATAGCACTAAATGCCCACATCAAAAAGCTGGAAAAATCTCATATGTACCCTAAAACTTAAAGTATAATAACAATAAAATTTTTTTAAAATGCTGGAAAAATCTCAAGTTAACAAGCTAGCATCACAACTAAAAGAACTAGAGAACCAAGAGCAAACAAACCCCAAAGTCAGCAGAAGACAGAAAATAACCAAGATCAGAGCAGAATTGAAGGAAACAGAGACATTAAAAACCCTTCAAAAAAATCAATGAATCCAGGAGCTGTTTTTTTTTAATTAATAAAGTAAATAGACTGCTAGCTAGACTATTAAAAAAGAAAAGAGAGAAGAATCCATTAAACACAATCAGCAATTATAAAGGGCATGTCACCACTGACCACACAGAAATACAATCATCAGAGAACACTATAAACACCTCTATGCACATAAACTAGAAAATCTAGAAGTTAATAAATTCCTGGACACATACACCTCCCAAGACTGAACCAGGAAGAAACTGAATCCCTGAACACAACAATTATGAGTTCTGAAGTAGTAATATATAGTCTACCAACCAAAATAAGCCCAGGACCAGACAAATTCACAGCTGAATTCTACCAGAGGTACAAAGAAGAACTAGTACCATTTCTAATGAAACTATTTCAAAAAATTGAAAGGGAGAGACTCCCAACTAACTCAATCTATGAGGCCAGCATATTCTGATACCAAAATCTGGCAGAGACACAACAAAAAAAAAAGAAAACTTCAGGCTAATCATCTTGATGAACTTCAATGCAAAACTCCTCAACAAAATACTTGCAAACTGAATCCAGCAACACATCAAAAAGCTTATCCACCATGATCCAGTTGACCTCATTCCCAGGATGCAAGGTTGGTTCAACATATGCAAATCAATAAATGTGATTCATCACATAAACAGAACTAACGACAAAAACCACATGATTATCTTCATAGATGCAGAAAAGGCTTTTGATAAAATTCAACATCCCTTCATGTTAAAAACTCTCAATAAACAGCTGGGCATGGTGGCTCATGCCTGTAATCCCAGCACTTTGGGAGGCCAAGGTGGGCAGATCACAAAGTCAGGAGTTTGAGAACAGGCTGGCCAATATGGTGAAACCCCATGTCTACTAAAAATACAAAAATTAGCCAGGCATGGTGGCAGGCACCTGTAGTGTCAGCTACTCAGGAGGCTGAGGCAGGAGAATGGCTTCAACCCAGGAGGCAGAGGTTACAGCTAGCTGAGATCATGCCACTGCAATCCAGCCTGGGTGACAGAGGGAGACTCTGTCTCAAATAAATAAATAAATAAACCCTCAATAAACTAGGTATTGAAGGAACATGCCTCAAAGTACTAAGAGACATATATGAAAAACTCACAGCCAATATCATACTGAATTGGCAAAACCTGGAAGCATTCCCCTTGAAAACCAGCACAAGACAAGGATGACCTCTTTCACCACTCCTATTCAACATAGTATTGCAAGTTCTGGCCACGGCAATCAGGAAAGAGAAAGAAATAAAGAGTATTCAAATAGAAAGAGAGGAAGTCAAATTATCTTTATTTGCAGATGACATGATCCTATAACTAGAAAATTCCATCATCTCAGCCCAAATGCTTCTTAAACTGATAAACAACTTCAGCAAAGTCTCAGGATATAAAATCGATGTGCAAAAACTGCTAGCATTCCTATAAATCAACAACAGGTAAGCAGAGAGCCAAATCATGAATGAACTCCCATTCACAATTGTTATAAAGAGAATAAAATACCTAGGAATAGAGGTAACAAGGGAAGTGAAGGACCTCTTCAAAGAGAAATACAGACCACTGCTCAAAGAAATTAGACAGGACACAAACAAATGGAGAAAATTCCAGCTCATGGATAGGGAGAATCAATATTGTGAAAATGGCCATACTCCCAAAAACAATTTATTAATTGTTAATAAATTAAATGCTATTCCCATTAAACAACCACTGACATTATTCACAGAATTTAAAAAAAGATTTTAAAATTCATATGGAGCCAAAAAAGGGTCCAAGCAGCCAAGATAATCCTAAGCAAAAAACAAAAAACAAAAACAAACCTGGAGGCATCACACTACCAGATTGCAACCTATACTACAAGACTACAGCAACCCAAACAGCATGGTGCTGTTATAAGAACAGACACATAGACCAATGGAACAGAACAGAGAACTCAGAAATAAGGCCACAAACCTACAACCATCTGATCTTCAACAAACTTGACAAAATCAGCAATGGGGAAAGGACTCCCCATTCAACAAATGGTGCTGGGAGTGCTGGCTAGCCATATCCAGGAAATTGGAACTGGACCCCTTCTTTACACCATATACAAAAATTAACTCAAAATAGATTAAAGCAATAGATTAAAGACTTAAATGTGAAACCCAAAACTATAAAAACCCTGGAAAAAATATAGAGAATACCATTCAGGACATAGGCACAGGTAAAGATTTCATGATGAAAATACAAAAAGGAATTGCAACAAAAGCAAAAATTGACAAATGGGATCTAATTAAACTAAAGAGCTTCTGCACAGCAAAAGAAACTATCATCAGTAGGACACAGCCAGATCTCATCTTGAATTGTAGTTCCCATAATCCCCACATGTCATGGGAGGGACCTGGTGGGAGGTAATTGAATCATGGGAGCAGGTTTTTCCCATGCTGTTCTTGTGATAGTAAATAAATCTCACAGGATCTGATGGTTTTATAAAGGGCAGTTCCCCTACCCATGCTCTCTTGTCTGCCACCATGTAAGATGTGCCTTTGTCCCTCCTTCACCTTCTGCCATGATTGCAGGGCCTCCCCACCCATTTTCAACAATGAGCCCCTTAAACCTGTTTTTCTTTATAAATTACCCAGTCTCAGGTATGTCTTTATTAGCATCATGAAAATGGACTAATACAGTAAATTGGTACCAGTAGAGTGGGGTGGTGCTGTAAGAATACCTAAAAATATGAAAGCAGCTTTGGAACTGGATAACAGACAGAGGTTGGAGCAGTGTGGGTGGAGTGCTCAGAAGAAAACACAGAAATGTGGGAAAGTCTGGAACTTCCTAGAGTTTGGATGGCTCAGAAGACAGGAAGATGTGAAAAAGTTTGGAACTTCCTAGAGACTTGTTGAATGGCTTTGACCAAAATGCTAATAGTAATATGAACAATAAAGTCCAGACTAAGGTAGCGGTCTCAGATGGAGATGAGGAACTTGTTGGGAAATGGAGTAAAGGTGACTCTTGTTACACTTTAGTAGCAAACAGACTGGTGAAATTTTGCCCCTGCCCTAGGATCTGTGGAGCTTTGAACTTGAGACTGATGATTTAGGCTATCTGGCAGAAGAAATTTCTAAGCAGCAAAGTGTTCTAGAGGAAACAAAATATAAAAGTTTGGAAAATTTGCAGCCTGACGATGCAATAGAAAACAAAAACCCATTTTCTGGGGAGAAATTCAAACGTGCTGCAGAAATTTGCATAAGTAACAAGGAGCCAAATGTTAATCACCAAGACAATGGTGAAAATGTCTCCAGGGCATGTCGGAGACCTTCCAGGCAGCCCATCCCATCACAGGCCTGGAGGCCTAAGAGGAAAAACTGATTTCACAGGCTGGGCCCAGGACTCCCCTGCTGTGTGCAGCTAGGGACTTGGTGCCCTGTGTCTCTGCCATTCCAGCCATGGCTAAAAGGGGCCAAGGTATGGCTCAGGCAGTGGCTTCAGTGGGTGCAAGCCTCAAGCCTTGGCAGCTTCCACGTGGTGTTGAGCCTTCAGGTACACAGAAGTCAATAATTGAGGCTTGGGAACCTCCACCTAAATTTCAGATGTGTGGAAACCCCTGGATATTCAGGCAGAAGTTTGCTGCAGGGGCAGGGCCCCCATGCAGAACCTCTGCCAGGGCAGTGAGGAAGGCAAATGTGAGGTTGGAGGTCCCACACAGAGTCCCTACTGGGGCGCCGCCTAGTGGAGCTGTGAGAAGAGGGCCACAGTCCTCCAGAACCCAGAATGTTAGATCAACCAACAGCTTGCACCATGCACCTGGAAAAGCCACAGACACTCAATGCCAGGCCATGAAAGCAGCCAGGACTGGGGCTCTAACCTGCAAAGCCACAGGGACAGAGCTGCCCAAGGATGTGGGAGCCCACCTCTTGCATCAGCATGACCCGGATGTGAGACATGGAGTCAAAGGAAATCATTTTGGAACTTTAAAGTTTAATGACTGTCCTATTGGATTTTGGAATTGCGTGGGATCTATAGACCCTTTGTTTTGACTGTTTTCTCCCATTTGGAATGGGTGTATTTACCAAATGCCTGTACCCTCATTGTATCTAGGAAGTAACTTACTTGTTTTTGATTTTACAGGCTCACAGGCAAAAGGGACTTGCCTCGTCTCAGATGAGACTTTGGACTATGGACTTTTGAGTTAATGCTGAAATGAGTTAAGACTTTGGGGGATGGTTGGGAAGGCATGATTGGTTTCAAAATGTAAGGACATGAGATTTGGGAGGGGCCAGGGACAGAATAATATGGTTTGGCTCTGTCCTCACCCAAATCTCATTTTGAATTGTAGTTCCCATAATCTCCACATGTTGTGGGAGGGGCCCAATGGGAAGTAATTGAATCATGGGAATGGGTTTTTCCCATGCTGTTCTCATGATAGGAAATAAGTCTCACAAGATCTGATGGTTTTATAAAGGGCAGTTGCCCTGCATATTCTCTCTTGCCTGCCACCATGTAAGATGTTGCTTTGCTCTTCCTTCACCTTCCACCATGATTGTGAGGTCTCATCAGCCGTGTGGAACTGTGAGTCCATTAAACTTCTTTTTCCTTATAGACCCAGTCTTGGATGTCTTTATTAGCAGCGTGAGAACAGACTAATACAGTCAGTGCAAACAGACAACCTACAGAATAGGAGAAAATTTTTGTAGATCTATCCATCTGACAAAGGCCTAATATCTAGAGTCTACAAGGAACTTAAACAAATCTATAAGCAAAACAAACAACCCCATTAAAAAGTGGGCAAAGGACATGAACAGACACTTTTCAAAAGAATACATACATGTGGCCAACAAACATATGAAAAGAAAAGCTTAACATCATTGATCATTAGAGAAATGCAAATCAAGACTGCAATGAGATACCATCTCATGCCGGTCAGAATGGTGATTATTAAAAAGTCAAAAAACTCAGGAGGCTGAGGCAGGAGAATGGCATGAACCCGGGAGGTGGAGCTTGCAGTGAGCCAAGATCACTCCACTGCACTCCAGCCTGGGCAACAGAGCGAGACTCTGTCTCAAAAAAGAAAAAAAGTCAAAAAACATAATACCAAATTGTTAAGAAAAGGAAAAACAGTCAAAAAACAACAGATGCTATCAAGGTTGTGGAGAAAAAGGAACACTTTTACACTGTTGGTAGGAGTGTACATTAATTCAACCATGTGGAAGACAGTGTGGTGACTCCTCAAAGACCTAAAGGCAGAAATACTATACAACCCAGCACTCCCATTACTGGGTATATACCCAAAGGAATATAAATCATTCTATTATAAAGATACATGCACACATATGTTCATTGCAGCACTCTTCACAATAGCAAAGATGTAGAATCAACCTTGGTGTCCATCAATAGTGGACTGGATAAAGAAAATGTGGTACATATACACTGTGGAATACTATGTAGCCATAAAAAGGAATGAGATCATGTCCTTTGTAGGGACATGGATCAAGCTGGAAGCTATTATCCTCAGCAGGAACAGAAAACCAAACACTTCATGTTCTCACTTATAAGTGGGAGCTGAATGATGAGAACACATGGACACATTAGGTGGAAGAAATAACACACACTGGGGCCTGTCAGGGGTAGTGTGTCAGGAAGGGAGAGCATCAGGAAGAATAGCTAATGGATGCTGGGCTTAATACCTTGGTGATGGGATGATCTTTGTAACAATCCACCATGGCACATGTTTCCCTATGTAACAAACCTGCACATAACGCACATGTACCCCTGAACTTAAAATAAGTTGAAACAAACAACAACAAAAAAAAACAGAGAGTGAGGCTGAGGGGTGGAGAGATTGGGGAGATGTCGGTCAAAGGAAACAAAATTTTGTTTAGACAGGAGAAATAAGTTCAAGAGATCTACTGTATATCATGGTGACTACAGTTAATAACAGTATACTATATATTTGAAAATTGCTAAGTGAGTAGATTTAAGCGTTCTCACCACAAAGAAATAAGTATGTGAGGTAATGCTTATGTAAAATAGCTTAGTCATTCCACATTGCATATACATATATATATAAACATGTTATACAACATATTTATAATATTTACTTATCAGATTTTACAAATAATTTTTTTAAAAAAATTAAAAATTAAAATAAGTACCTTGCAACTCTAAAGCAAATAAATTTAACCAACAAGTTGGTAGATTATCTGTACAGAGAATTATTTTTTTCAAGTGACTTTAAAAGACAATCATTTGTATATCCTTATTGGTGTATATTCTACAAGTGAAAACTGCAAGATAAAATCAAGCTGTTTTAAATAAATAAATAAACCTAATTGTACATAAAGTTGATGGAATAGCTTAAATGTAGTATCTGTATTGTACATCAGTGGTGGAATATATCCTAAGGACACAAAGAACCCCCCCAAAATCTTAAACTGCATTAAATGTCATGCCATTAGTAGTAGCAACATAATTGTTATTTTGAAATTACTATATAAGTATATTTTTTAAAACCTGAATACTATGTATATTCGGATAAAATAAATAATATATTAATATCATTAGGAATCATGATTCAGTGTAAAAGAAAAAAGATGCCCTTGTAAAATCAAAATGATTAAATAAAAGTCCTATAATCTTACATTTGAATATAAAATATCACAATAAAATAATTACTTTTCTCTTTCTAAAAAACAAATGTTTACTAATTAGCTCTGACCACTGTAAAAGCTTGGGAATAATAACAACTCAGTGGCAATAAGCACACCAAACACACAGATCTCTAAACACCACTTTTAAGTTGGGCAAGTAATGTACAAGATAAGTCTGAGAACCTATCATGCCAGAAATCAAGAAAGCTGTCAGAAACTACCAGGGTCATGCTAGAATAACATAGAAACCAACTCAAATTGACTCACTGGCTGAAGAGGACTCACAGAGCAAAGAAATTTTGAGCATAAAACACACACGCATATCAAATATATAAAGATCCATAAATTTACAAGTACAGAAAAAAATGACAATTACCTACTTGGTTATCATTTAATTTCTAGGTCTCCAATTCATTATTCTGAAATAATAAACTAACAGTAAAGGGAAATAATTATTTATCTTGTTTTTTTCCACAAATTCTACTTGAGAGTAACCAAACTGTTAATAAGGAAAAGAATTTCTACTCTAATGTAGGAATAATAGAACTACACGATCGTCATTAAAGGCTGCTAAAGCCATCAGATGAGGAATAATAGAACTACACCATCATCATTAAAGGCTGCTAAAGCCATCAGATGAAAGTAGTTGGAAATCTTTTTTTTTTCTTTTGAGATGGAGTTTCACTCTGTTGCCCAGGTTGGAGTGCAGTGGTGCGATCTCGGCTCACTGCAACTGCTGCCTCCCGGGTTCAAGCAATTCTCCTGCCTCAGCCTCCAAAGTAGCTGGCATTACAGGTACGTGCCACCATGCCTGGCTAATTTTTTTTTGTATTTAATAGAAACAGGGTTTCACTGTATTGGTCAGGCTGGTCTCAGACTCCTGACCTCAAATGACCCACCTGCCTCGGCCTCCCAAACTGCTGAGATTACAGGCATGAGCCACCTTGCCCGGCCTGGGAATCTTTAAAATGGGGATCAAACAGAAAACACTTGAACCACTAGCTATGGGGGAGGAGCCAAGATGGCCGAATAGGAACAGCTCCGGTCTACAGCTCCCAGCGTGAGTGACACAGAAGATGGGTGATTTCTGCATTTCCAACTGAGGTACCAGGTTCATCTCACTGGGGAGTGCCAGACCGTAGATGCAGGACAGTGGGTGCAGCGCACCATGCACGAGCAGAAGCAGGGTGAGGCATCGCTTCACCCGGGAAACACAAGGGGTCAAGGAATTCCCTTTCCTAGTCAAAGAAAGCGGTGACAGATGGCACCTGGAAAATTGAGTCACTCCCACCCTAATACTGCGTTTTCCAAGGGGCTTAAAAAAATGGCACACCAGATTATATCCCGGACCTGGCTCGGAGGGTCCTACACCCACAGAGTCTCACTCATTGCTAGCACAGCAGTCTGAGATCAAACAGCAAGGTGGCAGCGAGGCTAAGGGAGGGGAGCCCGCCATTGCTGAGTTAGTTGTTTGATTAGGTAAACAAAGCGGCCTGGAAGCTCGAACTGGGTGGAGCCCACCACAGCTCAAGGAGGCCTGCCTGCCTCTGTAGGCTCCACATCTGGGGGCAGGGCACAGATAAACAAAAAGACAGCAGTAACTTCTGCAGACCTAAATGTCCCTCTCTGACAGCTTTGAAGAGAGTAGTGGTTCTCTGAGCATGCAGCTTGAGATCTGAGATCGGGCAGACTGCCTCCTCAAGCGGGGCCCTGACCCCCAAGTACCCTAATTGGGAGGCACCCCCCAGTAGGGGTGGACTGACACCTCACATGGCCGGGTACTCCTCTGAGACAAAACTTCCAGAGGAACCATCAGGCAGCAGCATCTGCGGTTCACCAATATCCGCTGTTGTGCAGCCACTGCTGCAGATACCCAGGCAAACAGGGTCTGGAGTGGACCTCTAGCAAACTCCAACAGACCTGCAGCTGAGGGTCCTGTCTGTTAGAAGGAAAACTAACAAACAGAAAGGACATCCACACCAAAAACCCATCTGTACGCCACCATCATCAAAGACCAAAGGTAAATAAAACCACGCAGATGGGAAAAAAACCAGAGCAGAAAAACTGGAAACTAAAAATCAGAGCATCTCTCTTCCTCCAAAGAAACACAGCTCCTCACAAAGCTGGATGGAGAATGACTTTGACGAGTTGAGAGAAGAAGGCTTCAGACAATCAAACTACTCTGAGCTACAGGAGGAAATTCGAACGAATGGCAAAGAAGTTAAAAGCTTTGAAAAAAAATTAGATGAATGGATAACTAGAATAACCATTACAGAGAAGTGCTTAAAGGAGCTGATGGAGCTGAAAACCAAGGCTCTAGAACTACGTGAAGAATGTAGAAGCCTCAGGAGCCGATGCAATCAACTGGAAGAAAGGGTATCAGTGATGGAAGATGAATGAAATGAAGCGTGAAGAGAAGTTTAGAGAAAAAAGACTAAAAGGAAATGAACAAAGCCTCCAAGAAATATGGGACTATGTGAAAAGATCAAATCCACATCTGATTGGTGTACCTGAAAGTGACGGGGAGAATGGAACCAAGTTGGAAAACACTCTGCAGGATATTATCCAGGAGAATTTCCCCAATCTAGCAAGGCAGGCCAACATTCAAATTCAGGAAATACAGAGAATGCCACAAAGATACTCCTCAAGAAGGGTAACTCCAAGACACATAATTGTCAGATTCACCAAAGTTGAAATGAAGGAAAAAATGTTAAGGGCAGCCAGAGAGAAAGGTTGGGTTACTCACAAAGGGGAGCCCATCAGACTAACAGCTGATCTCTTGGCAGAAACTCTACAAGCCAGAAGAGAGTGGGGACCAATATTCAACATTCTTAAAGAAAAGAATTTTCAACCCAGAATCTCATATCCAGCCAAACTAAGCTTCATAAATGAAGGAGAAATAAAATCCTTTATAGACAAGCAAATGCTGAGAGATTTTTTCACCACTAGGCCTGCCCTAAAAGAGCTCCTGAAGGAAACACTAAACATGGAAAGGAACAACTGGTACCAGCCACTGCAAAAACATACCAAATTCTAAAGACCATCAAGGCTAGGAAGAAACTGCATCAACTAAGGAGCAAAATAACCAGCTAACTTCATAATGACAGGATCAAATTCACACATAACAATATTAACTTTAAATGTAAATGGGCTAAATGCTCCAAATAAAAGACACACACTGGCAAATTGGATAAAGAGTCAAGACCTGCCCTTTCCCTCTCCCTCTCCCTCTCCCTCTTCCTCTCCCCTTTGCACGGTCCTCTTCTCCCCTTTGCACGGTCTCCCTCTGATGCTGAGCCAAGGCTGGACTGTACTGCCGCCATCTCGGCTCACTGCCGCCTCCCTGCCTGATTCTCCTGCCTCAGCCTGCCGAGTGTCTGGGATTGCAGGTGCGCGCCGCCACACCTGACTGGTTTTCGTATTTTTTGGTGGAGATGGGGTTTCGCCATGTTGGCCAGGCTGGTCTCCAGCTCCTGACCACGAGTGGTCTGCCAGCCTCGGCCTCCTGAGGTGCCAGGATTGCAGACGGAGTCCCGCTCACTCAGTGCTCAATGTTGCCCAGGCTGGAGTGCAGTGGCGTGATCTCAGATCGATACAGCCTCCACCTCCCAGCCGCCTGCCTTGGCCTCCCAAAGTGCCGAGATTGCAGCCTCTGCCCAGCCACCACCCCGTATAGGAAGTGAGGAGCATCTCTGCCTGGCCGCCCATCGTCTGGGATGTGAGGAGCCCCTCTGCCTGGCCACCAAGTCTGGGAAGTGAGGAGCGCCTCTTCCCAGCTGCCACCCCGTCTAGGAAGTGAGGAGCGTCTCTGCCTGGCCACCCATCATCTGGGATGTGAGGAGCCCCCTGCCCGGCTGCCCAGTCTGGGAAGTGAGGAGCATCTCTTCCCAGACATCATCCTATCTAAGAAGTGAGGAGCGTCTCTGCCTGGCCGCCCATCATCTGGGATGTGGGAAGCACCTCTGCCCCGCCGCCCCATCGGAGATGTGAAGAGTGCCTCTGCCCGGCTGCGACCCCGTCTGGGAACTGAGGAGTGTCTCTGACCCACTGCCACCCCGTCTGGGAGGTGAGGAGCGTCTCTGACCGGCTGCCCCGTCTGAGAAGTGAGGAGCCCCTCTGCCCGGCAGCTGCCCCGTCTGGGAAGTGGGGAGCCCCTCCGCCTGGCAGTCGCCTGTCTGGGAAGTGAGGAGCATCTCCGCCCGGCAGCCACCCCATCCAGGAGGTGGGGGGGCAGCCCCCACCCAGCCATCCGCCCCATCTGGGAAGTGGGGAGCCCCTCCACCTGGCAGCCACCCCATCTGGGAAGTGAGGAGCGTCTCCACCCGGCAGCCACGCCATCCAGGAGGTTGGGGGCAGCCCCCACCCGGCCAGCCGCCCCGTCCGGGAGGTGGGGGGCAGCCCTCGCTCGCCAGCCGCCCCGTCCGGGAGGTGGGGGCCAGCCCCCACCCGGCCAGCCGCCCCGTCTGGGAGGTGGGGGGGTGCCTCAGCCCAGCTGCCCCTCTGGGAAGTGGGGAGCCCCTCTGCCTGGCCACCCCGTCTGGAAGTGAGGAGCCCCTCTGCCTGGCCACCACCCCATCTGGGAGGTGGGGGGCCCCTCTGCCTGGCCACCCCATCTGGGAAGTGAGGAGCCCCTCTGCCCGGCTGCCACCCAGTCTGGGAGGTATGCCCAACAGCTCATTGAGAACGGGCCATGATGATGATGGCAGTTTTGTCAAATAGAAAAGGGGGAAATGTGGGGAAAAGAAAGAGAGATCAGATTGTTATTGTTTCTGTGTAGAAAGAAGTAGACTTAGGAGACTCCATTTTGTTCTGTACTAGGAAAAATTCTTCTGCCTTGGGATGCTGTTAATCTATAACCTTACCCCCAACCCAGTGCTCTCTGAAACATGCGCTGTGTCCACCAAGGTTTTAAATGGATTAAGGGCGGTGTAAGTTGTGCTTTGTTAAACAGATGCTTGAAGGCAGCATGCTCATTAAGAGTCATCACCACTCCCTAATCTCAAGTACCCAGGGACACAAACACTGCGGAAGGCGGCAGGGCCCTCTGCCTAGGAAAACCAGAGACCTTTGTTCACAGGTTTATCTGCTGACCTTCCCTCCACTATTGTCCTATGACCCTGCCAAATCCCCCTCTCCGAGAAACACCCAAGAATGATCAATAAATACTAAAAAAAAATAAAAATAAATAAAAATAAAATAAAATAAATTTAAAAAAAAGAGTCAAGACCCATCAGTGTGCAGAGACACACATAGGCTCAAAATAAAGGGATGGAGGAAGATCTACCAAGCAAATGAAAACAAAAAAAGGCAGGGGTTGCAATCCTAGTCTCTGATAGAACAGACTTTGAACCAACAAAGATCAAAAGAGACAAAGAAGGCCATTACATAATGGTAAAGTGGTCAATTCAACAAGAAGACCTAACTATCCTAAATATATATGCACCCAATACAGGAGCACCAAGATTCATAAGGCAAGTACTTACTGATCTACAAAGAGACTTAGACTCCCACACAATAATAGTGGGAGACTTTAACACCCCACTGTCAACATTAGACAGATCAACGAGACAGAAAGTTAACAAGGATATCCAGGAATTGAACTCAGCTCTGCACTAAGCAGACCTAATAGACATCTACAGAACTCTCCACCCCAAATCAACAGAATATACATTCTTTTCAGCACCACACCACACCTACTCCAAAATTGACCACATAGTTGGAAGTAAAGCACTCCTCAGCAAATGTAAAAGAACAGAAATTATAACAAACTGTCTCTCAGACAACAGTGCAATCAAACTACAACTCAGGATTAAGAATCTCACTCAAAACCACTCAACTACATAGAAACTGAACAACCTGCTCCTGAATGACTACTGGGTAAATAATGAAATGAAGGCAGAAATAAAGATGTTCTTTGAAATGAACGAGAACAAAGACACAACATACCAGAAGCTCTGGGACACATTCAAAGCAGTGTGTGGAGGGAAATTTATAGCACTAAATGCCCACAAGAGAAAGCAGGAAAGATCTAAAATTGACACCCTAACATCACAATTAAAAGAACTAGGGAAGCAAGAGCAAACACATTCAAAAGCTAGCAGAAGGCAAGAAATAACTAAGATCAGAGCAGAACTGAAGGAAATAGAGACACAAAAGACCCTTCAAAAAATCAATGAATCCAGGAGCTGGTTTTTTGAAAGGACCCACAAAATTGATACACCACTAGCAAGACTAATAAAGAAGAAAAGAGAGAAGAATCAAATAGATGAAATAAAAAATGACAAAGGGGATATCATCACCGATCACACAGAAATACAAACTACCATCAGAGAATACTATAAACACCTCTACACAAATAAACTAGAAAATCTAGAAGAAATGGATAAATTCCTCGACACATACACTCTCCCAAGACTAAACCAGGAAGAAGTTGAGTCTCTGAATAGACCAATAACAGGCTCTGAAATTCAGGCAATAATTAATAGCTTACCAACCAAAAAATGTCCAGGACCAGATGGATTCACAGCTGAATTCTACCAGAGTACAAGGAGGAGCTGGTACCATTCCTTCTGAAACTATTCCAATCAATAGAAAAGAGGAAATCCACCCTAACTCATTTTATGAGGCCAGCATCATACTGATACCAAAGCCTGGCAGAGACACAACAAAAAAAGAGAATTTTAGACCAATATCCTTGATGAACATCGATGCAAAAATCCTCAACAAAATATTGGCAAACCGAATCCAGCAGCACAGCAAAAAGCTTATCCACCATGATCAAGTGGGCTTCATCCCTGGGATGCAAGGCTGGTTCATCATACGCAAATCAATAAATGTAATCCAACATATAAACAGAACCAAAAACAAAAACCACATGATTATCTCAATAAATGCAGAAAAGGCCTTTGACAAAATTCATCAACCCTTCATATTAAAAACTCTCAATAAATTAGGTATTGATGGGATGTATCTCCAAATAATCAGAGCTATCTATGACAAACCCACAGCCAATATCATACTGAATGGGCAAAAACTGGAAGCATTCCCTTTGAAAACTGCCACAAGACAGGGATGCCCTCTCTCACCACTCCTATTCAACATAGTGTTGGAAGTTCTGGCCAGGGCAATCAGGCAGGAAAAGGAAAAAAAAGGGCATTCAATTAGGAAAAGAGGAAGTCAAATTGTCCCTCTTTGCAGATGACATGATTGTATATCTAGAAAACCCCATCGTCTCAGCCCAAAATCTCCTTAAGCTGATAAGCAATCTCAGCAAAGTCTCAGGATACAAAATCAATGTACAAAAGTCACAAGCATTCTTATACAACAATAACAGACACACAGAGAGCCAAATCATGAGTGAACTCCCATTCACAATTGCTTCAAAGAGAATAAAATACCTAGGAATCCACCTTACAAGGGAAGTGAAGGACCTCTTCAAGGAGAACTACAAACCACTGCTCAATGAAATAAAAGAGGATACAAACAAATGGAAGAACATTCCATGCTCATGGGTAGGAAGAATCAATATCATGAAAATGGCCACACTGCCCAAGGTAATTTATAGATTCAATGCCATCCCCATCAAGCTACCAATGACTTTCCTCACAGAATTGGAAAAAACTACTTTAAAGTTCATATGGAACCAAAAAGGAGCCCGCATTACCAAGTCAATCCTAAGCCAAAAGAACAAAGCTGGAGGCATCACGCTACCTGACTTCAAACTATACTACAAGGCTACAGTAACCAAAACAGCATGGTACTGGTACCAAAACAGAGATATAGATCAATGGAACAGAACGGAGCCCTCAGAAATAATGCCACATATCTACAACTATCTGATCTTTGACAAATCTGACAAAAACAAGCAATGGGGAAAGGATTCCCTATTTAATAAACGGTGCTGGGAAAACTGGCTAGCCATAAGTAGAAAGCTGAAACTGGATCCCTTCCTTACACCTTATACAAAAATTAATTCAAGATGGATTAAAGACTTAAATGTTAGACGTAAAACCATAAAAACCCTAGAGGAAAACCTAGGCAATACCATTCAGGACATAGGCATGGGCAAGGACTTCATGTCTAAAACACCAAAAGCAATGGCAACAAAAGCCAAAATTGACAAATGGGATCTCATTAAACTAAAGAGCTTCTGCACAGCAAAAGAAACTACCATCAGAGTTAATAGGCAACCTACAGAATGGGAGAAAATTTTTGTAACCTACTCATCTGACAAAGGGCTAATATCCAGAATCTACAATGAACTCAAACAAATTTACAAGAAAAAAACAATCCCATCAAAAAGTGGGCAAAGGATATGAACAGACACTTCTCAAAAGAAGACATTTATGCAGCCAAAAGACATGAAAAAATGCTCATCATCACTGGCCATCAGAGAAATGCAAATCAAAACCACAATGAGATACCATCTCATATCAGTTAGAATGGCAATCATTCAAAAGTCAGGAAACAACAGGTGCTGGAGAGGATGTGAAGAAATAGGAACACTTTTACACTGTTGGTGGGACTGTAAGTTAGTTCAACCATTGTGGAAGTCAGTGTGGTGATTCCTCAGGGATCTAGAACTAGAAATACCATTTGACCCAGCCATCCCATTACTGGTTATACATCCAAAGGATTATAAATCATGCTGCTATAAAGACACATGCACACATATGTTTATTGCGGCACTATTCACAACAGCAAAGACTTGGAACCAACCCAAATGTCCAACAACAATAGACTGGATTAAGAAAATATGGCACATACACACCATGGAATACTATGCAGCCATAAAAAATGATGAGTTCATGTCCTTTGTAGGGACATGGATGAAACTGGTAACCATCATTCTCAGCAAACTATCGCAAGGACAAAAAAACCAAACACCGCATGTTCTCACTCATAGGTGGGAATTGCACAATGAGAACACATGGACACAGGAAGGGGAACATCACAAGCCGGGGACTGTTGTGATGTGGGGGTTGGGGGGAGGGATAGCATTAGGAGATATACCTAATGCTAAATGACGAGTTAATCGGTGCAGCACACCAACATGGCACATGTATACATATGTAACAAACCTGCACGTTGTGCACATGTACCCTAAAACTTAAAGTACAATAATAATAAAATTTGAAAAAAACACACTTGAACCAACTAATCAACATTAACATCATTAAGAGTAGGACAACTTGACATCATACACCTCATAATGTAAAGAATAAGTACACAGAGCTTCCTATGAACTAGTTTCAAAAAAACTGGACTTGAATGTAATTAAGTCTCTAGATCTTATATTCTAGAATTTGAATATAATTGTCTATAGTTCTTATATTCTAGAACTTGAATATAATTATATCTCTAGATCTCTAATGCAACAAATTTACAGGAAGTATGAGGGATAAAGGAACAAACTAGATGACACCATGAAGAAGCCATCAGCCAAATCCAGAGTGAGGAATGTTAAATGATGACACCAGCAACCTGATTTCTTCAACAAAGTAATGGCATTAAGAAAAAGGGAGATGAGGGGAAGAGAACCTGTTACAAACTGAAGAAAACAGACATATCAACTAAATATAAATGTGGTCTTTACTTAAATCCCACTTCTAATAAACCAACTGGAAAAGATATTTCTGAGAAAATTGGGAAATTTTTAAAAAGCCTTACATTTTAAGTGATATTAAGGAATTGGTGTTATTTTTGTTAGGTATAACAATAGTATCGTGGTTATGTTTTTCAGCCCTTATCTGTTAGCAATACCTACTGAAGTATTTACAGATAAAATAATATTGTTTTATCTATAAATGACTAATTCATAGATAAAATTGTTGGGGGAAAGAGAACCAAGTCAAGGGATTGAGGAAGACGTTACTTAAAATTGATAATTGTCGACAATTGTTGAAACTGAGTAATGGATATATTGGAGTTAAGTATACTAACTATACTTTCATGGATGTTTAAAAAATTCCATAATAAAAAGATACTTTAAACTCTTGGTTGAGTTCAGGTGTGACATTTTCAATTGTCAGGAATGCTATCCAGAACTTGTGCTAACCAGTCTTCCCTATTATGTGTAAGAAGCACACATTCCACACATTTGACATATTTACATGATGCTCTGTTCATCTCCCATTCTCCTTACTCGATGCATATCCCAATTGCCTCCAGGCCAAGGAAATAAAGGATTGAATAAGACCCAAAAATTATAGACCATGTGCATCAGTTGGTTCCACAGGCTAGTGACATCATAAAACTATTCAGTGTGTGGGCTAGCCTGGTTTAAGGTAATATTGGGTTTATTTTTGTCAGATGAGAACTGTGTTTGTCAGGACCCTTAATGCAGATGTTCCAATACAATGACAACCTTTAAATGTCAAAGCTGATTTTAAAATGAGACATTTCCAAGATTCATAAACTGGATTTAGAGCCCCTTTCTGGCACCACTGCTTTTCCTATGGACGAACACACAGAAAGGGCATGTGAAGACTTTGCAGTCCTCTGATGCTTCAGGCCTACTGGGCTGGATGTGCAAACAGCAACACTATCAAGCGATTCCCCAAACAACTTAAATCTCTTAAAAAAAAAAAAGTTTGGTGCTGTTGAAAAAAGAATATGGAAAAAACAATACTGCGACACAAAGATCAGCTATAAGAACACAACGATGCCATTATAAATGATAAAAAATCAACTTCTGAAAAAACACTGCAGAAAGCGCACAGATTTGGGAGTCAGATAAACCTGCATTTAAATCCTACTTTTATGTCTTGACCAGGTGTATATCCCATTGGCAGGATGTTAAACTTCTCCACGTTTCACTTCCCTCATTTGTCAAGTGGATATGAAAATGCCTATTTAATAGGACTTTTGTAAAAATTTAAGAAAATTTTACACATATATACAAGTGCTTAGTAAAACACATAAGTACTAAAAAATAGTAACTGTTACATGAATTAGAGTGATGAAATGTTCTATCCAATTAAGATAAGAAGCTCCAAAACTACTTTGCTAGAAAACTAAAAAGGAATGCAACAAACCATTTTAAGACTATTTACTATTCATAACAAAACATGAGCACTTTATAAATCATTTATCAATGCTGAATACATGTCTCCTCAATGCGGTAGAAATGGATATTTCTACAAACAAAAGGCAAAATTACATTACTGAAAATGCCTTGAGTGAAGAGAACAATCAGTTGGTCAGTGTAAATTGCAATTCTCTATTTCCTACTACCATTTCATGAAATTTCCATCAGTTCCTTTGCCACATGACTTTGATTTCTTCCCATCAATTCCTGCCCAGCCTGGTGTGCAATTCCCTTGGCCTATGCCCATGTGCTAATCCATTATCTCAACTCTAAAGTACATATACCTTTTCTTTTGTGTCATGTACATACTTGATTCTCCTTAACTATTGTGTATCCCAATTCTACACTGCCATTTTTATGTAGTATAACTTTATCAATTTATTAATATGGTCACTTATGATGCATAATAATTTGGATAGGCTTTTACGTATTGTTTTGCAAACTTACCATTTATGGAACCAGGTAATAGTGTAGATATATCTTCAGTTAGTTGCTCCTTTGGCATTCTGAAAACACTGTAGAAGTTTGTATTAATAATAAAAATAGCTAATATATATTGAGCATTCAACATGTATTAATAAATGCCTAAAATGCATTAACTAGTATTATCCTGATAACCCTAAAAAGAGGATACTACTACTATTTCCACTGTATAACAAGGAAACTGAGGCTTAAAAATCTCAATTCTTCCTGGAGTTCACATAGCTAGTACATAGAGGAATTGGTATAACAGGTCAGTGGTCAGATTCACGAACCCTTACTCTTAACCATTAGACTTTATCATTCATTTGTATTAAGGATTCTGCATTACAATTACTGTATAAGCTCTTAAGCATATTATCTATCAAAGAATAAAAACACAAGCTCCAAGTTAGTAAAGGTTATATCTCATTCATCTGTGTATCCCCAGTACCTTAACCTACATCCTGCCATACATAGAAAATCAATCTTTGATGAATGAAAAAAACAACTGATATCAAATATAAATTCTTCAAAGTTGTTAGCTCTTGCTATGTTTTGTTTTGAAATCAAATCTGAAGAATGTATCACCACTTATTTATTCACAGACTAACATAGTAATTGTGTTAAATATTCTGATCCATTAATTTAATGCAAACCCCCTGAGAATCTTTCATTAGCAGTATTTTAGTAGCCTCATTTAGTAGCCTAGTATTTTTAGGCACTTCAAAGTCACAAAACCAGTATTATATTTTTTCCAAAATACTCTGGGAATGTTTTTTATTTATCCAACTTTTAATCTAAGTAAACTTCCCACTTTACTTAGACCAAATTAATTAGGTGGTGTTCTGTTGGCTTTATATTTTTATTCCACTATTTAGAGTATATATAAGCCCAATTATTCCACTATTTATATTTTTATTCCACTATTTAGAGTATATATGAGCCCAATTTATTCCACTATTTAGAGTATATATAGGCCCAATTTATTCATATATATTTTTTCAACATATATATGAATATATTGAAATATATATTTTGAAATATATTCACAAAATATATGAAAATATATATTTCAATATATTCAAAAATATATGAATATATATTTTTCAATATATTCATATATATGTTGAAAATATATATATGAATACCTATACTTTCACAGTGTTTCAACTCAATAAAATTAATATTGTCAAGAATTTGGAAATAACTTTTGAATTTAGGCAAGTAGCAAATTCTTTTTCATGATAATAGTAATCAAGGACACAGACACCACTGAAAAAATAACTACCAAATAACAGAACTGATTAGGGTGGGAGGAGCTTCAAGATGGCTGAATAGAGGCATCTGGCACTCGCATCTTCCACAGAGAAGAATCAAAGTAGTGAGTAGAATACTTTGAATAGATTTCTAAGAGAGAACACTAGAATTAACAGAGAAGTGACAGGAACCACCTAAAGCAAGGAAGGAGAGAGAAGCAAGGCAGCCTGCTGTCCTAGGAACAGCTGGGAGCCCAGAGAGGCTCCCTAGTGCAGGGAAAGAGTAAGGGAAAGATCCCAGCAGTTTGCATTCCCACTGTGGACTCCTGTAATCCTCACCATGAGACAGTCCCTCCGTCTTCGTGGACCGAGACTAACATAGGGAGCTGCCTGGAGAACACACAAAGGTATTGGTGCAGAGTCGGAGCTCATGCTGCCTCCTTCACACTGCCCAAGACCTAACGAGCTACAGCAATGCACCATATGAAAGCCCAGCCCCTACCAGATTTCATCTTTTCTAGGGCCCAACAGTCCCCGCATCTCTTCATCCCTAAAGCTCCTTTGATATCTCCCATCCACAGCCTCCACGCTTCTGGCTGCTGCCACCAGGGCCAAAATGAAAGCTACTGAGAGCAACCCCTTCACCCACAGTAGTGGATATGCCACGCATTTGCAAGATCCCTAGGGCAGGCTCCCCCATAAGCAGCCGCTGTCTATATCAAAACTTCTCATATGCTCCACATAAATATATGCTTACCCATAAAAATTAAAATTAAAAAAATTAAAAATAGCTAGAAGAGAGGACTTGAAATATTCCCAACACATAGAAATGATAAATACTTGAGGTGATGAATACCTTAAATACACTGATTTGATTGTTACCCATTCCATGCATGTGTATTCCATACATATTAACAAAATATCACTTATACCCCATAAATATCTACAAATATTAAGCATCAATAAAAAACTTAGAACTAAAAATCCTTTTATTTGGCTTCTCATCATCATTAAATATCATTATCTAAAAGAAATATTTATTGAGTAACTCCTATGTGTAAGACGTAGTACTAACAGCCAAAGAAGAGATTAGTTTTAACATAATATGAACTCTTATTGTATGTCCTTGAGTTGGTAGCTCAACTATTTTGTGCAATTATCTCTTCACTTGTAGAATGGGAGCGTCCATTTCTATCTCTTCATACTTCACAGAGTTGTGAGATTTAGTAAAATTTAAAATGAGACTTTTGTTTAAAGATTCTGCATAAACTCAAGATATCTTTACCTCTAGGTATCATATTAAACTTACATGAAGCAAGCAATACTAAACAGCACAATGAGAGAGACATGGGACTTGAAATCAAGAAGCCCAGATCTTTGATAAGCTCTGACATCTTGCTTGAGGGTCAGATGACTGAGAAATAGGCTAGTCTCCCCATCAAGCAAAGGCAAGTCCTGGACAAAAGAGAAAAGGCAAGTCCTGATTATCCTAAGGACAGACACCCAAAGATGTAAGTTTCAAATATGTCTGAACTAGGAAGATCCACAAAGAAGGAAGATAAACAAAATGAGTCTCATAATCCATAGTCCCCAACTCTGTAGATTTAGGTTGTTATGAATTCAATTAGGCTGTTGTCATTCATTCACTTTTTTCACCAAAAAGTTATTAAACACCTAATACATGTCAGGCACTATGCTGATCATTGGGAACCTAAAGATAAATTAGACAAAAGCCTGTCTCTCAAAACAAAAATAAATAAAGCTAGGAAAACAAATAAATACATTAAAATTTTATAAGAAACTGTGAAAGTTGCTGTAATAAATGTACACACTAATCGTACTAGGAGCATATAAAAACAGCATGTAAACCAAAGTAAGAGAGGACAGGAGAGGCTAAATCCAAAAGGATAAGTAAGCACTACCAAATGAAAGGTATTGAGGAGGCTTTCCAAGCAAGAGGAATAGCATAACGAATCATTGCAACACCTCCATTATCTTAATTTTCCACCATTCCCTTCTCCAATCAACATCTCAAGTGATTCTTATGCACCCCATCCAATACCCTATCAACAATTTTTTGACCAATACAGGACCTCCAGTCTACAGACTCTATCACTTTTACACTGTCTCTCACCCTACTCCTGTCTTCTTTTCCTTCATTACCCAACTTCAATTCCAAGACTCATCATTAAATTCGCTTTTTTACATATGCTCTCAATTTCCTTGCTCCTTTCATAAATTCTGGGTGAGACTCCAATTCTACTTAAATGCAACTGTCTACCCTGTGCATAGCCTGAACAACTCAATGTTGTTGGAGAAAAGCAAACCACCATGCAACAGATCTCACTTTACACTTATTTCTAGTAAGCTAAAAAAAAAAATTAAAATAAAAAAATGCTCTTGATACTGCCTGGCAATTCTCACTTCCCTACTGTCCTACTCTCCTAAAAATCTATTTCACACATCTCACTTCAAATGATAAACACCTCTTCTGCCTCCTTGCTCTCAGCTCTGGCCTTTGTTCCAATTTCACCAAAAAATAGAACCCTTCAGAAGAGTAACTTCTACATCCTGTTTTCTCCACCACAACTGCCACTCTATATATCCTGCCATCCTGCCAGTTCAAAATGGTGAACCACCCAAGATCCTATTGGGGGCCAACTCCTCCACTTGTAAATGGTTCCCATCTGCTCTCATTTAGTCAAGGGCATTGCTTCTGCCGTTACTCCTACTCTCTTCCACCATCACGAATTTTTCTCTCTACTGAGTCAATAACATTTTCTTCTTAAAACGCTTTCCTCCCTTGGCTTATGAGGCACCACTCTCTCAGTTCTTTTTCTACCTCAGGGGCTGCTTATTCAGTCTCCTTCACTGTTTTTTCCTTATCTTCTAAAACTATAAACGTAGAAGTACTAAGACCTCTTCTGCTCTCTCCTAGGTGAGCTCGTCTATAAATTCCATCTATACTTTCACACTCTTCAGTCCCAACCTCTCCCCTGAACTATTGTCTCTTATATAGAGCATGAAGATTCAGAGCTTTATTGAGGGGAGGCAGACTGGGGTGAGGAGGGCATCCATAGAGAAGGGTCGTCCAGGATAAGAATCACAGTCCAAGCAGGGTTAAGAGGGGATCAGTGTGGGAGAGAAATTCAGCATGGGGTATCAGAGCCCAAATATGGTGAGAAGGATATTCATGCAATAGGATAGTCTGACATGAGGAGTCCAACCACGGAGTGGTCTATACAAGATGAATAAGGGATATAAGGGATGGACCATGAAACACAAAAGCCCAGGCAGGAAGAGGAAGACCTTCCCAAGGCAGTGTGGCCAGGCAGAGAGTACCACAGTTCAGCGCAAGTGAGGGAAGGAGGATGTTCATATTAGTACTACTATCTAGACACTACAGTGTGTCCATACAGATGTGTGACCAGGTACAGGGTCAAGATCTAAGTAGGATGAAGAGGATATCCAGGCATCTTTTAAACCAGGGACCTATTTGGTCTCTTTAAAGTAATTTTCAAAATCTCTAACCTGATATAGTATGTGTTTTTCAAGCTCACTTACTGTTATATCCATGTTCTACCTATAAATACAAAATACTGTGGCAACTTGTTGGAATGGGAGTGGGTAGGTACATGAGTGGTGGCCAGGTCTAGTATCATAGAAGAGGTGACAATATTTGTCGGACTGTAAGGATTAATTTGCTTTCCCTAGATGGAGAGAGGGAGCAAAGTAAATCTACACCAAAGGAATTGCAAAGATGTAGAATCATAAAAAATGTCATCCATTTAGTAATTTAAACTAGTTAAAGTCTGGAATGACATAATTTCAATTTGAACAGTAGATTATGAGAAGATACAGTTCCTAGATAAATCAGAGAACCCAACAACCATGTAGTAGTAGTGAGTATGGCATATAGGTATCATATCCAGTTCTGAAGTTAGATTTGCGCTATTATTTCTGCTTCGGAAATTACTCTTTGTACGATCCTGGACAAATTCCTAAACATTATATACCTCCATTTCTCTACCTGTAAAATTGGAAATAGTAACTGCTTCTACTTATTTCATAGATTTATTATGAAGATTAAATCATATAATTCCCTTAGACCAGTGATTCTCAACCAGGGGGTAATTTTGCCCCCAAGGGACTTTTAGTAATGTCTGGAGACATTTTTTGTTATCATGACTGGGGAGGTGGGGAGGCTGCTACTGTTATCTAGTAGGTAAAAGTCAAGGATGTTCTTAATATCCTATCATCCACAGGACATCCTTCACACAAAGAATTTCTGGACCAAAATATTAACAGTTCTGAAGTTGTAAAACCCTAACTTATAGTATACAGTGAATAAATGTTATGCGGAAAGAGGAGGAGGAGGAGGACGAAGTAAGGAGAAGGAAAAAGTGGTGGGAGGAGGAGGAGGAGGAATGATGCTGTGCACAGGAGATGAGCTTACTGCAGCTGCTTTCTGCTATGGTGAATGCTAAGACATCATGACCTGCTTGTCATTGACTGCACCCCCTAATCCCAGCCACCACTTACTCTTCTACTTATACAATTGGTCATAGGATGATTAGATAAGAATTACAAACTGGTGGGCCCTGAAAGGGGAGTCAAGCATCTGACCAAAGATAAGTTTATAAAACAGGAAGCATGAGTGACCAAACTCCCCTGTAACTCTAACACATAGGCACCATCTCCTGTCCCATAAAAAATCAACTCAGACGTGAGAACAGTAAATCGCAAGACCCAATAACCAACCATGAAAGCCAGCAGTTCACTCAGTCACTAGTCTTGAAAGAGTGATTCATACAACTCATGTCTAATGAACCAGGCATGTATTAAAAATGGACCATATCACACTAAACATTTCTCCCATATAAATCCTGTGAGGCCAAAAGATCTCTGAAGATTCTGCAATCCAGCAGGTGACAAAGCTAGAAATGGCTAAGAACAAGAACAGAGGATGCCCTGGTGAATATATAGGATCCATGACAGTATAGCTTTCTTCAAACTAAGCTTCAGCTAACCACGCTTTGGCAGAACAAAATACAGAAGCAAGGGTTGAGCCACAAACCAAAGAGCAATCTGCATGTATATAGACGTGGAAAGAATTGCTTGTCAGAGGCTGGTTTTTCTCAGCCACAGGCTCATATGCGATGGTATCATCTTCAAATTATGAAGGACAATTTGATTCTTTATCGAGGTATGCAGGGAACCAATGAAGGATAATACCCTAGTTGACAAGTTAATGTCTCAACAGGAAAGACCAATTAAGAAATGTGTCATTTAAGGCACTGCCTATACTTCCAGAATCAACTCAATGTTTTTGTTTGAACTGACATCTGAAAAGAACAACTAAATGCTGGGTCTGGAGTGAGGCAGAATTGGGTTTCAGTATTAGCTCCTCCATTCACTGACTGCGTCTTTGAGGAAAAGTTATTAAACTCTCCAGACCCCAATCTCCTCAACTCTAGAACGGGGATGCTAATACTAGCTACACTGTGGAGCTGTAGTGAGGATTAACTGTGATAATTCAGGTAGAATTCCTATCTCCACACCAAGCACAGAGTAAGCCTTTGGTATATGCTGGCTGCCTTTGGTGTCCATGAAAAAAATCATTTATTTAATTTTCATATATCATCTCCTATATTTGAGAGGAAAGAACACAGGTCTTCTCAATCATATCACATGTCGATAACTGTGAATTGGAGTGCAGGGGTTCATATACACTAAAAATAGAACTATAAAAAAAACTGACTGATGAATGTGTTCATAATTCTTCCCCAATGTAAACATAACATTTGTTTAGTTTTGATATATCTATTCAAATGTTTGTCCTTCTGTGTTCTTTCTCACACCCATATTACCACCACCACTTTTAGAAGAAAGGACATTTCTTTTGAATAATCTGTTCCTCTTATATTTTTCTTTCTCTGCTGTGCTACTGATCAATCATTGTCAGAAATCTGTCAGCAACAGAAGTTCCACTCAGTGCCAGGTACAGTGGCTCATGCCTGTAATCCCAATACTTTGGGAGGCTGAGGCAGGAGAATTGCTTGATGCCAGGAATTGGTCAACATAGTGAGACCCCATCTCTACAAAAATATTTAAAAATTAGCTAGGCATAGTGGCTCGTGCCTGTAGTCCTAGCTATTCAGGAGGCTGATGCATGAGGATCGCTGGAGCCTAGGAGTTTGAGGTTACGGTGAGCTATGATTACTCCACTGCATTCCAGATTAGAAGACAGAGCAAGACTGTGTCTCAATAAAAAAGGAAGAAGAAGAAGAAAGAAGAAGAAGAGGAAGGAAGAAGAAGAAGAAGAAGAAGAAGAAGAAGAAGAAGAAGAAGAAGAAGAAGAAGAGGAAGAGGAACAGGAAGAGGAAGAAGAAGAAGAGGAAGAGGAAGAAGAAGAAGAAGAAGAGAGAGGGAGGGGGAGGGGGAGAGGGAGGAGGAGAAGTTGTTCCACTGGCAGAAGTTTCCTAGTGGTCACTGCAGTAGCTCAGTCCCAGGAATTATATTGTGAAAACAAACCCCTTTCTTCCTGGAATGCTGAAGTTAAGCTATCCCAAAGTCCACGATTAGAACATGATTACTTCTAATGAAAGATACACTTAGTAAAATATAAGTCAGTTTCATATCTAGAGGGAGAATAATAATAGGTTAGAATACTAGAATAAGAGAAAGGAAGGAAAGAAGCACAAAATTAAATTAGTATTACCACTGATTGTTTTGTGAGCTGCAATAAATCAGTTTTCACTGTAAGTGAAACATGAAAAATGTTATGATCGCTAACATTTTTTAAATACCTACTAATGTGCCAAGCACAGTTCTAAGTCTTTTACATGTATTAACTCACAACAATCTTATGAGGTAGAAATTATGACAACTGCATTTTGTAAGATGAGGGAAAGGAAGGTTAGGGAGGTGAACTGCCAAGATTACACAGCTAGTAAGTGGCAGATCTGGGGTTTAAACCCAGGTAGTATGACTCCAGAGACTTTCCTTTTAACCTCTACTCTTTGATGTCCCTGAATAAAAGTAAAGGAATATTGCCTATCAGACAGCATTAGAAATCTAGACAACAACCCATTTCACAAGATAACATTAGGTAATGAAGCTATAATCTCATCATGGTAACAATTTAAATGATTTTGCCCCCAACCAAAGGTAATGTTGTATTTTAAGGAGAGTAAAGAAAATCTTTTAATTCATTAGGATTGTACAGTCAGCCCACAAAACTTTCAGAATTTGGTGATTGTAATCGTCTTAATGAGAATGAGTATTTTTTTCTTCCAAGAGTTTAACATTGTTACCAGAAAGTAATATGAGGTTTTCTCCAAGTAGTTTAACTTAACTATAAAGGTCTGTCTTAAAGTGTTCTAATTTTTCATTGTCTTTTTCTATTTAATTCACAAATTTCTCATTTCCCCTTAAGTGAATAAACCATAAACTCAAATATTTTTCTTCTCATTGGCTCACAAGCACCATCTAGTGAAAAAACAGAATAATTACAGAATAGTTTCTCATGGGAATCACTATTTACTTTGTATTAACAAAGCCCAATACAATACCATTTTTTCATTGTTCTAAAACAGAATGAGATGTGTTCAATGAAACGTTATAGACAGGGCTAAAATTTGCATTCAAAAGTTGTTATTGTTTTGAATTTGCAGATATTGAGAACTAGCTTGCTTTCTATTTCCAACCCCTATTGGCCTTCCCACTACCAGGGACTATGAGTTATCAGATAGCATTTAAGTGATAAATTTTATGGTACCAATATTGCAGAATTGTTTTTGAAATTTATTGTTCTGTATCAGCCCACCCTTTGCTCTCTCCCTTTTCCTTTTCATTTCTCGTGCTATGTTTTTAAAAATATATTCACCAAACCATCTATTGAGGACAACACTTGCCCTCAAGAAGTTCACAGTTTAGTAGATTTAGATGTTAGGGAAATAAAGTATTACAGGTATTATGATAGTGTATAGTGTATAGTAGAATTAATCAATTCAGATAGAATTGGCTACTATTTTGCAATTTATTGTAGATCAAGAAGCACATCTTATTATACAGCAGAAACTCTTTTAGCCAGCCTCCACTTAACCAACTCACTACATTAACTGAAGCTCTTCATTGCATCTGTAAAATATATTGATTAATTCCCACTGTATACTGAATGCTTTGGGCTAGTAGGCTACTCTAAAATGCTCGTGGACTTCTGTTGCTACCAGCTAATTGTATGCTTAACAAGAGGCAACTGGGTTTTGTTTCCAAACATGTTCATGCAAGATTTACTTGCAGTCACACAATATTAATTACACAATTTAATTAAATAATACATCAACCAATAAAATATAAGTTTAAGTACTATTGTCAAATCAGGTTGGAGTGAAACAACTATAAAAGATTTGAGGAAAATCATAAAAACTAAAAGAATTCTGCATTCAAATTGCATTGAAGATGTTTTTAGGTTTTTACTCTAATTTTAAAAAAAAACTTACTTGATGTCTATAGATATGTTTTATGCAAGAGAGACAGTGTGCAGCATTTCTAGTATCTCAAACCTTAAGATGAAGTGAACAATGATGACAAAAGGATTAATAACCAAGAACCATATAAAAAAGTGGCAAAGAGGCTTAAGAATAATGTCAAAAAAAGCAAAAGCACAAAGGGAGCTCAAGGCTGTGGAAAAAAACAATAAACTTCGCCCTTAAAATCATATTTAGCGAAAAATGAGAGCAGGAGATGTGCACATCTTTGGAGTATGGTAGATGATGTCATAGTAAGTAGCAGAGAGAAAGTTGATCTCAAATCCCATTTTCCTCTGTTTCCTGTAAAAGAGAGTGAAACTTAGATGGAAAAAAGACCCTTACAAAGGACCTCATAACTCCTCTAAATTGCGTTCAAATGAAACTTTCACATGCTATTTCCAAGCATAATTCCAGAGCATGCTTTGAGCTGACGGAATCTGTAGTCAGCCATCTTTAAAGAATCAAGACAAACTAGAAAAGTGTTACAAGTGTTACAAATATATTCCTGACCAAAAATGGCAAGAAGTGGATAGTGCAAATGATGGACTGGACTGTTAATCATCTTCAGCTACATTCCAGAACAAATTATTAAAATCTTAGACTATGAGAATTTTTAAAGGGAACCATGTTGAGTATGGATCAGAATTAGTTCATAGAAAACAAGTCCTACCAGAACTAACTCATTTCTGGGTTTGTGTATTTATTACGTTAGTCAGTTTCTTATTTTTGTGTGCTTTTAGAAGATATTTGACAAAGCTTCTAAGATATTTTTCTGGACAAAAAGTGAAGAAATATGAGTTCAATATACACAGTTGTTTCTACCTAAAGTACCCAGATTAACAGATCAGAGTCAGCCTTGGAGAAGAGCTTGGAATGCATGTTGCCCAGTTTTAGCCTAAGCCCTACAAAATGATGACATCTTTTTTCCCTCAGTGAATCCAGTGAGAAAATTGATGCTGTATTTGCAGGTGACACAAAATTAGAAGGAACAGTCAACACATTGGATGAAACAGAATCAGAAACCTGATCTCAGAGGATAGAAAATGGGCTCAAATGAGTCAAGTTAAAAAAAAAAAAAAACTACATGTGTAAATGGGAGAGAAATGGATTCACATCAGCAGCATGTGTAGAAAAAGATGAAGGGTTTTAGTTAAGTTCATTGTAAGAAAAAGAAGTGTCAAAAGAGTTCATGTTATCATAGACTGTATTAATTAAAGAATTAGTAGCTTAGAGAGGAGATGCCCAGAATAGTCTGTCAGTGGTGTCAAATGTTACAGAAATGTGCAAGAAAATGCATTTGAGATATGTATTTGGTGATGAGGTTATTGTTTACTTTCCAAAGTGATTTCAGTTAAATAATTAAGGTAGGGACCAAAAAAAAAATTTTTAAGGAGCAAACAGAATGTGAGCAAAAGTACCCATTAGAGGGCTTTGATTGGTAAAGGGAAGAAAATAACTTTTAGATAGAGAAGATAAGCTAATATTAGATTAATGTTAAGTACTCTTGTTTTTTTAAAAAAACTTTGAAATTTTATGCAATTTAGAGTAAAACAATTAAAATTCAAAAACTACATGCTTAGTATTCCTAGATTATTATCCAGCTTCAGCTGTGCTGTCTCTAATAATCAGTAATTTTTATATTTTATTTTAATTTTTTTTAAGATAAGCATATCAGAAAGACCAACTCTGGGTGATACAAAGGAACTAGAATATGGTTTAGCAGAATTATTGGAGTAGTAAAAAGAAAAGAGGAATCTAAACTGTGAGCAACAGCAGACAGAAAATTTTCTGCCTATCAGCTCTACCATAAAGAAACAACCTGTATAGGAAACATGGGCCAGAATGGAACAGAGAAAAGAGTCAGAAGATGATGAAGAACCCAGACAATAAAAAGAGGAGCACTAGAAGTAAAAGGAGGACAGAAATTCTGCCCAAACCAGGCTAGACTACAAGCTTCATAATTTTTGAATAAGGAAAGAGTAATAGTTAACACCGAACCACAATATGGTTTTCTAGTTGAATAATTTGTAGCTTGTTATGTGGATATGTATGCTTAGGTAGATAATGAGGACTACAGCTATACCATGAAAAAGAGAGGGAGAAGAAGAGAGAGAGAGAGGGAGAGAGAGAAAGGAAAAGAGAGGGAAGAAAGACAGGGAAAACTACTCAAGAGCAGCCTGCCCATAAAAAGGAGTACTACAGACCCTGGGAGTGAAGCACATGATCCTTCTCATGGCACCACACCAAAACAACTGATTCTGTATTTGTAAAGGGTGAAAAAATCTTTCTGAAAAATTGACTCTACCAAACACATGCATGAAGTTAAGCAAATGTCAAATTGGTACAATTACTATATTTCTTTGCTTCTTTGTTTAGTATCACAAAGAGTTCAAAAATTACAAATAGTTTCAACTTACTAAGAAGTTGTTTTCTAAATGTTAGTTGGCAAATCAGTTCTATGACAGCAAAGTGTTGTGGTTCAGAGTGGAGCCAGACAGCCCAGATTCAAATCCTGATGCCACCACCTACTTAATTAATTGGGCCCTGAGCTTCCACATCTATAAAATGGGATAGCTACTCAAAGGATTGTTCTGCTGTAATTAATAAGTTAGTATATTGAAAGTCTTTAGGACAGTGGTTGGTACTTAATCAGTGTTAAACAAATGTTAGCTATTGTAATTAGCATCCTTATAGAAAGAGGAACAGGAGCATAATAGGGCCGTGGCTATGGGAAAAAAACAGGAGAGAAATACCATGTCACCAGGAAACTGATGATAAACAGGCATAAGTCATTTTATTGTGCTTTAAGGCATTTTGCAGATATTGTGCTTTTTTACAAATTGAAAGTTTGTAGCAACCCTGCATTCAGCAAGTCTGTCAGCATCATTTTTCCAACAGCATGTGCTCACTTTGTGTCTTTGTGTCACATTTTGGTAATTCACATAATATTTCAGACTTTTATATTATTTTTATATTTGTTATGGTGATCTGTGATCAGTGATTTTAATGTTACTATTGTAATCGTTTTGGGATTGATAAATGTTGTGTGTGTTCTGACTGCTCCATCAACCAGCCATTCCCCAATCTCTCGCCTTCTCCTCAGGCCCTCCCTATTACCTAAGACACAATAATATTAAAATTAGGACAATTAATAACCCTATAATGGCCTCTTAAGTTTTCAAGTAAAAGGAAGAGTTGCACATCTCTCACATTAAGTAAAGAGATAGAAATGATTAAGCTAAGTGAGGAAGGCATCTTGAAGGCCAAGACAGGCTGAAAGCTATGCTTTTTGTGCCAGTTAACCAAGTTGTAAATGCAAAGGAAAAGTTCTTGAAAAAAATTAAAAGTGCTACTCCAGTGAACACGTGAATGATAAGAAAGTGAAACAGGCTTATGGCTGATATGGAGAAAACTTGAGTGGCCTGGAGAGACGATCAAACCAGCCACAACCTTTCATTAAGCCAAACCTAATCCAGAGCAAGGCTTAACTCTCTTCAATTCTCTGAAGGCTGAGAGAGGTGAGGAAGCAGCTACAGAAGAAAAGTAGAAAGCTAGCAGAGATTGGCTCATGAAGTTTAAGGAAAGAAGCCATCTCTGTAACATAAAAGTGCAAGGTAAAGCATCAAGTGCTGTTGTAGAAAGTGCAGCAAGTTATCCAGAAGATTTAGCTAAGATAATTGAAGGAGGTGATCGCGCTAAACAAAAGATTTTCAATATAAATGCAACAGCCTTCTACTGGAAGAAGATGACATCCAGGAATTTTGTAACTAGAGAGGAGAAATCAATATCTGGTTTCAAAGCGTCAAAGGACAGGCTGACTCTCTTGTGAGAGGCTAATGCAGGTGGTGACTTAAAGTTTATGCCAATGCTCATTTACCATTCTGAAAATTCTAGAGCCCTTAAGAATTATGCTAAACCTACTCTTCCTGTGCTCTAGAAATGAAACCGCAGAACCTGGATGACAGTGCGTCTGTTTACAGCATGGTTTACTGAATATTTTAAGCCCACTGTTGAAAACTACTGCTCAGAAAAATAGATTTCTTTCAAACTATTACTGCTTATTGACAATGCACCTACTTATCCAAGGGCTCTGCTGGAGATGTGCAAGCAGATTAATGTTATTTCATGCCTGCTAACACAAGAGTCATTCTGCAGCCCATGAGTCAGGAAGTAATTTTGACTTCCAAATCTTATTATTTAAGAAACACATTTTGTAAGACCATAGCTACCATAGATAGTAATTTCTCTGATGGATCTGGGCAAAGTCAATTGAAAAGCTTCTGGGAAGGATTCACCATTCTAGATACCATTAAGGACATTCATGATTCATGAGAAGAGGTCAAAATATCAATATTAACAGGAGTTTGGAAGAAGTTGATTATAACCCTAAAGGATGACTTTGAGGGGTTCAAGGCAGAATGGAGGAAGTAACTGCAGATGTGATGGAAATAGCAAGAGAACTAGAGTTAGAAGTGGAGCCTGAAGATGAGACTGAATTGCTGCAGTATCATGATCAAACTTTAACATATAAGGAGTTGCTTCTTATGGATGAGCAAAGAAAGTGAGATGGAATCTACTCCTGGTGAAGATGTTGTAAACACTGTTGAAATGACAACAAAGGATTTAGAGTAAACTTCGTTGATGAAGAAAGAGCAGGGTTTCAGACACCAATTTGAAAAGAGGTTCTATGAGAGTAAAATGCTATTACACAGCGTCACATACTACAGGGAAATCTTTCATAAAAGGAAGAGTCCATCAATGCAGCAAACTTCATTGTTGTCTTATTTTAAGAAATTGTCACAATCACCTCAATCTTCAGCCACCACTACCCTGACCAGTCAGGAGCCATTAACATCAAGGCAAGACCCTCCACCAGCAAAAAACTATATATATATATGACTCATTTATGGCTCTGATAATTGCATTTTGTAGCAATTTAAGTATTTTTAATTAAGGTATGTACATTTTTAAAGACATAATGCTATTACACACTTAGTTGACTATAGTTTAGTGTAAACATAACTTTTTTTTAATTTATTTTTTTTTAATTATACTTTAAGTTTTAGGGAACATGTGCACATTGTGCAGGTTAGTTACATATGTATACATGTGCCATGCTGGTGCGCTGCACCCATTAACTCGTCATCGAGCATTAGGTATATCTCCCAATGCTATCCCTTCCCCCTGCCCCCACCCCATAACAGTCCCCAGAGTGTGATATTCCCCTTCCTGTGTCCATGTGATCTCATTGTTCAATTCCCACCTATCAGTGAGAATATGCGGTGTTTGGTTTTTTGTTCTTGTGATAGTTTACTGAGAATGATGATTTCCAATTTCATCCATGTCCCTGCAAAGGACGTGAACTCATCATTTTTTATGGCTGCATAGTATTCCATGGTGTATATGTGCCACATCTTCTTAATCCAGTCTATCATTGTTGGACATTTGGGTTGGTTCCAAGTCTTTGCTATTGTGAATAATGCCACAATAAACATACGTGTGCATGTGTCTTTATAGCAACATGATTTATAGTCCTTTGGGTATATACCCAGTAATGGGATGGCTGGGTCAAATGGCATTTCTAGTTCTAGATCCCTGAGGAATCGCCACACTGACTTCCACAATGGTTGAACTAGTTTACAGTCCCACCAACAGTGTAAAAGTGTTCCTATTTCTCCACATCCTCTCCAGCACCTGTTGTTTCCTGACTTTTGAATGATTGCCATTCTAACTGGTGTGAGATGGTATCTCATTGTGGTTTTGATTTGCATTTCTCTGATGGCCAGTGATGATGAGCATTTTTTCATGTGTTTTTTGGCTGCATAAATGTCTTCTTTTGAGAAGTGTCTGTTGATGTCCTTCACCCACTTTTTGATGGGGTTGTTTGTTTTTCTCTTGTAAATTTGTTTGAGTTCATTGTAGATTCTGGATATTAGCCCTTTGTCAGATGAGTAGGTTGCAAAAATTTTCTCCCATTTTGTAGGTTGCCTGTTCACTCTGATGGTAGTTTCTTTTGCTGTGCAGAAGCTCTTTAGTTTAATTAGATCCCATTTGTCAATTTTGTCTTCTGTTGCCATTGCTTTTGGTGTTGTAGACATGAAGTCCTTCCCATGCCTATGTCCTGAATGGTAATGCCTAGGTTTTCCTCTAGGGTTTTTATGGTTTTAGGTCTAACATGTAAGTCTTTAATCCATCTTGAATTGATTTTTGCATAAGGTGTAAGGAAGGGATCCAGTTTCAGCTTTCTACATATGGCTAGCCAGTTTTCCCAGCACCATTTATTAAATAGGGAATCCTTTCCCCATTGCTTGTTTTTCTCAGGTTTGTCAAAGATCAGATGGTTGTAGATATGTGGCATTATTTCTGAGGGCTCTGTTCTGTTCCATTGATCTATATCTCTGTTTTGGTACCAGTACCATGCTGTTTTGGTTACTGTAGCCTTGTAGTATAGTTTGAAGTCAGGTAGCATGATGCCTCCAGCTTTGTTCTTTTGGCTTAGGATTGACTTGGCAATGCGGGCTCTTTTTTGGTTCCATACGAACTTTAAAGTAGTTGTTTCCAATTCTGTGAAGAAAGTCATTGGTAGCTTGATGGGGATGGCATTGAATCTATAAATTACCTTGGGCAGTATGGCCATTTTCACAATATTGATTCTTCCTACCCATGAGCATGGAATGTTCTTCCATTTGTTTGTGTCCTCCTTTATTTCCTTGAGGAGTGGTTTGTAGTTCTCCTTGAGGAGGTCCTTCACATCCCTTGTAAGTTGGATTCCTAGGTATTTTATTCTCTTTGAAGCAATTGTGAATGGGAGTTCACTCATGATTTGGCTCTCTGTTTGTCTGTTCTTGGTGTATAAGAATGCTTGTGATTTTTGTACATTGATTTTGTATCCTGAGACTTTGCTGAAATTGCTTATCAGCTTAAGGAGATTTTGGGCTGAGACAATGGGGTTTTCTAGATAAACAATCATGTCATCTGCAAACAGGGACAATTTGACTTCCTCTTTTCCTAATTGAATACCCTTTATTTCCTTCTCCTGCCGAATTGCCCTGGTCAGAACTTCCAACACTATGTTGAATAGGAGTGGTGAGAGAGGGCATCCCTGTCTTGTGCCAGTTTTCAAAGGGAATGCTTCCAGTTTTTGCCCATTCAGTATGATATTGGCTGTGGGTTTGTCATAGATAGCTCTTATTATTTTGAAATACGTCCCATCAATACCTAATTTATTGAGAGTTTTTAGCATGAAGGGTTGATGAATTTTGTCAAAGGCTTTTTCTGCATCTATTGAGATAATCATGTGGTTTTTGTCTTTGGTTCTGTTTATATGCTGGATTACATTTATTGATTTGCATATATTGAACCAGCCTTGCATCCCAGGGATGAAGCCCACTTGATCATGGTGGATAAGCTTTTTGATGTGCTGCTGGATTCGGTTTGCCAGTATTTTATTGAGGATTTTTGCATCAATGTTCATCAAGGATATTGGTCTAAAATTCTCTTTTTTGGTTGTGTCTCTGCACGGCTTTGGTATCAGAATGATGCTGGCCTCATAAAATGAGTTAGGGAGGATTCCCTCTTTTTCTATTGATTGGAATAGTTTCAGAAGGAATGGTACCAGCTCCTCCTTGTACTCTGGTAGAATTCGGCTGTGAATCCATCTGGTCCTGGACTCTTTTTGGTTGGTAAGCTATTGATTATTGCCTCAATTTCAGATCCTGTTATTGGTCTATTCAGAGACTCAACTTCTTCCTGGTTTAGTCTTGGGAGAGTGTATGTGTCGAGGAATTTATCCATTTCTTCTAGATGTTCTAGTTTATTTGCGTAGAGGTGTTTGTAGTATTCTCTGATGATAGTTTGTATTTCTGTGGGATCGGTGGTGATACCCCTTTATCATTTTTTATTGCGTCTATTTGATTCTTCTTTTCTTCTTTATTAGTCTTGCTAGTGGTCTATCGATTTTGTTGATCTTTTCAAAAAAAAACAGCTTCTGGATTCATTAATTTTTTGAAGGGTTTTTTGTTTCTCTATTTCCTTCAATTCTGCTCTGATTTTAGTTATTTCTTGCCTTCTCCTAGCTTTTGAATGTGTCTGCTCTTGCTTTTCTAGTTCTTTTAATTGTGATGTTAGGGTGTCAATTTTGGATCTTTCCTGCTTTCTCTTGTGGGCATTTAGTGCTATCAATTTCCCTCTACACACTGCTTTGAATGCGTCCCAGAGATTCTGGTATGTTGTGTCTTTGTTCTCATTGGTTTCAAAGAACATCTTTATTTCTGCCTTCATTTCGTTATGTACCCAGTAGTCATTCAGGAGCAGGTTGTTCAGTTTCCATGTAGTTGAGCGGTTTTGAGTGAGATTCTTAATCCTGAGTTCTAGTTTGATTGCACTGTGGTCTGAGAGATAGTTTGTTATAATCTCTGTTCTTTTACATTTGCTGAGGAGAGCTTTACTTCCAAGTATGTGGTCAATTTTGGAATAGGTGTGGTGTGGTGCTGAAAAAAATGTATATTCTGTTGATTTGGGGTGGAGAGTTCTGTAGATGTCTATTAGGTCTGCTTGGTGCAGAGCTGAGTACAATTCCTGGGTATCCTTCTTGACTTTCTGTCTCGTTGATCTGTCTAATGTTGACAGTGGGGTGTTAAAGTCTCCCATTATTAATGTGTGGGAGTCTAAGTCTCTTTGTAGGTCACTCAGGACTTGCTTTATGAATCTGGGTGCTCCTGTATTGGGTGCATATATATTTAGGATAGTTAGCTCTTCTTGTTGAATTGATCCCTTTATCATTATGTAATGGCCTTCTTTGTCTCTTTTGATCTTTGTTGGTTTAAAGTCTGTTTTATCAGAGACTAGGATTGCAACCCCTGCCTTTTTTTGTTTTCCATTTGCTTGGTAGATCTTCCTCCATCCTTTTATTTTGAGCCTATGTGTGTCTCTGCCTGTGAGATGGGTTTCCTGAATACAGCACACTGATGGGTCTTGACTCTTTATCCAATTTGCCAGTCTGTGTCTTTTAATTGAGCATTTAGTCCATTTACATTTAATGTTAATATTGTTATGTGTGAATTTGATCCTGTCATTATGATGTTAGCTGGTTCTTTTGCTGGTTAATTGATGCAGTTTCTTCCTAGTCTCGATGGTCTTTACATTTTGGCATGATTTTGCAGTGGCTGGTACCGGTTGTTCCTTTCCATGTTTAGCGCTTCCTTCAGGAGCTCTTGTAAGGCAGGCCTGGTGGTGACAAAATCTCTCAGCATTTGCTTGTCTATAAAGTATTTTATTTCTCCTTCACTTATGAAGCTTAGTTTGGCTGCATATGAAATTCTGGGTTGAAAATTCTTTTCTTTAAGAATGTTGAATATTGGCCTCCACTCTCTTCTGGCTTGTAGGGTTTCTGCCGAGAGATCCGCTGTTAGTCTGATGGGCTTCCCTTTGAGGGTAACCCGACCTTTCTCTCTGGCTGCCCTTAACATTTTTTCCTTCATTTCAACTTTGGTGAATCTGACAATTATGTGTCTTGGAGTTGCTCTTCTCGAGGAGTATCTTTGTGACATTCTCTGTATTTCCTGAATCTGAATGTTGGCCTGCCTTGCTAGATTGGGGAAGTTCTCCTGGATAATATCCTGCAGAGTGTTTTCCAACTTGGTTCCATTCTCCTCATCACTTTCAGGTACACCAATCAGACGTAGATTTGGTCTTTTCACATAGTCCCATATTTCTTGGAGGCTTTGCTCATTTCTTTTTATTCTTTTTTCTCTAACCTTCCCTTCTTGCTTCATTTCATTCATTTCATCTTCCATTGCTGATACCCTTTCTTCCAGTTGATCACATCGGCTCCTGAGGCTTCTGCATTCTTCACGTAGTTCTCGAGCCTTGGTTTTCAGCTCCATCAGCTCCTTTAAGCACTTCTCTGTATTGGTTATTCTAGTTATACATTCTTCTAAATTTTTTTCAAAGTTTTCAACTTTTTTGCCTTTGGTTTGAATGTCCTCCCGTAGCTCAGAGTAATTTGATCGTCTGAAGCCTGCTTCTCTCAGCTCGTCAAAGTCATTCTCCATCCAGCTTTGTTCTGTTGCTGGTGAGGAACTGCATTCCTTTGGAGGAGGAGAGGCACTCTGCTTTTTAGAGTTTCCAGTTTTTCTGCTCTGTTTTTTCCCCATCTTTGTGGTTTTATCTACTTTTGGTCTTTGATGATGGTGATGTACAGATGGGTTTTTGGTGTGGATGTCCTTTCCATTTGTTAGTTTTCCTTCTAACAGAGAGGACCCTCAGCTGCAGGTCTGTTGGAGTACCCTGCCGTGTGAGGTGTCAGTGTGCCCCTGCTGGGGGGTGCCTCCCAGTTAGGCTGCTCGGGGGTCAGGGGTCAGGGACCCACTTGAGGAGGCAGTCTGCCCATTCTCAGATCTCCAGCTGCGTGCTGGGAGAACCACTGCTCTCTTCAAAGCTGTCAGACAGGGACATTTAAGTCTGCAGAGGTTACTGCTGTCTTTTTGTTTGTCTGTGCCCTGCCCCCAGAGGTGGAGCCTACAGAGGCAGGCAGGCCTCCTTGAGCTGTGGTGGGCTCCACCCAGTTGGAGCTTCCCGGCTGCTTTGTTTACCTAAGCAAGCCTGGGCAATGGTGGGCGCCCCTCCCCCAGCCTCGCTGCCGCCTTGCAGTTTGATCTCAGACTGCTGTGCTAGCAATCAGTGAGACTCCATGGGCGTAGGACCCTCCAAGCCAGGTGCGGGATATAATCTCGTGGTGCGCCATTTTTTAAGCCAGTCGGAAAAGGGCAGTATTCGGGTGGGAGTGACCTGATTTTCCAAGTGCGTCTGTCACCCCTTTCTTTGACTTGGAAAGGGAACTCCCTGACCCCTTGCGCTTCCCAAGTGAGGCAATGCCTCGCCCTGCTTCGGCTCACGCACGGTGCGCGCACCCACTGACCTGCGCCCACTGTCTGGCACTCCCAAGTGAGATGAACCCGGTACCTCAGATGGAAATGCAGAAATCACCCGTCTTCTGCGTCGCTCACGCTGGGAGCTGTAGACAGGAGCTGTTCCTATTTGGCCATCTTGGCTCCTCCCACCAACATAACTTTTATATGCACTGGGAAACCAAAACATTTGTGTGACTCATTTTATTGTGATATTCACTTTATTGTGGTGGTCTAGAACTGAACCTGCAATATCTCCAAGTTATGCCTGTATACACCTCTCTACATGCATAAGAAGAGGATTATTTATATCTCACAAACATTTTGAGGGTTAAGTCTCCCAAAATTTAAACTGAGAGAACACATTTAAATGTCAAAGAACATACCAAACCAAAAAAGTGTTTAATTAAATTTAAAATTCAATGATCAGATGACAATGGGAAATGCTGTATATTATAACCTTCCTTTTGGAGATTTACAGAGCATATTATTATCAATCCTGTGACAAAAGAAAAAAAGCACTATTTAATTTTATTTAAGGCAGCATTTCCCAAACCTGTGTGACCACAGAACCCATTTTTCTCTTTCCTGCAATTAGCATTGCACTTTAAGAAGTGCTTCTCCAGATCAATTACTACCCCAGATATTCTAAATTGAAGAACAAGCAGCAATTATCCCTAGGGAAATAAAAGTGGCAGCTTTTGACACACACCCCTCAGAAAATGACAAAAATACTATTCATAAGATAAACATTGGTTAAAACATGATTGCTATTCTTGCTCAACCCATTCAAAGGTGGAATAGCAATATTAAAAGAAAATCTAAAGCTCCATCACTTCCTTTTTTCTTATATTAATAAACCCACTGTATATAATTTTTATGTTTAATTATTACAGGCTTCAGTGAAGATAAATCAGAGAACTGCAAAGTGTATTAAACCATTATGGTTCTTCCTTAACACGTCTGAAATTATTTAATTATAAAAGAAAGGGAAGCTATAAATTATTATGGTGTGGAAAAACAGGAATAATATTGACGGCGCTCCAGTGATGTTTTTACAATGCCTGCTAGTACAAGGCATGTTAGCTCTTATTAGTTTTCTCACTTCTGGAAATGATTTTGTTCATGGGCTACAACTGAAATGGGTCAGGCATTGTAAGGGAGCCTACATTGGTCTAATAAGTCTTCATTTCAAGCATAGCACACTTAGCTTTAATTTCCTCCTCTTGAAACATCTCATAGAGCTTTTAGAATGCCAAGTGACTGCTTTCTTGCCCCCAATAGTAATAAAAAACCAAGTCCAGGCACAAGAATTTCTAAAGAAAGAAAGAGAGAATTTAATTGTTCAGAATCACAGTTCATTCATTCACTCATTCATTTAAC
The DNA here is from genome assembly GCF_000001405.40 of Homo sapiens. Lineage (NCBI taxonomy): Eukaryota > Metazoa > Chordata > Mammalia > Primates > Hominidae > Homo > Homo sapiens. Next base: position 43,716,721 of record NC_000005.10, on the reverse strand, counting down.
AAATATTGAGTACATTCTGTGTGTCAGCGTATATGGGAAGAATTGGGAATACTACAGTGGTCAAAACAGACAAGGTCTCTGACCCTTTGGAGCTTACAGTTCTAGGAGATATAAATATAATTACACATAAAAAAGGTTGAATTGCCACTGCGATAAGTGCTCAAAGAGGAGTTTTTTGGTACTATCAGAGCCTATAATGGGAAAATTAACCTAATCACAGGGTTCAGGGAGTTAAAAGCTGAAGGAACAGGCCAGGCATGGTGGCTCATGCCAACACGTTGGGAGGCCAAGGCAGATGGATCACTTGAGGCCATGAGTTCAAAACCAGCCTGGGCAACATGGCAAAACCCCGTCTCTACTAAAAATATAAAAATTAGGCAGGTATGGTGGTTCATGCCTGCGGTAACCCTACTCGGGAGGCTGAGGCAGGAGAATCACTTGAACCTGGGCGGTGGAGGTTGCAGTGAGCTGAGATCGCGCCACTGCCACTGCACTCCAGCCTGGGTGACAGAGCGAGACTCCGTCTCCCAAAAAAAAAAAGAGCTGAAGAAAGAGCAGGAGTTATTTGGATAGAGAAAAAGGGGAAGAGCCTACCAATCAGAAGTCAATGTGTGGGCAAGTCTTTCTGTTCCTTCTCAGTTAGCTGTTTCCCAGGAAAGCAAACTTACAAATTAATCCTGGCTCAATGGTGAATGACAAAGAATAGTGTATGTGTCCAGGGATAGTTGCATATTTATTCTTGGAGATGAAAATTCTTTAGTTTAGGAGAAAATTTTCCTTATTTATATAATGGTGAAGTTTCAAGTACCAGGACAGGCTGATAAGGAAAAGATTCTTGGTAAGCAGGGCTTGCCAGTATCTCCCAACTCACAATGCTTATAGCACCAGCCATCCACACCTCCATGAGAAAAGACGAAGTTGAGACAATAAGAGGAAAACTAGGGAAGGAGTTTAAAAAGGAATAATCAGAACTAAGTTAATGCATAGTTTGTTTGTTTAAAGAAAGAAGAAAGTTTGTTGTGAAGGCTGTTATAGCTTGTTTCAGTCTTCCATTGCCATATAACAAACCACCCCCAAACAACAATTTATTATTTCTCAGAATTCTGTTTCTCAGAAATTCTGGCAGGGTTCAGCTGGTGGGTCTCCTAATTCCCCATGCCTCTCTCCATGTTGCCTCTCATGATTCAGCCCAAGCATCTTTTCAACATAGTAACTGGCTCCCGAAAGGGAACTTTCTAGATAGCCAAGCTCCAATGCACAAGTACTTATGAAGTCTTGGTTTGCACTCTCTTGCTAATGTCCTATGGACCAAAGCAAGTTATATGGTCATGCTCAAAGTAAGAAAAGGATTAATTCACATTTGCAGGAATAAGTGCTCTTTGGATTTTTGAAAATGATATATGTGTACACATACTATCACCAAAAGTGTCACTAAAAATATTTAGCCTCCTCCTTTTCTCACATTTGTAAACAGTCTCCACACATATCTCCACTCTCTGACACAAAGAAGACAGATGTTACCAGTGTTGGAAGTTCCCTCGGTATTAAATTGTCCCCTATGGAAAAAGCAATGATTTACATAGGAGAACCATTAACTGTATTCATCATTCAATTCATAAAAGGCAGTGAAATAGAAGTCACCTAATTTTTATATTTGTTAGAAGAAGTGGTTGAAATTACTAAATAACACGTTTTAATCACCTGTAATTTTAATGATTTATGCCACCCAATTGCTCGTCACTATTAATAAGCACAAATTAGCCACACTTGCATTCATGATGTATTGTAGGGGAACTGTACCAGTTAAGGTTCAATCAGAGAAGCAGAACCATTATGTGTGATGGAAAAGAAGAGATTTTACTAGGAATTAGACTTCCCACAATTGTGGATGCTGGTGAAGAAGCCTCTGAAATTCTCTTGGCTCTGTTTCTGGTGGTGGGCCAGAGGTGACGATTGGTGTGAGCAGGGCTGCCAATGGACACAAAGTCAAGAGAGTGAGGAAAAAACAGAACCCTCCCTCATCTGTCTCTCACTGCCCTCATATCCAGTGACACACATGTCCTGCAGAAGCTGGTGCCCTTCACCATGGGGCTGTACATGAGCTTTTCCCAGGACGTAGAGAAGCTGAAAAAGAGATCCTGCAGGGGCAGGAGGAGCTGTGGTCCCAGCTGCCACGCCAGGCCAAAAAGGGAGGCCAGAGATCAGGCACAATGTGCACAGAGCAGCAGTCATGCCTGGTGCTCAGAACAAACCTTCAGAGCAAAATGGCAGCAGCTTCACTTCGTCTTCCAAATTTCATACAATTTCTCTTGGGGCTACTCCTGGGGCAAACCTCAAATCAAAGAGGAAGGAAATTCTGGGAAACATACTTCCAGCTTAGCCAAATATATTCCAAAACTACCGTAACCATACCCACCATCCATCAGAAACAGGGCTGCTTCTTGTCTAACAGACTAATCTGCGATCAAGCTAGAGGGCAAACAAGACACCAGGCATCAGAAGAAAATGGAGAAACTGGTACTACTGAATTGCTGATGCCTGGTTTCAACTGACTCAATATTTTCTTGGTAAGTTGAGCCCTCTCTAACAAAAAGAACAGAGAACGCCTTCTTCATTTATGCTCTAACAAATGAGTAAAAAATAGATTTTGAAAAATACTGGGAGTGTTAGTTTTTATTTTAGTTTTGCTTGAGAACTGCGTAAGGAAAGGGACATTGGTCAATGCCAAAATCTTCAAATAACTTTTGAAAGTCAATTAAAAAAATAATGACTATTCCAAGAGTCATGGCCCCATGCCTCCCCCTCACAATAACCTGAAAAATGATACAGTTCTCTAGCACAAGAATTTGATTTAAAACAATAACAATTAATTTAAAAATCTACATTATATTACGTATTTGAAGATAACTGTTTTCTTTGAAATTTCTTGATTTGGTGAATTTCCACATGCTTTCTCCTCCATTTAAAAATTCCTGTTCCTAACTGGGAACAGTGGTGCATGCCTGTAGTCCTACCTGGCTTGAGGCTGAAGTGGGAGGATCACTTGAGCCCAGAAGTTTGACTCCAGCCTGAGAAATATAGTGAGACTCCACCTCTAAAAAAAAAAAGAAGATGAAGAAGGAGGAAGAGGAGGAAGAAGACAAGGAGGAAGAGGAGGAGGAAAAGAAAATTAAAATTCCTGTTCCTTCCTTCTCTAACCATCTCTTCTGTATCTTCTAGAACACTTCCTCTGCAGAAACTCCCCAGAACCCCCTACTCAGATTTCACCTCTTGCCACAGGCAGTGAGAATCATTCCTCTATAAGCCACTGCCATAACTTGTAAATCATTTGGTTTTTGCACCAAATTGTAATTTAATGTCTTATATGTATCCCATATTATACTGCAAGCTTCTTGAGACAGGTGCCATGTCATGTGTGTATGTTACCTGGCACATGGCACATAACAAATGTTAGGGCTCATCATTGCTACCTGATTATATATTTTACAGATGGGAGACCAAACCAAGTCAGCAGTGGAAGGAACAGAATTCAAAACATTTCAAAACAAGCAATTTCTCACATCTCCTTATAATCTAGAAAATATCATTTACTGCTACCATTAGTTCCTTTTATAGCTTCTTCTAGTTTGAATTGCAACTCCTTACTCCACATCCCTTCCAAAAATCTCATGCTCATGGTCTCTCTGATTCTTCTCCCCTTTGATATCCCCTACCACTATTTTGAATTGAAAAGAACTATCACAGTTTGGGTTTCACCCCCATCTCACAAATGGTTGTTTGGTCTCTCTTCTTTCCAGGGAGTTTTCCTCCCCATCTCATGGAAAATGAAAGGTCCCCATGCGTACCAGTAGCCACTTCACCTTTCTCAATCTGTGTCCCACCTCAACAAGCCCTCTCATCCCACAGGCTCAAGTCCATCAAAAACACCAATGATGCTATTGTTCTATGCTCTCCCTGTAGTATAGTCTAATTTTATGCTCAGATGGTGGTATAAAAATATTAAATCATGGCAATTTTACACATCTGTCTTCTTTGTTCCATTTTGCTCAACTTCATTTCTATGGGGAAAAAAATATTTTTCCACAGAAGCAAAACCCTTATGCATAAAATATAAACCATTACATTTACTGAAATGCCCAAGTACTTGTAATTAAAGAAAAATATCCTTAATTGGCAGAAGATGTAATTCTTGAACTTCCATCTGCCACAGGTTAATTACAGGAAGGTTGTGATGTTTTGTGCTCCAATTTCTCTAGTAAAAATTACAATTAACAGCATACATAGAAATCACTTTTTTGAAAAGATTTCCTGAGTAATACATCAGTATGAAAAAAGTAGATGGGCTACAAATGCTAACTTGTGTTCCTAAAAGAATACTTACCAAAAGAGCTGTGTTTTGACCTTTCTGTGTTTGTTTTGAGATGTGTTCCAACTATGAATTAATGGTTCCTTTCAACTTTTGGCTATACATTTAATACCAAAGCATTGCTGAAAAAAAACTAACAGGAATGAGATGACAGCGCACTTTTCATTCCTCCTAGGGCAGCACTTTTTATTCCTTCCCCCAAACAATTCGCTGTCTCGCTAAATTTCTCAAAGTAAAGATTTCTGAAGCAATTGAGTTAGTCTCAGGAGATGAATTAAATGGCACCTCCTTAACTTTTTTTTTTTTTTTGCTTAGATCAATTCCTTCATAAATTATTTGAATAGAATGCCTACTCTTTTCCTTGTGAAAATAGCACTAATATTCTATTTTCCTACAGAGGCTTTTTAAAATTTCACCCCAAATATAAGTTGTAGTCATAGGAGAAATTTGCCAGAATCTGTTGAGATTACCATACCCTCTACTTCATGCATTTCTTCCTTCCCATTCCACGCTGCATTAAACATCTTGTAATTTCTATTTCATTTAGACCAAAGAAGAATCAGAGGATGTCAGTGTGCAAAGATATCAGTAACCAAGACTAGCTATGACTATGACAATAGGTATCTAAGGAATGCCAGACAGGATGGATGAAGACCAGGACACAACTCACTCCACCAAACTGTGATGTTACGTCATTTACCTTGGTCCCCACCCACTTTGCCTTTGAATGAAGACGTGTCCCCAGCAGTAGGAGAACGAGAAGGAAACACGCCAAATTAAGGTCAAATTTACATCAACAGAGAATATAGAGGCTCAAGAGAGGAATTCACTTAACTTATAGGAAAACGAAGTCATATTTTGGCACATCGAGTTTGTAGTCTTTGAGAAATGAAAATCCTCAGCAAAAAGCTTTTGTCTGACCAGCTGTGAGGTAAGAATGTGCAAGAAGTCAAAGCAAGCGAGGAGGCGGAGCCGGTACTGTCCTGGAAAGCAAAACCCAGAAAGGTGGCGAATCTGCTCCAAAGCTGCCTCTTTTCTGCTCCTAAGGAAGATGCATTCTCAGGATACAGGATTTTGTGCATGAGAAAAAAATGGCAATAGCTGCTTACAGAGAGAATGGGTGGAAATGCAAATTATGACTATATAACCAGCAACTTTCATAATTCTATGTAAAAATGGCATATAATTATGCTCTTATTTTCTCTATGAAATTGGAAACATCTCTTCCTCTCATTTTATAAATAAATGGCATCTTCTTGATGAAATTTAACTGCTTTTTTTCCCTTTTACGACTTGCATGCTTCCCTTTTTTTTAACAGAAGTCAACTGAATGGTTAAGTGGACCTTGCCATCAGCCAGATTTCAGTTTAAGTCCAACTCTGCCATTTGCTATTGTAGGATGCACTGAAACCCATAGGTTGTTAATAGAATGTTGCCTAGCACAAAATGAGTACTCATTAACTAGTAGATGCTATTACTATTATCCACCCATTGAACACTTTAAATAAAGGAACAAGGTCTTTCTATCTATAACCTTAAAAAAAGAAAAAAAATTGAGCCAGAATAAAATTCCAGATGAGTCCTGAACAGAAGACAATGAGAAACATATATAGTATACATTTCCCTTCCTCCACCCTGCATGGTTATATATGTATATTTATTTACATAATATATACATACATAATATATATTTTATATATGTGTTTATATATATTTTATATATAAATGCCTTTGTGCTTAATTTATCAAGAGGTGATACACTCTAGAAATGTAAGCATAACCAAAAGTGATTCATTTTGTAGAAAACAGTAACACTTTTCATAACGATGCCACCATCTAAATATTCATCAAGAGTTCATCACTAAAATCCACCCTTTGGAGCAACATGTACAAAACAGTATTCTGGGAAAGACACATTACAACAAGGACCACAGGCAGGACAGATATTCTGACATCCTTACACATATAGTATACCTATATGATTTTTGTGTTATAGTCTTTGAATGTTCTATTGGTCTCATTTACCATAGTGATTCTAATCCTTAAAAAAACACATTTCCTAGTTACTATAGCTATACCCAGTGCTCATGGGGCAGTTACTCCCAATCAGACACAAGGATGTGGACCTGAACTAGGTGTAAGCTTCCATGCCCATATATATCCCAATGGGACAAAACCAGAGCATTAGCTATAATTTAAGGACACAAAATTTTCCATGAGTCAATAAAGCTTTAAAAGGCTCTTTCTAGAAGGAGTGATTTCTGAAGCACAGTGTTCCATTAAACTCAGACTAGTGACAAAACATCCTAAAGGGATGAAATTCTGCTTCATCCCTCTGGGGAAGAAATTATCTCCCTCCTGTCATAGCACAAAGGGGTGATTTAGTGTCACATTCTCCCTTTTCTCTGGAGAGTTTTACACATGACCTTTCAGTTCTAACCCACTGATGCTGCTGCCTCCATGTGTATAACTGGGGACTAGAATCAAAGTCTAAAGAGAATTAACCAGGCACAGGACCCTGCTCCATTAGTGTTAATCACTGTATTTTTGTGAAAAGTGCACCCCCTAACTGGGAGGAAAAAAAAAAGACAAGTCTGGCTGACAATAACTCACTGGCTTTTAAAAACTCAGTTCCAGAAAGGCACTGAAAAGCATAACACAAGGTGGTAATCACTGGCAAAATATGAAGTGCAAAACTTCACTGGTGGAATCTAATTCTATCCCTGACTGTAGACATTCCTGAGTTCTGCTTTTCCCATAGTAAACCAAAAATGAAGTAAGAGAATAGAAAAAAATGGCCTTATTTCAATTTCTAAATGGTCCTTTTCCAAAGGTTTTTATTATTCCCTACATCATATCTCACTGATACTTTGTATTTTTCATATTCCCAAATGCAACAGGAAGGAGGGTGAGAAAAAGTTTATTAGATCTTCATATTCCATCTTTACATAGGGGAAACTTACGCATCCCAAACTTCCTTGCTCTGAGCTCCCACTTCCTTTTCACTTCTCTCTATGGGGGGAAAGAACTAGCCACCATCATCCTAAGGGTCACCTACTTTCCCCAAATCCACATCCCCTTCCTCAATTCTTCTCAAAGTCCATGACAACCACTTCTTCTCCCCACTATCCTATTGCTGCCATGTGGACTCCCCTCTGAATTCATAGTCACCTTAGGCAAGCAAGATCACTTTGACTCTCTTCATTCCAATGTCTTTATGTCTGCTTTTCACAGTGACCCAAACAATGTGGCCTAACTGTCCAGCTCTCTGAAAGTCTGGTTTTGTCTATGGATAAAATATGAAATATCCAGGGACAAACTGGACTCTATATCTTTTAGGCAATTTTTACACTAGTGTTATCCTTCGTAAATATGCTTTTGGCAAGAACTGGAAGGCAGAGCTCAAGGCAGTAATCTTTGGCAAAATATGAAGTACAAATATTTCCTACAGAATGATGAGGCAGTCACATGATTTGACAATCAACATGACAGTGATGTAATATCTCCCCACTATTTAGGGTTTCAACTTTTAAAGTTTTTAGCTTTAAAGAACTTTTAAAGTTCTTAGCTTTCTCTACCATTGTTAGGATTCCCTACTATTCCCCCAAATAAATTATCTTCCATGGACTATTTTTTTTTTTTTTTTTTTTTTTTTTGAGACGGAGTCTCGCTCTGTCGCCCAGGCCGGACTGCGGACTGCAGTGGCGCAATCTCGGCTCACTGCAAGCTCCGCTTCCCGGGTTCACGCCATTCTCCTGCCTCAGCCTCCCGAGTAGCTGGGACTACAGGCGCCCGCCACCGCGCCCGGCTAATTTTTTGTATTTTTAGTAGAGACGGGGTTTCACCTTGTTAGCCAGGATGGTCTCGATCTCCTGACCTCATGATCCACCCGCCTCGGCCTCCCAAAGTGCTGGGATTACAGGCGTGAGCCACCGCGCCCGGCCCATGGACTATTTTTTTCTACCACTATCTTAATCATTATATATAGGAGTTTCAAATATTGGTTGCTCTAATTACTGTTCTCATCATACACATCATTTTGTTGCCAATAGCCAAAAGATTTTCATTCAGAATTACCACATATGCCATGCTAAATGCCTTTAATCACTTAAATAATAAAGAAAACAGTTCAATTCCTCAACCTAATATGTAACTTCTAAGAGACAAAAGTTCAAGAACTCTGAGTGCTTCAAAATCCAAATGTGACCATTTCTGCTACTTTGCTAAACAACACTTTAAAAGTTTCACTTAGAAAAATTTTTTTCCTCCTTGTTAATTAACCTAATTCTTCTTTCCTTTGAGAATCTAAAGAATACCTGGATTATGCAAGCTGCTGCCACTGGAGGGAAAGGTTTTGAGTTTTTGTTGTTGTTGTTGTTTACTATTCTCACTGAATAATATTTGTTGGCAAATGCTCTCAAAAACTGGTGAACTATAAATTAGATATTTGAACTATTCTGCCTAGTTACACAAAAGAGCTTTCCAATACTAAAATGCTTTAATTCACAAGACTTATGCCTTAGGGGACTAAAAAATTTGTCCCTAGGTTAGATGAACATATGAGTCACAAGTTACTACTTTTAAAGAATCAACCTTTGGGATCAGATAAATTTTATGAAACCTTAAAGTTTACTGATATATAATATATTTTATATTTATGTTGGATGCGAGAATATAGCAAAATCTAAAAGTTAGGGTCATGACTTGGGTAGAATCAGAAAGGCAACGGTTCACTTTCCAAATTCATTACCAAATACTTAACTGATATTTCCTGACTCAGTAAAGGGTTAAAAGCCTACTGCACGAAGAGACTATTAGTCTCTATTAGTCCTCTCTATTCTAATTCCTAGAAAAAAAAGAGAATATAAAATGATAGTCTACATGCCAGAAAACTGTCCAGATAGATACATGAGTAGCAATATAAACATATATATAATGTGTAAAAACTTATACATTTACTTATTTTTTAATGTATGTATTTATTGTGTATAACATATTTTTAAGTATATATACATTGTGGAATGACAAAATCTTTCTAATTAATATGTGCATTACCTCAATTAGTTATCACTTTTGTGGTGAGAACACTTCACATCCACTCTCTTAGAATTTTTCAAGAATACAATATATTGTGTTTTTTTACCCCAAAATTTCTTTATTTTTTTAATGGGAAAGATCACATTTATTTCAGCAAATAACTTCTTTATAAATAGCTTCTGTTTTCTTTTTTTTTTTAATTATACTTTAAGTTCTAGGGTACATGTGCACAACGTGCAGGTTTGCTACATATGTATACATGTGCCATGTTGGTGTGCTGCACCCATTAACTCATCATTTACATTAGGTATATCTCCTAATGCTATCCCTCCCCACTCCCCCCACCCCATGACAGGCCCTGGTGTGTGGTGTTCCCCACCTTGTGTCCAAGTGTTCTCATTGTTCAATTCCCACCTATGAGTGAGAACATGCAGTGTTTGGTTTTCTGTCCTTGCAATAGTTTGCTCAGAATGATGGTTTCCAGCTTTATCCATGTCCCTACAAAGGACATGAACTCATCCTTTTTTATGGCTGCATAGTATTCCATGGTGTATATGTGCACATTTTCTTAATCAAGTCTATCATTGATGGACATTTGGGTTGGTTCCAAGTCTTTGCTATTGTGAATAGTGCTGCAATAAACATACGTGTGCATGTGTCTTTATAGCAGCATGATTTATAATCCTTTGGGTATATACCCAGTAATGGGATTTATATACATTTTTTGCTTAGATGAGTAATTTAAACACAAACTCCTAATTTAAGACAAATGAGAAAATAAAGGATAGTTAACAAGCCCTTAAAGACAAATCAACATTAGCATTTCACTACCTACAGATAATTTTTTTTTTTTGGTGACAGACTATAAGGTACAATAAATTTTTTTAATTATTTATACTTAAATATCATAAAGATATAGTGAATAATACAAAAATAAAATAAGTCATATCTACCAATTGTATGACTTATTGGAAAAAGAGGAATAATGAAATAGAATGTATAAAAATCATTTTTGTTGTTTTTAGATTTTTGCCATAATTTATAATCTAAGTCCACTAACCTTTTGGAATATTAATTTAAGAAATTATATATACAAAAATCCTTTAAATATCCTAACCAATAAAGTAAAATAAAATGAACAGGGCATGAATTTTCAATTCATTTAACACAATTGATGACAAAGGATTGGCAAATAGCAAAGAATAAGATAATACTAAATAAAAATATATATAAATTAAAATTTTTACTATGACAAAAATAAATAAAATCCAAGTATGATTATTTTTAGTTTAAACTGAGTGCAGGAACTACCTTTTCAAGAAATCAAAATTGCTTCTTTCTAGATATAACTACAACTACTTTGAGAGAAGAAAAAGGGCAGGAATAAAGATGGTGTTTACTTTCTTCTAATAGAATATACATGGTATAATTCAGCCCTGAGTTTACTAGTGATCTAAGATCAATTAACAAATTGCATTTATCACTTAAAACTTTTAAAAAAGTCTTTTCTGCTTTAACACACAAACGCACACACACACACACACACATACACAGATCTTAATCTCAGGCACAGCAAAATAGAAACTGATTATAAAACCAAAAGATACTGTGTGTTTTAAACTCACTAAACGCGAGCATTACAGTAACAAAATTTGTACTACTTCTTTTTCTGGTTTAGAGATTGTCTTTCATGTGTTAATAATTTTTTGAGAAACTTAGTACCAAACTAATTATATAGAGAGACAAATAATCTGAGTATTCATCACACATTCACCTATATTTAGAGCTTTAGGCACGATAGCAAAGTCACAAAGAAAATCTACACTTCTATAAAAAGACATGATCTTTACTGGTGCTTAAATGAACAAAGAGGTAGCTAAAAAAAGCCACCATTTCTCTCAAATGTCATCAATTACATAAGACCTCAAAACACACACTGATTTGAAAAAAAATCCATCCGTATTATAAACAGTGAAGACAGATTAATGTCATCTATTTCATAGTAGCAGGTCTTCCTTGATATTTGTAACAGGCAGAAATATTTGATTTTACTCTTTTGTCACCAGAGATAATTGCCACATCACTTGCCAACATGATGAACTCATTTTATTAGTCAAATGTTGAATTCCACTCAAGTGCACTTAATATAGTACTACACATTATAAGTTGATCGAAATTAAAGAGATCTCCAATTAGAAATGGGATCTTCAAAAATACTATTACTAATTTTCAAGTTGTATGTTTCATTGGTATTCTAATGAAACATATAAAGCAAATGATTTGTTTCCAGCATCTCTGAAAGATTATTTAGTCCTTTAATGTATTAAAATAGTAGTGAGAAAATGTGCCCTTGAAATATAGACTCTGAAGTACAATTTAAAAAATTAAAACTGATTTGATATGATTAATTCAAACTGCGGTTGAATTGCAAGGGGACAGCTCAGAAGTTCATAAAAGTTTCAAATTAGTCACATTTGTTGAAAAAAAAAACATAAAATGCAGGTGCCTGCAATGTTTACATTGTGTCAGATATTTCAGAGCCATGTATAATGTTGTCTTGAAATCCTAAACACTTAGTTTTTTAAAACATTTCTGGTTACTGAGGAGGCATAAAAAATCCAACAGGACTACATCTAAAATGAGGCTGTTCTTTCTCCTTTTATAAAATACTTTTGATTCCTAACACAAAAAATATGCACAGAAAGACATTTAGAATTTTCAATCCTTTTTTAAAATTGAGGGATTACTGCTTTTGAAAAATCTCTCTATACAGTTTTTGCTTTGCTTTCTTCAGTCTTCATTTTCTCCAAGAGCTTTGCTACAGATGTACATCACCATGTATACTGATACTTTATTTGCCTGTTCCCAAAACTGCAGAGGTGGCATTATTAGCTAACAGCTTGATCCTTAATATTTACTTCTGATAGGATTCTCTAACTTTCGCCTGGAGCGCGTCACATGTTTTCTTGGCATCACCTAGAAGCATGGCCGTGTTAGGTTTGTAGAAGATTGGATTGTCCACTGCAGCATAGCCAACACCCAAAGACCTCTTCATAACAATCACCTGAGAACCAGAGATTAAATGAGAGAGTGTATTTAACAGACCAACCTAGGACATGTTAGGCAAACAAACATTGCTCTTCACTACCTTTGAACAAGGCATGTACCACTACTAATTCTTTAGTGCAGGGACTTTAAAAATACACAAGAAATATTTTTAACATATGTTTACATTGTATTAACTTTAATACTTAAGTGTGCCCTTATTCTTATATCCATTAGAGAAAAAGTCATGTTAATAATTTATCTCTGAGTGATAAGATTACAATTATTTTCTTCTTAGTGCTTCTTCTCTATAAAGACCATGTATACCATTTTCTAGTCAGTAAAATAAGCATCTTTCTATGAATGTGCTAAAGAAAACAAGTTTAGTGCATAAGTTTCCACTACAAATTCTAAAACAGATGAGGTTGAGTGGGAAAACAATGTTATTCTTTTCTATGACTTTAAAGTATATCAGAAAGTTCTAGAACAAAAGCCCAAAGAGCAATCCAGCTTCTCACAATAGCAGAGCTATAACTAACAGAATGTTCCTATAAATCAAAATGGAAGAGGTAAGTCAATCTATAATATTGATATGTTATAGACATTTACAATGACATGTGTTATGGATGTTGCTGTCCTGCTGAATATCAAGTCATTTCTTAATGAAATGAAAAGTCTTTCTATGGTCTACTAGGACATGTAATCTATTAAAAAACAGAAGCAGTGCAAATGTATTCTTCTTCTTATAGCGTTAGTATAGTAATGCACTCTACAAATTCTCAAATATTGACTACTGACACAATTTTTCATACACACATAAACAAATATATTTTATGTCTACTCATTCATCACAAATATTAAGTTTTAAACTCCAATATTTACAATAAAAAGAAACGAAATTAAATGGAAATGTACATTATGTTATGATTTTTTAAATGCAGAGGTGACTCAGTAGTGGTAAAATGTGCCTACTGCTGAGGCAGAGGAAAATTTACAAGCCTTTGAGTTATCTAAAATCTAGCAATTAGCTTTTTCAGGAGGAATACACATGAGCGAAGCTTGCTTCATTATGCCACATTATTGTTTGGATTTCCAAATCACCTTTCTGCTAGACACTCTATAACAACTTATAAATTCCCTTTCAAAAAGTTAAGTGAAAAAAATATGCTCATCTTGGCATATGAAGGCGATTGATACTTCCCAGAGGGAAGCCATCTGCTTCACAGGACTCGATCTGGAATTTAGCCAGACTCATTACAAAAGCTCACAGCTCTTTTTTCAGCTGTGGTTACAGATTGTGTTAATCCACCCACATAATCTCATCTGGTTCTACTTGTGATTAGGGCATTCACTCAGGTTCTCTGGTGGCCGGAGAACAGACAGAAGCTGGATATAGGAAACTGGGCCCTAAACATGCTCTTACTCCTGGCCTCCTAGAAGGCATCATCATTTCTTATCAAATGATCAAAGAAAGTTCTGTGTGTATATTTGAAGTGACCTTTGATTATCAGAATGAAATACAAGTCTGAAACTTTACCTGCTTTGATTTCCAGACCTCAAGGACTGGCATGCCTGCAATAATAGAGTTGGGATCTTCTTGAGCTGCTGAATTAACAGTGTCATTAGCTCCAATTACAAGGACCAAATCAGTATCTATATAATAAAACAAAAAAGAAAGAATATAAAACTCAAATGGTCACTTTTACATATTTTCAGACAAATTATAGTGATCTTTACTTTATAATAACAATAACAAAAATATAGGATTCGCACTTGTGCCAGGCACTTTACAAAGAACTTTATCAGAGAGGTTAAGCAACTCGGCCAATTTCACACAGCTAAAAAGCAGTAGGTCTTGCATTTGAACTTGACTATCTTGACTACAGCCTGCATTATTATGCTTCTCCCTTCTCAATAAATCTACCTAATCTGACTCTATAACTTTTATGATCTCAAAATGATCTTGCAATAGGGTCACATGATTTTATGAAATTTGCATTCCACTTTCAACCTTTAAAATGACCACTTAAACCTCAAACTATAAGAATCCAAGAAGAAAACCTAGGAAACACCATTCTGGACATCAGCCTTGTGAAAAATTTATGACTAAGTCCTCAGAAGCAAATGCAACAATGCAATAATTGACAAGTGAGACCTAATTAAACTAAAGAGCTTCTGCTTAGCAAAAGAAACTAACAAGAGAGTAAACAGACAAGCTACAGAATGAGAGAAAATATTCACAAATTATGCATGCATTGGACAGAGTTCTAATATCCGGAATCTATAAGGAACTTAAACAACTCAACAAGCAAATAAAATAAAATAAAATAAATTTTAAAAAAATTTTAAAAAATATTTAAAAACTGGGCAAAAGACATGAACAGACATTTCTCAAAAGAACACATACAAGTGGTCAACAAACATGAAGAAATGTTCGACATCACTAAACATAAGAGAAATGCAAAGCAAAACCACAATGAAATTACTATCTCACACCAGTCAGAACAGCTATTAGTAAAAAGTCAAAACAATAACAGACGCTGGCAAGGCTGTGGAGAAAATGGAACATTTACACGCTGTTTGTAGAAATGTAAATTAGTTCAGCCAGTGTGGAAAGCAATTTGGAGATTTTTCAAAGAACTTAGAACTCCTACTTGACCCAGCAATCCCACTACTGCGTACATATCCAAAAGAAAACAAATCTTTCTACCAAAGACACATTCACTAGCATGTTCATCACAGCACTATTCACAATAGCAAAGACATGGAATCAACCTAGATGTCCATCAATGGTGCACTGGATAAAAAAAAATATGGTACATATGTGCCATGGAATACTACACAGCCATAAAAAGGATGGAAATCGTGTCCTTTCCAGCAACATGGAAACAGCTGGAGGCCATTATCCTAAGCAAATTAACACAGGAAAAGAAAATCAAATACTGCACATTCTCACTTATATGTGGGAGCTAAACACTGGGTACTCAGGAACATAAATACGGCAACAATAGAACCTGGAGACTACCAGAATGGGGAGTGAGGGATATGGGCAAGGGTTGAAAAACTGTGGGGTACTATGCTCACTACCTCCAACCCTCAGCATCCCACAGTATAACCAGGTAACAAACCGCACATGTACCCCTGAATCTACAATAAAAGTTAAAAAAATACATAAAAATAAAATAAGATAACTCCTTGAGAGTCTCAAAATCTGCATTAAAGCCATGTCCATAATTCCTGGAACTGGGTGGTGTCACACATAATTTAACAACAGTGGAATCTGAAAAGGGACATAAAATTAAAATGGCCTAAGTTTTCTCTTCAAGAACTGCAATATAAACTACCTTAGACTGTTGCCAAAAAAATGCTATGTGAATCTAGACATACACACAATTTCAATACTTTTTCTAATAAACAGCCTTTTTTAAGTTTACAGTGGATATTTGCCAGAGGGAAGTGGTTTAATTTTAACAAGCATAGGCTTGGGCCAAATGTCATTACCATTCAACATCTACCCTATGACAGCTATAACGTACAGCACCTTATCTAGGGAAATTCTAGTACTTTTTAAAAAGAAAAGAAAGAGAAAATTACTTCACCAGTCATACGTTAGTACAATTGAAAACCAGTAAAATCTCAGAGACTGGCAAGAATCAGACACTAAATTATCAACAGAAGCACTCATAAATGAAGAGCCTGAGGTTGGGTAACAAGCTACTGAGAATCAGGATCTGGATTCAAAAGCCAGGTCTGCCCAGATCCCCAGTCTTCAACATTTCTATACTACACACCAAGGTTTTCACCATCCTTCAGTTCTTCACGGAGGAGAAAAATTTACCTGTGCTGTTTACGAATCTTTTGTACCTTATTCAATACTATATTTCACTTATTTAATTTCAACTTATTATCTACCATGTACAAGTTCTTTTTCATCTGACTAGTCAGTCTTCACTGAATCTACAATTCATATCCCACACCTGCACTGCTTTATTCATAGTAAGAATATTTAAACTTCACAATTGCCCCCACCACTTACCTGGAAAATCATGGTTGATCTCATCCATTTCCAACACAATGTCATATGGCACACCAGCCTCAGCCAGCAGCACATTAAGCTGACCAGGCATTCGGCCTGCAACTGGGTGAATTCCAAACCTAGACATGAAACAAATGAAGAGCTGGCCTTACTTGACAGGACATAATGTACAGAGACCCCAATATCACCTCCAAATCTGCACACTTTGTTCTTGGCACCTCTGCTTTTTTCTGGTACTATCTGATCTCTACAGAATGAAACAGCAGTAGTCCAGATATATAGTCAATTTACAAATATTGAAGCTGAAGTTTCAGTATTTTAGTGTGCAGAAACTATAACTTCCCTCAGAAAAATAAAAGCTTAACTTTGTTTTCAGTGCAGTGAACTTCCAATAATGTTAATAAATAATATCACCTTACATTTAAAAATCACTGTGTTCTCTCATACTTTCTGGTAAATATTGAATCTTTAAAAACCTATTTACCTAGCCTGGAATTAAATGTTTCCCACGAAAAATCAACATTATTCTATCAAAAGCTGACTTCACATTCAACTTTAACCACTTTGTTCAAAGGTAGGGAGATGGCTGGGCATGGTGGCTAATGCCTGTAATCCCCGCACTTTGGAAGGCCAAGACGGGCAGATCACTTGAGGTCAGGAGTTCAAGACCAGCCTAGCCAACATAGCGAAACCCTATCTCTACTAAAAATACAAAAATTAGCCGGGCATGATGGTGGGCACCTGTAATCCCAGCTACTCAGGAGGCTGAGGCAGGAGACTCACTTGTACCCAGGAGGAGGAGATTGCAGTGAGCTAAGATTGTGCCACTGCACTCCAGCCTGGGTGACAGAGCAAGACTTTGTCTCAAAAAAAAAAAAAAAAAAGGTAGGGAGATAAAATGTTGTCATACACATGATGTTAAAGCCTACAGCCACTCAGAGAATGATATAAAATACTACTCCACATCACAGAAGACATGTGATGGGAACACACAGGAGCATCTAAAACACAGAGTGGGTAATACACAAGCAGAGCTCTACACTTAAGGTAAAGGACCCCAAAGCATCAAGCAACTTCTTTTGACCACAGATATAATGAGGTCTTTAAAGTTTTTTAATCCAACCTCTTGCCCAGTATTTATCTGTCTCCACAGTACTAAGAACAGTGTGTGGCACATAGAAAGGGCTCCATAAGAAGTGAATGAATGAATGAATGAATCCAAAAATAAATGCAGTTTATACTATCTCTTGGAAGAGATCCATCCAACCTCAGCCTAAATACCTTCAATGACCCTTCTAAGGTCTAATCCATTACTAGACTACATATATATATATATATATGTAGTGTATATATATATATAGTCTACATATATATGTGTGTGTGTGCATGTGTGTGCAAGTATGTGTATATATGTGTATGTATGCATATATATTCATATAGTAATATATTCATTCATATACAGTAAGTCCTCACTTATCATCCATAAGTTCTTAGAAAGTGCAACTTTTTAGAAAGTGCAACTTTAAGTGAAACAAGATATAATGAAACCAATTTTACTCTAGGCTAATTGATATAAACAAGAGTTAAGTTCCTATGGCATATTTCTGGCCACAGAAATATCACCAAACTTCTAAATAAAGACCAAAATACTTCTAATATTAAACATTGAAATAAATGTGAGCTATACATACAGTTAGGAAAGATTAATAAAATCAAATAAGATAATTATTTGCCCAAGGCAGGAACCAGATCTGGACAGGACACTATCTCATTGCAGGGCACACTCCCAGACACCCACACTCACTCAGACTGGAACCACGTAGACACATCAATTCACCTAACATGAACATCTTTGAGATATGAGAGGAAAGCAGAGAATCCAGAGAAAACCCACACAGGCATGGTAAGAATGTGCAGACCCCACAGAGACAATGGCCCCAGCTGGGAATTGATTTTTTTTCTCATCAAAGTGGTAACAAAATGATACTGAACAAAATGACGTTATTTGAGGATTTGCAATATATATATATTTTCATATATTAATATATTCAGTCTTAATACAAGATTATATATTATATAATATATTCATCCATATTAAGCCAGATAAATAAGTTATATGTGTGTATATGTATGTATATGTGTGTGTGTGTGTGTGTATATATCCAAAGAGAAACTCCACCTCATTTTTTTCCAAGGTCTATAGTTGTGCCATCTGGAACCATAATGAATCTACAACCTCTTTCATTTGCAGATTCCTGTCAGCTATCCTAGTGATATGGTTTGGCTGTGTCCCCGCTCAAATCTCATCTTGATTCCCACATGTTGTGGAAGGGACCTGGTGGAAGATTACTGAATCATGGGGGCAGCTCTTTTCCCATGCTGGTCTCGTGATAGTGAATAAGTTTCACAAGACCTGATGATTTTATAAGAAGGAGTTTCCCTGCACAAGCTCTCCTTTTTTTGCCTGCCACCATCCACATAAGATGTGACTTGCTCCTCCTTGCCTTCCACCATCACCATCCACATAAGATGTGACTTGCTCCTCCTTGCCTTCTGCCATGAATGTGAGACCTTCCCAGCCTTGTGGAACTGTAAGTCCATTAAACCTCCTTCTTTTATAAATTGCCCAGTCTCAGGTATGTCTTTATCAGCAGCATGAAAATGGACTAATATAGTAAATTGGTACTGGGTGTAAGGTGCTGCTGAAAAGATACTCAAAAATGTGGAAACAACTTTGGAACTGGGTAACAGGCAGAGGCTGGAACAGTTTAGAGGGCTCAGAAGAAGACAGGAAAACGTGGGAAAGTTTGGAACTCCCTAGAGACTTGTTGAACAGCTTTGATCAAAATGCTGATAACGTTATGGACAATGAAATCCAGGCTGAGGTGGTCTCAGATGGAGATGAGGAACTTGTTGGGAACTGGGGCAAAGGTGACTCTTGTTATGTCTTAGCAAAGAGAATGACGGCATTTTACCCCACCCTAGAGGTGTGCAGAACTTTGAACTTGAGTGAGATGATTTAGAATATCTCACAGAAGAAATTTCTGAGCAGCAAACCATTCAAGAGCTGACGTGGGTGCTGTTAAAGGCATTCAGTTTTAGAAAGAAAACAGAGCATAAAAGTTTGGAAATTTTGCAGCCTGACAATGTGATAGAAAAGAAAATCCCATTTTCTGAGGAGAAATTCAAGCCAGCTACAGAAACTTACATAAGTAATGAGGAGCCTAATGTTAATCCCCAAGACCATGGAGAAAATCTCTCCAGGGCATGTCAGCGACCTTTGCAACAGGCCCTCCCATTATAGGCCCAGAAGTTTAGGAGGAAAAAATGGTTTCATGGGCCAGGCCCAGAGTCCCTCTGCTGTGTGCAGTGTAGGGACTTGGTGCCCTGTGTCTCAGCCATCCAGCCATGACTAAAAGGGGCCAAGGTATAGCTTGGGCTGTTACTTCAGAAGGTGGAAGCCCCAAGCCTTGGTAGCTTCCACATGATGTGGAGCCTGCATGTGCAAAGAAGTCAAGAACTGAGGTTTGGGAACCTCTGCCTAGATTTCAGAAGATGCATAGAAACACCTGGATGCCCAGGCAGAAGTCTGCCACGGGGGTGGGGCCCTCACAGAGAACCTCTGCTACTGCAGTGCAGAAGGGAAATGTGGGGTCGGATCACCTACATAAAATCCCTACTCAGGCACCACCTAGTGGAGCTGTGAGAAGAGGGCCACCATCCTCCAGACCCCAGAATGGTAGATCCACTGACAGCTTGCACTGTGCACCTGGAAAAATCTGCAGAAACTCAATGCCATTCCATGAAAGCAGCCAGGAGGGAGGCTGTACCCTGTAAAGCCACAGGGGCAGAGCTACCCAAGACCATGGGAACCCACCTCTTGTATCAGCATGACCTGGATGTGAGGCATGGAGTCAAAAGAGATCATTTTTGAGCTTTAAGATTTGATTGCCCTGCTGGATTTCAAACTTGCAAGGGGCCTTTAGTCCCTTTGTTTTGGCCAATTTCTCCCATTTGAAATGGGTGTATTTACCCAATTGTATCTAGGAAGTAACTAACTTGCTTTTGATTTTACAGGCTCATAGGCAGAAGGGACTTGCCTTGTCTCATATGAGACTTTGGACTGTGGACTTTTGAGTTAATGCTGAAATGAGTTAATAATTTGGGGGATGGTTGGGAAGGCATGATTGGTTTTGAAATGTGAGGATATGAGATTTGGGAGGGGCCAGAGGTGGGATGATACAGTTTGGCTGTGTCTCTACCAAAATGTCATCTTGAATTCCCGTGTGTTGTGGGAGAGACCCAGTGGGAGGTAACTGAATCATGGGGGCAGGTCTTTTCTGTGCTGTTCTCATAAGTCTCATGAGAACTGGTGGTTTTATAAGAAGGAGTTTCCCTGCACAAGCTCTCTTTTTTGGCTTGCTCCCATCCATGTAAGATGTGACTTGATCCTTCTCGCCTTCTGCCATTGATTGTGAGGCCTTCCCACCCATGTGGAGCTGCAAGTCCATTAAACCTCCTTCTTTTGTGAATTGCCCAATCTCACGTAAGTCTTTATCAGCAGCATGAAAATGGACTAATACACCTTGGATGCCTCCTAAGCAAAACATCCTCAGTCCTTTCAACCATTTAATGAATGACAGACATCCTGACCTACTGCTGTCCTAGTCATCTGTATCCTATACTGTCAATGCCCAGCTTAAGCCTCAGTCCCTCAAAGTGAATACAGTGTGCTAGACATGATCTAGATGCATAAGGCACAGTAAGAAAACCATATCCTCACATCTTTCATTGATAAAGCCTAAGTCTGTATCAGCATTTATGGCCACCACAACACACTGCTGCCTCACACAAAAATTATGGTCATTTAAGATGCCTTGTTATTTTTCACAAGAACTGTTGGCAAGCCAGGCCTCCCCACTCTTCATATAGGCGCATCAGGGAAGAGGTTAAAGAGCATAGGACTTGACCCCTTCCTAAAAGGAAGACCTGAAAAGAGCTATAGATGGTGATTTATTTTGCCCAGACAAGTGAGAAATTGTTTTCGACATCTTTAAAGCTAATAATGAAGACTCTAAGCTACCATTAGGGGTCTTGTAATTGGAGGAAAAATACATCAAATGACAGATATTCTTTTTTATCAAATACCTCTATACACACAAACTAGAAAACCTAAAAGAATTGAACACATTCCTGGACACATACACCGTCCCAAGACTGAACCAGGAAGAAATTGATTCCCTGAACAGGTCAATAAAGAAATTGAATCAGTAATAAATAGTCTACCAACCAAAATAAAGCCCAGGACCTGATGAATTGACAGCTCAAATCTACCAGATGTACAAAGAAGAGCTGGTACCATTCCTACAGAAATGATTCGAAAAAACCAAGGAGGATAGACTCCTCCCTAACTCATTCTGTAAGGCCAGCATCATTCTGATACCAAAATCTGTCAGACACACACACACACACACACACACACACACACACACACACACAAACTTTAGGCCAATATCCTTGATGAACATTGATGCAAAAATCCTCAACAAAATACCTGCAAACCAAATCCAGCAGCACATCAAAAAGCTAATACACCACAATCAAGTAGGCTTCATCCCAGGGATGCAAGGTTGGTTCAACATATGCAAATCAATAAACGTGATTCATCACATAAACAGAACTAAAGACAGAAACCACATGATTATCTCAATAGATGCAGAAAATGCTTTCAATAAAATTCAATATCCCTTCATGTTAAAAACTCTCACTAAACTAGGTATTAAAGGAACATACCTCAAAATAGTAAGAGCCATCTATGACAAACCCATGGCCAACATTATACTGAATGTGCAGAAGCAGGAAGCATTCTCCTTGAAAACCAGCCTAAGACAAGGATGCCCTCTTCTCACCACTCCTAGTCAACACAATCTGAGAGTCTTTGCCAGAGCAATCAGGCAAGAGAAAGAAATAAAGAGCATCCAAATAGGAAAAGAGGAAGTCAAACCATCCCTGTCTGGAGATGACATGATTTTATATCTAGCAAACCCCACAGTCTTGGCCCCAAAGCTCCTTCAGCTGATAAACAACTTCAGCAAAGTTTTAGGATACAAAATCAATGTGTAAAAATCACTAGCATTCCTATACACAAACAATAGCCAACTCTAGCCAAATCAGGAACATTACAAAATTCCACATTACGAAATTCCATGGGTTTTATAAGCTTTATGTCAGGAATGGGACACAAAGACTAAATAGGTATTTTTTATTAGCACTGATAGCAAGTAGAAACAAACTGCAGAGAATGAACTATTAATACTCTAAGATTATTTTAAAAGGAATCCAGCATCCCTTCCTTCAGTGGGTTGTTGACAGTTTTATTTAAGTGAGAATAAAATTAAAGCCATTCATTAGTTTTAGGTGGTCATCCAACCTCACCATCTTAATGCAGGTTTTAGGTTCTTCAACCATGAATTATTCTATCACTTTTGGCAATATTACAGCTAGTTCAACACTTAAGTTAATTTTTTTTTAATTCTCTAGAAACAAGATTGTTTATTTTTTTAACCAAACATTGCTATCCTAATGTCACCATCTGTGCCAAATCAGAGTTTCAGTCACTCTTGACAACAAATGAATGAGGCAAAATACTGACAATTTATGTGCATACTTTTCATGTAGTAATACAAGCTATATTCAGTACTACTACAGCTGTTTTCAAACTGCTCCAGAGAAAGCATTTCCAAAATGTTACAAGGATTCTTCTGCTGAGATCTCTACTTTAAAAATGTAATATTTTACAGCAGCAATAAGAAAATATTTGGAAAAAAATTTCTCCAGCAATCAAAGTGCATGCTCATTAAATAAGAGGTATTTTTCTAAACCTCAGCTCTAAACATAAATATCTTTTCATATGCAGGTTTAAGCATGAAAATTAAAAATAGATTTAGAAAGAAAATGCATTATATTGAAATAACCAAAATATACTCCCAAGACTACTGATCACCAGGAATTTGAGAAAAGACATGATGAATGGAAGTTTCCAAGGTGCCTGAGTTTACAAATAACCATCACTGTTTTCATCAAGTTCCAGACTTTTAACCTTGTCTTCTACGGTGGAGATAGCTGAATAATCCCTCAGGTTCAGGGACAATAAAAGAAGAACTAGGAAAAAGATAACAGATCCAGAAAAAAAAAATAAATAAAGCTTACTTAAGTATAATAACAATTCAAATTTTTTTAAAAAGAGGAAAGGGCTGAATTTGTGTAATCTTTGAGTATGTGAGAAAGAAGGATGCAAACAAAGCAAAATGCACATGAGATTGACACAAACACATGGCTTTAAAGGCACATATGACACAAAGTGTTTAAAAATAAGAAAGTTATTTGAACATCAAAATGGAAAGGATAGTAAGAGATTATAACCCACTGCAGAAAGTGGGAAACCAGGAATCAATACTGATAACAGATTCATAAGTCAGTAAGAAATAAACAAAGAAAGAAAGAAGCACTCTCCCTTACAGTGGTAGACCATGAACTGATAAATGTGATGGGGTTTTTACATCACCATTTTGCAATCATCATAATAAAGATTGGTACCGTAAAAATCATCAGCATGGCCAGGCTCAGTGGCTCACGCCTGTAATTCTAGCACTTTGGGAGGCCAAGGCGGATGGATCACCTGAGGTCAGGAGTTCGAGACCAGCCTGGCCAACATGGTGAAACCCTGTCTCTACTAAAAATACAAAAATTAGCTGGGCATGGTGGTGGGTGCCTGTAACCCCAGCTACTTGGGAAGCTGAGACAAGATAATTGCTTGAACCCGGGAGGCGGAGGTGGCAGTGAGCTGGGATCGCGCCACTGCACTCCAGCCTGGGCGAGAAAGCAAAACTCCATCTCAAAAGAAAAAGAAAAAAAAATCAGCACATGTTCAGTCTAGGGAGTTAAGTTTGATGAAGAGCAAGATATTTGCATGGTCTTAAAGAGAGCTCAAAGCAGTTTGCCCCTGTTCCCTTACTCTAACCTCAACTGAGAAAGAAAAAAAAAATTAAAACTTTTAATGCTTTATTTGATAACTACGTCAATGAAAACTGATCTATAATCAGACAGTAGTTGCTAGAAATATTAACCACCTGTACACTTTGCTGAATGGGCATTTAATTATGTGGACAGAGTCCATATTTTTGTTTTCTCCCCAGATAATAATTCCTTGTAAATACCTAACAAAATAGATTTTACCAAGTTTAACATCCAAATCTCTGCCAAGAAGAACTTACATTGAAACTATAGTTTATTAATATGTATTTTAATGCACTGTTTGGTAGACACAGGTACTGACAATATTTTAACTCAATGTTCTATTTTATGAACCAAAGAAAGGCACAGAGATTGTGCTCCAACAAAGGCAGAGATCCTATAATTAAATTCTAGAGCCCTAGCGTGTGATTATTTTTGAATAATAATGGAAGAAAATCATTTCCAAAAGAATGTATCTTAAAATAAAAAGTTTTAGATTGAAAAAGTCATTTCACTTTAACAGAGATGCTTAGTAATATATCTAAAGTATCACATTGCATTATTAATCAGCTGATTTTCTTTCAAAGTTAATGCCAAGTTGTATTTCAACTGTTATCAATTTCAAATCAACATTTCAAATTAACTCAGAGACTTTTTCCCCCAGTTACCAAAGGTACTCTTCTATCACTGACTAAACCCAATGATGAAACTAAATAACTAGATTTAGCTCATAGAACTACAGATTTAAAAGATCAGAGGGCACTTGGATAAGGTTCAAGAGAAAGACAAAATAGCTAACAACTTAAAAAATAACACACTCTGGCCGGGCATGGTGGCTCACACCTGTAATCCGAGCACTTTAAGAGGCCGAGATGGGCGGATCACCTGAGGTCAGGAGTTCAAGACCAGCCTGGCCAACATGGTGAAATCTTTTCTCTATTTTAAAAAATACAAAAATTAGCTGGGCATGATGGCACATGCCTATAGTCCCAGCTAACTCGGGAGGCAGAGTTGGGAGAATCGCTTGAACCCAGGAGGCGGAGGTTGCAGTGAGCCAAGATTGCGCCACTGCACTCCAGCCTGGGTGACAGAGCGAGACTCCATCTCAAAACACACACACACACACACACACACACACACACACACACACACACTCTCTCAAAAAAATTCTGGATCAGTTGGCCAGAAAAAAAGGCAAAACTGTGATTTTCAAATAAACCACAGAAAATGACCAAATATTTCTTATTTGCACAGAAGAGAAGAAAATATTCAAATGCAAAAGAAAGAATTTAAAATCTTTTTTACTAAAAAAAAGCTTTTTGTTAACAATTTAAAACAAATGCCTTATCTAGGAAATTTCAGTCTTCTTTTTTGTGGGTCAGAGGGAGAGAGGCTCATTAATCTGCCCTCATGCATAACCCCCAGTTCAATCCAAAATGAATCCAAGAGTATTTTACATATAACTCAAAGGACGGTTGGCAGTGGGCATGATCAAGACCATTATGGAAGCTGGGACAGCCTTTTATTTATGGAAGGTGGGGGAGGGATTTCAACCAATGGTCTTAACCACTAGTAAGAGCAAGAAGCAGCTTAGAGGGAGCCCAGGATTTCCAGAATAACTACATGATGTTGCCCTAGCTCAATCCTACAGTACTAACTGCCTCTCAAATTAATCATGTGTGCTCTTTTGAGGTATTAAAAGTAATATTGGACACCAAAAATGTTTCCTAATTTCTCAATCCAGATCACCAATAAGCATCTCCTAATTCCCCCAGGCCCACCAGGCCCACTGCTCTTCCCAAAACCTGACTGATGAGAACTTAAGACTAAGAATCGTTGTTCTACATGACATTTAAAATCTGTATTAGTTTCATATTGCTGCTGTAACAAACTACCACAAATTCAGTGCCTTCAAACAACACAAATTTGTTATCACTTAAGGGCTGAAGGTCAGAAGTCCAAAATCAGTTTCCCTGGACTAAAAAAAAAAAAATCAAGATATCGAGAAGGCTTAATTCCTTCTGGATTGTTTTGTGATGAATTCTCCAGGTGTTCTTTGAGTTTTACTAGGTGTTATTTGGATGTGTCGATCTCTAGCAAGGCCAGGGGGGTTTTCCTCGATTATTCCCTCAAACATGTTTTCCAAATTTCTAGATTTCTCTTCTTCCTCAGGAACACCAATTATTCTTAGTTTTAGATGTTTAATATAGTTCCAAACTTCTTGGAGGCTTTGTTCATTTTTTTTTAATGCTTTTTTCTTTGTCTTTGACGGATTGGGTTAATTCAAAAGGCTTATCTTTGATCTCTGAAGTTCTTTCTTCTGTTTGTTCGATTCTATTGCTGAAACACTCAAAGCATTTTACATTTCTCTATCTGTGTCCTTAATTTCCAGAGGTTGTGATTGCTTTTTATTTATACTTTCTATTTCACAAAAGATGTTTCCTTTCATATCCTGCATCATGTTTTTGATTTCTTTGACTTGGACTTCGCCTTTCTCTGGTGCCTCCTTGATTAGCTTAATAATCGGCCTTCTGAATTCTTTTTCTGGCAATTCAGAGATTTTGTCTGGAAAGGACACCCTGTTCAACAAATGGTGCTGGGATAATTGTAAGCCACACGCGAAATAATGAAACTGAATCCTCATCTCTCACCTTATACAAAAATCAACTCGAGATGGATCAAAGACTTAAATCTAAGACCTGAAACCATAAAGATTCTATAAGATAATATGAGAAAAACCCTTCTAGACATTGGCTTAGGTGAGGATTTCATGACCAAAAACCCAAAGGCAAATGCAACAAAAACAAAGATAAACAGATGGGACTTAATTAAGCTAAAAAGCTTCTGCACAGCAAAAATAATAATAATCAACAGAGTTCATTCACAGACAACCCACAGAGTGGGAGAAAATCTTCAAAATCTATACATCTGACAAAAGACTAATGTCCAGAATCTACAAAGAACTCAAGCAAATCAGCAAGAATAAAACAAACGATCCCATCTAAAAGTGGCCTAAGGACATGAATAGACAACTCTCAAAGAAGATATACAAATGTCCGACTAGGATATGGAAAAATGCTCAATATCACTAATTATCAAGGAAATGAAAACCAAACCTCAATGCAATACCACCTCAATCCTGCAAGAATGAACATAATCAAAAAATAATAAAGGTTGGTGGGGATGTAGTGAAAAGGAAACATTTTTACACAGCTGGTGGGAATGTAAACTAGTACAATACACTATGGTAAACAGTGTGAAGATTCTTTAAAGAACTGAAAGTAGATCTACCATTTGATTCAGCAATCCCACTGCTAGGTATCTACCCAGAGGAAAAGAATTCATTATACAAAAAAGATATTTGCACACACGTTTATAGCAGCACAATTTGCGATTGCAAAAATATGGAACCAGCCCAAATGCCCATCAATCAATAAGTGGATAAAGAAAATGTGGTATCTCAGCCATAAAAAGGAATGAAACAATGGCATTCACAGCAACCTGAATGGAACTGGAGACTATTATTCTAAGTGAAGTAACTCAGGAATGGAAAACCAAATGGAAAATTATATGTTCTCACTCATAAGTGGGAGCTAAGCTATCAGGGCACAAAGGCATAAGAACAATACATTGAACTTTAGGGACTCAGAGGAAAGGGTGGGGGTGGCAAGGGATAAAAGAGTACACATTGGGTACAGTGTACACTCCTTGGGTGATGGGTGCACCAAAATCTCAGAAATCACCACTAAAGAATTTTTCCATGCAACCAAACACCTATTCCCCAAAAACCTATTGAAATTGAAAAAAAATTTTAAAAATTCCTTCTGGAGATTCTAGGGCAAACTCCATTCCATGCCTTTTCCAGCTTCTGCAGTCTTCCCTCTTTCCTTGGTGGGGGGGCTACATCACCCCAACTTCTGCTTCCACTGTCACATGTCCTTCTCTAACTCTGATCCTCCTGCCTCCCTCTTATAATGACCCTAGTGATTACACTGAGCCACCCAATGATCCAAGAAAATCTCCCCATCTCAAAATCCTCACCTTCATCAAATCTACAAAGTCCCTTTTGCCATGTAAGGTAAAATAGTCATTAGGTTCTGGGGATTCAGATATAGACACTTTGGAAGGCCACTATTCTGCCTACCACAAAGCTCTCCAGTCCTGAAATTCAGTGAACTAGGACTTCTATTTTAGCTAAATAACCCAATATATACGTTGTGATTACTTTTGGATTTCAATTTTATATCCTTCCTTGATTCTAGCTTATTTTGTTTAATTTTATTTGTTTTTAATACTGTTTTTGTCATCTTTAAATTAATCCATCTGGCTACCATCTTGAGGCTTTAACTGAGGTATCTTGGACCAAATTAGAAATTAAGGACCTCTGAATATATTTGTTCTCATTTTGATGCCTTGATTAGCTGCAGACTGCATAAAGACAATGTTTTTGTTGAGCTAGTTGTAAAGGGTAAATAATTACCAACATAACCATCATGTTATGCCTAATATCCCAAAGGACCTATCATTTTATATCTACTTGCACAGTAATTTATTACACTAAACTTTATGACTCTAAAGTCAGAGAAAAACACGTGCAAGATTATTACAAGAGAATGCCAATGTTTTGAGAAGAATAACAGAATACAGTCAAATGTGTAGAGATATATATGCACACTGATGAGTCAATGTGAGTTTATAAAAAATTCTGGCACAATGTAACAGGCTAATCCCCAAAGTATGTATTAAAATTAATTATATCAGACACTGGTTGGCCATAATGAGCAATTTCCCGGAACTGATGGCCAAAGCTCATCGATATTCCATCATCACATGAAGAATATCCAGAATTTCAACATGCAAAGCCTACCAACCTTTTAGTTCTTCTCTTTCAACTATGAACATTATCTTTTATTATGTATATGCTTAAAAAAGAATGAGCTATCCCTGACCATGACAAGATTCTACAGAGGAAAATAACTAAAATGAGGTCATAGAAAGATCTTGCAGGCTTTCAGAATTCTTCCTTTATGCATCTACTTCTTACTATACAATAACATAACTGGTTGACATGACTGTGCTCTCCTAAGAGTTCCTTGAGAATAGGAACAAACCATGTCTTATTTACCAGTTCCTGCCACTCTATTGCAAGGACTCCATTCAAGAGAGAGAAGGAGAGAAGGGGTTTTAAACAACACAGTGTGCCCAATAAAGTATACTGATTTATACACTATCTATGTCTCTTTTTAGAGAAAGGATTTAGAAAAGCAGTATAGGGTAGCAGTTAAGAGTTCTAGATTGCCACTGCCAGGTTCAAAGCATTTGAACAATTTACTTCTGTGTACCTCCATTCTTTCATGTGTACCATGGGATTGATAATAAAATCTCCTCAGAGGACTACTGAGGGATTTAAGTGATGTAGTTTGTATAAAAAGCTTTTCATACAAAGTGCTTTAGGCCAACACCTGGCAGACACAATTGTTCAATAAATGTACACAGCAATTATCCTGTTCAAATACATTTTTGTATAATAATATAAATGTTCATCTGTTTTTCAAATAAATGCATATTTTTAATAATCACTTAATACAAAGAAGCATACATTTTCACATTAAAACAAATGTTGATTTAATGTCAACACTTACTGGGTTGCTTTTCTAATTTTTATCTTGTAATGCCAGTAAAAATCAATAAAGTCCAATAAAAGCCAGAAATTATTTGTATTTGCAGCTACATCAAAAATACTAAAAAACTGTATAGTCAATCTAGATTGAGGCCAATAATTATAAACGTTGGGCTCCCTGGAAACTTGAACAAAACTAACATTCAAATACACATTTATTTTGATACAGTCAAATTTCAAAAGGCCATTTTTAACCATTTAACAGATATGATTAGGCAAAAATGTTGTTTCCTTGGTTGACAGATACAACAAATGTCATCAAATTAGGATAATCTCTTCAATATCTTGAAGCAAAAAAAAAAAAAATTCAACAGTATTTGTTATTTTCCTCTCTCAAATATGAAAACAATAGAGCCTTTCATGGAACATTAGATAATAAAAAAGCTCAGGCTTCAGTCATCAATTAAGAATAGACCCAGGCACAGTTCAAAAAAAGTAGAATAATCTACTCAAATGAAACAACCTGATCTTCAGAACCTTTTAAATTAACCAAGGAAGAATAAAAACTAATATAAGTGTATACAAGAACTATTCACGAATACTGAGTATACTTGGTAAAATATGAAGAAGAAGCAATTCAAAAAGTACTATTTTTTAAAAGCCTCTTTTATAATATATGGTGACATGAACCTCATTCTTTAGAGTTTTTCACAACTTCACATTAGATTTCAGATACCACATGTTTTAAAGGGGACACAACAACAGAAGTTTCCATGATCACAGACCATGGAGACAATATGTCCTACCAGAGTACACAGCAGCAGTTTTCTTGGGCATGTGAGGCTATTGAAGAATATAAAACATTCACCACATGGGTCCTACCACAACTGTTCAAATAAACTATGTTTTGCTTCTTGTATTATGGAAATATCCAGACCTAGTTCAGCAATAAACTATTAAGAATGTTTAATTAAATCAAGCATCCCAATTCAACAGTTACACAAAGAAACTGTAAGTACAATTGGGCCCCTTTCTAAACTATTTAGAGTGCTTTTTCCATTTTTCAGCTTCTTGCTATTATAAATAGTGACAAGGATCAACAGATTTTTTTAAAAAAAATAAGCTCTTTACAACCTTCAACTATTTGCTTACATGTTTTGTGAGTCACCATGCAAAATTTATGTCCATACTCCAAATGTTCAGTTACTTTCCCTTATTTTACTCTGTTTTACATTTTAAAATCAAGCTGGATATAGGGCAATGTACACTGATAGCATTTTGGAATTCTGCCTTCCCAATACTATCATCCCACAATTTTTCTAAATATGTTAATGATAACCTTCTAGGAGGTTGACAAATTAGGCAAAATACATAAACAGAAAATAAAAAGAAGGCTCATTTGTTAAACATCTACTAACTTCTCCTGTTTTAAAACTATAAATATTTATAAATCTATAAAACCTTAATGGTTTAAATAGAACTTAAAGATCTTCCAATCCAACTGCTTCTTAAGGTAGGAACTCTTCATTTAGAAATTATACCAAAAATGTTTGCACACTGTTTTGTCCCAAAAACAGGCTGGAAATTCCACTGTGGATACAATAAAAAGTCCGTAGTATGGGCTATAGCTCAAGGACCTTTGGAATTTTGTTTGTATGTGGCAGTGTTACATTCTGAGGAGGGTCTCTGGAGGTAATCAAATGATTCATTACTATATTCAGTATTTTTTTACATTTAATTATGCATTTCACCTGTGAAAAATATGATAGACTCCCTGAAAAGGCAAGTTTCTTTGGTTTATCACATGCTGATCAGAACTTCTGGTGACAGTTATAAATCATACTTATTAAAACTACAAGGAAAAGGTTTTTTTTTTAAGCAATCATTTTAGTGAATCAGTTCTGAATAAAAATTTCCAAATCATGGTGTCAGCAGGGTAATTGTTCCTGTTAGATAAATTATCCTTGGTAGTGAAAAGGCCTGGACCAACTGGGTCGGGCTAGTCTATCCATCCGAAGGGAAACATGGTAAGGAAGTGAAAAAAAAAAATTCCCGATGAGGCAACTGCTGTCCACAAAAACTAACGAATGAGATGGGTTGTAGAGTCAACATCTCTGGTGAGGCTTCCCAGGCAAAGGAATAAACACCTACCTTTCTAAAACCACCAAAATCCTTCTTAGAAGCAGCCGTTCTGATGAATTCACTCATATAATTCATAGTGAAAAAAAAGTGTTCATTTAACTTCCTAGAACTTTCTAAAAGCCAGAATTAGAGAACACTTTGTACTTTTCTTTTTTTGAAGGCAAATAAGGGCTGAACTGCTACTCTGTTTCTGAATTCTGTTGTTCATCCATGGCCTTCCCTTCTTCAGAAAAAAAAAAAAAAAATTATGAAAGAAAGCTTACGAAAATATCTCAGGGGAACAATTTTTCTAATGCAGAATAATAGACCTTGTCTTATGAATGTGAATCAGGAAATATTTGACAGGCTACAGTCACATTTTCCATCTGTACATGTGGCCTGTGACACTGAGGCCACCCAAAGAGATGAGCTGTCACCTAAGAAGGATCAGCTCAGATGGTCTGGTGCAAACATCAACGCAGTCCTCTATAAAACCATGTCCCAAAACTACCTTTTCCATCCTGAGGAGAGTAATTATAGATTGTGCCCAAATCTGGCTTTCCCATCGCTTAACCAAATCCAACTACCAGGCCCAGAATAGAAACTGTATGACTACTGACACTGTTTTGATTTTAAAATAGGCAACAAGATTATGAAGAATGATACCAGAAAAAAAAAATTCAATTTGCAACTAACTCTTGAATATTACATTCTGGCATATTATAGAGATTTAGTTAAAATTATACATAATTTCATCTTTCTGTCTGAATAATTTTTATGATGCTATTAAATGGCTGCTGGAATGCAATGGCTAATGAGCTCAATAAAATGAAAATTATTTATAAGCAAGATCCTTATTTATTTGTTCACATGAACTTCATTGTAAAAACTCAGCTCAAAGAGTTTCCTGTAACTAATACTAAAACCAGAAGCCAAAAATCACCCTGATGGTCAGTGACAATGATTTCATCAACAGTGAAAGTTTTTTCCTCAGATCACAGGAATGCCTGTGACAAGAGTTTATAAGGAATGCATCCTAGAGTGGTATGACCAAAAGAGGCTTTACAAAGCACCTAAAGCACAGGCTTTAATGCAGTCTTCTGTTCTTTCCACCATACCAATATGCTGTGGACAAGATAAAGCCAATCTGGGATGAAGGTGGCCACTTTCTAGGAGCATAACAGACACCTTTGATCTGGGAGATTACTAGCAACTCCACACAATAGGTTGAACATAGATGTGAGTGAATGCACATACTTTCTTTGGTTTTCCTCTCTTCCATCAAAGTTTCACTCATTTGACCAGTTACACGAATAACCCATACCCACTATCCTGCCACCATGTTTTTCGAGAAGGCAGCCCCAATGCAAAGTGCAAAGAAACACACCACATTCTTTGAGAAAACCAAAAGCGCTGGCTAATTCAAGGCCAAATAGTGGCAGCTATAACTTTGAAACTCTGATACAATAACCTATGTTACAGCTGTTCTCTGGTGTTTCAAGTAGCATTGAAATTGGGAGACAAATGGGCTTATAATCTCCAAGTCAGATTATCTTGAAGCCTATTAATTAATCAATTAATTAACTAATGTAAATTCCATAAGACCAGGAATTTTCAGCTGTTGTCTTCACTGAGGTATCCCCTGGACCTACAACAGTAGCTTAGGAAAGAGTAGTATATATTATAATTATTTGTTCAATGAATGGTTATGGATATGAATAGTGGTATCTTTATTTTATAAAAGTATTACAAAGCTGACATGAAACTGCTAAATAATGTCTATTTCGTTACTCAAATACTATACAAGATAATTTTAACTGGCCTAGTTTCTATTCTCGTCAGAAATACATGACTTTATTGCTTTACCAATTTGCAAGCCTTGACTCTTCCTCCACCCAAAAACATAACAAATCCAAGAAGGCTGGACTTTGTTTATCTGAATCATACTTATCCATGAAAAACAGGAAAATCCTGCCTGAGTGTGGTGGCTCACGCCTGTAATCCCAGCACTCTGGGAAGCCAAGGTGGGCAGATCACCTGAGGTCAGGAGTTTGAGACCAGCCTGGCCAACATGATGAAATCCCATTTCCACTAAAAATACAAAAATTAGTCAGGCGTGGTGGCGCATGCCTGTAATCCCAGCTACTTGGGAGGCTGAGGTGGGAGAATCGCTTAAACCTAGGAGGCGGAGGTTGCAGTGAGCCGAGATCACACCACTGAACTCCAAGCTAGGTGACAGAGCAAGATTCCAACAAAAAAAAAAAAAAAAAAAAAAGAATCCAGTTAGACAGTTAGATGGACAAAATATTTTATATTTTCAAGTGTCTTCAAAGAATCAATTTCTAAGTAAAAATAATATGTATTTAAACTTATAGCCATATTAC
The DNA here is from genome assembly GCF_000001405.40 of Homo sapiens. Taxonomy (NCBI): domain Eukaryota; kingdom Metazoa; phylum Chordata; class Mammalia; order Primates; family Hominidae; genus Homo; species Homo sapiens. The sequence continues at coordinate 43,682,099 of NC_000005.10, read as the reverse complement.
ACAAGACTGTAAAACATTATTAGACTGCAAATACCACAGGCAGCTAGATGTGTTTAGACAGTACATAAAAAATAAATGAAAATATTTATTTTTAAAAACATGCAAGATATTTCAGGTTGTAAAAAGTTTAAAATATCTCCTGGACAGCTAACTACTCCTTGCATTCTTACTACTACTCTACTTGTCTTAGCATACTATCACATTAAATGGAATTCATTCATTGATTGATCTGTTAATAGAGATTTCTTCATAACTATAAACTTTTGAGGACTGGACTTACGCATCCTTGTATGCTCAGTACCTAGCAATAAATTTCTCAGTAAGTTATTAGTAGAAGGATATAGCAGAACATTAACATGAAAGCAATACATAACATCAGCTAGTCAATCAAAGAAGTTGAGGCCGGGTGCGGTGGCTCACGCCTGTAATCCCAGCACTTTGGGAGGCTGAGGCAAGCAGTTTACTTGAGGTGAGGAGTTCAAGACCAGCCTGGCCAACGTGGCGAAACCCCGTCTCTACCAAAAATACAAAAATTAGCCAGGTGTGGTGGTATGCGCCTGTAGTCCCAGCTACTTGGCAGGCTGAGGCAGGAGAATTGCTTTGAACCCGGGAGGCAGAGGTTGCAGTGAGCTGAAATCATGCCACTGCCCTCCAGCCTGGGTGACAAGAGTGAAACTCCATCTCAAAAACAAAATAATAATTAAAAAAAATAAGTTGAAAGTTGTTCAATAAATTCAAATGACTTCTGTGATAATTCAAGCAATGATTTATAGAAAGAAAATCAAGCAGTAATTATAATAAAAAAATTCTACCCCTTTCTTTTTTTTTTTTTTTTTTTTTGAGAAGGAGCCTCGCTCTGTCACCCAGGCTGGAGTGCAATGGCACGATCTTGGCTCACTGCGAGCTCCACCTCCTGGGTTCACGCCATTCTCCTGCCTCACCCTCCCGAGTAGCTGGGACTACAGGTGCCCGCCACCATGCCTGGCTAATCTTTTGTATTTTTAGTAGAGACGGGGTTTCACCATGTTAGCTAGGATGGTCTTGATCTCCTGACCTCTTGGTCTGCCTGCCTCAGCCTCCCAAAGTGCTGGGATTACAGGCATATTCTACCCCTCCCTAATTACTCAATGGGAACATTATCTCTGCCTTATAATGAAAAGCCTATCATATAATCAGTCCAAAAATTGGGAAGGAAAAAGACAAAATATCTGTGGCTCTTACGTCGTAAGATTGTTGTCATAAAATCCTTTTAGACATCAAGCAGAAGTTAGGTAAGCTATACAGGCATTCTGGGCTACTGGGAAGCAAATGATATCTTGGCCACTAACAAAAGTCTAAGCCAGTGAACTTTCATGACATTCTAAAATGAGTTCTTGTCATGAAATGTCATGTGCTTCATTATATAATCTTAGCTCGTGAGCATATTATGACTATGGGCAAAGTAAAGGAAAACAGGAGTGTCTCTAAATCAATCATGGGCCATGAAGCCAGACAGACTGTATGACAGATGCGATTTTTCTTGGCACCACTTGGGTATAACTAATTGATGACAATCATATGTCCACACTGGCACATTTCCACAGGGGATGTGTGTGAATATGTCACCACATCTGGATGCTAGGCATGCTGGGGTCCTGAGGCACAAAGACCTGCTAACTCCAGAGGCCCAGCAGCTGTACTCAATGAACACCGTGGGAGCTCCACAGAGTGATGAAAGGACTAAATTACTGCAAACTGTAAATACAGATTTATTTCATTAAAATATGAGGTAACTGCTGCAGCCATCTCTTGTTCAAACAGACGTTTGCCCTTTAAAAAAAAAAGGAAAAAAGCTAGCATCTATGTATATACATATTCCTAACTTCGTAAAGAAAATTTGCATTTCTCCTGTGAAAAGCTAACACACGCACAAAGCAAAATCACAAAGTTTCTACAAATCTCTTTCAATAAAAAAAATTCACACAGAAAAATATGATGATCTGCTGTCATAATTTTAGCAAGAATAGTCCTCTTCCATTTAATTCAAATGGAAGATTTACATAATTTGTTACAAAGTTCATGTTGAAAATTCAACATACTATAGTAAAAAAAAACTACAATATATTAATATATTTTACCTTTAATATGAAAGAAAGATGACTATAAATAACTTACAAATAGAGAAACTAGACTGAATTAATAATCTTATTCTGATCCTACATAATAAATTATTAATAAATTTATAAAATTATTTGAACTATGTTAATAATTATGTGAAGCAATGAAAAGCTCTCTCATGAAAAGGCTTTGGTCCTATTCACACAATTACTTCAATAAAAAATGTAGAACTGAAAAACTATTCATATATGTATAATTAAATATTTCTCTTAAACCTTTCATCAAATAATTACTCTTCCCAAGCACTGTCACAGAAATCATCCTACAACAGTAGTTTATATCATGTCCTCATAGATAAAATTCTAATTTTAATCAGATCAGAAACAAAAAATTCATTTGTCTTATCCTTTTTCCTTTCAGATCATTTTTCCCATCTCTCTTATTTCCTTTGACATTTCCCTTAAGATGCTGCCTTCCTTCAAGCTACACTACAGTCACGATGTTCTTCACTCCACATCCACCTATTTAACACTGGACTGATTTTCCAAGATGTCTGGTTAACCTAGGCTGATCAACAGGTAACAAGAGAGGTATGCCAAATTAATCCTTCCCTTCCCTAAGGATAATTAAGACATGAAAGGCATTTTTCTTTCTCTATTATGATTGCCACCCATCTCCTAAATATTTATGTGGTGAAAGAGGGCATTACGAATACATTACACTTTTTCACATCTGGACTAAATAGAGAAAACAGTTTCTTTTTAGGAAAATCATAAAACGTTGTTTAACATATCATTTTCACTTGCAGGCCTACAAATGTTCTCAGCAGCAAAATGATGGCTTTAAAAAGCACAGCTTAATATCCTATGTAAAAATTGGAATAAGTAACTAAAAAGTAGACTTCTTATACAAAAATTTAAAAATAAAGTCAATGACTTTTCTCATCTTCTACCTTCAATTCATCTAAGACTCTCAATAAACATGAAAATCTTGTCACAGAAATGCTGGTCCCACCACAAAATAGTATTTTGATTCTATATATTTGACAAACACAGACTATAGATTGGAGGAAGGAGTGGAGAAGGAGTGAGACAAGAAAGGAAGTGTAGGAAACAAAGGAAGGAAGAAATAAAGTGCAGCTGACACTAATACAATTAACTGCCGACACTAATACAATTAAGGTAGCCCCCTGATTTCATCATCTAAGTTTCTTTCACCACTACTAGTAGCTGGGACATTCCAGCCAGAGATTAAGATTCTGCATCCAGTCCAGCACAAGTACTCTGACTGGCTAACTCAGCTAACTCAGCAAAACAGTAACCAGGGCACAGGTTTATTACTTGGTCTTGCTCTTCAAGGCCTCTCTTTTAAGACCTTTTGTTTTTATTCAGTGTGACCGGAAACCAAAAAGATACAACTTGATGTAGTTAAAATGCTTCGCTTGACCTCTTTCCTCAAATCAAACCACAGAGAAACAAGACATCCGATTTCCCCATTAATAAATCTCCAAGAATTTGGAATAACACATTTTCCTTTTCTAAAATGAGTCGATAATATTTGAGTTGACGCTAATCCAGGAACAGCAAAATCTAAATAGTAAGACTAAGACCAGAATATGGCTTGTTCATTAACAACTTAACTTCTTTACCTAGGATTACACATGTAAAACACCACTTTAAGAAACAGTCATCTTTTTCAGAAGCCATATACAGCTGACCCTTGAACAACATGGGTTTGAGCTGAGAGGGTCCACTTATCCACAGATTTTCTTCTACCGCTGCCACTCATGAGAGCAAGACCAACAACTCCTCTTCCTCCTTCTTCTCATCTCACTCAACGTAAAGACAAGGATGAAAACCTTTATGATGATCCACTTCCACTTAAGGAATAGTAAATATACTTTCTCTTCCTTATGATTTTCTTAGTAACATTTTCCTTTCTCTACTATTTAATACATATAATATACAAAATTTGTTAATTGATACATATTTTGTTTATGTTATCAGTAAGCATTCTGATCAGCAGTAGGCCATTAGTAGGTAAGTTTTTGGAGAGTCAAAAGTTATATATGGATTTTTAATTGTATGGGCGGGTCAGTGCCCTAACCCCTACATTGTTCAAGGGTCCACTGTATTTCCTTTTCTCCACACACACATCTTTACACATAGTGCAAGCCTCTCCACTGCAAACGCTTACCTGACTTTTTTGCCTTGCTCAGTGAGCATCTTTACCAAATCAGCAATGGGGTATTGAGCTTTGGCTGCACAGAGACCATAGCCTGCAAGGAACATTAAGAACACAGAAGAATGTGTTTTTTATTTTGAAATTACATGAAGTACAACTTCTCTCTTGATGAAAACACATGTTTATGCCAACAGAGGCAATCATTTAACAGGACTAGAAATGAAAGCAAATTTATAAGCTGGGCTTTTAAAAATATTGCCCTAAATTTGAAATTGAAAATGTAATGATTGCTCCTCAATCTTCTGTAGTGTCTCATGCTGCTGTGCAACCCCACCCCCGACACTGCACACACCCTTGGGTGTTCCCTCTCTTGTCTCTTTCTCTGTCTCTGTCTCTCTCTCTCTCTCTCTCTCTCTCTCATGTTTTTAAACTCTCTTCATACTTGGCTTTGACGACACTGCGGTCCCCTGTCCCAGCCTAACTTTGTTATTATTCTTTCTCTAGTTCCTTGAATAGTTTTTCTCCTTCTTTTCTCCGCTTATATAAGTTTCCAAAGGGCTTTAACTTTGCCCCTCACATTCTCCTTGAAAATCTCAGCTCCTCTCATGGCTTCAACAACCATCTGATGATTCCCAATCTGTCTGCAGGCTTGACCTGTCATTTGAGCGCCAGTATAACATGGCTCTTGTCCCATCTTCACCTCAAATTTAATGTCTCAAAAAAAGAACTCAAAATTTCCCCCCACCCCACACTCTAAAAACTGTTTCCATATTTCTGATGTTATTACAGGTATAACCAAGAACTTCAGTCATCTTCACCCTCCTTTCTGTCCATTCTACCTGCACAATGAATCTCACATCTGTCCCCACTTTTCTATCCCCATTTTTTCAAATGCCAAGTCTCTGCTCAAGCTATTCCCGTTGGCTTCTCCCATCCCAACACCATCTATTCTCTAAGTCCTAAAAACAAATCGTCGCCTCCCTACAAACCTTCATAGGTTTCTTGTGATTGAAAAACTGTCTACATAGTTCAGTTTAGCCCTTATCATAACCCACCTTGCATTACTGATCTACCTATCTGACTTAATCACTAGATGGAAAGTGCCTAGAGGAAATAGATTGTGTCCTCTACATCTTTACACCTTTACACTCCAGAACAGCATTGCTCAATAGGTAAGACCAATGCTACTTTGGGTGTGATGATTCATTATGCAGCAGTGTCCCACACGTTACAGTACATTTCATTTATCTGCTTCCATCCACTAATTGACAGTAGCATTCCCATCTTTGGACAACCAAAAACCCAAATCCACCTATTTCAAATGCCCCTAAAAAGTGATATTGTCCCAAGTTGAGAAGGCTTACACTTTAACACTCAATTCAGCTAATGTCTCCTATTTTTACTTCAGTACATAACTAACTAGTAAACTACTCACATGTCAAATCAGTAGATTTTATTTACAGAAAACTCATTTGATAACATGATAGAGTTAAAATCTTAATCTGAAACCAATGTATGACTCATAATACCACAGCATCCTGTGATAACAGTGAAGAAGAACTGAGCTAAAACTCAGAAAACTGGAAAATTGAGGCCTGGAGAGATTAAATGACTTGGGCAATGTCACATAGATTGTTAGAGGCAAAATTAAGAACAAAAGTGAGGTATCGTGACTCCATACCAAGCTCTTTCTACTAGGCCACATTGCCTCATTTTGTTGAAAACCACATGATTCTTGATCATTTTTTAAATAATCATTTTTGAAAAAACAACATTTATTAAGCAACTCTAATGAGTGAGCTAAAGACTTTCATATACTATATCTAATTTAATCTTGACAACGGGCCCAAAAATTACCAATGAGAAGAAAAAAGACTCGAAAATGATGTAAACATGTACACATAATCACAGAAAGACATGGCTAGAACCCACTGTAAGAATTTATAGAATTTCCATGTGATCTCCAAAATATTAATTTAAACTGAGAATTCTCAGTATTTTTCACTTAGTAATCATAGATTTGCTATTGTTTCCATTATATTTTCAAAACTAAAGAAGTTTCAATTCTACTTTCCTATTATAAGAAATTTTAATGTCATCAATTATAACAGCTATTATAGGTTATTTGCTTTTGCTTTTTTTCTTTACCTGGTGTAATAATAATGCTATTAGCTTCTCGAATCATGTCAATTGCATTGTCAAGGTTGATTTCCGTATGTGTGCCAGAAATTTCCATGGGTTTTCCACCAGCTGTTGAAGTGGTGCCATAGCCTCCAAGAATCACATTAGCCAGGGAGCGATTCATTGCCTAGAAAGCCAAATTATCAGCTGTGAGAGTTTAACACACATAACTTTGTGAGAATAGTACAAATGTTGTGTATATGATATTTGGAATCATTTTAAAAGGTTTATTTGATCATTTAAAACACTTTAATCAGATAAATTTCAGCTGGTTTCTGAAAATCACTTCAAAAATTGAAATGACAGAAGATATCTGAGAACCACATTATCTTTTTCCCTATCAAATCAATTGCACACTGATATATTTTCAGTAAAAAAAATAGAAACCAAGAAAAAATTATCAATAAAATTAATAAACTAATGAAAAAATCACATCTATTTATTACTGTCTGAATGCTGATTGAACAATTTTATCTCTCAGCTGAATTCTGCTACAGATTCCATCTTCACAGATACCAGCTGTGAAGAAGCAACTGGTAAGAATCAAAACAGTAAAGATCCATTTCATCTAGAATTTTGCTGCCCTCTGTCATCAAGAAAATAGAAATATGGGGGTTGATACTGTCTTATTTTCCAAATCAATTATAGCTCCACAAAGCCCCATACCTAAGTTTTAATAGAAGTAACTGGGTTCATCATTAGGACTCTAAAATATTTCACTTCCAAATAGGTAGAAGAATAAGGTTATATACTCTTTAAAATTTATACTCACTCTTTTAACTAGAAAAATAATCTCAAAAGAAAAATAAAATAAATGAACTTCTCATGCTCATTTATAATCACTCAAGAATGTACCATAGGAATGCCACTGCTGAAATATGTTACAGTAACTGGTCTGGTTTTGAAAACAGTTCATTTGTAGACCTCTGGAGGTGGGGTAGTAAAAGAAAGGGGAAAAAAAACTAGTTGTTCTGAGTAATCAAATGCATTTTAAGAATTCAAATCACTGCATGTGATTGAAACTGTCATTCTACATAATCATAACTGACTTTATCACTTCAGAACAAATTTCCAAAAACTTACTGAACTCTATTTTAAGTGCTGTAATAAATATATTATTGCTTCGTTATACAACTTAAAGGCTATATAAGTGTCAATCTATTGCTTTTTTTAAAAATACAACACTTTAGTATTAAAAAGGTAAAAAAGCACCAAGATCTTCAATGATAAGTACCACATCGAGACAACTATGGCCACCCCACACAATGATGGCTCAGCCTGCTACCAGCTTGGTGGAGACATTTCCATTATGCTGAGTAGGGCCCAGACAAAGGCAGGGAGGAAAAGGTACACAGAAGATAAGCAAGAAGCCATACTTTAATAAAGCCTAAATAACGTAAATTTCAAAGATGATGAATCAAAATGTTGCCAGAATTGTAATTGTTCTTTCAATCTAAACTCGTTTATCAGACACAACATTGACATTTTACAGAGCCCAAAGTCTGACAAATTTGTCTAAGATTGTTACATACAAAATAAAACCTGAAATGTCTTTACGTGTATTATTAAAGGATAAGAGGGTGAAAGAATTAAAGTGATGTCTTTTTTTTTTTTTTTTGAGATGGAGTCTTGCTCTGTCACCCAGGCTGGAGTGCAGTGGAATGATCTCAGCTCACTGCAACCTCCGCCTCCTGGGTTCAAGAGATTTTCCTGCCTCAGCCTCCAGAGTAGTGGGGATTACAGGTGCATGCCACCACACCTGGCTAACTTTTTATATATTTGGTAGAAATGTGGTTTCACCATGTTGGCCAGGCTAGTCTCAAACTCCTGACCACAAGTGATCTGCCTGCCTCGGCCTCCCAAAGTGCTGGGATTACATGAATGAGCCACAGTGCCCAGCTAAAGAAATGCTTTTAATTAAGTTCACAATCCCTAGCTGACATGGTGTTTTAAATTCCTAACACATTCCTCCCATATTTAAAACCAACGTTTAATGGAAACACAAATAGCCACATCTGAGACGTCCCAAACATTCAACTCATTGATCTAGATTAATCCTTTCTAGTTTTGAATTATACAGTTCTGAAATTGTTATCAAAATATATGTTCTACCAAATTTTTGCCCTTAAAATTGATTTAAAGGACTATTTCAGACATTAAGATATTTCTGTCATAGATAACTTTTTTAAAAAAAGAGTCCAGTGAGGATTGGGTTCCAAGATGGCCGAATAGGAAGAGCTCCAGTCTACAGCTACCAGCATGAGAGACGCAGAAGACGGGTGATTTCTGCATTTCCAACTGAGGTACCGGGTTCATCACGCTGGGGCTTGTCGGACAGTGTGGGCAAGACAGTGGGTGCAGTCCACCAAGCGTGAGCCAAAGCAGGGCGAGGCATTGCCTCACCTGGGAAGCACAAGGGGTCAGGGAATACCCTTTCCTAGCCAAGGGAAGCGGTGATGGAGGGCACCCGGAAAATCAGGTCACTCCCACCCTAATACTACTGCGCTTTTCCAATGGTCTTAGCAAATGGCACACCAGATTATAGCCCATGCCTGGCTCAGAGGGTCCCATGCCCACAGAGCCTCGCTCATTGCTAGCACAGCAGCCTGAGATCGAACTGCAAGGTGGCAGCAAGGCTGGGGGAGGGACGCCCACCATTGCTGAGCCTTGAGTAGGTAAATAAAGCAGCTGGGAAGCTCGAACTGGGTGGAGCCCACCGCAGCTCAAGGAAGCCTGCCTACCTCTGTAGACTCCACCTCTGGGGGCAGGGCATAGCCGAACAAAAGGCAGCAGAAACCTCTGCAGACTTACATGTCCCTGTCTGACAGCTTTGAAGAGAGTAGTGGTTCTCCCAGCATGGAGTTTGAGATCTGAAAACGGACAGACTGCCTCCTCAAGTGGGTCCCTGACCCCTGAGTAGCCTAACTGGGAGGCACCCTCCAGTAGGGGCAGACTGACACCTCACATGGCTGGGTACCCCTCTGAGACGAAGCTTCCAGAGGAACGATCAGGCAGCAACATTGCTTTTCAGCAATATTCGCGGTTCTGCAGCCTCCACTGCTGATACCCAGGCAAACACGGTCTGGAGTGGACCTCCAGCAAACTCCAACAGACCTGCAGCTGAGGGTCCTGACTGTTAGAAGGAAAACTAACAAACAGAAAGGACATCCACACCAAAACCTCATCTGTACGTCACCATCATCAAAGACCAAAGGTAGATAAAACCACAAAGATGGGGAAAATACAGAGCAGAAAAGCTGAAAATTCTAAAAATCAGAGCGCCTCTCCCCCCTCCAAAGGAACGCAGCTCCTCGCCAGCAATGGAACAAAGCTGGATGGAGAATGACTTTGACAAGTTGAGAGAAGAAGGCTTCAGACGATCCAACTTCTCCAAGCTAAAGGAGGAAGTTTGAACCCATCACAAAAAGCTAAAAACCTTGAAAAAATATTAAGACGAATGGCTAACTAGAATAAACAGTGTAGAGAAGTACTTAAATGACCTGATGGAGCTGAAAACCATGGCACAAAAACTACGTGATGAATGCACAAGTTTCAGTAGCCAATTCGATCAACTGGAAGAAAGGGTATCAGTGATTGAAGATCGAATGAATGAAATGAAGCGAGAAGAGAAGTTTAGAGAAAAAATAGTAAAAAGAAATGAAGAAAGCCTCCAAGAAATATGGGACTATGTGAAAAGACCAAATCTACGTCTCATTGGTGTACCTGAAAGTGATGAGGAGAATGGAACCAAGTTGGAAAACACTCTGCAGGATATTATCCGGGAGAACTTCCCCAACCTAGCAAGGCAGGCCAACATTCAAATTCAGGAAATACAGAGAATACCACAGAGATACTCCTCAAGAAGAGCAACTCCAAGACACATAATTGTCACATTCACCAAAGTTGAAATGAAGGAAAAAATGTTAAGGGCAGCCAGAAAGAAAGGTCGGGTTACCCACAAAGGGAAGCCCATCAGACTAACAGCTGATCTCTCAGCAGAAACTCTACAAGCCAGAAGAGAGTGGGGGCCAATATTCAACATTCTTAAAGAAAAGAATTTTCAACCCAGAATTTCATATCCAGCCAAACTAAGCTTCATAAGTCAAGGAGAAATAAAATCCTTTACAGAAAAGCAAATGCTGAGAGATTTTGTCACCGCCAGGCCTGCCTTACAAGAGCTCCTGAAGGAAGCACTACACATGGAAAGGAACAACCAGTACCAGCTACTGCAAAAACATGCCAAATTGTAAAGACCATCGAGGCTAGGAAGAAACTGCATCAACTAACGAGCAAAATAACCAGCTAACATCATAATAACAGGATCAAATTCACACATAACAATATTAACCTTAAATGTAAATGGGCTAAATGCTCCAATTAAAAGACACAGACTGGCAAATTGGATAAAGAGTCAAGACCCATCAGTGTGCTGTATTCACAAGACTCATCTCACATGCAGAGACACGCATAGGCTCAAAATAAAGGGATGGAGGAAGACCTACCAAGCAAATGGAAAGCAAAAAAAAGCAGGGGTTACAATCCTAGTCGCTGATAAAACAGACTTTAAACCAACAAATATCAAAAGAGACAAAGAAGGCCATTACATAATGGTAAAGGGATCAATTCAACAAGAAGAGCTAACTATCCTAAATATATATGCACCCAATACAGGGGCACCCGGATTCATAAAGCAAGTCCTTAGAGACCTACAAAGAGACTTAGACTCCCATACAATAATAACGGAAGACTTTAACACCCCACTGTCAACATTAGACAGCTCAATGAGACAGAAAGTTAACAAGGATATCCAGGAGTTTAACGCGACTCTGCACCAACAGGACCTAATAGACATCTACAGAATGTCTCCACCCCAAATCAACAGAATACACATTCTTCTCAGCACCACACTGCACTTATTCCAAAATTGACCACATACGTGCAAGTAAAGCACTCCTCAGCAAATGTAAAAGAACAGAAATTATAACAAACTCTCTCTCAGACCACAGTGCAATCACACTAGAACTCAGGATTAAGAAACTCACTGAAAACCACTCAACTACATGGAAACTGAGCAACCTGCTCCTGAATGACTACTGGGTACATAATGAAATGAAGGCAGAAATAAAGATGTTCTTTGAAACCAATGAGAACAAAGACACAACATACCAGAATCTCTGGGACACATTCAAAGCAGTGCGTAGAGGGAAATTTATAGCACTAAATGCCCACAAGAGAAAGCAGAAAAGATCTAAAATTGACACCCTAACATCACAATTAAAAGAACTAGAGAAGCAAGAGCAAACACATTCAAAAGCCTACAGGAGTCTAGAAATAACTAAGATCAGAGCAGAACTGGAGGAGATAGTCAAACAAAAAACCATTCAAAAAATCAATGAATCCAGGAGCTGGTTTTTTGAAAACATCAACAAAATTGATAGACCACTAGCAAGACTAATAAATAAGAAAAGAGACAAGAATCAAATAGACGCAATAAAAAATGATAAGGAGAATATCACCACCAATCCCACAGAAATACAAACTACCATCAGAGAATACTATAAACACCTCTATGCAAATAAGCCAGAAAATCTAGAAGAAATGGATAAATTCCTGGACACATACACCCTCCCAAGACTAAACCAGGAAGAAGCTGAATCCCTGAATAGACCAATAACAGGCTCTGAAATTGAGGCAATAATTAATAGCCTACCAACCAAAAAAAGTCCAGGACCAGATGGATTCACAGCTGAATTCTACCAGAGGTACAAGAAGGAGCTGGTACCATTCCTTCTGAAACTATTCCAATCAATAGAAAAAGAGGGAATCCTCCCTAACTCATTTTATGAGGCCAGCATCATCCTGATACCAAAGCCTGACAGAGACACAACAAAAAAAGAGAATTTTAGACCAATATCCTCGATGAACATCGATGCAAAAATCCTCAATAAAACACTCACAAACCAAATCCAGCAGTACATCAAAAAGCTTATCCACCATGATCAAGTGGGCTTCATCCCTGGGATGCAAGGCTGGTTCAACATACACAAATCAATAAACGTAATCTAGCATATAAACAGAACCAATGACAAAAACCACATGATTATCTCAATAGATGCAGAAAAGGCCTTTGACAAAATTCAACAACTCTTCATGCTAAAAACTCTCAATAAATTAGGTATTGATGGGACGTATCTCCAAATAATCAGAGCTATCTATGACAAACCCACAGCCAATATTATACTGAATGGGCAAAAACTGGAAGCATTCCCTTTGAAAACTGGCACAAGACAGGGATGCCCTCTCTCACCACTCCTATTCAACATAGTGTTGGAAGTTCTGGCCAGGGCAATCAGGCAGGAGAAAGAAATAAAGGGTATTCAATTAGGAAAAGAGGAAGTCAAATTGTCCCTGTTTGCAGATGACATGATTGTATATCTAGAAAACCCCATTGTCTCAGCCCAAAATCTCCTTAAGCTGATAAGCAACTTCAGCAAAGTCTCAGGATACAAAATCAATGTGCAAAAATCACAAGCAGTCTTATACACCAATAACAGACAAACAGAGAGCCAAATCATGACTGAACTCCCATTCACAATTGCTTCAAAGAGAATAAAATACCTAGGAATCCACCTTACAAGGGATGTGAAGGACCTCTTCAAGGAGAACTACAAACCAGTGCTCAACGAAATAAAAGAGGACACAAACAAATGGAAGAACATTCCATGCTCATGGATAGGAAGAATCAATATCGTGAAAATGGTCATTCTGCCCAAGGTAATTTATAGATTCAATGCCATCCCCATCAAGTTACCAATGACTTTCTTCACAGAATTGGAAAAAACTACTTTAAAGTTCATATGGAACCAAAAAAGAGCTCACATTGCCAGGTCAATCCTAAGCCAAAAGAACAAAGCTGGAGGCATCATGCTACCTGACTTCAAACTATCCTACAAGGCTACAGTAACCAAAACAGCATGGTACTGGTACCAAAACAGAGATATAGACCAATGGAACAGAACAGAGCCCTCAGAAATAATACCACACATCTACAACCATCTGATCTTTGACAAATCTGACAAAAACAAGAAATGGGGAAAGGATTCCCTATTTAATAAATGGTGCTGGGAAAACTGGCTAGACATATGAAGAAAGCTGAAATTGGATCCCTTCCTTACACCTTATACAAAAATTAACTCAAGATGGATTAAAGACTTAAATGTTAGACCTAAAATCATAAAAACCCCAGAAGAAAACCTAGGCAATACCATTCAGGACATAGGCATGGCAAGGACTTCATGTATAAAACTCCAAAAGCAATGGCAACAAAAGCCAAAATTGACAAATGGGATCTAATTAAACTAAAGAGCTACTGCACAGCAAAAAAAAAAAAAAACCACCATCAGAGTGAATAGGCAACCTACAGAATGGGAGAAAATTTTTGCAATCTACTCATCTGACAAAGGGCTAATATCCAGAATCTACAAAGAACTAAACCAAACAAATTTACAAGAAAAAAACAAACAATCCCATCAACAAGTGGGCAAAGGATATGAACAGACACTTCTCAAAAGAAGACATTTATGCAGCCAAAAGACACATGAAAAAATGTTCATCATCACTGGCCATCAGAGAAATGTAAATCGAAACCACAATGAGATACCATCTCACACCAGTTAGAATGGCGATCAGTAAAAAGTCAGGAAACAACAGGTGCTGGTGAGGATGTGGAGAAATAGGAACACTTTTGCACTGTTGGTGGGACTGTAAACTAGTTCAACCATTGAGGAAGACAGTGTGGCGATTCCTCAAGGATCTAGAACTAGAAATACCATTTGACCCAGCCATCCCATTACTGGGGTATATACCCACGGGATTATAAATCATGCTGCTATAAAGACACATGCACACGTATGTTTATTGCGGCACTATTCACAATAGCAAAGACTTGGAACCAACCCAAATGTCCACCAATGATAGACTGGATTAAGAAAATGTGGCACATATACACCATGGAATACTATGCAGCCATAAAAAAGGATGAGTTCATGTCCTTTGTAGGGACATGGATAAAGCTGGAAACCATCATTCTCAGCAAACTATCGCAAGAACAAAAAACCAAACACTGCATGTTCTCACTCATAGGTGGGAATTGAACAATGAGAACACATGGACACAGGAAGGGAAACATCACACACCAGGGCCTGTCGTGGGGTGGGGGGAGTGGGGAGGGATAGCATTAGGAGATATACCTAATGTAAATAGTTAATGGGTGCAGCACACCAACATGGCGCATGTATACATATGTAACAAACCTGCACGTTGTGCACATGTACCCTAGAACTTAAAGTATAATAATAAAAAATAGGGTTCTAGGCACTTCGGGACCGGCAGCTTAAGGTGCAGACATGGCCAAGTCCAAGAACCACACTACACACAACCAGTCCCGAAAATGGCACAGAAATGGTATCAAGAAACCCCGATCACAAAGATACGAATCTCTTAAGGGGGTGGACCCCAAGTTCCTGAGGAACATGCACTTTGCCAAGAAGCACAACAAGAAGGGCCTAAAGAAGATGCAGGCCAACAATGCCAAGGCCATGAGTGCACGTGCCCAGGCTATCAAGGCCCTCGTAAAGCCCAAGGAGGTTAAGCCCAAGATCCCAAAGGGTGTCAGCCGCAAGCTCGATCCACTTGCCTACATTGCCCACCCCAAGCTTGGGAAGCGTGTTTGTGCCTGTATTGCCAAGGGGCCCAGGCTGTGCTGGCCAAAGGCCAAGGCCAAGGATCAAACCAAGGCCCAGGCTGCAGCTCCAGCTTCAGTTCCAGCTCAGGCTCCCAAAGGTACCGAGGCCCCTACAAAGCCTTCAGAGTAGATATCTCTGCCAACGTGAGGACAGAAGGACTGGTGCGACCCCCCACCCCCGTCCCTGGGCTACCATCTGCATGGGGCTGGGGTCCTCCTGTGCTATTTGTACAAATAAACCTGAGGCAGGAAAAAAAAAAATAGATCTCCCTCTCCCTCTCCTTCTCTCCCTCCCCCTCCCCCTCCCTCTCTGCTCGGTCTCCCCCTGATGCCGAGCTGAGGCTGGACTGTACTGTCGCCATCTCGGCTCACTGCAACCTCCCTGCCTGATTCTCCTGCCTCAGGCTGCTGAGTGCCTGGGATTGCAGGCGCGCGCTGCCACGCCTGACTGGTTTTCGTATTTTTTGGTGGAGACGGGGTTTCGCCGTGTTGGCCGGGCTGGTCTCCAGCTCCTGACCGCAAGTGATCTGACAGCCTCGGCCTCCCAAGGTGCCGGGGTTGCAGACGGAGTCTCGCTCACTCAGTGCTCAATGTTGCCCAGGCTGGAGTGCAGTGGCATGCTCTCGGCTGGCTACAACCTCCCCCTCCCAGCCGCCTGCCTTGGCCTCCCAAAGTGCCGAGATTGCAGCCTCTGCCCTGCCACCACCCCGTCTAGGAAGTGAGGAGTGTCTCTGCCTGGCCGCCCATCGTCTGGGATGTGAGGAGCCCCTCTGCCCGGCCGCCCAGTCCGGGAAGTGAGGAGCGCCTCTTCCCGGCCGTCATCCGGTCTAGGAAGTGAGGAGCGTCTCTGCCCGGCCGCCCATCGTCTGGGATGTGGGGAGCGCCTCTGCCCCGCTGCCCCGTCTGAGATGTGAAGAGCGCCTCTGCCGGGGCGCGACCCCGTCTGGGAACTGAGGAGCGTCTTTGCCCCGCCGCCACCCCGTCCGGGAAGTGAGGAGCATCTCCGCCCGGCAGCCGCCCCGTCCAGGAGATGGGGGGCAGCCCCTGCCCGGCCAGCCACCCCGTCCAGGAGGTGGGGTGCGCCTCTGCCTGGCTGCCCCGTCTGGGAAGTGAGCCCCTCTGCCCGGCCACCACCCCGTCTGGGAGGTGTACCCAACAGCTCCTTGAGAACGGGCCATGATGACGATGGCGGTTTTGTCGAATAGAAAAGGGGGAAATGTGGGGAAAAGAGAGATCAGATTGTTACTGTGTCTATATAGGAAGAAGTAGACATAGGAGACTCCATTTTGTTCTGTACTAAGAAAAATTCTTCTGCCTTGGGATGCTGTAAATCTATGACCTTGCCCCCAACCCGGTGCTTTCTGAAACATGTGCTGTGTCCACTAAGGGTTAAATGGATTAAGGGCGGTGCAAGATGTGCTTTGTTAAACAGATGCTTGAAGGCAGCATGCTCGTTAAGAGTCATCACCACTCCCTAATCTCAAGTACCCAGGGACACAAACACTGTGGAAGGCGGCAGGGCCCTCTGCCTAGGAAAACCAGAGACCTTTGTTCACATGTTTATCTGCTGACCTTCCCTCCACTATTGTCCTATGACCCTGCCAAATCCCCCTCTCCGAGAAACACCCAAGAATGATCAATAAATACTAAAAAATAATAATAATAATAATAATAAATAAATAAATAAAATACCAGAAAAAAAAATCCAGTGAACAAAGAGGTTTCATCACCCTTATTACACAGTCCTGCAGAAGATCACAGCAGTAGATGTACCGCTGTACAGATGTAGAGGGACAGAGGAGAGGGATAAATAAACCATTTTATTCTAACTCGGCTTAAAAGGAACCATTATTTCCTCCTATAAAACTGAATGAAGAAGAAGGAAAGAATCTCTGAGGACATTTAATTAATGGGTACCCACTTCTGATGGCATCTTAGGGAGAAAAAAAAGGAACCACACAGTAGTTTAACCATCATAGTCAACTTGTTAAACATGTATCCACAATTACATCACCATTAAGCTATAACAATTCCATGTGGTCTCTTAAAAACGAAATTATTTTTATCTCTAAATTTACCATTGCAACATCACATTCTCAACAAATGTTTAGCATTTATGGTTTTGTTTTGGTTCTTTCTCTTTTTTTCTTTTTTCTTTTTTTGCCGGCTTAAATGATTAATGAGACTATCCTATGACCACTGTTCCAGAGATTGAACAGTTCCCAGCTTCCAAGACAAAGAATTTGCAAGACTGTTTAAGACTGTTCATTTTAAGCTATTAAGCCAATAATTAAAATTGCATTCTACATTAAAGAGAATCCTAATTCACATAATTCTGAATACACTGTAAGAAATAAATCTGAAAGCCAAAGAAAGGTCATAAAACTGACAAAGCCAAAGCAATAATAACATATATACCATTTACTAGCATCTCTCATTTCAATGCTTTGTAGATACTAATTAATTAATCACAAAGGAAAAAATATTTTTGATTTGGCTTTTGATCCACTTCATTCTGTTCTATTTTTATTTGGAACCAAGCAGCAAAGTGCAAAAATCAGAAAATTCGATCTGAAAATGCTGTTCAATTTTTGTAAGACCTCTATTTCTGAGGCAATCTGGATACTATCACAAACAAAGAAACTGTAAAATCATAAAGAGGTTAATGTCTATATGATATTTGGATATCATTCATTTGAATTGGTTGTTTGGACACTGACAACATTTTTCAGTTTTTATAATCTTGGGTATTGTGTAACCATAGCACTGAGCTCAGAGGACACCCAACAGAACAAAAATTCAATTTTAGGGATTGCTGGTTAGCCACTTGGGGTGCATTCCATTCCCTCACACATAATAAAATCACCCTGTTCTAGTTTGGACTTGTGTGTTTCCTTCAATAAATAAGAGTGAAGGTCAACATACTGGTACCATATTAACTCTGCTATATCTGCTATCATAGTCTATCTGGAGAAGATTCTAAAACATGAAATAAGTTAACAAATAAAATATTTCTCTAATGTTCATTTAACAAACCAATTTGTGTGAATGTGCCAGGTACTTGGCCAAACTCCACAAACACAAAGGTGAATAATAAATGGTGCCTTACAATACTTTCTCAGTAAAATGAGAATAATATTTCCTACCTCCAGAATTTGTGCGGGGATTAAATGAGCTATATTTTGTAAAGCACCCAGCATAATGCCTGCTACGTTGCACTAATGGCCAATTTTAAGTAGCTATTTCATTTTTATGATTATACCGATCTACCTAGAGCCGCTAAGCACAGCCATGAAGAAACTGAATAAATCTCCTATAATTTCCTATAATAAAGAAGCATAAAGAAGGTTTATCAACGAAGGTTAATGTAAAAAGTGAGAAATCAGAAAATTGTAGAAGAAAAGATAATTTCCATCTTCAAAATCGAAAAATATGACAGGCTTGTATTTGTTGGTTTCTGACTTGTTTTGTAACAATGCCTAGGAGTAGAGATCATACAGTAAGACAAACACATTGCACATCACAAGTAAGAGCTTTGACTGGTGAATCCTTTGTGAAGATCAATTTAGTAATATCAAAAGCCAACAAAAAGTTCTTACTCCCTTTGACCATGTAATTGCACTTATAAAAACTGGACCTAAGGAAATAATCAAGGATGTAGAAGAAGGAAAACTGCAACCAAGAAAAAAAGAAAGTTAAAAACAACTAATATGAATTTGAATAAATAGACTATGGTAATATCTGTTTGCTATAATACTAGGAGCTAAAAATTATTAGAAAATTAAACATTAATTAAACCTTAATTAAAATTAAGGTTAGACAATTACATAATATATTAAATAGAATGTATTTAAACATTCATATAAAAAAGACTAGAATGTTAATAGTTAAGTGGTAATGGAAGTTTAGGTGATTTTATTTTTTTATTTATCCTTTTCTGATTCTTCCAAATTTCCTACATTAAACATCTTTAACTAATTGGAATTTTTTTTTTTTTTTTTGAGACAGGGTCTCACTCTGTCTCCTAGGCTGCAGTCCAGTGGTACAATCACAGCTCATTGCAGCCTCAACCTCCCCAGGTTCAGGTCATCCTCCTGCCTCAGCCCCCCAAGTAGCTGGGACTATAGGCATGTGCCACCATGCCCAGCTAACTTTTATATTTTTTGTAGAGACAGGGTTTTATCATGTTGCCCAGGTTGGTCTTGAACTCCTGGACTCAATTGATCCACCTGCCTTAGCCTCCCAAAGTGCTAGAATTACAGGCATGAGCCACGGCGCCTGGCCAGAATTTTTTTTTTAATTAAAACTTAAACTGTTCTTGAATCCGAATTATTAATCTGACCCAATATGATATTTATGGTCTCAGGCAGCTATCGGAATAATTTGGTAGTTCTATATACAGAATAGGAGTACAAAATATCTATGGAATGCTGATGGTAAGTGGCATGCCTGTGGCAGTGAAATGGAAAGAAAAGAAATAGAAGACCTAGAGAAAACATATCAAAAAAATAAAAGAGTAAGAAAAATAAGAGAAAGATGATATAATTGCAGAACACGTAGAAGAGAGTACTTTCAACAAGTACCTCTTACTACCTTATTCTAGTGTTACAGAAGAGTTACTGTAAGACTTACTATGGTTGCTATAACTAATAATAATAAAAGACACTAAGTGAAGAAGGAAAAAGAGAGTAATAAGAGAGACACAGACAGAAATGTGGGGAATACTCTTTATAAATTTAAAAACCTAAAGAAAACCATTTTTAAAAAAGGATAAAATGAGAAATTACCCATGCTGACATTTCAAGAACTAGAAACAAGTCTTCTTCCCTCCTCTCCCCATATCAGCATGCCATAGGCTTTGTTAACATTCAAATCCTTCAAATCCTCCCATTTAACTTTAAAAGCCACTTTCTGATTCCTCAGGGATCTAG
The DNA here is from genome assembly GCF_000001405.40 of Homo sapiens. NCBI lineage: Eukaryota > Metazoa > Chordata > Mammalia > Primates > Hominidae > Homo > Homo sapiens. The sequence goes on along the minus strand of NC_000005.10, from coordinate 43,661,963 downwards.
AACTAGAAATACCATTTGACCCAGCCATCCCATTACTGGGGTATATACCCACAGGATTATAAATCATGCTGCTATAAAGACACATGCACACATATGTTTATTGCGGCACTATTCACAATAGCAAAGACTTGGAACCAACCCAAATGTCCACCAATGATAGACTGGATTAAGAAAATGTGGCACATATACACCATGGAATACTATGCAGCCATAAAAAATGATGAGTTCATGTCCTTCGTAGGGACATGGATGAAATTGGAAATCATCATTCTCAGTAAACTATCACAAGAACAAAAAACCAAACACCGAATGTTCTCACTCATAGGTGGGAATTGAACAATGAGATCACATGGACACAGGAAGGGGAATATCACACTCTGGGGACTGTGGTGGGGTGGGGGGAGGGGGGAGGGATAGCATTGGGAGATATACCTAATGCTAGATGACGAGTTAGTGGGTGCAGCGCACCAGCATAGCACATGTATACATATGTAACTAACCTGCACAATGTGCACATGTACCCTAAAACTTAAAGTATAATAAAAATAAATAAATAAATAAATAAATAAATAAAAGCCACTTTCTGACAAACCGCAAGTTTAAGTAATAATGAAAATCTGCTGCCCCCTGCTGGTCATTCAAATTCATCAACTGAAGCAAAATCAAACTAAGGGTTAAAAGTTTACTTTTACAGAAAACTGTATTTCTAGTACAATTTCATAAACATTTCTTCTTCACAAATGTTTCTTCTTTCTGTCACAAAGCCTGACACTTTTCAAATAGGATACATAAACCTTCACCTTTCCAAATTCCCCAGGTAATTTAGGCTATTTAATTTTAAAACCCCTTAGCTTGTTTTGAATTTGGGCTATCAAATCCTTTGTTTTGCAATATAGCCTAAGAAACAAAAATATTTTTTACTATGAAAAGATACTTCAGCCTTCCAAATTACAATGAGATTTTCAGTTAAATCATAAGAAAAATCCTGAGTTGTAAAATAAGCGAGTTTTTTAAAATATTATAATAAAAGAATGAAGGTAGAGTAAGTATCTGATATGGTTTGGCTCTGAGTCCCTACCCAAATCTCATGTCGAATTGTAATCCCCACATGCCACGGGGGGACCTGGTGGAAGGTGATGGATTATGGGGGCTGACTTCCGCCTTGCTGTTCTTATGCTAGTGAGTTCTCACGAGATCTGGTGCTTTAAAAGTGTGTGGCACATCCCCCTTCACTCTCTCCCCTTCTCCGCTATGGTAAGATGTGCTTGCTTCCCATTCACCTTCTGCCATGATTGTAAGCTTCCTGTGGCCTCACAGTCATGCTTCCTGTTAAGCCTGTGGAGCTGTGAGTCAATTAAACCTCTTTACTTCATAAATTACCCAGTCTGAGGTAGTTCTTTACAGCAGTGTGAGAATGGACTAATACAGATCCCTTTCTTGTCTAAATTATTTATCAGTGTAAAATCACGTTCTGCTTTCATTTAGTTTCATTATTATTTAGAAAATAACATCCATAATTTGAAAAAAAAAGTTCTACTCAAACCTTTAATTATAATATTTGCAGAACATCTTCTTGCCATCAAGAAGAGAACTTGAAACAAACAGAAAAGCTAGGAAGTATTAGTGTTGTTACTTTTTTCTGTTCTTTTAAAAAACCATCATGCTGACCACAAAACTTCTAAGGTAGAAACTCTCACAGATGACCAACAGGAGTGTAAATTAGAACAACCTTTCCAGAAACATGGCTATAAGTATAATGAGCCTATAAATTCTAGGAATCTATCTTAAGACAAAAATCTGAAATGTCAAAGATATGTACAAAGAGAAATCAAAATCAAACAACTTCATATGTATAGCATTAAGGGCAAATTAAATAAATTTTGTATATCCATATGATGGATCACGATAAAGTCTCTTAAAATAATATTTTAAAAGAATTTTTAATGACAAAAAGTCAACAATATAGTATATAAGTTTTTTTAAATGTAGGACAATATACAACACGATCAGACAAGTAAATACACAGATATGCCATACATAAGGAAATAAACCAAAATCTTACCTGTTTATCTCCAGATGGAGAGAGGCACTAGAAGATTTTCATCTTTCTATTTAATTTTCCTAATTATTTACAGTTGGGTACCTTAAAGGCAGTCTTGGAAATTTATGCAAATGAAATACTCTGCTATGTCTGCTGAAGAGAATTCAAAGCTACCATACTCTTTTTTTTTTCTTTTGAGATGGAGTCTCGCTATGTCACCCAGGCTGGAGTACAGTGGCATGATCTCAGTCACTGCAACCTCTGCCTCCTGGGTTCAAGCAATTCTCTGCCTCAGCCTACCAAGTAGCTGGGATTACAGGCACCCACCACCACGCCTGGCTAATTTTTGTATTTTTAGTAGAGACAGGGTTTTACTATCTTGGGCAGGCTGGTCTTGAACTCCTGAGCTCGTGATCCACCTGCCTTGGCCTCCTAAAGTGCTGGGATTACAGGTGTGAGCTACCATGCCCAGCCTACAATATTCATTTTTATGGGTAATAAAAGAAATGACATGCACATCCATGTTTTCAGGAAGCCATTTCCTTTTGTTTCATGTATGTGTTGTTTCTTACCACACACATGATGTATGACAGGATAGCACCAGACGAGCCTATGAGTGCACCCACGATGGTCAGCAGATTGTTGTTGAGCAGGAAGCCCTCTGCACACAGGGCCCAGCCTGAGTAGCTGTTCAGCACAGTGATAACGACGGGCATGTCAGCACCCCCAATAGCAGCTGTCAAAGTCACACCCTAGAACAACAATCAAATCAGAACTCAAAATTAATAACATAAAAATAAAACCTCTGACATTTAACATTTTGCTCCTTAATTATTCTAGTTTTCCCATTAATATATTTACATATAAGTTCCACTTCCGGTAATAAGTGTCTCCCATCTGACCAACACTTCCACAGGTATAACAACTATAAACACTGAGCCACCCACCCCCCTAAAAAAAAATCCCTACATTTTAAAAAAACACTTTTCAGTGATGAAAAGCAGGCAGAAACTGGAGAAGCGTCTACATTTGGAAAAATACAATGACACTAAGTGAATTTCCCAGTTTTTATGGCTTTAGACTGAGGGCAATCCCCTGTTGGTACCAGTTAAGGAAATTATAAAATATAAGCCCACAGTCTTACTGACTTGAAGATCCTGAAGATAGCATTTGAGATGACTAAGGCAGCTGGAAAGTAATAAGGGGAATCCCACAAAGAAGCAGGCTAGAGGGAAGGAGTCCCAGTTTCTGTTTATAAATTCTACTCAAATCTCTGGATGACTCTTGAACTACACATATGTGAGACAGACTCCAAGCAATCCTGTTAAGGATAAAATAACAATAGATTTCAGCTGCCCCCCACCACCCACCATAAGGGAGTCAAAATTTGGAATTTGAGTTTAGCCAAGTTAGCTGGCTACAAAAACACATAAATAAATAATAATAATCAATACCCTTTGAAGGAATATAACATAACATCCAAAATGTCTATAATGTATCATTAACAATGTCCGTGATACAACTCGAAATTACTAAACACATGAAAGGAAAAAGCTTTTTGCTTTTTATTTCACATGTTTTTACCTTTTTTTGTTTGTTACAATGAGAGCATATTCATGTATTACTCATTTAAGCCAAAAGCAATAAAATAAATTCAAAAAATACTTTGTCTTAGTCAGACATTCTCATAGAACCAATAAATCCTTTAAATATCATAGTCACTGCTTCCCAAAAACAACAATTCTTAAAGTTTTAGATTTGTATATCTTTTTTTCTTTCTTTTTTTTTGAGACAGAGTCTTGCTTTGTCACCCAGGCTGGAGTGCAATAGCATGATCTCGGCTCACTGCAACCTCCGCCTCCCAGGTTCAAGCGATTCTCCTGCCTCAGTCTCCCGAGCAGCTGGGAATACAGGCGCAGACTACCACACCCGGCTTATTTTTGTATTTTTAGTAGAGACGGGGTTTCACCATGCTGGCCAGGCTAGTCACAAACTCCTGACCTCAGGTGATCCACCCACCTCGGCCTCCCAAAGTGCTGGGATTACAGTCATGAGCCACCTCACCCAATCACATTTGTATATCTTTTATTTTGAGACTTCATCAACCTATTCTGCTTTATTAGATTAAAAATATCAAAATTATTTTTCTTTTGTTTAAAACAAAAACCAGTGCAATAAGCCAGAATAAAATTAGACCATGAGTGTGAATATAAAGATGAGATTTTAATTTACTTTTCAGTGTTCTAAAATTTCTGTGTTAAAATCATGACCTAACTGCCATGATCACACAAAAATAAGTATCATTTTTACACTATAAATTAGGTGTTTCTCAATCAAGGAGCCAGTAAGTATTTCATAAGCAATTGCTATGTGTCTAACTTTGTGTTAGTTACTGTAGATAATTTTTTTAACTTAAATATAAACCTTGTCTACGGATTACACACTGAAAGAACATGAGTAACAGTGAATAACAGTAAATAGCGCTGCATAAAACAGCATCATACATTGATATAAGATGCCAGACTGTCACATAGACAACTAAAAACTACTGTGTGTTTCAATACACTAAATATAAAAATTGCAGAGAAAGAAGAAAGCCAAACCTATCATAAAAGCCTTCACTGAATACTCTCACTGAGCATACAGGGTTTTTTAACTGCATTTCATTTTATACTTATTTGATTTCGTGTCATATCTTCCAATGATGTAAGAGCAACTGGTGGGCAGAGACTATCTTACTTGTATTGTATAAACCCCGAAGCACTATTTTGTAGGGCTTGTCATATAGTAGGCACCTAATACATTGAAACCCTTGGCCTTTTTAAGCTCCTGTTCACCAACACATTGATCCGGTGAAAAGACTCCAGAGCAATAAAGGTGTCTCATGTGACAACTTTAAAATGAACAATTAAGTTGCAAGAAAGAATAATGTTCTTCCTACACTCTTCTATGTTTTCCAGATTCTAAAAAGATGCACATGTGACGTAATTTTAAAACATTTTTATTCCATCAAGGTTCTTGAAGAGATAAAAATATGATTACACTTTAATCTAACAAAATATTCCCAGTTCTTCACCAAATATGTACTTTTCAATCTCTGACTTCTTACCATGACAGCAGAGAGAGCAGACACTGAACCCAGACAGGTGATGCCAGTAGTAAAGCTTGGGTCCACCATGAATGGGATTATCCCGCCCACACTAGCAGCCAGTAAGCCTGCATTGAGTAAGTGCCTTCCAGGCAGTAGGAGAGGGGCAGATTTCAGGAGACCTAGAGCCAAGCACATAGTAGTTACAATTCAGAATGTGTTGTAAGAAAATACATAAAGTTCATTTCTGTGAATTCTACACAGTCATCTCTAACCAAGGATTATGAGGATGCTGTTTAGTTCACATATATTATCAAAAGTCAACTAGTCCCTCCATGCAAATTTCTGTTCACTAATTTCCTCCATTAGCTGTCTGCAAATGAAACAGCTTCAAAGCTTTATGAGACTTACTAAGTATCAATAAAGGGGAAGGATGAGGGGAAAAAAACTCTTACAATTTCTGAGTGCTATACGAATACTCTTCACCTAACAGTTTTACTGTTAAGGCATTTTTTTTAATCTTTTTTATTAGTAGTAATATTTTATTTTTTATAAAAAGTAGAGATAGGGTCTCGCTATGTTGCCCAGGCTGGTCTTGAACTCCTGGGCTTGAGAGCCTCCCACCTCAGCCTCCCAAAGTGCTGGATTGCAGGCATGAGCCATTGCGCCCAGCCCTGTTAATGTATTTTCTGAAATTAAAATGGATCCCTAAATGCCCTAAACAGTAGATATTTACCTCTATGTTATGCTGAATCACTTACCCTGCAATTTTCCATAGGCAATGAGAGACCCACTAAAGGTGACGCCACCAATGTAAGTGCCGAGGTAGGCCACAATCTTGGTGAGATTTGCTGCTGCATCCGTAGCAAAATGTGGATATTCTATAATGTACTCAGCTATGCAAGTAAGTACAGCTGCCAAACCCACTAAACTGTGAAAAGCAGCAACTAATTGAGGTAAATCAGAAATCTGGATGCGTTTGGCAATTGTCAATCCTGTTATGAAAGGTCAAAAATAAATTAAAACTTGACAAACTTTTGAGAAGTAACCACAACAAAGATCACCCTTAAGGATTTCCACCATTGTCACAAATAAATATTATCTAGTTCCTAGTACGGGCTAAATATTCTCTACAGGGGCTGTACAGAAGGTAAGGGCACTAGTTGTATACAGGTTGAGTATCCCTTATCTGATATGCTTGGGACCAGAAGTGTTTCAGATTTTAATTTTTTTTAATTTTGGAATATTTTCATATACATAATAAGATATCTTGGGAATGGGACCCAGGTCTAAACACAAAATTCATTTATGTTTCATATATATATAGCCTGAAAGTAATTTTAAACAACATTTTAAATTATTTTGTGCTTGAAACAAAGTTTGTGTTAAGTATTTATGTGTGGAATTCACCACTTGTGATGTCATGTCAGCACTCAAAAAGTTTTGGATTTTGGAGCATTTTGGATTTTCGGATTAAAGATGCTCAACTTGTATACCCTTTCAAAACAGCAGTTTTTCTCCACACACCTAAGCACGACCCAACTCCAATGAACACCCAGCATCAATGCGTGCCTCTTCCCGTCACAAACTCCCAACCTTCCCCTAGCCAACACTTCTTCAGACTACCTAAATCTCTAATCAAATTCCCTTATATTCTCCCCATTGCAACCCAGGCCCTCTTCTCTATAGCCAGTGCTTTCTCCTGAGCACATAAGAAACACCTGGAACATGAAGAAGACCTTGGTTTTCAGGTGGGTAGGTGGGAGCAAAGTCCCAAGGTAAAGAAATGCAAAAATCTGGGCAGTAAATACCCAAATTAGGAGCCTCTGAAGGAACTGCATGGCTATAGGTAGGTGATACAGAAGGAGTGGGGCTCAGAATATTTGCTAAGATCATGTCTAAAGGTTTTCCTGCCATGAACCTACAGAGCAAACATTTTCCTTCAAGTCCCTTTCCCCAGAGATTATCAAGAAAAGAGTCAAAGCTTTCCTGAGGAAGTATAAAAGGAGGCCTAAAGCCAGTGTTCCACTGGGAAACATTTAATAACCAGTTCCAGGGGAAAAAAATACATGCACATACAAATACATGAGCTTTAACTGATATAAAGGTGGCTAGCACACAATTTTCAAATAATAAGAAATAGTGCTCTTTACTGAAAATTCCATGTAGACAAATTGACTTTCAAAGAATGTTTTTATGGATCTTTGCTAAACTCTTACATCTGTAGCCAACCTAGTGTTTGCAACTGATGAACAAGCATACTTCCAACAGGAACATTGTTTGATATTTTTATTTGCTTTAATAAGTAAGACGAAAGTAAAACAACAGAATGTATGCGAGAACTTCACTCATTTATCAACCATATGAATGACTTTATTGCTGAATCTGATAATAGTTTTCAAATACTGGAAGATTATTTGCTCAATTATTTGTGCTATTCACAATGTCACAGCTACAGTCAAAACATCTCAAGTTTAAGCTGCATCATTAACATTTTCTCCATCACTTTCTCACGTCTGGACAATAAACAAAACAATAAATCAAGCCCAGATTTGTAGCGTTTGCTTATTTCCACACTGCAATACTGCTACCAAGTCAAATTTCAATCTACCAATGTGATGTCATTGAATGTAGAATTGGAAAGAGATGTACCACAGCCCACTGATACATAGTATTTCTTCTATACACATACAATAGACATAAGTAACCTCAAGAGCATAGACAATAAAACCTAGTAAATTAATTAGAAAGTTACGAGTTTTTAATATTATTAACTTTGTTTCTGATTCATTTAAGTTTATGTAATTTAGTATTTAATAATGGCTGTGTTTAACAATCAACTTTAAAAATTCCTGGAAAAAAAATTTTTTTTTTTTTTTTGAGACAGAGTCTCGCTTTGTCACCCAGGCTGGAGTGCAGCAGCATGATCACAGCTCACTGCAACCTCCACATCCCAGGTTCAAGCGATTATCATGCTTCAGCCACCCAAGAAGCTGGGATTACAGTTGTACGCCACCATGCCCAACTAATTTTTGTATATTTAATAGCGACGGGGTTTCACCATGTTGGCCAGGCCAGTTTCAAACTCCTGGCCTCAAGTGATCCACCCACATCAGCCTCCCAAAGTGCTGGGATTACAGTCTGAGCCACCATGCCCAGCCTAAAAATTCCTGAAAATTTAACAATCCAGCAAACAACTGAATAAAATTAAAACAGTAGTTTTTCTGCTGGCACATGTTTTTTTTTTTTTTTTTCATTTTTAACAGGTCTATGAAGCAGAATCTTTGGCTGTTATTTATACCCAGCAGAACAAAAGTTAGCTTATGTATAGTACATACATAAGGATTCCAATCCCCCATTCCATTATCAGCTAACGGGACACAGTCAGTAAAGGAAGATAAGAATTGAGTATAGGATATTTTGACTCAGTTGATGCATTTATTCAGTGTTCTAAAATGTATTTGAATGAGAATTACACCAACTGGAATGAATTTTCACCAAAATAATATTAACTGAAGCAACTTCCATGAACAAAATTTAATTATTTCATCAATATGGACCTTAGAAATATATATTGAGAAACTGGAGTTCACATGAAGGCAGAAGCCCACAAGTGCTTACCAATGGTACCACCCAAAGCCATCGCTCCAGACATCTGAGCTAGTAATTCTGGGCCCGGTTTTAGGACTCCGAGGGTGGCTGCCAGTCCTCCAGCAACCCCAATCATGCCCAGTGCATTGCCAAGACGTGCTGTTCCCTGGGTGGAGAGGCCAGCCAAGGCACCGACACAGCACAAACCCGAGCCTAGGTACATGATCTTTTCAAAGGAAAAGTGAGAGAGAGATTATTAAAACCTTTGGTCTATTAGCTTAGAGATTTCAATATATTTTCCTGCCAATTAGGAATATTAACATATTAAATACTTATATTGTATTTGCACTTATACCATTTATATAAATTGATTTTTTCTGGATTTGCTATCATGCACAAATACACATAAAAGTACCTAAATTTAAATGGAGTCATTACTGGATCTAAAAATACTAAACCTGACCAAATGCTGTAAAAGAGCCAACCCCTGAGGTAAGTGCCAGGGGCTTTGCCACATGTTTTATTTGTGTTGTCACAGTGTCATGAGATCCACAAGAGGGAAAAATCATTATCCTCATTTTGCAAAAGACAGAATCAAAGCTTAAAGAAGTTGCATATTTTCTCCAAGGCAAATGATCAATAAATTGGAAATCTGGAATTCAGACTAAGGTCTTTCTGACTCACTGCTCCAACTCTTCTCAAAAAAAAAAAAAAAATTGTTCATTCAATAAATACTGCAGGTTGGAAACATAGAAGAAACTAAAAGACAGCCATTGAAAAGAAATAGAAAATACAGAGTTCAGAACAAAGCTGAAGGTCTGTTATATTACAAGTTGGAACTTTCAAAGTCCAGCTGGATTATTTCTGTTTTTCTATACAACATTAAGTTTAAACTATCCTTTTCTTTATGGATTTTTTTATGAATATATAACATCTCTTAGTAGCAAGAGATGATGTGCTGGATTTGTAGAGGAAGAATAGGAAAAGAACTAATAGTACTTAATAATAATTTTTCAAATTTTGTATTGTTTCATTATAAATCCACCGCAATCTAGCTAGATACATAATGAAGATACTGATAACCTTAACTCCTCTTACATGTGGAAAAATGTATCAAAACAAAGACATAAACCCATATTTAAACTCAGTTACCAGAAAAATCTGTCTCTAGAATCCAGGGTCCTGATCCTTAGGGGAAGAGAATGCTCAGTTTGACCAAGATGTTTCTAGGGTTATTGTTGTATTTGCTTGACAGAGTTGTATTTGCTCGATACTTTGAATTAGGATAACTAACAATGTTAAATCTAATAGAGAAGAAAATATTGTGGTAAATATAAAAACTTACAAAGAGCATCTTACCTGTTCAATGTTATAACCACTGTAGAGGGCAGCTAAATATCCACCAACAAAGGTGCCGGCAGGGAGCAGGTACAGGTAGTTGTATTCTGGGGGGTCAGTGGGACGCTTGAACATGTCCAGCATTCTCTGAGTCACCAGAAAGCCACCTTAGCAAACCAAAGGAAATAAAAAACATAGTACCTCTTTGAGCTCACTGAGCAACATGATTTTTTAAAGTGCTACAATTTTTCTGTTTTAAGCACATCTTTATCACCTAGGAACAAATATAATTTAAAGTAACATTTTGCAACCTCAAATTTTTTTTTTTGAGATGGAGTCTCACTCTGTTGACCAGGCTAGGGTGCAGTGACACGATCTTGGCTCACTGCAATCTCCGCCTCCCAGGTTCAAGCTATTCTCCTGCCTCAGCCCCCCGAGTGGCTGGGATTATAGGCTCGCGCCACTATGCTGGGCTAATTTTTGTATTTTTAGTAGAGAGGGGGGTTTCATCGTGTTGGCCAGGCTGGTCTCGAACTCCTGACCTCAGGTGATCTACCCGCCTTGACCTCCCAAAGTGCTGGGATCACAGGTGTGAGCCACCGTGCCCAGCCAAAATTTAAAGTCATTCTATTACTCAAGCCAGTTCCATTAGAGAGGTGGGGGAAAAAACACTAAATATATTCAGGAAGAAAACTTGCTATCAGAATGCAAAACTATTTCTGCATGACTAAAAGGAAAAAAAAGCCATTCAAAAAGCTTGAGAATGTGAAAGATCAAAGATTGGTATCTTTTCCTAGTAGGTTGTTACATTTGTAAAACCCTATAATAAATTATAAAAGAAAAAAATACCATATCAACAGGCACCAGGTTTCTTGGACACATTAAAGAATTGTTAGCTACAAAATAGCATCAAATGAGTCTCACACATGAGTGATGTGCTAGGCTTTCAGTTTCCAGTAACAAACCCTGGCTGGGATAAGGCAAAAGACTAAAATTTTATCTAAAATTATACTAATTTATAGATGTTACGGTGATAGCTCTAACCCAACTTCAAAACTATGCATTCAATAACTTTCCAGTTAACTTGTAGCAAGACATCATTTTGTTTGTTTGTTTTGGGGATCTGGGGGTTGTTCTTTTATCAAGAGTTTCTAAAAATTACAGATGGGCAAAATAACTAATTTTCCTGCAAAAAGAGCATTTACGGTCAGAGTGAAACATTTTTTGAAGGCACAATTATGTCTATTTTATATGGATTTATATTTGCTTTGTATGTCTCCATTGAAAATAGTACTGAGACCTTTCACTGACATCATACCTGCAATGTTGACAGAGGATATGAATGCAGCAAGAGCAGCAAGGCCCTGAGAAGTTGTGGAAGGATACAAATGTCCTCCCATCAGTGCCAACCCACCAACTGCAGTCAGCCCTAGAAAGAAAGCATTAACATGGTTAATAGTGATAGTGACACCACCAAATCAAATATCATAGCTGAAGTACCTCACATACATAGATTCATAGAGGGTAAAGTTCTCAATATTAAAAAACAAGGCAGCTTTCTTACACCCTCATTAAAATGAAATAAACAATTTTGCTTATGCAGACTGTTGACAACACATCTTCACATCATTCTCACTGAAATTACTACTGTGGGAAAAGGGTTAACAAAACTTTTTCTCCTTCTGCATTGGAATTGGACTTTCTTTTAACTTTCTAGCGATGTTCCTCTAATACAGATATAAATCCACCAGTGTTATAGACAACATTGCTTATGGTTAAAAAGTGACCCTGGTAGATAATTTGCATGTAAACTGGAAGAAAGTATTCATGAACTGTAAATGCCTGCTGGGGATGCCTAGCTTTGGGTTTTCCTGACTACAGCACCTCTTGGAGCTAGACATGTTCCCTGCAGAGATCCTCGAAGCTGTGCCTATGGCAATGTTATAAAAGATGACTATTGGCCCTGAGGCTTTCAAGCCAGGACAGCTCCTATGCTTGTCCAATGTAGGACTCATTCTCTCATATCTGACCCATTGCTAGGGGACAAAGAGAATAGATCCTGGGCAACCACATGGACTGCTGCATGAACTGCTGAAAAGACCGGCACCAAAGAGAAATGCCTGATGCCACCTCACTGGAAAGCTGTGTTTTCCTGTCCCATAGCTTCATGGTGAACCTGATGCCACATGGGGCCTATTGTAGCCTTGCTAGGCTGAATGCTGAGTTGAATCCAAGGAGAGCCCTATAGGATGTTGCAGCTATGATTCTGTGGAACACTGGTTTTCAAATTTTATCAGTGGAATCCTTTTCTTTAAAAAAAAAAAAAAAGGATCAAACTTGGAAGAAATAACAGTGGCTCTGCACTGCTTGAAATGGGAGCAGCCCAAAGAGCTGACACACTCCCACGGCCTCTTACTCTGCAGGCCCATATCCCATACCCTCTCAGAGTCTGGGAGCCCTTAGATCACCAAAGCAGATGACTCAGATGCCAAGCAAAACAACTTGAAAACACACTTTATAAACGGCATTGATAGTCCTCCTAGAGCTGAGTAACCCTATGAAAACCTGAGATGAGGAAAAACAAGAGAGGAACAAACCTGAGATTGCATTTGTCACAGACATCAGTGGTGAGTGGAGAGCAGGGGTCACTCCCCAGACGGTATGATACCCCACAATGCCAGCCAAGCCAAAAGTGGTCACCATCTGAGAAAAGGCTAGATTGGGAGCCGCAATGCCCAAACCCAGTATCCCTGTGAGACCTAGAGAAAGAGAGTAAAGAGTGTGTTTGAGCTGACATCCAGTTATCTCAGTAAGATTAAAAGCACATACATAAATATGTGGAATAGCCAATGCTTTTAAATTCCACTCCCTTGCCAGTAATGAGCAGATTTTTTAGACATTTGACAGTTGAGAAGTGGGGGGATGGAGGAATACTGTGGACAAAACCCAACTTTCTGACCACCCCCCCAAAATAAGCTATAAAGATCTAGTAATATTTATGAGTCACACTAATAACAATTTGCACATTTTCCTCTGTGTAGTTTGTCCTCTTCCCTGTTTTAACTTTTATTAACAATGCCACATGTGTTTATATAAGCATTTTTATTCCCGATTACAGGCCTACAGAGGATCTACCAAAGCATTTTCTACTTGGGCAAGACACAACCTTTATAAGACAAGACTTTTATGAAGGCAATTTTATGTCACTCTCAGATTTGGCTGAGGAATAGGGGTTTTAAAAGAGTAGGAAGAATTTCATTCACTCCAGCACCTCCCCAAAACATATGGCTTCCACCCACCCGGGACACAAATTTTGCAATTGCTCCTGAATCTGGACTGGACTGTTGGCCAGGGCAGTCAGCTCCAGCCTCAACACCAAGTCAGCAAACAGGATTTTACAAACAAAAGGAAAAAAAATACAAATTAAATTAAGAATGTGCAGAATACAAACAGCTCTGAACATACATCTTTAATTATCGCCTTCCTTGATAGCAAACATGTGGACAGTTGTTCTGCAACAGAAGAAAGTGTTACCTAGTGGTCAGTAAAAAGAAAATGACAGTGGGTGACCAGGGAACTAGAAGTTAACTTTCCTGAATAAGGTACCTTTTTCCTTGATGTAAACTATTACTTTGGAAGTGGCACCACTGGAATATCTAGGGATTGACATTAATTTTACATTAAATCATTCAATATGACTGTAGTTTTAATTTATTTTCCTACCCACATATCATGTATCCAAAGTTCCAGTGCATAGCCCATTAACCATCTGGTGAGAGAGTTAGATACAACACTATTTTGTCTTCCAGTTAAAAATTAGAGAAGTTGCATAGGGTTGTGAATAAGAATATGTTTTCTTAAGTCAGTCTGGTTTGAATCCTGGTTCTGCTGCTCCCTAGCTGTGTCATCTCAGGCAAGTTACTTAACCTCTCTGTGCTTCAGTGTCTTCATAGGTAAAATTATCAACCCTCTCTGTCTTCATCTGGAAGAGAAAATAATAATATACCCACTGCTGAATTCTTGTAAAAAATAAATGAGCTAAGACATGTGAAGTATTTAGCACAATGCCTAGGAGTCACTAAATGCTAGCTATTATCATGACCACATTAGTCAAGAAGCACTACCTTATCACAATCCACAGTCTTTTGTGTTAGGCATCTATGATAAAAATTACATCATACACCTGAAGGTTTTCTTATCAACTATTCAATAAACTAATGTATTTTCTATAATATATTTAGTAACGTATGTCAGACTATATTTCTATATCTGTATAACAGAGGAAGAGAAAGGCTGACAAAAGAAGAGAAAGCAAATCACATTCTTTGAAGAATGCTGTTCAAATACATTCCTGATACATATAAAAGAAAAATACTTATTTTTAATATGAAAGAGGGAGTTCAAGATAAAGAAAAACACATATAAGTTCATCCTTTCATTCACTGGAATATGCCACTGTCATATATATTAAGAAGCAATATGCCCTGATTCAAGAAATATAAGAGAAACTGAGAAAAATAAATCATTATATGTGCCTTGCTACATTTCCTTATGAATCTGAAAGAGAAATGGAAATTTACAATCCTACTCATAATATGTTCCATGTACAACACAATAACCTCATTTCTTTTGTTTTTTTAACAAATAAGTGCAAGTAGGGACACTGCTTTATCTACTCACAGTGTTCACCACTAGAGGCTTTTTCAGTCATTTTGCTGAGACTTACTCTTTATTCAAGGAGAGTTACATGTTTAGCTTTAAAACATCTGGACTCACATGGGAATTTGGAGAATGATGACTCTACAAGAATTCTATGCGCCTGGTGCTGGTCCTTAATTCTTTATAGTTTGCTTTTGTTTTGTTTTTGTTTTGGCTCTGAATAGATCTAAACATTTTTAATTCATTCTTTGAGACAGAAACCAATTTAAAATCAAATATCCGTATTTCAGCCTCCAACAATGCATAGCCAGAATGAATATTAATCATCACTTTACAATAAATTATTTAGTGTTTTTGTAAAGATGAATTTTAAAAAAAGAATTTATGTTAAATTACAAAGAAAGAGATCTAAATGAAAATGTTGAATTTGTTTACAAGTTGAGTAACTTAAAATGTTAGTCAAATGTTCAGGGGCTATAGCCTATATTGTAGTATTTATTCTTTAAGGCAAACTTTGCTTCCCTTGTCCTACCCATGTGTGCAGATAATCACAACTGATATTTCACAAAAATAAAAATAAAAAACAGAAAAAAACGTAATTATATTTATACGCATTTAACACCAGCACAATATGGCATACATCACTTCTCAATACATTTGATGTAGATAAAAGTAATCTCAGCACTGTGGGAGGCCAAGGCAGGAGGATCACTTGAGCTCAGGAGTTCAAGACCAGCCTGGGCAACACGGTGAAGCCCCGTCTCTACAAAAAAAAAAAAAAATACAAAAATTAGCTGGGCGTGGTGGCATGCGCCTGTAGTCCCAGCTACTCAGGAGGCTGAAGTGAGAAGCTTCCTTCCTCAACCCCAGGAAGTTGAGGCTATGGTGAGCCGTAATCACACCACTGCACTCCTACCTGAGCAACAAAAAAAGATTCTGTCTCAAAAATACATATATGTATATTTTTAGTATATATATAAATGACTGCATTTAAAATGCTTTCTATAACAGGAAAAATGTTTATTGTCTGCATATTATTTCACATGCTTTCATTCCAGTATTTAGCACAGTGCCTCTATTTACTGAGTCAATAAATGTAATCTCCAATTCCGTAGAGGTGGGACAAGTAACATGTTGCTGAAAAACCAAGTCTGTCAGGCCCGATTACTAATGGAATCCAAAAAAGACAACAGCATTTCATTTACTAATTTTGACAATTAATATATTACTTGCAGGCCGGGTGCAGTGGCTCACGCCTGTAATCTCAGCACTTTGGGAGGCTGAGGCGGGCAGATCACGAGGTCAGGAGATCGAGACCATCCTGGTTAACACAGTGAAACCCCGTCTCTACTAAAAATACAAAAATTACCCAGGGGTGGTGGTGGGTGCCTATAGTCCCAGCTACTTGGGAGGCTGAGGCAGGAGAATGGCATCAACCCGGGAGGGGGAGCTTGCAGTAAGCCAAGATCGCGCCACTGCACTCCAGCCTGGGCGACAGAGCGAGACTCCGTCTCAAAAAAAAAAAAAAAAAAAAAAATATATATATATATATATATATATATAGAGAGAGAGAGAGAGAGAGAGAGAGAGAGATAGATAGATAGATGTGTAGATATATATGTGTATATATATCTATATATACGTATATATAGCTACACATATATCTATAGATATATATATATATAACTTGCAAAATCAAACAATCAAGACTAAACCCTGGTAAATGGTATCCTCACCTGCTGTATATGCAGAAGCCGTTGACATTGTCTTCCTGAAGGGTGTAATGGTAGCTGCTTTTTCAGCTTCCAGCTCAGCCACTGTCTTCTGTTTTACTGGGGCACCTTGAGGAATATTTTTCGGTGTGGGAGCTGGGAAAATCACTTTACCATCCTAATAGACATTAAAAAATAGTACGTATTAAAAAGTCAATCCAGCATTTCAAAATTGCTTAAGGAATATACTATTTTTTAAAACCCTGTTCTTTTAAATATAATTTTATGTAAATATATAAATTCATATAATTTGTAACATCATTTTACATAAATATGTCACATACATATACAAATACTAATATCCATGTTACATATACAATCATATATATGTAATTTGTATGTGTACAGGACCATATAAGCAAGAGTGCAAATTAAACCCTTGAAAGCAGATAAGTGGGGGGAATGTTTAATTTTTACTTTATTCAATTTGTTTGTTCATCTCCGTTTTTCAAAAGGAGTGTATATTTTTGGTTAAGTCATGTACTTTTAAGTCTTTGAAATATTTTTCTTTAAATCATTCTGCATTTACAAATAATTTTTATCAGCATAAAGCTGGCATACCAATACCTTATTAAAATATGTCTCAATTCCAAAATAGAATTCTTCCATAAACAGAAATTCTAAAACAAATTTACATTAAAAGCAAAGGAAGGAATAGATCTCTTTACTTACTTTCATCACTACAGTTCCTCTAATGACATGACCCATCGTACCAAAGTCAAAGTCATCTTTCACATCAAAATAAAAATTATCTTTGTCCGGGCTGATGGCCTTCAGGAGTTTGGTGATGTTGTTGGAATATAGGGTGCTGGCCTGAGTGGCCATTCGGCTGGGCAGGTCTGTGTAGCCTATGTGAGTAATTCCCTAAATGAACAAAATTATAGTCAAAAAGGTCTATCACCCTATGTTCACATTCATTCTAGAACAATTATCATTCATATTCAATGCTAAGTTTTGTAATTATATATCTTTATGAATATACATACATACCCATAAACAAATACATATTTCAACAGGAGCTTTAAATATGCCTATTTTTAATTTTAAAATTTCAAGCCTTAATGTCTCTAAATATTTAAAGAAATAAACACCCCCCCATAACTCAAGACATGAGAAGTGATCACAGATAGAAAACGCATCTTGCTATACCTTATGAATGTAGAGTTCTCCTGGCTTAGTGGTTTCAAAGTTTCCACCAGCCTCAGCAGCTAAATCCACAACAACTGAACCTTCCTTCATTGACTCAATCATTTCTTTATTAAATAAAACTGGAGCTTTTTTACCTAATAAAATCAAAGAAAGCAGCACAATTTGTATTATCATTTTCTAACACCTTAAAGTCTAATTATTACAGTAGTCTCTGGGCATTCAGGAATTTAACATCTGAAATTTTAACTCTTTCCAAGAGACCCCTAAAGACCATAGCATGGGTGAGACTGGGCATTCAGAAAAATATATGATGAGTGTGAGCAGCAAAGGCAGTGTGCAGGAGGAAGCCATGTGGCTGGCAAGCAGGCCCTGCCATCTGCTCAGCATGAGAATCTCAGCACTGCTCTCCCTACCCGGTTTATACACCACAGCATTCATGAACAGATAAACAGTTTGACTGTTTTTTAAAAAATGCCTAATAATAAACCACTATGGAAACTATATGCACCCAAATTGAACAATTCGTAAAGGTCACCAATGTCAAGAGTACAGTTAATACTAATTTATGAATTACAAAACAGAACATTGCCAATTATCTTAACATATGTCACCAGATTTTCTAACACATCATATTAACCTACCTTAATTTAACACAGAAAACTTTGAGGAGAGACAGGAAAATGCCAATAAATCAAAACAGTGGAATCCTACAACTCCAAAAGGTTTAGGAGTTCCCTCATACACTTTTATTCCCACTCAACAACTATGTATTGGTGTCTACAGTGAGTCAAGCCCTATCTATGCCTGGTGCTGGGAATACAGTGGTAAATAAACAAAAAAAGTCCTTGTTCTCATGGTGTGCATTCTCCTCATTTAATAGTTCACATTTTAAATTCACAATGTCTTTTTAAGAAGTTCACTAATTCTTACATAGAAGATGAAAACCCAGACCTTAGGACTTTTCGAGCTAATATACATCAATATGTTCAACAGGGGCTTATACTGTCAGCATACTATCGTGTTCACATTTCATAAAACAATGGAAATACCTAAATCAAAAGATAACGGAAATAAACTTGTAATGTTAGTAGTATGGAAGTAGAGCATGGCTGGGTGCAGTGGCTCAAGCCTGTAAGCCCAACAATTTGGGAGGCTGAGGTGGGGAGGATCACTTGAGCCCAGGAGTTCCAAACCAGCACATAGCAAGACCCCATCTCTACAAAAATAAAAAAACTTAGCTGGACGTGGTGGCACATGCCTATAGTCCTAACCACCCAGGAGTCTGAGAAAGGAGGATCACTTGAGCCCAGGAACTCGAGGATGCAGTGAGCTATTTTTGCACCACTGCACTC
The DNA here is from genome assembly GCF_000001405.40 of Homo sapiens. Taxonomy (NCBI): domain Eukaryota; kingdom Metazoa; phylum Chordata; class Mammalia; order Primates; family Hominidae; genus Homo; species Homo sapiens. The sequence continues at coordinate 43,642,973 of NC_000005.10, read as the reverse complement.
CAGCCGGGACAACAGAGTGAAACTCCATCTCTTTAAAATATACATATTTTTTATAAAAAGAAAGCAGAGCATTAGTAGCCTGATTATCTTTAGTTCTTCTGAAAGCTTTCAATTCTGTGTTTACAGAATTTGATTCAAAAAGGAAAAATAACATTTGTAGTACATGTGGAAATAAAAGGTTGTGAAGATACAAGTGAAGTGTTTATGTAGTACTTCCTTCTTTTTGCTACAAACTGTATAGTTTTGAGATAAAGTCCAAATCCTAAGGCTCCTGGGACTAAATGCCTCTCACCCTGGGTGAAGTGCTTTTTCTAACATGCCCTCTCAAAACTGCACCATTGGACCTTCTTCTATTTCAGCCACACTGGGCTCGCTGCCACATGATTTGTTATAAGATCTCTTGTTCTTTCTTTTGAGTTTCCAAGAAAGAGCAAGAATCAAGAGACATTTTGCCCAGAGACAATACCCTGAAGTGCTGGTAGTTTCACCACTTCTCAAAATTCTCCAAAAGTATTCCTTTCCTCTACCCTCCGTACTGTAATCTAACAAAGGCACCTTGAATACTTAACTAAACTTTACTCAACCATGAGAATTTGAGGAAGCAAACCACATCCATCTGAGGACTATTCCCAAAATAAAGGTCATGCTGCTCGGCTCTCCAGTGACTTAAAGCTATGGATCATATGGCCGCCTCAACATAGAGGGGCGCATTTAAAGGGCTACCTGTACTTTCCAGGTATTTACTGTCATCACCATCCCCACCCTCTAGGGCCAGAGCCTCTTCTCTATTTATCAGCTGTTGTTTAGCACAGCTTTTCCTCCCACCTTATTTGTACCCAACTTTGGCCAATGATTGCACATATTTGATTTGGCATCTAACTAATTTCTCCTGCCCTAGATATGTGAGACTCCTTCTTTCTCCTGAGACATCCATAGCTAAGGATCAGTCCCTGGACTGTATGCTACCACTTTGCAAGACATCAAGTGTCCAAAACCATTTTTAGGCTCCCTAGAAACATCAAAATATACAACCCATTTATCTCCTCTGATTTCACTCATTCAACCTCCACAGAACAACTGTACAGTGGCTAACACAACTTTGAAAAACACATGGACATGTTTGCATCTTAACAGAGATAAGTTGGGTGTTTTGTCCCTATTATTGCTCAGAAATTCAATCACTTTTAAAACAATAGCATATTCTTTCACATAGGTTAACTTATTTGGTGTACAGACTGAAGGGTATCACTATAACAAGTTTAAAATTTTACTTAAGTCACACAAGAAAATTTAAAGACATGGAATTATTATAAGTAAAAAGCACATAACAAAATAGTATGTCAGTTTAGATATATATTTATATACATGAATGTTTCTCATTTATATATACATAGATTAATATTACATAATACAATACATATATGATACAGTTTGTAGTAAATTCTATATCATATAAAATTTAACAAAATCAGGGTATATTTGAGTGGTGAGACTATTTTCTTCTCTGTGCTTTTCCTTATCTCCAAAATGTTTTAATTTTAAAATTAAACGTTTTTAATAAGGGCTACAGGGAATACAGTCATGAATGTAACAGTGCAGCTGCCTTCAAGCACTCACATGTGGATTAATTTTTTGAAAATTCTGGAAAGTGCAGAAATAAAAATTGAAAACAGAAGGGAAAAAAATAAAGCCAAAAAAGAAGCAGAATAGTAAATAAAAGCTCCAGATAAGCAAAACCCCAAAAGAATAAGTCCAGAGAGAGAAAGACTGAGAAGACAATTTCAGAATACTACCTTACCCTGGTAGCCTAATATAATAAAGTATAATGCATAATAAATGCAGCATTACACAATGAAGAACAAAAGTAATATGATGATTAGTTAGGTATCTGGGTAAAAAATATCTACCCAAACCTAATACCATAAGTTAAACTCTAGAAAGATAAGAATTAATTGTAAAAGAAGAGAATCAATCCATAAAATGAAAGAAAAGACAAAAAAGGAAGCCTTGGGGAATATCTCTCCAGTCTGTGGATAAAAAAGCACTTCCTAAATTTAAAGCAATGAAGAAAATTACAAAAGAAAACATCAATAGATATGAAAATATAGATATATATGATGTATATGAAAATGTATATATTATATATGTGTATATATGATATATATGAAAAATGTATATATTACAATTCTCAGACAAAAATTGATGAAAAGCTCACAGAAATTTCAATAAAAACAAAACACTATAATCCTATAGATAAGTGAAAAACAAATACAAATGGAAAATTCAATAAAAACAGTAAAAACAAATAAAAAAAAAGTTCACTCTTAGTATGATGTGGAGAGATCACAGGTGATCTTTATTTTCTACTTTGTACTTTACAGCATCTCCAAAAAAACCACATATCATTTTTATTTTAAAGATAAAATAAAGTACTCCTGGATAATCACAACCAGTTTCTCCTTTAAGTCAAGAAGTGGCAGTTTAAAAGTTGGTACTAGGAGAACTAGAAGAATTTAGAAAAACCCCAACCTACTTACTTACCAATTGAAAAGCCTGGCTCAAAGTCACCTGCCCTCCCTTCTACAACAAATGAAGCTATGCGGTTAGGGCAGTCTTTCAAGGAGTGTACCAAAACACAATAAAGGGAGACATGGGCATAACTAAACATGGAATACAAACAGGAAGATGTGTCCGGATTTTGTACATGTATAACATGGAAATGAATATATCCAATGTTTACAAATTCTTCAAATATAAAGAGATGCCCTCTACACCCCAGAGACAGCTTGGTGAAAGACCTAGATATAAAAGAGAAAATAAGCACATCTTTCTGACAAAGGCTGATAAAAAAGAAAATAATAATGAGCACATCAGGTATTTTTAGACATAATTGCAAAAGAAACAGGAAAATTAATAAAAGAAGGCAGATGAGAGGCATTTTTAAAGCCCAATTGGGCTTTAACTTTTCTATTAATTTTATCATTTATCTGCAAAAGATGAGATACACAAAAAGATCATTATATTTCCTAAACCAGCCCGCTTAAAAAAAAAATCAGTCACTGTGACAGAATAAAATTAACAAGGAGAGAAAATTTTAAGAAATATTTTCTGACACAATACCAACTGTGGGTGAAGGATTTGGCATGATATCCAACTTTATGAAATATTTCTTGCTCCCTTCTGGTTCATGGACATTAAGTTCCCCTGGAAGGGTTACTCAGTTCCCTCTCAGAGGGACTTATTTCCACACTTTTGCCAAGAAAACTGTAGGACATCAAGCTCTCACAGTCATCATTCAAATATTCATTCATTCATTGACATAATTAATACTTATTTAGTGCCTCCCATATGCAGGGTGGATGGAGGAAGAAAAATTTTACTTAGGCTCTAGAGTCTAATATTTTACAACTAAAAGTGGCTGCATTCAAAGGTTGGTCAACAATTTTATTACTAGAAGAGTTGGATATTTAAAGCACTCATGTAAAAATTTGAATTATAGTTTCCCAATTGGTTGGCAGTTATTTGGAGTGAATAAGTGTACCACAGGTTAGTGTAAGGCATCCTTGAATCTCCATGTGCACCATGAATTGACTGTAGACTGAAAAACTGCCTCATGCATGTGTTCTATTTATTGATATATGCACATATGGCTGTGATTCACGTAAATTCATTTTTAAATGTTACTGAATTCACAGTATCTTTTCTCAACCATGTATTTTCTCAATAAATGAATACTAAGATGCAATTTTGAAAGTATTAAAATAAGGAGCTGCTAGAAAAACTAAGTTCTGCTTTTTTGTTTTTTCTCATCTGTGACTGGAGAAAAAATTACTAATTTCTAAAAATGGCTTTAACAACTCATTGCTATGTAGCAAAAGAATATATCATTGGCTTCTTTACAGCACTAAATTCAAAAAGAGTCACACAGCTTAAATTAAATACCAAAGACTAAAGATTTACCAGAAAATTCTGTAATATATTGTATCTTTTTGAATGAATCAGGCCTAACATGATCATCTGAAATCAATAAATTCCCAGATTCTATCTTAATGGGAAAAGAACCAAGCCCTCACACTCTAATCATACCAAAAAGAAAAAATTAATTAATTAATTAAGAAGAAACCACTAAAAATATTTAAAATAACAAGACATGAAGATGAAATGGGTTTACCACAAAATTTTATAATGATTCCAAGGAGCATTCAGCATCATTTACTGGAATTACTCAACAGCATGTAATCAGATGGGGAAATTCCTAACTTCCTGACCTGTAAGGCATCAAATTAGAGGGTCTAAAAAAAAAAAAAAACAAAACTTTCTGCTTTAACAAAAACATGAGATATTTAGCTCCACAGTAGCAAATAAATAATATGAATTATAGAATCTATTAATCCAAACCAAAATAGATTTCTCATGAACAAGTACTAGGCAGACAAGGACAGTTTTTAATGTAATGTAGTCTCTATATTGACTAAATGTAAAATAGAGCAGGTAAAGAAAGATAGGCTGAACTTTATCATTTACACAGTAAGAACCTTCATTATAACAACATAATGTTGCACTGAGTATTGTTAGTATCTACTCAGTATCCATTTCCTCCTTTTATCACTATGCTGATTTTCATTTTTCCACCCAGTCCACAAGCTTCAGGAGACATGACTTCAGAAACCACTTGTATTAGTCTGATCTCACGCTGCTATAAATTGCTGGCCGAGACTGGGTGATTTATAAATGAAAGGGGTTTAATTGACTCACAGTTCTGCAAGGCTGGGGAGACTTGAGGAAACTTACAATCATGGCAGAAAGGGAAGCAAACATGTTCTTCACATGGCAGAAGCAGAAAGAAATGAGTGCCCAGTGAAGGGGGAAGCTCCTTATAAAACCATCAGATCTCATGAGAACTAGCTCGCTATCACGAGAACAGGATGGGGGAAACTGCCCCCTTGGTTCAATTCTCTCCACCTGGTCCTTCCCGTGATACGTGGGGATTATGGGAACAACAATTCAAGATGAGATTTGGGTGGGGGCACAACCAAATCATATCACCACTCCAGAGGCAGGCCTGGAAGGCCTAAGGGTAATCTTATCACCTTATTAGTGACTGGTTCAGAAATCCAGGTGTAAGCCGAGGTGCATCTCATTGCCCTACCTACAAGGATTGGTTCAGAAATGGTCATAAATCAATCAAGGTTAATATAAATGAGGGAAAATGTGCTAAGGATTTCTGAAAAAGAAGTTTCCTTCTTTTTGCTCTTCAAGAGGGTGCCATCAGCACTGGACTACCTCCTCTAGATATTGTGTTGTACACACTGGAGCCTGAAATTGTTGCTGCCTTCTGCACAGCACTGAGGATGAAGCCAACTCAGAGAGGAAAGCATGAAGGAGCACAGTCAGAGTGTCCCAGCCCACACCTATCCACAGCTATAACTGGACTACGTTCTGTTAACAGAACCCAAGAAATCACCTACCTTAAGGCAGGTTGTATTAGAATTTCTGTTTCTGGCAGCTAAAGGCATCCTAATGGATCCATACCAAAATCTCTTTTAGCATTTCAAAATCACTGATGGGGTTAAAGTACTGAGTCTTAAGCTTTTAAAATGTTACCAATGATAACAAAAGGGTTTTTATACATATATGTATGCATGTGAGAATAAGAAATGATAGATTATGTAAAATATAGAATATGGCAAGAAAGTGCTGAACATCTAATCCACTGATCCATTATCTAATGAGTCTCTGATTTAGCTGGCTCCATAGTACATACAGCAACCCCTCTACTCTGTTTATCACAGATATGAAAGCTGTGTTCATGAGCCTAAAGAGATTCTGGCCCAAGCTTAAACAGTCAAGCAGAGTACTTTATATGTGAGCTTTATCCCTGGAACCACAGGAAAACTTTGTCTGCATAATTATTTGTATAAGGAACCAGACAGAAAGTCAGGCTGGCAAATAGTTGGCTTTTACAAACTGGACCCCTTGAGATATTTCTAAATGTAATACTTCTGAAATATGATTAGTCAACAGCATATTTTAGAAAATTAGAAAAATTCCTAAAGATCTATTTAAAGAAGAAACCTAAACACAAGCTTTTACCTCATAATTAAAGAACATGTTTATAAAAATTTTGAAAGGATTAACTTAATAATTTACCTCTCATAGCTGCAAAATTCTGTATAAATAAAAAGCAAAATTAGTCAAGATTTTACCATGGTTTCACAGGTTACAGGAATTCTCCAAACTTAAATGGTAGCACAAATAAGGAAATATACATTCTCATAGAAACTATAGCATTCTTTGAATTCTCTCCAACATATGTATAGATGTACATTAGCTACCAAAATCCTTTAAAAATTGAAGCAATAAAATTGTATTACGCATTCTGATGTTATTATTTTGTTACTACAAAAGAATTTAAAAGTGTTTTAAAAAATAGAAACAGTACTGCTTATTTTCTTTCTCACGTCTTTCAACTTAGGTCAGAATGAGGTTAACTGGGAAAACAGCCTTAATAAAATGGATATCTTCAGCAAATTCATATCAAAAACAATTAAGTCATGTTTCTCCCCAGGGAAACCCATGCCACATTGCCATCCAATAAATACTGGTTATGTAACTTCATGGGTGGATTCATGAGGCACCATCTTCAATGGTCCACATAATCCTTGAGAATGTCTGGACTTTTATTGCAAAAGTCAGTAAGATTTGTGTCCTGGGTACCATCCAGAAGACGAGGCATCGCCAATGGAAGAAAGAATTACAATAATGTTCTCTATGCCCAGCCCTACACTGGGCTTTTTCTTCATTCCTCAAAACAACTTTGCAAGGTAGAAATTTTTATCCACATTTCAGAGATAAGGAATCTGATATTCAGAGAGACAAATCAGCTGTTAAGTAGTGGAACCAGAATTTTAATCTACTCTATCTGGCTCTAAATCTATGACCCTTCCTCTGTTTTCCAATGAACAGATTAAACATTAACACATAAAATTACAAAGTAGAGAAGAGGAAAGAGGCTGTTAGCTGTGCACAAAAATCTACATTTGTTATGGGCTGAATTGTGGCCACTGCAAAATTCCTATGTTGACGCCCTAACCCCCAATACCTCAGAATATGGCTGTATTTAGAGACAGGGCCTTTAAAGAGGTGATTACGTTAAAATGAGTCTATTAGGGTGGGCCCTAGGACAATCTGACTGGTGTCCTTAAAAGGAGAGGAAATTGAAGCATAAAAAGAGAAACAAGGAATGCACACACACAGAGGAAAGACCATGTGAGGACACAGCAAGAGGGCAGCCAACCACAAGCCAAGGAGAGAGGCTCAGAGGAAACTAACCCCACAGACACATTGACCTTATACATCTATCCTCCAGAACTCTGGGAAAATAAATTTCTGTTGGTTAAGCCACTAGGTCTGTGGTATTTTGTTATGGCAGCCCTAGCACACTAATACAATGTTCTCTTATTCCTGGGCACAGAGCTAGACAATTCCCAGCTTCCTTCACAGTTAAGTTTGGCCACATGACTAAGTCTTAGCAAAAGAATGCAAAGCAAGAATGATGTGTACCACTTCCTGGCCTTCCATGCACACTCCTCCATCCCACTTTCCCTATAGCTGGCTTAAATAGAGACAGTCCCAGAGCAACCTTCATAGCCTCATAATGATGATGGCAACACTGTCCTAACCCGAATCCCAAATGACCATATGAAAAAGAGCTGCCCATCAATATGTGAACCTATCTATTACTAAGCAAGATGTTAATTTCTGTAACATCAGAGCCATTATGCATTGTTGGATTAATCTGTTATAGCAAAACTCATAGATTTAGGGCTAGACCACCCTAACTAATACTGAAGCACAAGAAACTATAAGGAAAATGGAAGGAAGGAGATACAGCAATGCATATGGTAGGGAAGTACTAGTACATTAGCAGTAACGCTATTTGTGCTGCTTTGCCAAAGACAGCCTCAGTCTCCCAATCCTTTACAACCCAGGGAAAGCCAGGAAGGAAGCATAATGCATACCAATATTGCAACATGCTTTTGGAGAAATAACAAACCAAACCAAAGTATAACGATGCCATAAATTTTCCTAACAGAACATTTGTTAAATCTGGCCCAGTCACTCACAAAGTGTGCTCAAATACACCCTAAGAACAAGACTGATAAATAGCAATGGAAAACTTCACAGTTTTGGCATCTTCCACTTGAGGACAAGTTGCTCTATCTGCATTGAAAGCTACGAAGAGGTGTGTAGACAGCCTGTGGTTACCAACCCTTGATGTTGCAACACTTAAGTTTCTCTCTGTTCTTCAAAATGTCTTCAATATCCTCAAAACAAATGAAACTTTATATAACAATATTACAAAAGTCTATATAATCATAAAATACATTGAAGGGAAGGAATTACCGAACATGAATCAGATAACAAAAAAAGTAATATAAAAGAATTGGGAATAACTGATCTATAGCATATAGTTTTGTCCTTTATGATCATAATGCATACAGAATAAGAAAATGAATAATAAATCCTTACTTTTGGGAAAAACTTTAGTCATCAAAAACAATATTTCTTTGTGGAATTACACAACTAGAGAGTATAGTTATTCTTGTATCAATCACTCTCTTGCCCGAAAGCACAGGTTTCAACAATTACTATGGAAAGTCATTCTTTTGCGCTATATTTCCACTCCATATGAAAGATAAATTTAACAAGACAGATGGAGAACAAAGCAACATCTCAGGTTCATATATGTAAGGAACTTGCATATTGGAGGAAAACACCTCCCACCCAATTCTCCAGAGACATGGAAAATTACCACAGAAGTCCACATCCTTTGAGGGGTGTATTTTACAGATCCTAACAAGTATAGATAAAAACAAAAAGTATGGCCACCCTAATCTGGATTGTGCCTAAAAAGAGACACAAGTACATATGGCATAAGGTATTTTAATTTACAATCAAGCAATGAATATGTTCCTTCCTCTCTGACAGGACACTTTCTAATTCCCAAACAGCCCTTCCACTACTTCCTAATTCTATCTCCTGAGAGGTCTAGCTAGCCAGCCACCTCAAACTGCAGACTGGGCATGTGTTCCAGTTTTGAATAATTTAAGAAAGTTAAGTTCCCAAGCTTAAATTAGCCTCTGCAATGTTCCTATCCAAAAGTGAACCAACAGAGTGTTCTATAAGAATTTGGGGACAGCACTGAAAAAAATGAAAGGAACTGTACCAACCAAGACCTAAGGAAGGTATCCAGAATTATTAGTTCAGCAACATTTGCTAAGCCACCATTGTGTACAAACCACTATGCCAAGCGCTGGCATAAATCAAAGACTCCTGCTGCACTCACTGGGAGACAAGATAACTGAGGAATGATGGGACTAAGCACTGCTGTAATAGGAAGAACAAGCAAAGTTCTTTGAGTGCAGAAAAAAGAAAAAAGAACACTACTGCTGAGCAGGAGGCAATAGAAACTATGGAGGATGTAGTAATTGAGTTGAGTAGGATTTCAAAAAGCAGGGAAGGGCAAGGATAGTATTCCAAAGAGAAGGAGCAATATGTGCAAAGGCAAAAAAGTATCTTGGCCCATTTGAGGAGATAATAGCAGTCAACATGGCTGAAATCAGGCCCAGAGAATAAGATATTAGTTTAACACCAGACCCAAAAGCTAAATCAGGACCAGATAATGAAAGCCAAGAAATACCTCCAAGGAATGCAAACTTTATACCACAGGTAATTGGGGAGTGGGAGACTATGATCCAACTCTGTTCAGTTTAGATGGCTTGTTTCATCTAATGATGCTGGGAACCCAAGTCGCCCAAGCTACTGTCATCATTGCTAAACAAAAACCCAGGCCTTAGAATAGCTATGGTTCCCCTAAATTAGTAAGGACTAGACCTGAGGTGGGAAACGGGAGAGCTGGGAAGGTATAGGACTTAGCATGTGCTCCATAGTTCTCTTCATTCTCATTGGAACTTAGGTGAAATTTGCCCAAGACACAGTCAGTGCAAAATCACCATGATTCCTTCTCACCCCACACCATACTCCCCTCCCCAACGTACTTATCAGATTTTCAACCTGATTCAGTCCCTTCCTGATTAACTATTCTATGTCTATGAAAAGTTTCTCTAAAAGGGTTTCAGATCACTAGGGATGCTAAAAAATCCTGTGTCTCAAAAGGCTTAGCAGAAAAGATTATGAGCACAGCCTGAACATTACCAGACAGCAGGGCTGCCTTACTTTTTAATGGTAGCCCCAAAGGTCAACGAGCTGGACAGGAAAGTAGAGAGCTTTTCTTTGTGTGCACAGCACCACAAAGCGGGGCTGTCAGCTTGGCCCCATCCTCAAGTTACCTGCATTAAGTGAAATTCTCACCTTTAACCCATCACTCAACCCAATAGGGGGGTGAGATGACGGTTTAAGATATCAGGCAGCATAACAACTAGCTAGCTACAGAACTATCTCATTCCACATACAATCTACGTAAGTACAAGTTCATTGTTTTTTCAAGACCACCAAGTGACGTATACCTAGGACAATAAAAATTTACTAACTCCGTAAAGTTGCTCCCTGAAACTAGTTACTTACCTGTGTCTGCCTCTCAACATTCTTATCCACACCAGGCCTTCAGTCCAGCCTTCCAGGGATCTCAGTCTATAAATCTTAGCTTAGAGAATTTCTGACATTTGACTTAATCCCCTTTGAATCCACTCAAGGAAAACTTCAGAACAATTTCTGCTCTGAGGGTCATTCAAGAGTCAGATACATCATCAGGGGACCCAGGCAAAGGCTCAGGACATAAACCAGTAAAGGTATAATGCCAAGGATATTGTTTTCCAAAGGGCATTTGTACCTTCATGTACTCTTTCAGTCATTTTTGTTAAATGCTCATGCTTTCCGTTTTCAGTGCCCCAGAGATAGGAAAGATCTTTAGAAAAATCACCTTCTTCCATATAATATTCTAATTCACTTTTTTCTTTCTTCCCTTTTTTTTTTTTTTTTTTTCCCAAAAGAAACTGAAGGCCTTTTTCAGCCAGCCTTTTGAGGGTGAGCTCTGGGCTGAGGTACTGATCAAGGACTTTCTGTAAATTTAATGTTCACATTAATCTTCAGATCGTGGCTTCAGAAAACAAGAAAGGCTTAGTGGAACAGATTAATAAAACTTCTTCAACTAGTCTTCAAGACTGTCATACAGTCTGACCTTTTACTAAAGTATGCTAACTATAAACTACTTATAAAAAATAAAATATTATGGGGAGAGGGGAAGGCCCTGAAAGTCAGTATGTGTTTATAAAATAAATCTTGAGTACTATCACTGACATCTAGCTCTGTAATCAATAATAAATCTATATACTCTATTCAAATTATCCCTAGCTCTTTAGAGTATGAGTTGACTAAATAAAACTAGCTTCCTATCCACATGGCTTACTCCATGAGTAAATGTTTTAGCACCCTCTACTGGCCACTTGTTACATCTAATCCTCTCATAACTTCCCCGCTAATGCGCAGCTGCCTCTCAGAGGTCAGATGGTGGCTGCAGCATATGTCACCCCATTCCTTCCTCAGAACCACCTGTGAAACAGCTGAGCCAGGAGCCACTGCCACACAAGGAAAGGATGAATCCTGAAGTGCTCTCCTGACACTGCTTGTGCCTGAGTTATGTCTTCACTGACAGATTTCACAAACACTATCCTGGGTCCGGGGTTTGTCTGATCTGCATGCACCTCCAGAAACCAACCACAGGCCTCATTCCTACACTTACAGATGCTCCCATTGCCTGAGCCCTGCCGAAACCCCCATATCAGACTCCTACCTGTCTGCTTCATCTAGCCGCTCTGGGGGGATGCGGTTATCTGGAGAGACGAGCTCACCTATCACCTGGGTTAACAGAGGACAGAAAGAAAAACACATTTGGAAGGCTTGTTTTCCCCAACAAGCTCACAGATCTGATGCCAATCAATTCTTTGTCCTTGGGTTTATATTAGCCAGGTTTTTTGTTGTGGGGGAAGCTACTGGAGGAGAGTTTCTCCTCTTTCATAGCCTCATGACAAAGCAAATTCTAATTCTCCACAGCACCTCAGAGAAAGTGAGGCTCCTTCACTAGGATCTAACATAAGCAACCAAGAACCCTTTAAGCTCTCATTATATGACCCACTTTCTTTCAGAAAGGAAAAAATTAGAGTCAGTATGGTATTCATTATTCAATAACAAAAGGAAAGGATAGGTGAAGAGAAGAGGTGAGACTATAAAAGGTGGACAGTTTCTTCACTCCCAAATCTTGTTAGATCAAGCTACTGCTTACTGATTAATAAACACTTATTGGTTTGACATCAGTCATGCACTGAGTACAAAATACTCTTTAGAAGGAGATTTGTAAAGGGACTAGAAAGTAATTCCTACCATCAAAAAGCTCACAATTTGGCTGAAAACATGTCAAAGGAAATAATTTAAAACTGACAAAGGGTCATTCCCATAAGTAAAAATATACACTGAAAATTCCATAAATACATATACATACAAAGTCCCCTCTCTCTCACATATATAGAAAAATATGATCAAAATATTAATAACAGTCATCTCTCTGGTAGAACTTCAAATGATCTGTATTTTTTTTCTTATTTATCACCACAGTTTGAATTTCCTACAAGGAGAAGGTAGTATCTTAACAAAGAAAATGTAAATAAATTAACAATCAATTTATCAAGGGTTTGAGCAGAGGAACCTGCTTATGAATATAATATTGTACATACATCAAGCAATGGTGCTGGGATAATTGGCAAGCCACATGCAGAAGAATGAAGCTGGATCCTCACCCCTCACCTTATACAAAAATTAACTCAAAAATGGATCAAACACTTAAATCTAAGACCTGAAACGATAAAAATTCTAGAACATAACATCAGAAAAACTCTTCTAGACACTGGCTTGGGCAAAGAGTTCATGACCAAGAACCAGAAAGCAAATGTAACAAAAACCAAGACAAATAGATGGCACTTAGTTAAACTAAAAAGCTTTTGCACAGTAAAAGAAATAATCAGAGTAAACAGACAACCCAGGATGGGAGAAAATTTTCACAAACTATGCATCTGACAAATGACTAATATCCAGAATCTACAAGGAACTCAAACAAATCAGCAAGAAAAAAATAAATAATCCCATCAAAAAGTGGACAAAGGACATGAATAGACAATTATCAAAAGAAGATATACAAATGGCCAACGAACATATGAAAAAATGCTCAACATCACTAATGATCATGGAAATGCAAATCAAAACTACAATGAGATACCACCTTACTCCTGCAAGAATGGCCATAATTTAAAAATCAAAAAATAACTGATGTTGGCATGGATGTAGTGAAAAGGGAACACTTTTACACTGCTAGTGGGAATGTAAACTAGTACAACCACTATGGAAAGCAGCATGGAGATTCCTTAAAGAACTAAAGTAGAACTACCATTTGATTCAGCAGTCTCACTACTTGGTATCTACCCAGAGGAAAAGAAGTCATTATATAGAAAAGACATTGCATACACATGTTTATAGCAGCACAATTCACAGTTGCAAAAATATGAAACCAGCCTAAATGCGCATCAACCAACGAGTAGATAAACATACATATACATATATACACACACCATGGAATACCACTCAGCCACAAAAAGGAACAAAATAATGGCATTCACAGAAACTTGGATGGAGTTAGAGACCATTATTCTAAGTGAAGTAACTCAGGAATTAAAAACTAAACATTGTTAAAAGTGGAAGCTAAGCTATGATATAATGGGCTTTGGGGACTCAGGGGTTAAGAGTGGGAGGGGGGGTGAGGGATAAAAGACTAAACATTGTGTACAGTGTATACTGCTCAGGTGACAGGTGCACCAAAATCTCAGAAATCACCACTAAAGAACTTTTCTATGCAACCAAACACCACCTGCTCCCCAAAAGCTATTGAAGTTGTTTAAGTTGCAGAGAAAATAATAGTAATAATAATCTTTTCTAAATAAATGGCGTTTTATTCTTCGGAAAAAAAAAAAAACATTGTACACACAGTATAATCTATGAATTTATATAAAAATTCACAAAAGGGCTAGGCGTGGTAACTCACGCCTGTAATCCCAGCACTTTGGGAGACCAAGGCGGGCGGATCACCTGAGGTCAGGAGTTTGAGACCAGCCTGGCCAACATGGCAAAACCCCGACTCTACTAAAAACATAAAGATTAACCAGACGTGGTGGTGGACACCTGTAATCCCAGTTACTTGGGAGGCTGAGGCAGAAGAATCGCCTGAACCCAGGAGACGGAGGTTGCAGTGAGCTGAGACCATGCCACCGCACTCCAGCCTGGGCAACAAGAGCAAGACTTCATCTCAAAAAAAAAATTTTTTCACAGAAAAAATACTTGAAGGAAATTATTAATGACTATGAATTTTGTCATATATTTTCTCGTTTTCTAGTACTTTTATAATAGAAAGTACTAGATCCTTCCTTAAAGAAATTCAAATGTTAAGCAATCATTCACTCTCGCTTTTTTTTAAAAAAAAAGAGTAAAAGTGCTTTTAAAATAACCGTTTACTTAATGGCATACCTGGAATAAGTGCTGTGCTGATAAGGATGTCTACCTCCTTGCATTGTTGAGCAAAGAGTTTCATTTCAGCTTCAATGAACTCTTTGGACATCTCTTTTGCATATCCTCCTTGTCCCTCACCAGATTCCTTCAAGTCCACCTCCAAGGGCTCAGCACCAAGAGACTTGAACTGTTCCAAAGCTGCAGCTCTAGGGTGATTGTTAAAGTGGAAAGAGTAGTTATTTCAGGCCCTAATAAAGAAGTCAAGATCATCATTTACATATACCTTTTTAAGAACAACAAACTATATATTCAAAAGTCAACAGTCCCTTTGATTTCGTACTTAATTGTTCCAATTTTTTTCTAAAGGCAAGTAACATATTTATGAGAATATTCTTTTCTGAAAGAAAAAAAACTACTGAGAATTCCAACTTCTACTTAGTTAAGTTGCAAAAGCGATTTCACAATTGCCAACTCCAGTAATCAATTATGTTCCTTATGACCCCGATGTGGATGATGATGTGATACCTCATATACATCAGGATTTGATATCATTCAAATCACTCAGGATGAGGTTTTTCACTTGTAAATATTCTGAATTTGTTCTTACTAGAGACCTTTCCCACAAAAATAACTCTTTATATGTAAAATTATTCTAATAAAGTGATTTTTACCCCCCAACCAGTCCTTATTAAATTGTGTTTGCAAAAAGTAACCTATAAATAGTAGTAAAGGGTAAAATATGAAAAGCCAACACATTTAAATTATATAAAAATAAATTCAGTTTTAAATAAATAAATAAATGCTACCCAAGTACTGTCTCCTGGTTGGAAAACCACAGCCAACAAACACCTCAGTTCTGTGGTGGACGTGCATGTAACTCATCAATATCCATTCCACTATGGTAAATCTCAAACCCCCCTAATGACAATAATCACTCAGGGTACTTGTTAAAAATTCAAATTCCCAGGCCCCTTCCCAGACCCAGTGAATTATAATCTCCAGCAAGCAGGCCAGACACTATATTATTTTTAGCAAGAGCTGCAGTTCATCCTTGTCATCAGGGAAGTTTGGGAAACCGTGATCTGAGCCAATAAATCCCTAGCAACCATCATGTTCAAGAGTATGCATAAAGGGTAGGACATACAGTCCATGGTTGAGCAAGAGGTTCTCCCTCTGCTGGCTTGAGCAAGGAATCTGGTAGCCCAGATTGCCCCCTGGAGGTAAAGTTGCAACCACAAGTGGAATCAGCCTTAGGAGGAAGACAAAGCCAAGGACAGCAGAGAGGAGTGACAGAAACTGGTCCTTGATAGCACGGAGGAGCATCTCACTCTAATGTGAAAAGGAAGTCATTCCCCTGGATTCTCAGTTAGAAGAAATAATACATTTTCTAATGGTTTAAGCCAATCTGAGTTGGTGTTCCATTTGTGGCAGCCATAGGGATATAGTTCTTTAAAAAGCTTCAGAATTGTCTACCAATATTAATAAGAATTAGATGAATTCAAAATGTTATATTTGTATTTATATGTTATATATATACACACATACATATATGTGTGTATATGTGTGTATACACAGACATATATATTATATATACACATATACATATATATACACATACATATATGTATATAAAATAATCCAAATTTTGTTCTAAAGTTATATATATATAATTTCTATAAGAAATTACACCAAAATATCACTAGCAATTATATCTGGCTGATAGAATAATAAAAGGTATTTTCACTTTCATCCTTATGTTTCTCTCTATTTTTCAATAATGAATATGCATCATTAGAAATATAAGCTATTTCTAAATCTTTGTAGTTATATCTTTGCCCATAAAATAATCTCATAATTTAAAAACATTATAACATATTAGCATTTAAAATGTGTATATCTTTTGATTCCAATATTTCCTTAGAATTTATCTAAGGAAATAATGAGATATCTCCATAAATGTATGTTCTCAGATATAAAGTCATCCCTCAGTATCCATGGGGAATTGGTTCCATGATCCCCCTGAGATATCAAAATCCACGGATGATCAAGCCCCTTATAAAAGACAGTGTAGTATTTGCACGTAGCCTACATACATCTTCCCAAATAGTTTAAATCATCTCTAGATTATTTATAATGCCTAATAAATGTAAATGTTATGTAAATAGTTGTTATACCATATTGTTTAGAGAATAATGACAAGAAAAATGAAATTGGTACTAGCTCAGTACAAACACAATCATTTTTTCTGAATATTTTTGATCTGGTTGAACCCACAGATAATAGAACATGGATAGAGGGCTTACTGTATGTACATGTATATGTATATTGACCTACAGAGTATTGTTTAAATATAGCAAAAAATGAGGCCTAGTTAAATAAATTGCTGTACTTCTCTATACAATGGAATCTTCTGCAGCCACTAAAAATATTTATAGGTAAGGAAAGATCTTCATGATCTACTGTTAATTGAAAAAAGATAAATGGAACAGTAAAATTACATTTTTAATTAATGTGTAGATGAGGAAACACATAAAAAAAATCTCTAGGCAGTGAGACTTTAAGGTATTTTATTTTCTGTTCTTGTGCTTTTTCACATTTTTCCGAATTGGAAGAATAATCATGTACTATTTTATGATAGGAAAGAAAGCAAGGATTTTATATATTTAAACTTTGTGATACAAGCATTAGGCAAGATAATCACTATTGCTAAGAGGGGTATCTCCTAGTTATTGTTTGAAAGAATTCAAAAATCAGACCATTTAAATACCATTGGGCAATGAGCTGTCTGTAAGTTTTTAGGATATTTAACTGAAAATACATACCACTCAATCTTCCAACAAGAATTTAAAATCAAGTATGTTTTCCAATACATTTGGATTTCATATTTATAATATGAAACCAAACCCATCTCAAAATAGTGACTAGAGTAACTAATGAGCTATAATTCTTAGAAAAGTATTAAATCACTTCAGCCACATCTTTCTTCATTGTACACTTGAGATACCCGTATAACAAACTTAATAAATTATAAAGAAAAATTGAGTTTTTGTATTTTTCTAATATAAGCAACAGCCATATTCTAGCTGTTGATTCTGTACACAATCTAAAAAATGACATCAATATACTAAATTCTCAGTAGTTCACCCACCACCAAGTTTCAAATCACCTTTAAGTCAAATACATACATTTCCATTTTAATACTACTGTCCACTACAATGAAAACTTAAACGACCGGCTTTCTATGGGCTTGGAGGTCTTGAGAAAACTTCACATCAACAAACAGTAAAAATAAAATGACAGGATCAATGGCATGCTTAACTCTAGCTATCCTTGGTTTGTGTCCTGGTTACTTTGGAAATGCCTTATTTTCTCATTTCAGCAGGACAGCTTTTTATCAGTATATCACTTTAACTCTAGATAAAGACTATTAACCATATTCTATGGAACATTCTTTACTCTGAAAAGTCACATTCTTCCAACTTTGAATGGTTGCTTTTTTCTTTTTTGATCATTCTATGTTCAAGATTAACAGTAGTATTATTCCTCCAGTACCCTCAGCTGATAATAAATGACTACATTTTTCAACCTCAAAAATTATTAAAACACATATTAACTGTACTCGACTGACATTTAATAAAATCCAGTGTCTAGTGTCTTCTGAAATGAAGAAGAATTTTAATCAAACTTCTCTTTAAAGACAATCTAGGAAAATGTGTATATGTCTGCATTAAAGAAATACACAGTATACATAACCAAGTACTTTCACCCAGGGGCTCAAAAATTATCAGAAAAATATATGCAGCTCTATCTTAACATAAAACACAGAAAGCATAAATAATGCAGCATAAATAATTCATGCGTTGCTAGTCAGGTGAAGTGCCAGTCAGCTTTATTTGCTTCTATTCATTCACGGTAGGGCATGCCCCCAACTCAGCCTGCTATTTTACTCTTTCTTCAGATTCACAAACATCTTTGTTTATGCCCTAACTAGTGCCTAAAAGCATTCTGAACAGAAATAGGTAAAGCAACATGTTAGAAACTCAGGATAGAAAGAATTCTGGTCCCACTGTCAATCCACCCAAGAAAACAGAGCTGTGAGTTGTTAGTTTAAGTAATACATTTTCACTTTGCATTAACTTTTAAAAAGTGGAAACATTTTTAAATGGAAAGAGCTTATAGACCAGTTGCAATGTGCTACTTCAATTTACAAGTTTTAAGGCAATCATAATATGCCCCTGAAACAAAATGTTTTTACCTTAACATCAGTCACTAGTAAAGCACTCACCTTGTGTCAAATCCTCGAACAATTGCACCCATCGACTTTGCTGCGCCTGCAGAAGCAAGCCCAGCAACACCACCACCAACTATCAGAATCTAGAAGACAGACCCAGTTATGTGTTAAGGCTCATTATCAACTAATAATGAAAAATCATCAGCTAACAATTATTGGTGCCTAGTATAAGTTTAGCATCAATAAATGGCGGTGCAGATGGTGATAATGATGATCAGCCCTTAGTAACTGTATGGAGTACATAGACTATTCTTTAACTGAACCACCACTGATCTTGAAATTTTATCAAAGAAACAACTGCTAGCAAAGGCCAACAACAATTCACTAAAAATAGCCTAATAATCAGAATATCCGTGTAAAACTACCTAAGCATGATCAGCATTACGTATGTTGAAGATTAACAGATTCTTTTCCACTGTCTAAAAGTTCCTTCTACTAAAAGTCCCAGTGTGGCATTCTAACTACCTTTACCCTATCAAATTATAAGGTTTTTCTTTGTTCATCAAACATCAAAACACATTTCAAAGATGGGTACAACATTGGTGAAACATCTACCCCAACCTCTATTTTCAGCCAAAATGCTTCTGAAAGGAACAGCTGATGAGCAACCACAATTCTGAACCATTTTGAGCAACTCTCCGTAAGTCTGAAGCAATGTAACTAATGTCCCTAATCATGGAAGGATCAGCAACAAGAGAACCAAAAAATTCCTCAGAAACAAGTCTCCCCCTACCCCCGCCTTCTAAGAAACAAAGTAAGAACATTGTCTCCAGTCTGGAACGGGCCTTCCAGAGTAAAGTCCTGTTATATATCCCATAAACAGTCAATTGAAAGCAACACTTTGTTCCTGTAGAAAAAAAATGCCACCCACAGAATCAGTGAAGCTTACAAATTGCCACCCACCCATCATGCCCACATGTCCTTCTGCCTTTACAAAGACTAGGCTAGTCAGACTGTGCTCCAGTGAGCTCTGGGCAGTGTCTCAGAGGTCATGTGAATTGATCTTGATAATGGGGTGTTTGGTGCTGTGTTTGGGGACAGGGGTAAGTCTATAGGAAATGGGGCAAAGAGTGACCAGAGGGAATAAGCAGGCTCTAGGCTTCAAAGCACCAAACTCTTCCACACAGAAGCTCCATCACCACTTAAAGAAAGAAAAAAAGAAAGAAAGAAAAAGTAAATAAAAATAAGTAAAAGTCACAGGACTTGGCCAAGTTATCCTGAATCAAGACATAACAAAAAAAAAAAAAAACCATAATTTAAAAAAGCAGAATCGCACAAAAGCAGCAGATCTTACTATCGAAATTTACTTTTTCTCTCTAAAGCATGGAGTAAAGAAAAAGACACAGTGAGTAAGAGTCAGAGAGCTTAGGTCAAAATCCTGACTCTGTTACTAACTAGTTCTGGGTGATCTTCGGCAAGCTGCTTATCATCTGCAATACAGCAATCAAAGTGCCTTCTCAGACTGTTGTTATATTAAACAATGGAATCTAACCGAAGCACTTACTGCTAACTGTTACACCGTAGGCATATGCTCAAGAAATAGTACGGGGCCAGGCAGGTGGCTCAGGCCTGTGATCCCAGCGCTTTGGGAGGCCAAGACAGGAGGATCGCTTGAGCTTTGGAGCTCAAGACCAGCCTAAGCAACATAGTGAGATCCTGTCTCTATTAAAAAATAAGAAATAAAAACTTTTTTAAAAAAAGAAATAGTATGGGAAAGGGCAGGAGAAAGGAAATAACTTTAGGAACAATGCTCGTGTTCACTCATATAACCTTCCCCTCCTCTGGCCTTCCCCATCTGAGTAAAGGCAGTAACTATGCACAATTGTTTAAGCCAAAATGGGGAATTCATCAACTCCTCCCTTTGCACATATTTCCATTTCCAGTTCATCAACAAGTAGTACTGGTTTTAACTCCCAAAGATCATCCCTAATCCAGATAAAATCCTTCACCTTTCTCTACATTTCTGGTGCCGCCATCGTCCCAGGTGCAACCAATTGCTGACAGATCTTGCCTTCACCCTACTATCCATTCCCCCACAGAACAGCCACATGATTTTTTTAAATCCTAAACCAAACATTTCCCTCACCTGCAGGAGAATCCAAAGTCTATAACATGACCTAGAAGAGAGGACCCACATGATCCAGCCTAGACCTTCCTTTCCAACATGATCTCAGATCACTCTTCATCTTGTTCACCACACTCCAAGACCAATGGTATTCTTTATTTTTCCAGAACCTAAATACTGGAATCCTAAATGCTTGGAATCCTTAAACTCCTGTTTCCTTCTTCCATGCTTCAAATCTCACCTCAAAGGTCAGAGGAAGCTTCCCCATCACTCTACTAAAGTGGCCTGTGCCCATTACTGTCACATCATCCGGTTCATTTTTTTTCCTGTGTGAAATTATCTCATGGCCAGGTGCAGTGGCTCATGCCTGTAATCCCAAAATTTTGGGAGGCCAAGACAGGAAGATTGTTTGAGCTCAGGAGTTCCAGATCAGCCTGGAGTGAAAACTCCAGGCAGAGTGAGACCCTGCCTCCAAAAAAAAAACCAAGTCAAAAATAATAATAATAATAAAATTATCTCAGGTATTTATTTGATCTTTTGTCTCCTCACTATGACCCCCACTGGAGTGTAAGTTTTATGCAGCAGGAATTTTGTCTTGTTCATGCCATATCCCCAGCTCCTAGAACAATGCCTCGCATATCATAAGCCTTCAACTGATTGATTTTCATTCAATCTAGGCCAGGGGCCAATCTTTTGGCTTCCCTGAGCAACACTGGAACAAGAATTGTCTTGGTCCACATATAAAATACACTAGCTAACACCAACAATTGCTGATGAGCCAAAAAAATAAAATGGCAACAAAAATCACATAATGTTTTAAGAAAGTTAACAAATTTGTGTTGGGCCGCATTCAAAACCGTCCTGGGCCACTTGTGGCCCACAGGCTGCGGCTTGAACAAACTTGTTCTAGACAGGTAAGAACCCTCCATGTTTAAAGGAAATCCAAATAAAAGACAGTATTATGCAATCCACCTTAATGAGCTATACCAGTGCCTTCAATTTCAGAAAACTATTTCTGTCATGTAACCAAAGTCCCTTAAGCTGCAATTTAAATTTTCAATAAAGATAGTCACTTTTCCACCTTTTAAAGGCTGATTCTCTTTTCTTTAAGCCTCTTTTGTTTCACTTTTTAATATCTTTTATTCACAGCTTTTCTCTCAACTTCCACATATATCTAGAAAGATTATAACCAAAATTAGTAGTAGACTTGTGCATCAAAGCATTCAGTCAATTTAAGAACAGCATCGAACTTCTGGCCACTATGCATGCCAGACATTTTTGTATGATCCTGAGAAAGAAGTCAAAATTTAATCATTTTACATCTCACGTCTGTGTTGTTTGCTCACACTTTCTTGCTAAGTATTCTGGCCTACACTTAAACAGCCTGCCATTTTTTTCACCTGGCCTGTTTTTCAAAACAATATAATTTCTCAAAGCTACTATTTGCTTTTGTTTTAATTTTTTTCCAGGAGATTTATTTTGTGTGAGAACTCTGGGCTTTATATAACAAAGTACTTAAGAGCAGGAAGCAGCCGGGCATGGTGGCTCAAGCCTGTAATCCCAGCACTTCGGGAGGCCAAGGCGGGCGGATCACAAGGTCAAGAGTTCGAGACCATCCTCGCCAACATGGTGAAACCCCGTCTCTACTAAAAATACAAAAAAATTAACCGGGCATGGTGGCCGGCGCCCATAGTCCCAGCTACTCAGGAGGCTGAGGCAGGAGAATGGCATGAACCCGGGAGGTGGAGCTTGCAGTGAGCCGAGATCATGCCACTGCACTCCAGTCTGGGTGACAGAGTGAGACTCCGTCTCAAAAAAAAAGAGCAGGAAGCACCAGTTAACCTGTAACCTACAGGTAGGTAAATGATCACATTTAAAGTCAGGTTTCCTGTACCTAGTGCTGTGGTTTGGATGTGCTTTGTTCCCACGAAAACTCATGTTGACATTTGATCCCAAATGTGGCAATATTGGGAGGTGGGGCCTAGTGGGAGGTGTTTGGGTCATGGGAGTGGATCTCCCATGAACAGATTAATGCCCTCCCTGGGAGTGGGGGGCTGAGTTCTCACTCTGGGGGTTAATAGAAGAGCCTGGCTCCCTCAGTTTCTCTCTCTTGATTCCTCTCTCACCATGTGATCTTTTTTGCACACGCCTGCTCCCTTTACACTGTCCACCATGAGTTGAAGCAGCCTTTAGGCCCTCACCAGATGCAGCTGCCAAATCTTGAATTCCAGCTACCAGAATTATGAGCCAAATAAACCTCTTTTTTAAAATAAATTACCCAGTCTCAGGTATTCTCTTTTAGTAACACAAAATGGACTAAGACACCTAGCCTCAGGGTTTCCATTGTTACTGAGTGTACATAGGATTGAAGGATCACAATATGACCTCCTATTCTTTCAGCAAGCCATCGTCACCTCTCATCGTTAACTGCTCCTCTCTGCTTTCAGTGTGGATTAAAGAAACTGGCACCATTTCTCTCTGCCAAATACTCTGATTACACCACCTCCCATTTCCTGTCTTCTTGATCCAAAAATTGACAAGAAGTGAAGAAACCAAAAATACCTTGTATATGTGCCAAAATGTTGCAAAAATTGAGAAACCCAGAATCTGCTGAATGGTATCTTGAAAGTTTTTTTTAAAAATTAATAATATATAGGCTACAGAGAACAAGTTATCCAAAATTCTTTTAAAAATTCAAATTAGTAAAGTCAAAAAACAGAAAAGACTAGAACTTTCAGAAAGTCAAAGTTCATTTTTTTCTAGCAATCTTAAACGTTAAGCTTTGAGGTTTCGTGAAATATTTATACACACCAAAAAGTCATCAGTGAGGTTAACATATAAAAATTTTTAAATAACTGTATTTTAAGACTATACATACCCTTTCCTTTAATCAATGCATATTATAAAGAAACATTAAAAGTTGTACCTACCTTAGCTGGAGGAACTTTTCCAGCAGCTGTGATCTGACCAGTAAAAAAACGTCCAAAATGATTTGCTGCTAGGACAACAGCCTTATAACTTTAAAAATAAATAAATAAATAAATAAATAATTCCATAAAAGGAGAGATCTCAGACTCACATATCATCATAAGTCATCAATGAAGTTTTGTCAAAGAATAATAGCTAATATTTATGTAGTATGTACTATGTGTCAAAAACAGTTCTAAGTGTTGTATATACACTTGCTCCTTTAATTTGCACAACAAGCCTATGGAAAGGTACAATTACTGTCTTCATCCCATAGGTGAGAAAACTGAGATACAGACTGAGAGACTTGCCTAAGGTCACTCAGCTAGTAAATGGTAGAGCCAGAAGTCTAACACAGGCAGTCTGCCTACAGAGGCACTCTCTTATCCATTATGCACCCACCCTCTTCATAACAAGTACTGTAGAACATAATAGAAAATGTAATGAAAGAAAGATAGGAAAATACTAACAATGGTTTTCTTTGGGTACTAGGACTATACATCCTTCACACTTACTTTACTATATAGTCCAAATATTGTTTGATGACTGGGTAGTGCTTAGGTAATGGGGGGAAAATCCTTAAAATAAAAAAAATTAGGTCAGCCATAGGCTTGTACAAAATAAGATTTCAACCTCGGAGAACAGAAGAAACACTTCCCTTGATCTCTAATGGTTCAAAGTATGGGATTTTCCGATATACTGACCTTAGTTCATGTCCTAGTTCTCTGACTGATTACCTTTGTGACCTTGGGCAAATTTTTAAAATTTTCTAAACCTTGGTTTCCTCATCTATAAAGTAAGGACAAAAAGCATCTATCTTTTAGGGTCGTGAGGACTAAATGAGATAACGCAGGTGAAACACTTCGCATAAAGCCTGTCACATAGAAAATGCTCAGTGAATATTAAGTGTTTTAGCCAAAGAAACAAACTATTTAATAAATCAAATAATATGCATCATCTTTTCTTTAACAGGATATTTTTAACATGCTACACTAATTTCATTTTCATAGCAATTTATATGTAAAAGGCACTTTTGCATTCTTACTTGGTAATATATACACTGGCTCAATATTATAAAGCAACTATTAAAACTCCCCTGCTAGGTGACAAGAAAATCTTCTCCCTGATCATATTTTTACATAATAATACTTGATACAATAATTGATGCAAAAACATATAAAGTCACCATTATTAAGTTAATCACACTGGAGCAAAAAACAATACTTTAGAGATTACAGTATCTGTTGCTCTCCTGAATTCAAATGACAGCAATTTTTAATGGGCAAATATGACAAAGATTCAAAGGCCACTGTAAGAAATTAATTGTGGAATTAATGCTCTAAAAGATTCAGTTGCTATTCTGAAAAATAAATAATAAAAGGAGATTACACAGGAAATGTACGAGGAAACATTGATAGTGAAAAAAGTAATAAATTGGACATTTTCTTCATGACAGCAAAAAAGTTCAGAATGAACAGTAATGAAGTGGAAGTAGCACATCTTCACTGTAATATGGCTGTGTGTATGAATGAGACGGATAATGATTTATCATACATTGTATGGATATGTATACTAGATGATTCCTTTCACACTATGCTCTCTGCATATATCAGCTCAGGACATAGAAGAGTGATTCCTCAAATTGTGATCCCTGGGTCCCTGAAGGTTTAAACTTCAGACAAATCTGGGGCCATAGTGGATGAGATGGAGAGTAGGAATGTTTCTGCACAATCCTGCCATACTCAGTGTACCCAAAGCTACTCAGCTCTTACTGGATTTATTTATATTGTCTCATAATATTTCATTTGCTCAAAAGATTCAACAGCTAAAACCACTTGATCTAGAGCGACTGGTTTTGATATTCTTTCACATATGTGTATTTCAGAATCAACAGCACCCTTAAAACTTTACATTATACATTTTCTAGATAAAATTTTAAGTCACACATTGCATAATATAACTCCCTTACAGGCTAAATAAATTTAAAAGTGTGCAGCTAAAACACAAAGTAGAATCTATGACATATTTCCTATGCTAAAATATAAAACCTAAGAAAACTTTCTGCTTAGGTGTCAGGCTATAGAAGGCTTTATTCATGTTAGTCATGTTAGTGTCTTTTTATGCACTGTTTTTTTAAAAAGGTTATTTTCTTTGTGCCTCATTAATATTAGCAAATTCTCAACTACTAATAGTTTTCATGATTAAAATCTAATTTAATTAGTTTCTTAGAGAAGTTGATTCATAAGCCTTATCCCATTTCCAGATTGTTCCCACCCTTTAAGGCAAAGTCAGCAGTACACTGCTTTCATGTAGCTATTCCTGTCCCTCACCCATGGCAGGCATGATTACTCAATCATAGCCACATTCCTCCAAGCAGAATGGGCCTTAGAATCCTTCTCAACATAGTACTCCAGGCAATCAACATAGAATGTATTAGTGCTATTGGGCAAATGAAGCTTATTACCATCTTGACCTTAAAGGTCGAAGACATAGCCCTCAGTTATCAATATGGGTTTTGACATCAGATGAAACTTCCTCTAGTCCAGACCTTTTTCCTATTCTTTAAATATTTTATAAATTTACCTAAGCAAAACCTAATTAAGACAGCAAATCCACTAATATATGCATATTAATTTAACCACATGAAATTGTCACTATTCTACCATTTTTGACCTATAAAAACAGTAACTTCAACCTTACATATACATGTACACACACATTTATGAAATACAGTGTGTTCCTCATACAAATAATCTGACAGCTATTTGCTTTGGTGAATGGAAACATTACTACTCTTCTACTCATTAAGATTAAAAAGGAATATAAATAGAGTTCATTTCCTATCTAATTACTGTAAAACAATAAAATGAGTCAAAAATAATTTAAATGCACTCTCAAAAGGCTGTAATCTCCAACAATAATTACAAATAAAATCACTGTAAGACAGAAGAGCTACAGTGTGAAGGTTTCTGTAGCACTATTGCGCTTTTGTTCAATTGAAATGGAAAAGAACCTACCCCGCAATGTTGGCCATGGAGCTTAGCGCATCATATCCCTGAGCAATTGTGACTCTTGGAACCTGGTCCATTGCCAGAACTGTAGTTTTTCTTTGGGAAAGTTTATTTAGCAACTCTGGATTTTGGGCTGGGTAAATAAAACTAATCAGCGTTCCTGATGTCTTTAAAAGGTCAGCTTCATGAACACCTAATGTTGGATTAACCATAGGGGCTCGCACCTGGGGAAAAAATCAAGTCACAGATTATAAATATAAATACTTTAATCATATTTTTAAGCAAACAGGAAAACTTAGATAATATGCCATGACTGAAATAATACTCCAGAAATAAATCTTCCATCAATAATTTCTGACTAAATTCTTAAGCAATATAAGGCACACACAGAGGTATACCATCTATCCCCTGCCTAATGACCTGTGGACTGCTCTGAGTAAAGGGCACACACACCTGGGAAATACAAAATACTGAGACTGGTTTGACAATTAACTGCAGAGAGGTGAAAAAATATATGGAAGCTCTACAGCAAACCTGCAGTCCCCAAAACTTATTACCCTGGTAAAATTAACAGATATTAGAATAAACAGACAGGAAGTTTTGTTGTGTGTTCAATCCTTCAAGCAAGATTCAGTCCTTGCTAATTTTGGCAAGCATGAATAATTGGAGTGATGAGACATTAAGAACATCATAAACTAAAACTAAGTATAGATTTATGTCACTTTAAAATTCCAGATGACTATTTATTAGATGAACACAATTCACACTAGTAACCTTGCTGAATTGGGTTTAAGCCAAAAGCTACAATATATTCTGTTACATTAAGAAGTATCAACTAAGTCAATGAATATACACTCCATATGCTTGAAAGTTTCCAATATCCATTTTTTATTTTATTTTTTATTTTATTTATTTTTTTTTGTTTTTTGAGACGGAGTCTCGCTCTGTCGCCCAGGCCGGACTGCGGACTGCAGTGGCGCAATCTCGGCTCACTGCAAGCTCCGCTTCCCGGGTTCACGCCATTCTCCTGCCTCAGCCTCCCGAGTAGCTGGGACTACAGGCGCCCGCCACCGCGCCCGGCTAATTTTTTGTATTTTTAGTAGAGACGGGGTTTCACCTTGTTAGCCAGGATGGTCTCGATCTCCTGACCTCATGATCCACCCGCCTCGGCCTCCCAAAGTGCTGGGATTACAGGCGTGAGCCACTGCGCCCGGCCATCCATTTTTTAAAGCCAAATTTTTAAAACTGTATTTTAAATGTATTTTAAAATGTTTTATATCCAAGTTTAAAATCAACCTTCAAATAAAATATCCCATTTCATTAGTTCCTAGTTAGCAATAGTGCTTTTAGGCAAGTAAACACAGAAAACACAGCCTCTGGGACTTATGTTTTAAATACAAACACAAACATTGGGTCAATAAGTTTATCTCACAGCATTTCACCTCAATTTACCTATGAGACACCTTTGTCTGCTATTCCCATTTCAGTTGTTGATCTGGTGATGCATATGTTTCTAGGTTCTGGACTTTAATTAAGGCTCTCTGACAAGGTCTACTTTTCCTCCAAGAAAATCTATAACATAGATTTAGTAAAAGTTAGAAAACAACTCTGAATTGATTCTACTGGCCCCTATCAAATGCTCAGCTGAGACCGCTGTCATCTGAGTAAGTCAAGCCAATAGAATGTTTCCCTGAATGCGCTCCTCAGGATATTAACAGACTTGGCTCAAATGAGAGGCCCCCAAGATCAAGAAGTTTGTTAATGCTAGTACTGTATAAAGTCATACAATATTCTATGTTATAGGATTTCTGAGCACACCATTAACTGCTTATATACATTGTGAATCCCTAAAAGGAACACATAGCACTTCCAAAATGTAAGCACACCCTTATAGGGCTTTTTCAAGACATCTCAAAAGATGATCCCTAGAATATATATGAGAATGAATTATACTCTTCTTTTTTCTCTAAGTAATTTTACTATATATCTAGCTATATCACCAAGTATTTGTAAACTTAAACCTTTAAAAAGCTTTAGCTGAGTTACAGTTAACCCCCATGCCACAAATTTTACTATTAACTTTCAATAGCAAAAATTGGTTTTGTAACTTTAGCAAAAACCACCTGTCAAGTGTTAGGATCCTGTCAAGTTATTCAGTGGGCTTTATGTAAGGAAATAAAAAAACTATGTGATTGATACCTCATAGAAATTAATGTAGAAAAAAGCTGTATCTCCTGAAAAAATGAGTTACTTCCCTGTTTGCTTTGGTTGCAGGAGGCTTAGCATTTAATTTAATGCTCAACTCTAGTTATCATCTGTGCTAGACCCTTGATACAGTCTCTCCCCCTTTCTCTAAAGGATTTTTTATTTAATATTTTAATTCTCAAGTCATTTAGTATATAGATTTCTGTTATATATTACCTTAAGAACTTATTTTAGAGTAGGTAAAGCTACTCGCCACTCAGCCCAAAGCTGCTTTCTCCAAAATAGTCATGCCCTCTCTAGAAATAGCACGTATGTCAGTGTAAGTCATTGCGCCTTCAGGTGTCAGAAGATCACTGAACATTTAGTCCCAGACTAAGTTCCATACCTTCTTTCCATTCTAGCAGTAAATGTTCACGTGTGGGTACTCTGGATATATATGGACCATGTAGAACAAATTTTTCCTAGCCAATTAAAAGAAAATGTCCATATAGCAAATGTAAAAATGAAGATCACTTTTTCTCTCCTCATGGTTAAACATAGATCATATTGTCTGATAAAAGTTTTACTGGAGCATGAAGAATATGACGACATGCAGTCATTTCTTTGAGAAAAATACACTGTTTGAAAATAGGAAAAGGTGTAACTCCAGATAAAGTAATTTAATTTTTCTATGAAAAGATTTCAAAAAGTCAGCATGCTGTAAATGGGAGAGGAAAAAGGAATAATTACTTTGACCACCAAATCAGAAGCCAGCACTTCCTTTGCCCCTTGGATTTGGGCACCTGCCACTCTATAGTGATCATCTGAGAACTTGGAAGCTTCGCCCGCACCCGATTCCACGACAACATTAAAACCCTGCTTGACCAAGTTCTGAACACCAGCAGGAGACAATGCCACTCGCTTCTCATTTTGGAATATCTCTTTGGGGACTCCAACAGTCAGTTGCTTATATGGAATTCCTAGAAACAAGCAAAGGCAAAAAAAATATATATTTGGTAAAAAAACAAACAAAAAATGTTTAAAAACAGATTTCAGAAAATTGAAAGGAGCAATCTTTTCTTCAAAATATACCACACATGCAAGCTGCTGTTCAGAATGATGTTCCTGATTCATACTTATAATTCTTTGACTTTTGTGGTAGATTATAAGAAACTTTTATGCCTACTCTTCTGAAACTTCTAAATATTTTATTTAATCAATTGGCTTTCTTCAAGGAATATAACAAGCTTAGTTGATTTGTAGGAGAAAAAAAAATGGGTTTAGAGATCCCTCCACATGCTGACTCCATTCTTCAAACTAAGGGCAAGGTTATGGTCTCCTTGCCCTTACTTTTAACAAAATTGGAAGTAATTAGCTATTTTGAAGAACAACTGTATCCTAGACACTTTGATGGCCTGCCACACTCAAAGTTCCCTTCCAGGCAATTTGGCCACACACAATGCCTCATAAATTTCTAAGTGTTGTATCTTAAGACTCTACACACTCAGCCACTTAGACAAGGGATCAGCAACTGTGTCAAGGACAATCATCTACAGGGCAGACAAGGAAAACTAGCAGCTGCACCTTATAAGATGACTTAGACAGGAACTCTGTCCAAGGACGCTCTATGTTGGCCAGTGACTACTCAACCCACTGGGTTCTCTCTCAAGGAGTTTAAATGGGAGACCCACAGAGAGGGACAAGGAGAGTAGATCAGTGCAAATATTATTTGTAAGCACAGCTATGAGGTAATCAAAGGGAGGTCAGCAGTAACAGTGATAGAAACATCAGTAGTAGATATTTAAAGAGAGAAGATGGGTCACAGCCATGAATTCTACAAATAACATTCCACTTATCCAAGGAGTAGATGGGGGGTTTCTGGGCTCTCACACTTGCCAAGAATCCACATAGCAAACCCTCATCACAAAATATAATCTGATGTGATTCTGTTCCTTGCAACCCAAAAAAGCCTATATAGTACAATCTTATATTTAGATATGGTTCAGACCATCTTTAGCTACAGGACATCAGTTTCTCCTGATGTTTTACTTAATATGCAGCATAAACATTTTTTAATGAAGAGTATCTGTTTCTATATAAGGTTTATTAAAGCTTAGGAAACCCATTCTTGCAACCTAAGATCTGAATATGTATAATTTCAAAATGAATGAAATTATCCCTACAAAGTAACTTATTAAGTAAGACCTTAGAGAAATTAAGTCAACCTAGACCTGAATTTGAACACTGTCTTAGATTCCACACTACCTATATAGTAATAATTTACAGTACACGAAAGGCAAATAATGCTGAATCTTACTCCTTACTGGAAGGAGAAGGAGGAAAATAATAGAAAGCTGGCAAATATTTGGATTGACATACAAAGCTCAATCACATACACTCATCTCAAGTTCACTTAGCTGACAACCTCAAATTGTCAGGCTCTACATGGCAAAAGCAAGGAAGCTACCAAAGATGACTGAAGCCATGTCAAAAGGATTTAGAAGCCAATTTGAAAGGGCTTCCACTGACCAAATAAGAGATAATTTAAGCACATACAAGGGACAGAGAAACTGGCTAAACAATACCAAGAGGATTCAATCAGCCAAACCTAGAATGTTGTTAATTCTACAGAGCAACAATGAAATTCTTCAGTATATTAAAAGGAATAAAGAGAGGGGAACTTATAGATAAAAAGAGACAAAAGAGACATAGCAAATACAATGTGTGGACCCTGTTTGGATCACTCTTTGAACAAGCCAACTGTAAAGAAAAAGAGGGAGGGAGGGAGGGAGGCAGGGAGGGAGGGAGGGAGGAAGGAAAGAAGGAAGGAAAGAAGCAAGAAAGCAATTGAAAAAATATGAATACTGACTGTAGCTGGAATTACTTACTACACTTTTCAATATGGTAATGAACTTATGGTTATATTAAGGAAAAAATAGACTTCTTATCTTTCAGAGATAAAAATAATTAGGAAATAGTGAAGAACCAGAAATTAAACAAAAATGTCTTATACATAATCAATATAGAGATCTTGATGTCCATGGATTTACTCACAAGGACAGTTTTCATGTCTTCAACAGTTATTTACCTTTATTTTATACACAATTTTATCACCAGGATAATCTGGCTTTCCAGAGCAATTTAAAAGAAAGCATCTGAAGATAAAGTTGGAGGCTTGTAGGGACAGATACCCTGCCAATTGTGACTTGTCATCTGAGAACAAGAAAAGAGGCTATAAAATCTATTCAAGGCAGACATAAGATCTCAAAACACCTAGCAGTTTAGAGGTCCTTAATGAATCCACAAACAGTCCTACAAACTTAAAAAACAAAAGAGGGCATTATTCTAGGTGACAAAGGTTGCCCCCCAAAATATCCATCCTGTTCCTTCACCTTAATAAGAAAATGCCATTTTTAGCTGGGTACATTGCCATCTAGAATAAAAGACAAAATGTCCAAGTCTCCCTTACAGCAAAATGTCCAAGTCTCCCTTACAGCTACATGTCTGAGTTCTGGACAGTGAGGTGAAGTGACAGAAGTACTGGGATGATCTTTGGGCAAGACTGATGAAAGAGAGTTGACTTGGGGGACAACCTGCTCGGGTCCCCTTCCATTCTGTGGAAGCTTTGTTCTTTCGCTCTTTGCAATAAATCTTGCTGCTGCTTAAAAAAAAAAAAAAAAAAAAAAGACAGACAGTTGACTTGGTTTAGAAGGGCCCCTTTTTAGCCTCTCCTCCTTCTGGCCTGTACCCCAGAACAGAAGCAAGGAGACATTCTATCAGGGAAGGCCTTGTAGGCCACTGGAAGACTTCAGATCTTCCTCTGTAAGAGCTAGGAAGCAAGTGGCAAATTTTGAATTGAGGAGTGACATGACTGTACATTTTAAAAAGATTATTCTCACTGTCCTGTGCAGAACAGACTGTAGGGGGCAGAGGTAAAAAGCACAGAGACATTTAGAAGACTGGTGCATCAGTACAGGTGACAGATGACGATGGCTTGGACCAAGATGATAAAAGTAGCAATGGCAAGAAGAGGACAGTTTGTAGATATGAGATGGAGCTGACCTATACCTACTAGGAGGATGTAGAATGACTCCAGGGTTTCTGACCTGAGCAACTGCAATCAAATTGCTACTAACTAAATTGGAAAGCATTAATGTAGACCAATTAATATACTTAATTCCTAATTCCTGAGCATAGATGAGCTGTATATGGTACAATTCTCAAATACTAACAAGGAATTAGGAAGGGCTTCTAGGAGAAATGGTTATTATGAGCAATAGGCTCCAGGGACAACTCAACTGGTTTATCTTTTTTGTTTGTTTGTTTTTTCTATTACCTTGTCTTCTCTGTTAGCGCTGGAAATCAGGAACGTCTATAGTACATGGAAAATACAAGATAGCACTTACTTGTTGTTTGTTTAAAATGATCACTCACAAGCACCAGGCCATAAAACTACATGGCTTTTCCTTTTATCAATCATCAGATCTATTAGTTCCTATGACTTGAAGGTTTCATTTACAATCACTGAAGTGAGACTTTACCTGGTTTTACAGGCGCTTTACACCACAGTTCTTGGTGAGTATAAAATGTTCGTAAAAAATCCTTCTTCACACGTAGACCCTTACAGGACCCCAAATTGCTAAGTAGAGGACACGAGCAGCCAGTCACCACTGTTTTCAATAGGTTTGCCATGTTGATATGAGTTCCCAATTTTCTGACTCCCCAGTTTCCTTGAAGGCAAATCACTAAGAAAAAAGAAAATAGGATGTATATATGCCAAGAAAAAAACTATTTGTCTTTTAAACATGAAAAACATTTTAAAAATACTAATCTAAAGAGCTTGAAATATAACAGTTACATGTAGACATCTATAAAGAATTTATTTGCCAAGTTCCTTACTTATAGAAGATGCTCAAAATTCGTTTTCCAGTTCAGACATTTAAAACTTGGAATCCATTTTCCCACTAAAATTGGAGTTCTAAACTCACTATTCAATTCCAAGCCTAGGTCATATAACCTATTTGATCCTTAATGTAGCTAGAAAGCTTTAATACACACACATATTGCTACAGAATCAAGTTGTATCTTACATGAAAGTTATCTTCTAAGTCAGCATGTCCAGCAAAAAGTGCATGTAATTCAGTTACCTTTGAATTTCCCTTAAATTACCTAAAATACTGTACAGTATAATGGTGACTTACATTTAGCCACCAGGTCATACCAAATACTCTGACATCCTGTTCAGTGCAGCAGGATGCTTATCCACTGAGACCTCTGAACTGAGGCTGACTGAGTGAACAAAAGATTCATGTTTGCCAAGTGCACCTCTCAAGAAAATTAAACATGCATGACACATGACTCTAAGAAAGAAGAAAGAAAGAAAAATTCCATAGTATCTTTATCAAATAGGCTTGTGCTTGCTGATGTGGCCATAACTATGAACTGTTTTGTCAGTGGTTCTCACAAATGGCCACTTTTTGCGAGTTCTCACCAGGCTGCGTGAAGTGTCACTGGGTTTTGCTGTTACTAAGGTTTCAGGAACTACCTCCACCACATTCCTCAGTAGATCCCCAGGGATGCATGAAAGGCACTCCCACTGTCCCCATAATTCCCAATGATCCTCCATACCTTTCTCTTCTTTCTTTCAAGAATGGAAAGAAGCCAGGCGCAGTGGCTTATGCCTGTAATCCCAGCACTTTGGGAGGCCAAGGTGAGCAGATCACGAGGTCAGGAGTTCGAGACCAGCCTGACCAACATGGTGAAACCCCGTTTCTACTAAAAATATAAAAATTAGCCGGCCCTGGTAGCTGGCACCTGTAATCCTGGCTACTCAGGAGGCTGAAGCAGGAGAATTGGTTGAACCTGGGAGGTGGAGGATGCAGTGAGCCAAGATTGCACCACTGCACTCCAGCCTGGGTGACAGAGTGAGACACCGTCTCAAAAAAAAAAAGAATAGAAAGCAGCCAAGGACTTAGAATTTTATCAGCCAAACTCAGCTAACACTGCTAACTCTGCCTGTAAGTTCTGCTGTATCATGTGGACCCTCACGGGACTGAGCATCTGATCCTAGCAGGCTCCGTAAATGTTCTTCCAGACTCCAGAGGGAGAAAGACTTAGCTCATTTTTAATTTCAGAACTGCTGCCACTGGCCAGGCTTGGTGGCTCATGCCTGTAATCCTAGCACTTTGGGAGGCGTTGCCTGAGTTCAGCAGTTCAAGACCAGCCTGGGCAACATGGCAAAACCTCGTCTCTACTAAAAATACAAAAAATTAGCCGGGCGTTGTTATGCACGTCCGTGTGAAGAGACCACCAAACAGGCTTTGTGTGAGCAACAAGGCTGTTTATTTTCACTTGGGTGCAAGTGGGCTGAGTCCGAAAAGAGAGTCAGCAAAGACAGATAGGGGTGGGGCAGTTTTATAGGATTTGGGTAGGTGGTGGAAAATTACAGTTAAGGGAGGTTTTCTCTTGCAGACAGTGGTGGGGGTCACAAGGTGCTCAGTGGGGAGCTCCTGAGACTCATTGTCCAGGAGAAGGAATGTCACAAGGTCAATTGATCAGTTAGGGTTGGGCACAAACAAATCACAATGGTGGAATGTCATCAGTTAAGGCAGGAACTGGCCATTTTCACTTCTTTTGTGGTTCTTCAGTTGCTTCAGGCCATCTGGATGTATACGTGCAGATCACAGGGGTTATGATGGCTTAGCTTGGGCTCAGAGTCCTGACAGGAGTGATGGTGCGCACCTGTAGTCCCAGCTACTCATGAAGCTGAGGCACCAGAATCGCTTGAACTTGGGAGGCAAAGGTTGCAGTGAGCCGAGATCATGCCACTACACTCCAGCCTGCCAGCCTGCCAGCCTGGGCGAGAGAGCAAGACTCTGTCTCAAAAAAAAAACAAAAAAACAAAAAACAAAAAAAACCTGCTGCCACAACTCCTTGAAGAAACATCTTTAAAATACCAGAAAGCAGCATTGGTAATGGAAATTTTTAATCCAGGGAGCATATTTATTCATAAGATGCCCCTTAATTCAACAAATATATACCAAGGGCAGAGTTTTGCCATTAAGAAGCACTTGTAGAATCAAACTGGAATTTTCCTGGAGATAAGAAGTCAACAAATAATAACACTACAAAGTAGAGTAACAGAGTAACACAAGCTCAGAGTCCTTTGAAGGATCAAAGAATGAGATTGTGTCCTCTTTTAGAGCTCAGAAAAGGAAGGGAAAGCCGTTTGAGATGAAGAGAATCAAATGAAAAATAGCTAAGGAAGAAAGAATGCAAGATGTGTTTTGGCATGCAATTAAAAATATGTATGAATAATTATTTGCATTTGGACAGACAGCTTTACATGTTCAAAGTGTTTCCACATATCATGTCATTTCATTTCAGTCCTAAAGTATTCTCAAGTCTCATAAATACCCTACTCATTCATTCATGGGTCACATCTAGAGTTATCATGGCTGAGAATAAAGAGAAAATTAGTTCGAAATTCAGCTACACATTCAAAACCCCTACCGAATCTATGCCAAGAACTAAGGGAGTTGCAAAGATGTGTAAAAGATTATTCTTGTCTTGAGTGAGATTTTTTTTCCCCACCATTACTGAGTGACCTACTCCTATCCCAACCTCCCCACTTACCCAAGTTTCTCTTCTTGGATCATCCCAACTCCCCAACAACCACCATTTTTATGGGGCTGACAAAGAGTTCCCAGACCTCATCAGCAAAAGAGTGAACTGAGCTTTAATAGAGTCCTGTATTGTCCAAATCTGCCACTCACTTACTGTTCGACCTGAACCTCCCCCTGCCTCAGTTAGCTCAACTATAAAAAAAGCACAGGTTTCAAAGGCCATTTTAGTCTCTAGAAATTTTATGATTAGATGAGACTTTGTAATGCTATAAAACTGAAGTCCTATTTCATGGCCTGAAATCTGGAAAATTTGTTCCTTCTACTTGGAAAATGGTAATTTGATGTTCAGCAGATCCTTGGCAGGGGCATCAGACATCAGTAGGGCCAAAGCCTTCATAGGCCCATTTCTGTGAAAAATTTCACTTGATTCAACTGTGAACATACAGGGCAGAGATCAGGAGGTCATTTCTTGGCAAAAGCAATACATATCACTAAGTCTAAACCAAATACAAATGGCCCTGAAAGATAGAGAATATTTAAACTATCTTATCATTGACCTGTACAGGTTTATACAAAAGATAATACTCCATCCTAATCATCACATTTTCCTCCATCTTCACTGTAAAGCTCTCATTTATCCATGTGTTCCTGTGGCTTTGAAGCAATAAGAAAAAAACTTTATAACTCAAAATTAGGGGAAAAAAGCACAACTTTTTTTTTTTTTTTTTTTTTTTTTTTTTGAGACGGAGTCTCGCTCTGTCGCCCAGGCCGGACTGCGGACTGCAGTGGCGCAATCTCGGCTCACTGCAAGCTCCGCTTCCCGGGTTCACGCCATTCTCCTGCCTCAGCCTCCCGAGTAGCTGGGACTACAGGCGCCCGCCACCGCGCCCGGCTAATTTTTTGTATTTTTAGTAGAGACGGGGTTTCACCTTGTTAGCCAGGATGGTCTCGATCTCCTGACCTCATGATCCACCCGCCTCGGCCTCCCAAAGTGCTGGGATTACAGGCGTGAGCCACCGCGCCCGGCCCAAAAGCACAACTTTTTAAGCATTGCTTTCATATGTATGTTTAATGTAACTTATATGGGTTATTTCCCCTATTAGATATTAAAATCCTTGAGGGAAAGCACCCAACCTAAAGAGGGAGGATACCACAGATATTTAAGAGAGTCAGCTCTGGATCTGCGGATTGGAAGCCCCACTCTGCAACTTATTGGCTGTGTGACCTTGGGAAGTCACTTAACTTCCCTGTACTTAATTTCCTCATCTTTAAAATGGGGAATAATAGCACCCACCCAGGGTGGTGGCTCACGCCTATAATGCCATCTCTTTGGGAGGCTAGTGGGGAGGACTGCTTGAGGCCAAGAATTCAAGACTAGCCTGGCCAACACAGTGAGACCCCCATTGCTAAAAAAAAAAAATTAATTAGCAGGGCATGGTGGTGCAAGCCTGAAGTCCCAGCTACTTGGGAGTCTGAGGTGGGAGAATCACTTGAGCCCAGGAGTTCCAGGCTGCAGTAAGCCGTGATTGTGCCACTGTACTCCAGCTTGGACAACAGAGCGAGACTTGAAAAAATAAAATAACAGCACCTACCTCTCAGGGTTGTTGCCAGGACTGAGAATATCCTTATCAGCTGTTATATTCACTTTGGTATTACTCTCCCCCAGTGCTTTGCACAACACAGAGGAAGTCAGTATTTTTGACTGAATGAATAGGGCTAGGTGACCTTAAGCCTAAGTACCTATTGAGCACATTTTCCAAGGATTTTCGGAAAATTTCCTTTGAAAAGGAAATGTTTGTGTAGCCTTGTGGAAAACTGATTCTATCACCAAGGTAAGCAGCCTAAGCGCACCTGCTGGAAAGAAGGCAATCCTAAACTGTCTGTTAATAAAAAGTCAAGGTTTACAAATAAAAGGGGTGCAATGAAGAAAAGGGGCACACTTTAAATAAGAAGAGTAGGTAGGCACCTAAGCCCCACGCGCTTCTCCGAATAAGTCTGTCCTACAAGACTCCTGACAAACAGACCACCTAAGGACTGGCCGGCGCCACAGGGTGAATAAAGGACACCGGCAACCATAAACAAGTCACGCTTTTAAAAGCGAGACATACCAGCAAGGACACAATACCCTACTGAGCCAGCTTCGGCTGGCAGGCGCCGTGACCTCACCCAAAGCCACTGGTGTCACGGCTACTGCCACCGGTGCCGTCCCTTGCTCGGCAACTAACTGCCACCCGCTGGCATCTGCACGAGACCGCTATTTATAACCTCCCTAGGAAGCCGATTGGCCACGGCTGCAAATAGTCATTCCGGCTGTTGAGTTTGAACTAGCTCTGCCCAGGTCGCCCTCTCCGCTGTCTCTTCCTCCTCACCAGCCTAGGCCCCAGAAACTTGTACCCACCACCGCCAGACCGCCCCAACTCACACTCACAATTTGTGCTCGCAATCTCCTATGTCCCCAGCCGGACACCCTCTCCGAACTCCCTCAAGGGTCAAGCATACCTCAAGGGCATCCAGCTGCCACCTCTCTGGATGAACCGCCCATCGAAAGTCCTCTATGACCTCCCTCTCCACCACCCCCGATCTTGAGGGCCGAAATGACCCCGTACGACTCTCGCTGTCCCCCAAAGCTGCAAATATCTGCACCTGCACAGCTGCCGCCTCATTCCCTGCCCTCTTCGGGGACCCAGTTCCCAAATCCACCAGCCCACTCCCTTCGACATCGCCCCAGCAGGAGACGAGAAAGGGACACCAAGAGGCACGGTGCTTCTTCCCCACCTAAGCCTGCGGCCTGCGGACACCCCAATGCACCCTGCGCCCGGGACACCGCCGACCCCGCCCCGCTTTGCTCTTTGACAGGTCTCTCTCCCGGCGAGGGCCGTGGTCTTCAGGAAAGGCCCGAGCCCCTTTCCCAGCTGCGCCCTAGGCGCGCGCCCCGGCTGCCCGCACCCGCCAGTGCCGTCGCGCTCACCTGGGCCGGGAGGCTGACAGCCTTGGGCTGTGCCCTGAGGGCCGCGAGAGGACGTCGCGCTGGCAGACCCGGGCTTGGGCCCCGCGGCGCTGCGCCTCCAACCCGGAAGAACAGCCCCAACTCCGCGGCGGCGGGCGGCCACGTGACTGCAGCTCCGCTCCCACCTCGGCCCGCGCCCCTTCCCCGCCCCAGCTTTCTTCCCGCCAGGCCCCCTCCACCCGATCGCCGCGCGCTCTCCGAACCAAAAGGCGACCTCACGAAATGCCCCTTTGAGCTCAAAGGCTAGTTACCCCCAGGGGCCCTTCCACTCTCGGGGACAGGCGAAACCTCTTTGTCTCTGCCTCGGCCTGCGGCCCCCAGCCCAGCCTCCGCGCTTTCCCTCCGCCAGTCCTTGTCAATCAAACCTGGTGCCAAACGCGGCAGCTGAAGTTTTCAGGGACACATTTGCTTCTCCCCTTGAAGAACCAGTTACAAAGCGTGATGTCCTCTCTGGGGTCCCATCAGAACAAAGAAACAGGTAATATAACTCCACTCCGGGTACCTGCCTTTCCTCCAGCTCGCTAGGAAAAATCAGAACTTCTGTAACAGAGAGGACCCAAGGGAAAGGGGCAGGCGGAGAGGGGTTGGTGAAGGGCGGGAATGGGGGGCGTTGATTTTCCATTCTGGCAGGAGAGGTGGAGTTAAATTCCTCAGAAACGATGTCCAGGCTTGAAAAGTAACACACATCTGCGTGCTTGTCTTCCAACATCAGAGCCAGCCTAGAGGAAGCTGGCTAGTGTCACTGCTAGTACGAATATCCCCGAGGCTGGAAAGCATCTGGGTGGAGGTTGTGAGCTTTCCAGACCAGGCCTCGGCTGTTTTTCTAAAACTATTAACCGTAATGACCTAGTCGTTCTTTTCACACAGTTCTGTTACTTATTCTGCAGGTGTATTCTGACTAAAAGTGGGAGGAATAAAAAATAGAGTGTAAAATGGTTCACTTGCCCAAAACTTAATCATCATGAAGTGTCAGTAACGTCATTTATTTCTATTAATTGAAATTTTGATACAAGAAAAATAATTATGAATCTAAAAGGTATAAGCAGAACAGGTATTCCATAACTTTAAAAAGAAATGAGCCGCAGGGAAACCCTTAGTTTGAGAACTTGTCTTGTGATTAACCTACACAGAAGGTCATTCAACTAATGGATTCCCACTGCAGTCCAAACTCACAGACAGGAAATGACACAGCCCCATGTTTTAAAATAATAATGAGCCGTGGTAAGTGTGACCATAGGGACGGTTTCCAGATACTGAAGGTACAATGAAGTGAGATTAGTAATGATCCCACTTAGTAAGGATTTTAAACTAAGTTATTGATTTAAAACTTTTTGTAGGGGTCAGGAGTTGCTGCTTTGTCTTTTAGGGATTAATAATTCGTGGTTCCCAACTGGGGACAATTTAGTTCCGAGGGATATTTGGCAATGTCTAGAGACATTTTGGTTGTCACAATTGGAGAGGGGACCTATCTAATGGGTTGGGGCCAGGGATATTACTGAACACCTCACACTACACAGCCCCTCACGACGAAGCATTATCCAGCCCCAAATGTCAATAGTGCTGAGGCTGAAAAATCCTGGCTTAAATTAATGCTCAGTACATTATTTAATTTTGACTTGCTTATAAATTTATATCACATGAAAACAAACTCAAAGATAACATACTGTTTTTCACTTTTGAAAATCATGAATGTTAGGCATATGATAATTTTAATAACAAGCATATGATTATTTTATTCCGCTTACTTGTACAACATAATTTGGGTGCCATTTCTTCAGGAGAAAACATTTGTCATTTGGAATGCTCTGTTTCAGTCCTTAAGCTTCTACGTATAATTACAGCATATTATTCATAAACGGAGTCCCCAATGAAAATAGGATTAAGTTCCAAAAGTTTGCTTTTAAGTTAGTTGCTTCTAAGTCTTAGACACTGTCTTGAATAAAATTTTTGTAGAGATTTGATATTCCCTATTAAGTTTTAAGGGCCTTTCCCACTCTGACTTCTACTCTTTCCTCCCTGACTAATTTGACCTGCAAACTCTCATCTTAAAATAGTACCTCTCACATATGTGTAAGTTTTCATTACAGATTGTTCTATTATTGAATAATTTTTAAAATATTTTAAAATTAAAATAAACATCAAAATTTAAACCATTTGAAGTTTAGGAGTTTTTGTAGTCACAAATGCTTAAAAATAGTTTTTAATAATTAGAGTTCTAATCTATCAGAAGCAAAAAGGATGAAACATTTACAAGACTATAATATAACATTTGGATCTGCTTTAAAGCCTAAAAACCAGAGAGGTGCCCAGTAGCCAAAAATCAAAACATAGGCTGAACCTGAGAAGACATGTAATCAAAAACTGACCTCTAGTGATGGCTTGTTACCAAAACCCACCATCTAGGTAAAATCAGGCTACAGAAAAGGTAGCTTTAATGTCTTTTCATTGTGGTTATTATGTTACATGGTTATTGGCAATTTATTGTCTCAGCTTCCCTTTTATAAATAATTATTAGTAAAGTGAACAGCCCCAGAGAGATGGGATTCTTAGATTTCAGTGTGTCTAACAATGCAGACACTCGACAGGTTTTAAGGGAACCATCACTAACCTTAATCTTAGCCCTCTTCTCCCAGGCTGACCAATCAAGAGTGTTTGATTTTAGGAAATAAATGTTAACTGACTAAATGAGCTGATGCTAATCAACATTAACTGGAAGAAAAAAGAGAACTGATATTAAAGAGCCAGCACAAAGTTCAACAATTGGCATTTGTTTAAGCTACATAAGTAAAACCAGTTTGCATTTGAAATTTCTGTGAGCATTTAAAAAACTAGCTCATGGCATACTACTGTGAATATTGTCCTTTGCATATTCATGTAAGTACCAATTACAAAAACCTATGGGTTTTTAAATCAATATAAAAAATTGGCCGGGCGCGGTGGCTCATGCCTGTAATCCCAGCACTTTGTGGCCAAGGCAGGCGGATTGCCTGAGGTCAGGAGTTCGAGACCAGCCTGGCCAATAGGGTGAAACCCCATCTCTACTAAAAATACAAAAATTAGCTGGGCATGGTGGCAGGTGCCTGAAACCTGAAACCCCAGCTACTTGGGAGGCTGAGGCAGGACAATCACTTGAATTCAGGAGGTGGAGGTTGCAGTGAGCCAAGATCACATTGCACTCCAGCCTGAGTGACTAGAGTGAAACTCCATCTCAAAAAAAAAAAAAATTATCTGTGTAATCATAGTTTAGGGGGTCTGGGAAGCTGGTGAGGAATAGAAGCTATGTTAGTTTCCTACGGCTGCTGTAAGAAATTACCACAAACTGGGTGGCTGAAAACAACAGAAATCATTTCTATCACAGTTCTGGAGGTCAGAAGCCCAAAATGAAGGGGTTGGCAGGGTGGATTCTTTCTGGAAGCATTGAGGGAGAAACCATCCCATGCCTCTGCCAGAGCTTCTGTTGGTTGTTGGCAGTCCTTGGTGTTCCTTGGCTTATAAATGCAGCCAATCTCTGCCTCCATCTTCACATTGCCTTCTTCTCTATGTGCCTGTGTCCAAACCTCCCTCTCCTCTCTCTTATAAAGATACCAGTCAGTGGTCTTAAGGACCACCCTAAGTCCAGGATGGTTTCTGTCTTGAGATCCTTGACTAATTACATCTACGAAGCCTGTATTTCCAAATAAAGGCGGACACAGATACTTTGAGGGGGAACACTATTCAGCCCACTACATGGGCATTCTGTGTGTTTAAGGGTAACACACTGTAAAGAGGGTTTTGGGGGTCTTTGGGGGGAAGTTTCTTTGTTTTTTGAAGAGGGATGGATTTGCCAGTTATTGAGTTTAAAGTGAAAATCCAAATTATTTGAGGGAAATTCAGGTGAAAGTCATTTTGTATTAATAATTGGGGAAAAATTTCCTTAGTTATATACCCGGTTTACTGGTTTAATAAGCACTCAACCTAATTGAACTTTTCCTGCAATTTCTATATATCATATATTTATCACCATTATCAAACTACTTGATTATAAAACCCCATAATAGTACTTGATAAAAGAACTTCAGCCAAATTAAATTTAAAGGAGTTTAATTGAGCAATGAACCATTCATGAATCGGGCAGCCCCCAGAATCACAGCAGATTCACAGAGACTCCAGGGGTGTCTTGTGGTCAGAACAAATTTATAGACAAAAAAGGTAAAGTGAGGTACAGGAATTGGAAATGAGGTACAGAAACAGTGAGATTGGTTACAGCTCAGCATTTGCCTTATTTGAATGCAGTTTGAACATTCAGTAGTCTATGAGTGGTTGAAGTATGGCTGCTGGGATTGGCCACCACTCAGCTCCTGTTACAGGTGCATAGTTATTAAGTCAGGTTTTCAATTTTGCTTATTAAGTTAGATTACAGTTCATCCACAAAGACTCAAATATAGAAGTACGGAGTCTTTCTCAGGCCATATTTAGTTTGCTTTAACACGCTTAACATTTTTATAATACTTCACTTTTTAAATTTTGCATTTGATTAAAAGTTCTAATTTAATATAAGTTTTGCAAAGCATCATCTCTTTGAAGATCTTTTTTTATGCTACATGTTACCCATAATAGAAAAATAAAAACCAGAATATCTCACCTCCACTGGTTCGTTA
Source organism: Homo sapiens (assembly GCF_000001405.40). NCBI lineage: Eukaryota > Metazoa > Chordata > Mammalia > Primates > Hominidae > Homo > Homo sapiens. The sequence continues at coordinate 43,598,618 of NC_000005.10, read as the reverse complement.
TACTCTCCTATCTCCTCTCCTCCTACCATTTATTATCAATTCTTTCTTTTTCTTTTTCTTTTCTTTTTTTTTTTTTGAAACAGTCTCACTCTGTAGCCCAGGCTGCAGTGCAGTGGGGTGACTTCAGCTCACTGCAACCTCTGCCTCATGGGTTCAAGTGATTCTCCTGCCTCAGCCTCCCAAGTAGCTGGGATTACAGGTGACCACCACCACACCTGGCTGATTTTGTATTTTTGATAGATGGGGTTTCACCATGTTGGACAGGCTGGTCTTGAACTCCTGGCCTCCAGTGATCTGCCTGCCTCAGACTCCCAAAGTAGCTGGGATTACAAGTGTGCGCCACCACACCCAGCTCATTCTCAATTATTTTACCACTTAAATGTGCACGTTTCTAATGTTCCCTTGGCCCTCTCTGCTATTAACTCTAATACTTTCTCTGTGTACAATGTTACTTGTGCTAGGACCACTCCCAAAGCTCAATCTCTAGCCCAGACCTCTCTCCTAAGCTCCAGACTCTTGCAGCCAACTGCCTGCTGGTCATTGCCCTTGAGATATCCACAAACATTTCAAGCCAAACATGAGAAAATTCTCTACTACCCTCCTTTTAGCTGTAGCAAAACACTGGATGTTTCTTGAATGTATGGAGCAATTCCATACTTCCTTGCCTTTCGCATGCTTTTCCTTCAGTCTAGAATGCTCTCCCTGCTCTACCTTTTCTTTGCAAGCTTATGTTCATCCTCTAAGGTGTAGCTTTTGTCTCTTCCTCTGTGAAGTATTCTAGGAAGCCTTGTTCAACTCTTATTTCCTCAAGCTTAGCACAGTGTTGGCACATAACAAATGCTAAATAAAAGTTAGCTAGATCAATAAGCAGCAGCCACTGTGGAAGAAGACTGGACTGAATCCTGAGTCTGGCTGAATACCCTTGGGATAGTTCAACTATAAAAAATATGGAGACAATAACTATTTAACAGGCCATTGTGAAGAGGAGAAGAGAATTTATGTAAAGAATATAGCCCAGAGTCTAGCCCATCATAGGTTTTAAAAAATGCATCTGACTTTTGGCAAGGGTGCGAAAGCAATTCAATGAAGGAAAGATAGTCTTTTCAACAAATGGTACTAATACAGTTGGACATCTGTAGTCAAACAAAAATGAACCTCAACCTAAGTCTCACAGATTTTTACAGTAAAGTCAGGATGGAATACACAGTTACGTGTAAAACCATAAAACTTTCAGAAAAAAATAGGATAAAATCTCCAGGACCTAGGAATAGTCTTGACACCAAAAGCGTTATTTTTTTACCTTATTTATGTTGAAGGACTAAAAAAGCATTATTTATAAAGGGAAAAACGGATAAATTAAACCTTGTCAAGAAAAAAAAAAGGCCAGGTGCTGTGGCTCACTCCTGTAATCCCAGCACTTTGGGAGGCCAAGATGAGCGGATTACTTGAGGTCAGGAGTTCGAGACCATCCTGGCCAACATGGTGAAACCCCATCTCTACTAAAAATACAAAAATTAGCTGGGCATGGTGGCAGGCGCCTATAATCCCAGCTACTCGAGAGGCTGAGGCAGGAGAATCGCCTGAACCCAGGAGGCAGAGGTTGCAGTGAGCCAAGATTGCACCACTGCACTCTAGCCTGGGCAAAAGACTGAGACTCCGTCTCAAAACAAGAAACAAAACAAAACAAAAGCAAAAAAAAATTTAGCTCTGCAAAAGAGTCAATCAGTTATATATATATAAATTTATGTATATTTAAGAAATATATAAATATTTAAGAAAATATTTAAGAAATATTTTCTTATTTTTTTAAGAAATACATATTTAAGAAATATATATATATTTCTTAAAAATTCTTAAAACCTAACAGCAAAACAAAATTCAAATAGAAAATGGGCAAAAGGTATAAAGAGACGTTTCACAGAAGAGGAATATAAGCACATGAAAAGATGATCAACATTATTCGCCATTAAGGAAGGGAAAATTAAAACTCAATGAGACAACACTACATATCTATAAGAAAGCCTAAACAGGGCTGGGCACAGTGGCTCATGCCTGTAATCCCAGCAGTTTAGGAGGCCAAGGCGGGCAGATTGCTTGAGCTCACAAGTTCGAGACCAGCCTGGGCAATATGGCGAAACCCCATCCCTGCAAAAAATACAAAAATTAGCTGGGCATGGTGGCATGTGCCTGTAGTTTCAGCTACTCAGGAGGCTGAGGTGGGAAGATGGCTTGAGCCTGAGAGGCAGAGGTTGCAGTGAGCTAGGATCCAGGATTGTACCACTACACTCCAGCCTGGGCGATAGAGCCAGACCTTGTCCAAAAAAAAAAAAAAAAAAATGCCTAAAACGAAAAATAGCGATAATATCAAAATCTGGCAAGGGTGGGGAAAAACTGTATTATTCATACATTGCTGCTGAGAGTATAAAATGATATAGTCAAACTGGAAAACAGTTTGATGGTTTCTTTAAAAAACCTGTAACTACCATATGGTTCTACCATTTATACTCCCAGGCATTTGTCACAGAGAAACAAAATGTATGTTCACACAAAAACCTGTACATAATTGTTCATAGTAGCTTTATTCATAAGAGCCAAAAACTGGAAACAGCCCATATGTCCTTCAACAGGTGAATGGTTAAACAGACTGTTATACATGCTTACCATGGAAGACTACTCAGCAATGAAAATGAATGAACTACTGAAATACTCAACAACTTGGATCACTCCCCAGAGAATTATGCTAAGAGGGAAAAGCCAGTCTTAAAAGATTACATACTTACTATTCCATTTACGTAACATTCTCTTTTATTTGTAGAAATGAAGGTCTCATTATGTTGTCCAGGCTGGTCTCAAATTCCTGGCCTCTGGTGGTCCTCCTGCCTCAGTCTCCCAAAGTGCTATAATCTATAATTATAGATTATATAGCTATATATACATTATACATTATATTTAATATATAATGTATATATATAAGTATATGTATTATTATATATATTTATAATGTGTATATATATAGTTGTTGTTGAGACCAAATCTCCCTATGTCACCCAGGCTGGAGTGTAGTGGTTCAATCTCGGCTTACACCAACCTCCACCTTCTGGGTTCAAGCAATTCTCCCACTTCAGGCTCCCAAGTAGCTGGGACTATAGACATCTGCCACCATGCCCAGCTAATTTTTGCATTTTTAATAGAGACAGGGTTTCACCATGTTGGCCAGAGTAGTCTTCAACTCCTGGCCTCAAGCAATCCGCCTGCCTCGGCCTCCCAAACTGCTGGGACTACAGGCATGAGCCACTGCACCTGGCCCACTATATAATATTCTTGAAAAAATGAAATTATCAAAATAGAGAACAGATTGGTAGTTGCCAGAGTTTGAGGAGGGGGTGAGGGTAAAAGAGATGTAGCTGTGGCTATAAAAGGCCAACCCGAGAAATCCTTGTGGTGATAGAAATATTCTGTATCTTGATTACATCAATGTCAATACCCTGGTTATGATATTGTACTATAGTTTTGCAAAATATTACCCTTAGGGGAAACTGGGTAGAGCCTACAGGGGGGGATCTCTCTGTATTATTTCATACAACTGCATGTGAATCTCCAATTATCTCAAAATAAAATGTTTAATTAAAAAAATAAGCCTGACAGGTGTAGTAAAATAGTAATGGTAGACTCTAGGTGGTAGATGCACAGGTAAGTACATAAAATTCTTTCAAATTTGCTGTTTTTTTAATGTTTCTTTGTAAAATTAGAAAAAAAAAGTTAAGTATTGTAATTATTCTGAGACTAAGTCCCTCACTCTCACAATCTAAAAAATAAAAGTAAGGTACATTCGGTACATTCAGCTTACTGAAAATATTCATTATTGCCTCTTTTCCTGTGGCATAAATTTTTCAAATGAATTGCCTGTAGATTAAGAAAGCAATTTCATGAAATCATTTCTTATCAGTGGAAGCAAACATTGAAGGTTCAGGATGCCATCCTGAATTTGGGATAAAGAGGTTTTTCATCTTCCTTACCCCACACCTCATCTTTAGTCAGTGTTTTCAACATTTATTTGGCATGTTAATTGTCAAATTCCCCTTTCAAGTGATCTTTTTATCTGATAGAGTGTCCAAGGTACTCTAAAGATTGCATTGCTGGCACACTCTACTGTTAGGTGACAGTTTAGGCACTACATCCCTCTGTAGTGGCTTTTGAGTAGACGACAAATTGTAGGAATTTATAGCATTAACTCAAAAATTTTAGAAAGCCTCAGGGAACAATTAATTTCAGGGTTTAAACTTGTCAGACCTGAAAAGTAACTATAAATTCATATTGATGATTACAGATTCTTTGTTTCTTAATCTCCACAATGGGCTCAAGAGTCCAAAAGCATAAATCATGCCACCTTAGGACAGTAAGAATAGTTACTTTCTGTGTAATATTTCAGTTTACACACCACCTTGACATGTATTACCTGATTTAATCACTTTAATAACTCGGAAGAAGGTTCTATTATTCCTGGGTTTTTTGTTGTTGTTGTTTTTTGAGATGGAGTCTCACTCTGTTGTTGCCCAGGCTGGAGTGCAGTGGTGCAACCTCCACCTCCCAGGTTCAAGCGATTCTCCTGCCTCAGCCCCCCGAATAGCTGGGACCACAGGCGCACGCCACCATGCCCAGCTAATTTTTGTATTTTTTAGTAGATATGAGGTTTCACCATATTGGCCAGGCTGGTCTCAAACTCCTGACTTCATGATCCGCCCACCTCGGCCTCCCAAAGTGCTGGGATTACAGGTGTGAGCCACCGTGCCCAGCCTGTTCCTGTTTTAAGGTGAAGAAACAATGGCTTAGGGTAAACTGATACATCTGAAGTCACAACAACAAGAATTAGAGCTGAGACTTAACTGTAGGTCTTTTGGTTCTGAGTTCAATGATTCTGGTGGGAAAGAGTATCCTCTGAGAGGGGATGCTAAAATGACTTCCCTGTGGGAATGAAGGTACCAAGAGAAGCAAGGAAAACAGAAGCCCCTTTATAGAGAGAAAGAGGGAGTCCTCTGTGAACATCAAGTCCCTCTCATTTTTCCCTCCCCATTCATTTTCCTGGATTATCCTACTAATCCTTAATTTTATTTGAGATGAGACCTTTACACAGAAGCCTTTCCAGACCATCCAAGGTTAAGTGCCCTTCCATAAGACTCAAGTTTTAACATTATTATAGTGTTTATCACTCTCTGTCTTAGTCTGTTTGGGCTGCTATACCAAAATGTTATAAACTGGGTCATCTATAAACAACAGAAATTTATTTCTCACAGTTCTTGAGGCTGGGAAGTCCAAGATCAAGGTAGCAGCAGACTTGTTGTCTGGTGAGGGACTGTGTCCTCAAAGACAGCTATTACCTCACATGGGGAAGAAGCAATGTATCTCTCTGGGTCTCTTTTTATAAGGATGCTAATCCCTTTCATGAGGACTCTGCCCTCATGACCTGATCACCTCCCAATACCCAAGGTATTGGGTATAGGTATTACCCCCTGATTCCATCACCTTGGGGGTTAGGATTTTAATATATTAATTTTGCAGGGACATAAACATTTGGTTCACTGCATTCCATATTATTTCCTATTTGTATAATTCCTGCACTGAAGTGCAAGCTGCTTGAAGATGGATATTTTATCTTATTCATTGGCATGTCATCAACACCTAACAGAGTGTCTGGCTTTCTTAGGCAGTCAGAATATACTTGTTAAAAGGAAGGAAAGCATTGTGAATATTCTGTAGGAGTTGAAATAGAAAAAAGATACTGGGTTTTGACCACATGCCAACAAAAAGAGCAGTTAATAGATTGAACGAGAGAAATAGGGAAACAAAATGTGCCAGTGGCAAAAGCCTGCTTGCTGACATTTATACATTAAACATTGATGTTCCTGTCTTTTTAAGTGCCAAATTTGGAATCTGTACATTACTTGGACTCTGTACATCATCTGATTAATGAGCATTTCCAGATATTACATTACCTTGCTGCTGGTCAGCAAGCACTCAGTTCAGTTAGTTGAATTGTGCTATTAGTAGTATATTGCATGTTCTGATTATTCATTCAGAACTTCCTCTAAACTTTTCAACACCAACATCTCATGGTCTGACCACAACTTTCTTTTCAACTCCCTTATTTCTGTGTCTTGATTCCTTTTTCCTTCCAATCTATCTTCCATCTTCAACCCTTTCTCTGTCTAGTCTAAGCCATGAACAGCCTCTCAACCCCTTCTGTCTTAATCCTTGTGTCTTAAACTACATAACAAAATTACATTCCCACTAACAGGTTTCCCAATGCCTATATCAGGTTGTCAAGAGTTGCTAGAGAGAAGCCAGGTGTGGTGGCTCATGCTTGTAATACCAACACTGGGAGGCCAAGGTGAGTAGATTGCTTGTGGCCAGGAGTTTGAGACCAGCCTGGGCAACATGACAAAACCCCTTCTCTACTAAAAAAAAAAAAAAAAAAGCCAGGCATGGTGGTGCATGCCTGTAATCCCAGCCTCTTGGGAGGCTGAAGCACAAGAATTGCTTGAACCCAGGAGGCGGAGGTTTCAGTGAGCTAACATCGTGCCATTGCACTCCAGCCTGGGCCACCAAGCAAGACTCTGTCTCAAAAAAAAGGGGAGTTGCTAGAGAGAAATCACAAAATGGTCCAGAGTGTTGCCCCTGCAAATCTCTACTTTCCAACCTCAACTGGACCTCTGCACCACCCAATAGTTTTCCTAGGATCACACTCCTCCCAGAGCAGCTTTTGCAACTGTTGTCACTTTCCTCAAGTCCTCTTTTTTTACATTCCCACCCTCACTCTCAGCAAAGACATTTCCTTCTTTTTCACTGAGAACATGGAGAGCATCTTGTTTCCAACATTCTCTTTTCCTGCAGTATCTGCATCTCCTTCCATTTCTCAGTGAAACAGAGTTTCTCCCATCCAAAGTTACTCCTGCTGCCTGTACTTTGAATTTGCGAGCTGCCACCTCCTTCAGTCCTTTCCTCCCTTGATTTCCCCTCTTTTCCCTGATGTAGTCCTTCGCCTCATTGTCTTTAGCTGACATATTTATGTTTACGTAATTTAAAAAAAAAACTCTAATAGCAACAGAAACTTCTTTAATACACTTGCATTGCAAACTAGTTCCATATCTCTTTCTTTTATTTCACAATCAAGCTTAGACAAAGTTGTCTACACTCACTGTTTATGTTTCCTGGTACTGACAATTGCTGGTTTCCAAATCATTCACAAATTTTTATTATTCCAAATGCTAGTACGATTGGGAGGCCTATTTATTTATTTATTGTGAGAAATATAATTCAAGAAGAATGGAATGTTTGCATCAATATGATCCATTTATTCTGGAGACAAAGTGTAGCATATTGTTTAAGCTTGTAGACTATGTATTTAGAACTGAGTAGCTCACTATTTATGTGATCTTAGGCAAGTTAATTTACATGTCTGAGCCCCAGTATTTTTATACGAATAAAATAGGTAAGCAATAATGCCTACTTTATAGGGTTGTTTTGAAGATCAAATTGATGCAGGCAAACCCAAAAATTGGGGCTCTTGGCTTCAGGTAGGAAGGAAAGAATTCAAGGGTGGTGACAGAGTAAAGTAAAAGCAAAGCAAGTTTATTAGCACAACAGAGAACAGGAAAATGGCTGCTCCATAGACAGAGCAGGGCTACCCCATTGGCAGAGTAGCACTCATGGATTGCTGACTAACAATATTTATAGCTAATCCTTAATTATATGCTAAATAAGGGGTGGGTTATTCACAAATTTTCTATGAAAGGGATGGGGAGTTCCTAGAACCAAGGGTTCCTCCCCTTTTAAACCATATGAGGGACACATTTTTAAGCAGTAAAGTGCTCAAAATGTAAAAGAAGACAATGCCCCTGAGAAATGGGTCAGAACTGAGAGGCTGACTCATATCCAATAAGGACTCAATATTGTTACCTGCTATGTAAAGGGTTACCAGAAGCTCCTCTGTGGAGATAGTAAGGTGTCCAGTGGGAGCTGTGGGGGATCTCAGGCCCCATGAGTCCTCTGTTCTCTTGGCTATTATGGGTTTGGTTGACCCCCTCAGAGCCTGGGGCAGCCCTTTTCCAGTGGTCCTCTTGCTTACAGAGGGCACACTGACTTTGGCTCAGGGGCCACTAAGTCAGGCTCTCATTTATGCATCCCAGATGCCAATCTCATGGCACTTCCTCAAGATGTGTAACTCTGAGGTGGTAGGGGGCTCAAGGCAGCCACCAGGAACTGTGTGTTTTGACTATTTCTTTTGGTTTTCTCTGCCTCCTCTGCCCTGTTCCTACTGTTGTAAACTCCAAAGGCCATGTTTAAGAGTTGGCCTGGCCAGGTGTGGTGGCTTACACCTGTAATCCCAGCTCTTTGGGAGGCCGAAGCAGGCAGATCACTTGAGGTCAGGAGTTCGAGACCAGCCCGGCCAATATGGTGAAACCCGTCTCTACTAAAAATACAAAAAAATTAGCTGGGCGTGGTGGTATATGCCTATAGTCCCAGCTACTCAGGAGGCTGAGTCAGGAGAATCATTTGAGCCCAGGAAGCAGAGGTTGCAGTGAGCCAAGATCACGCCACTGCACTCCAGCCTGGGCAACAGAGTGAGACTCCATCTCAAAAAAAAAAAAAGAGTTGGCCCATTGGGGTTTGAAGTGTCATTTCTGCCTTATGTAACTTCCTTCTAATCTCAAGGAAAGACTGAGTAATAAAATGCATACCCAGGAAAGCATACCTTTCCAGGGAGTCTGGGTCTGTATTAGTATAATTCCTGAGTGTCTCAACCAGACAGCCCTGAAATAAAGCAGGATTTCCATCCTTTTCAAAGTTACATCTCTAATCGTGTCATAATTAGCTGGCTTAACCGCACACTTTTTCATGCTTTCTATTAAACAAGTTACCATGTGATTTCTGCATTCAAAATCTTGGCAACTCCTCTGGTAATCTCTTTGAGTCTCCAGATCTGGAACTGCATCTCCCCCCATATAATAAATGGCATGGCCTTGGTTATAAGCATTCTACCTGCATTTTTACGGGCAGTACCCAGAATCATTTGTTTATCCTCTATGATAGAGCAGGTGGACAATATTTGCAAGTCATGCCAAGTTAAGTCAAAGGACATGGTCAACTTAACAAACTTCTCTACAAACTTCCCTGCATCCTCTTAAAAACCAGCTACATTTCTCCTTGCATAAAGCCAAATCAGATATAGAAAAAAAAAAAAAAACACATGTATTCTGATTGTCCAGTCATCTCTATCAGCTACCTCTCACAATGAACATAGGTTCAGTTTTAGGGGCTGATATGAGACCCCACTCCTGGTGATACTGGTTGGGCTTACTTCCTTGGGCAGGGCGAGATATAGGCTTGGGATAGTTTAATAAGGGGAAGGGGAGGTGGAATCCTGTGCTGTGGAACTGGTGAGATCAGCCTCCTCAGAACTGGGGGACTGAAGAGACTTCAGGTTGGGGAGCACATGGGCCTTCTATGGGGAGTAGCTAGGAGGGGATTATCTAGGGTATCTAGTGTGGCTTTTTGGTGTCTGGATGTAACATGAGCAAGGCACATTCTACAGGTGTCCCTTAAGTCAGGCTCCTAGTAGAGAGCCATAAGAGCCTGTACATAAGGGATTTCTCTTCATTCTCCTTCCTTTTTACAGAATAAGTTGAATTGTAAAATAGTTGAATTGTAAAATAATGTAACAAACCATTTTTAGGCCAAATTTCTTGGTCTCTTAATTTGTATTGGACCCAAACTGCGTTGCAGTGGAAAATGAGTCTCGGCTTATACAGTATGGTCAGCCACATTAGCTAGCATTCGCTCTACTCTCTCTGACAGGGAAGCAGCGGAATACAAGAGACTGAACTGTATCTGCCTCTGTTTCCAAAAGATTCACGTTCAACTTTCACTCACACAAAGCCGGGAAAATTTTACTTTTTTTTTTTTTTTTTTAGACAGAGTCTCGCTCTGTCACCAGACTGGAGTGCAGTGGCTTGATCTCGGCTCACTGCAACCTCCGCCTCCCAGGTTCAAGCGATTCTCCTGGCTCAGTCTCCCAAGTAGCTGGAATTACAGGCACCCACTACCATGCCCAGCTAATTTTTGTATTTTTAGTAGAGACGGGGTTTCACCATGTTGGTCAGGATGGTCTCGATCTCCTGACCTCGTGATTCGCCCGCCTCGGCCTCCCAAAGTGATGGGATTACAGGCGTGAGCCACCGCGTCCGGTCATTTTATTAGTCTTTAAAAAAAAAAAGGAACCTGAACTTTTCTAACACAGCTGGAACAATTCACAGCAGCCGCGGCAGCCGCAGCAGCAGAAGAAAAGGTTTAATTTAGTTGATTTTCTGTGGTTGTTGATTGTTCGCCAGTCTCATGGTGATGGAAGCTGTACATTTTTCCGAAGGGACCGAGAAGCGGCTGGAGGTTTGGTTCTCCTGGCAGCAGCCCAATGCAAACCAAGGATCTGGGGATCTTCGCACTATCCCAAGATCTGAGTGGGACTTTTTTTTTTTTTTTTTTTTTGAGACGGAGTCTCGCTGTGTCGCCCAGGCTGGAGTGCAGTGGCACGATCTCGGCTCACTGCAACCTCGGTCTCCCAAGCTCACGCCATTCTCCTGCCTCAGCCTCATGAGTAGCTGGGACTACAGGCGCCCGCCACCACGCCCGGCTCATTTTTCGTATTTTTAGTAGAGACGGGGTTTCACCGTGTTAGCCAGGATGGTCTCGATCTCCTGACCTCGTGATCTGCCTGCCTCAGCCTCCCAAAGTGCTGGGATTACAGGCGTGAGCCACCGCGCCCGGCCAAGTGGGACATACTTTTGAAGGATGTGCAACGTTCAATGATAAGTGTGACAAAAACTGACAACCAGGAAGCTTGTGTACTCAGTGAGAGTAGCATGTTTGTCTCCAAGAAACGTTTCATTTTGAAGACACGTGGTACCACTCTCTTACTGAAAGCGCTGGTTCCCCTGTTGAAGCTTGCTAGGCATTACAGTGGGTTTGACTCAATTCAAAGCTTCTTTTATTCTTGTGAGAATTTCATGAAGCCTTCCCCCTAAGGGTACCTACACTAGAATTTCCAGGAAGAAATAGAGTTTCTTAATGCAATTTTCCCAAATGGAGCAGCATATTGTATGGGAAGTATGAATTCTGACTGTTGGTACTTACGTACTCTGGATTTCCCAGAAAGGTAATCAGTCAGCCAGATCAAACCCTGGAAAATTTGATGAGTGGGCTTGACCCAGCAGTTATGGACCAGTTCTACATGAAAGATGGCGTTACTGCAAAGGATGTCATTTGTGAGAGTGGAATTCACAACCTGATACCAGGTTCTGTCATTAATGCCACAATGTTCAATCCTTATGGGTATTCGATGAATGGAATGAAATCAGATGGAACTTATTGGACTATTCACATCACTCCAGAACCAGAATCTTTTTATGTTAGCTTTGAAACAAACTTAAGCCACCTCCTATGATGACCTGATCAGGAAAGCTATGGAAGGCTTCAAGCCAGGAAAATTTGTGATCACTTTGTTAATCAGAGTTCTAAATGTCGCGCCGTGTTTTCTTCACCTCAGAAGATTGAAGGTTTTAAGCGTCTTGATTGCCAGAGTGCTATGTTCAATGATTACAATTTTGTTTTTACCAGTTTTGCTAAGAAGCAGCAATAACAGCAGAGTTGATTAAGAAAAATGAAGAAAAAAATGCAAAAAGAGAACACACGTAAGAAGGTGGTGGATGCTTTCTAGATGTCGATGCTGGGGTCAGTGCTTTCCATAACCACCACAGTGTAGTTGCATAAAGCCCTATATGTAATGATAGTGTAATCATTTTGAATTGTATGCATTATTATATCAAGGAAATAGATATCTTGCACGAATGTTCGCTTCTGTGTTTAGGTATTCTCTGCCACTCTTGCTGTGAAATTGAAGTGCATGTAGAAAAAACCTTTTACTATATGAAACTTTATAACACTTGTGAAAGCAATTCAATTTGGTTTATGCACAGTGTAATATTTCTCCAAGTATCATCCAAAATTCCCCACAGACAAAGCTTTCATCCTCATTAGGTGTTGGACTCAGCCTAACCGTCTAGGACTGTTCTATTAAATTGCTGCCAGAATTTTACATCCAGTTACCTCCACTTTCTAGAACATATTCTTTACTAATATTATTGAAACCAATTTCTACCTCATACAGAGGTTTTTTAAAACAGCAATTAAAGTTTTTCTTCCATGAAAAAAAAAAAAAAGAAAGAAAATCGGTCTCTTTCTCTTTAAGAGAATTTGAATTTGATCCAATTGCTTTTGACACCCTAGCAGCAAGTCCTTTGAGATGCTTGCCATTGTCCCCATGTCTAACAAGGATCTCCACTAGACACAGAAGTTTTTCTAAATCTATCAAGAGCCTAGTTAATTTTTCTTTCAAATGCCTACCTCCCTTTTCCCTCAAGAAAGGTCAGTAGGGCAATCACCACTAATTCCTGCAAAGAAGGCATAAGTACAGTTACCATGGCATAACGAAAATGAATTATCAGATATGAGTGGACAGTAGAGAGATGGATGGCTGCATCCACTAGCAAATGGAATGCAACAAAAGAGGAGTTTTTGTTTGTTTGTTTGTTTGTTTGTTTTTGAGACGGAGTCTGGCTCTGTCCCCTAGGCTGGAGTGCAGTGGCACGATCTCAGCCCACTGCAAGCTCCGCCTTCCGGGTTCACGCCATTCTCCTGCCTCAGCCTCCTGAGTAGCTGGGACTACAGGTGCCCGCCACCACACCTGGCTAATTTTTTTGTATTTTTAGTAGAGACAGGGTTTCACCACATTGGCCAGGATGGTCTCGAACTCCTGACCTCGTGATCCGCCAGCCTCGGCCTCCCAAAGTGCTGGGATTACAGGCTTGAGCCACCGCACCCGGCCAAAAGAGGAGTTTTAATAAGCAAATTATTGAAGGAGAGATTAAAATAAGGAAATAGGATTCTTATAGTCTGAATTCCACAAAAAGTGAAGAAAGCATTTTGGAGAAAAAATGGGATGACAAAGACAACAAGAAAAAATGAGACCAAGATCCCCCAAGGATGGGACTCTAACCCACAATCCTAGAGGGGATACCTAGATCCCTCTAGAGTGGGACTCTAACCCACAATCTTAGAGGGCCAAAAGCAGTTAATGCTGAAAAACCTGGAGCATCCAGGCATCAACCAATGACGGTCCCCCACATCAAATGCTACACATCCCAGAACAACCTGGAGGCAGACAACAGTGAACCCCAAAGGCACAAGCCCAAGGTCCTCAATGGTGGGATTCTCACCCACAATCCTATGGGGACAATTCCAAAACAATTGGGGGCACAGAACAGCATGACTCCAACATTCCAAAGTCAGCACAATGGGGGATCACTCATAATAACAAAAGAAAAAATGCAGCCAGGCGCAGTGGCTCACACCTGTAATCCCAGCACTTTGGGAGGCTGAGGCAGGTGGATCATGAGGTCAGAAGTTTGAGACCAGCCTTACCAACATGGGGAAACCCCGTCTCTACTAAAAATACAAAAATTAGCCAGGCATGGTGGCGCACGCCTGTAATCCCAGCTACTCAAGAGCCTGAGGCAGGAGAATTGCTTGAACCTGGGAGGCAGAGTTTGCAGTGAGCCGAGATCACGCCACTGCACTCCAGCCTGGGTGACAGAGCAAAACTATGTCTTGGAAAAAAAAGAAAAAAAAAAGAAAAAAATGCAAAACAAGGAAACTGTCCTACCTCATATAACATAGAAACAATTGCCCAAATAGCAGGGGAAACAAAGGAGACACCTATCCATGGAGGGCAAATGGTGCTGATTGATGTTAGTAGGGGGGCGTCCAGTGAAGGTCTCCTGCAGTTCCCCTCGGCTTGTTAATCCCTTCATGGGTTCCAGGAAAGATGATGCAGGTGAATCCCAAAACTGGGGCTCAGCCCAGGAGGGTTCTTGGCTTCATGCAGGAAGGAATTCAAGGGTGAGCCAACAGAGTAAAGTGAAAGCAAACCAAGTTTATTAAGAGCAACAGAATACAGGAAAATGGCTGCTCCATAGATAGAGCAGGGCTACCCCATAAGCAGAGTAGCACTCATGGATTGCTGACTAACTCTATTTATAGCTACTCCTTAATTATATGCTAAATAAGGGGCAGGTTATTCATAAATTTCCTAGAAAAGGATGAGGAGTTCTCAAAACCAAAGGTTCCTCCTCTTTTAAACCATATAATAGCTTCTGGACATTGCCATGGCATTTGTAAACTGTTATGGCACCAGTGTGAGTATCTTTTAGCATGCTAATGTATTATAATTAGTGTATAACACAGATCAAGGGCAATTAGAGATCACATTCGTTGCCATCTTGGTTTTAGCTGATTTAGCTGATTTATTTAATGCCTCCTGTTTTGATTAGCAAGGTTGTGACCAGTGTTTGGAAAACAAGTCCTGCTGATCTACCTCTATATAAGATAATTAAATTAGATAATCCATGTAAAGTGTTCATTTGGAACATAGTAAATGCTAAATATTAGCTATTATTATTGTTATTATTTTCCTCCCAATATGCAAATTTAGATGGATAATAAAATTATAAGAAGAAGATTGCTTAGCACTAGATTCCCAGAAGTGGTTTATTCATTAGTTTAATGGCCTCAGGCAGGATACACCCACTGCAGCATCTAGAGTGCTCAATCTCAGGAAAGGGTGCACTTTCATGGACTCTTCAGAATCCTACTATTATTTCACATCTCTGCAACTGTAGGCTGTCAGAAAAACAATACTCCAATACAAAGGCTTCAAAAGCAAGTCTCTCTGACCTTCTATCCTCCTGCCTCTGGCCCCTCATTCTCCCAAGGCTAGCCTTAGAAACTAGAATTTTTCTTCCTCAAGGCAGGTCATAGAAACTAGAACCCCATTTCCCCAACACCAGGCATAAAACCTAAAAGTATTATCCTAACGTTCCCCCAACATTTTTGTGTAAAAATCAGCCATAAAAAAAATTATTTGACCTACCTTGTTTGATTGCAGGTCTAAAGACCCTCATTCCAGAGAGCATCCTGCCCCATATCCAGAATGAAATCCATGCTCAGAGATGCCAAGAAGAATCTAGACAGACAGGCCTTTCTAGGTAGGTTTCCCCACTCGGTCTTTAGCATTAGATCTTACCCTTTTTGTCCAATCATATTTCTACATAGCTGCCCATACTTTGTTGAACCTAATGATAAAAATGGACAGTTTCCTCTATATCTTTGGGTCCGCATTCTAAAGGCTCCTGTGTCAGGTACAACTCTAACCAAATAAATTTATATGCCTTTTCTCCTAGTAATATGTGATTTTCAGCAAAACTTCAGAAGGCAAAGGGAAAGATTTCCCAGCCCCTAACCAACATTTGGCACTCGTAAGCTCTTCCTCTTTAACCTTCTATTCTCCACTGGCTTCTGTCATTTTATTCCTATGTAAATGAAGAAAACAGATTTCTCTTCTTCAATCCAGCCATTAAACTTGATAATTTTCTCTTCTCTTCTGTCTCACTTTTCCTAAGTAATCTCATTTCTTCCTGTGGCTTCAGCTATCAAATCTCTAACTCAAGCAACATTGCTCTGAGTGCCAACACCATAAATTTAACTCTCCTCTGAAGAACTCTACTTGGATGCTCCAGGTACCAAATGAAATATCCAAAACGGAAGAAAGGAGAGTCCCTTCATTTCCTGAATCTGCTCCCTTCTGGTATTCCGAATCTTATAGGCTGAGGCACCAAAGCCAGAATCCTGAAAGTCATCCTGATCTCTGGCCTCTCACTAATGACTCACATACAATCTCTCAACATCTGTCAACTTCTTCCTAAAAATCTCTTAAATGTGGCCCTTCTGTCCAACCCCACTACTACTAGCTTAGTAGCTACCATCATTTCTCACCAGAATTTCTACAATAGCCACTGAACTTGTTTTCTGCTTCATGTCTCATATGCCTCCAACCTACCAATCTCACACCCCTGCTTATCCTCAGCACCTGGAACAGTGTCTGGCATGAAGTAGACACAAATCAATATTTGTTGAATGAACAAGCGAATGAATCAATTCCTATCATAGAGCCCAAGGAAAAACTTCCCCTTTGCCCTCTGAAGTTTTGTTGAAAAGTCAACTGACAAAAAAAGCAGATTAAAAGAAGAAATGACATGAGGAATAATTACTCTGTGGTTCTCCTTTGTGGGTATGTTAATAAATTTCTGTGCCATTTCTCCTATTAAGCTGCCTTTTATCAGTTGATTTTTCAGTGGACCTTCAGAGGGCAAAGGGGAAGTTTTTGCTTGGCTCCTATAGTTTTGGTGCTGTGAGCAGTATACCAAAACTATTCTGCTCTTAAGCCAGAGTGAAGGGAACCCAGGACCTGACTAGCTGCCAGAAGAACAAGAATTTCTTACCGGCCAAGCTTCTGGCCTCTCTTTCTGTGGAATCTGATCAAGTTGACAGTTAAAATCCCTGTTTGTCTCTTTTCTCTGCAAAATCTTGATTAATGGGAGACAAGGATTTGTGTGAGTAGTCTTGGGTGTTGTGACTCTGGTGTAATTTTTGGTTTAAGTATTCATATTATTTGATCCTTTTTGTCCCAGAAATCAACTTTTTCTTTCTTTGTCTTTCCGTGTTGTTATGTCATAAAGAAGGGTACCAAGCATGAGGTAGAACATAGGCCTAAAGCCTTTATAAGCCCATTTTTCCAGCCAGCCTTGCGGACTTGTCAGAATTGTAGTTCTGACCAGAACAGCATATAAACTTTGTTGTGGGCCCCCAAAATAAAAACCATATGAGATTCCCCTTTCATCTTGTTTTATATCCTTGAAAGTGTGGCTGGTGACAAAGTGGGAGCACTCTCTCTTGGTCTCCACTATCTATGAGGCATGATTTTCAGGTCATATAAGGTGACCAGTCTGAAAATGGCTGGGACGTGAGACATGTAAGATTTTAAGCAGCACACTTTTTGTTATGAATGTGTCAAGCTCTCAGGGGAGTTTGTCTTAAAAGTCCCATCACTGTGGGCTTTTGTCATCTCAACTCTTGTTGCTTGGTTCTAAACAATTGCCTTCTTTGTGTTTATAGACAGACCAAATTAAAATAAAGACATATAATAGTATCATGGCTAACCTTAGAAATTCTCTTGACAAAATTAAACAGCAAAAATCTGACCTAACACAAAGTGAAAATCATAACTGAAGGGGTGGGTTGCCCCTCCACACCTGTGGGTGTTTCTCGTTAGGTGGAACGAGAGACTTGGAAAAGAAAAAGACACAGAGACGAAGTATAGAGAAAGAAAATAAGGGGACCCAGGAAACCAGCGTTCAGCATATGGAGGATCCCGCCAGCCTCTGAGTTCTCTTAGTATTTATTCATCATTTTTGGGTGTTTCTCAGAGAGGGGGATGTGGCAGGGTCATAGGATAATAGTGGAGAGAAGGTCAGCAGATAAACACGTGAACAAAGGTCTCTGCATCATAGACAAGGTAACGAATTAAGTGCTGTGCTTTAGATATGCATACACATAAACATCTCAATGCCTTACAAAGCAGTATTGTTGCCCGCATGTCCCACCTCCAGCCCTAAGGCAGTTTTCCCCCATCTCAGTAGATGGAACATACAATCGGGTTTTATACCGAGACATTCCATTGCCCAGGGACGGGCAGGAGACAGATGGCTTCCTCTTGTCTCAACTGCAAAGAGGCATGCCTTCCTCTTATACTAATCCTCCTCAGCACAGACCCTTTACGGGTGTTGGGCTGGGGGATGGTCAGGTCTTTCCCTTCCCAGGAGGCCATATTTCAGACTATCACATGGGGAGAAACCTTGGACAATACCTGGCTTTCCTAGGCAGAGGTCCCTGGGTACTTGAGATTAGGGAGTGGTGAAGACTCTTAATGAGCATGCTGCCTTCAAGCATCTGTTTAACAAAGCACATCTTGCACCGCCCTTAATCCATTTAACCGTAAGTTGACACATCACATGTTTCAGAGAGCACGGGGTTGGGGGTAAGGTTATAGATTAACAGCATCTCAAGGCAAAAGAATTTGTCTTAGTACAGAACAAAATGGAGTCTCCTATGTCTACTTCTTTCTACACAGACACAGTAACAATCTGATCTCTCTTTCTTTTCCCCACAATAACATATGTGCTCAAACTGTCTGTAGGATTCACAATAAAGCTGCTCCACCTTTCAGTCCAGTAATTAAAATTCTGTGCTTTCACTACTGTGGTCTGGGTTTGATTACCAGTCAGGGAACCAGTACCTTTTGGTCTGATATTTGTGTGACTTTTGGCTTTTTGGGGTACCCATTTGTTGTTGATCATTTTCTGTTTCATGGACAGCTTTTGATTTTCTGCCTCCTTCCATCTGTGGGGGCGTATGAGGCTTTTGGGCCTTTGTGTGTAGACAGTCAGCTGAGAAGTTGAGACACTAGAGAATATGGCTGGACAGATGTGGGTTGAATCCCGTTTGCGGCTACTGAAACTTTATTTTCTTTGAACTGTCTTTCAGTGCATCTGCATCTTGTGAGGACTGCTTTTTACCTCTTTGGAGACACCTCATGTGTCCTTAGTTAAATTGTTGAGTCACTTGCAAAGTTACCTTTCATAAAAAAGTTTAAAAGTCAGGAATATTAGCTATTTGTCCTAGCCAAAATCCAATAATAAAAGATCTGAAAATATATTTTTAAAAAGCTCTATGATCAGAAGTCAGCTTAATTAGAAGCTAATATTCAACATATATGTTGAATATATCGTTATATACATAAATATATAATATACATATATTTATATTATATTATATTATAACTATATTAAATATATAGGTATATATTTAATATAGTTATATATTTATATAAATATATACCTATATATTTATAGAAATATATTTAATTTATATTTAATTTATATTATATTATATTATAAATATATTGTTATATATTTATATATTATATTTTATTTATATATTATATAAATGTATAATATTATGTTATATATTATATATAACATATAATATATAAATATTATAAAATATATAATAGATAAAATATTTTTATATTATATATTATAATATATAAATGTATTATTACAATATATAAATATATGTGTATATAAATATGCAAAAATATATTTATATAAATATATGTATATAAATATGCAAAAATATATTTATATAAATATATATATTTAAAGGCCTTTCTGCCTTTTTTCTTTGGGATCCTATTTCTGAGGATTTTTCTAGTTTACTGAAACTTCTTTTAATTGTATATTTGGTCTTTTTGTATGCTTCATTTCTTGTGGTATGATTTTTGTTAAGAAAAGCGTAAAACTTCATTGGCTTTTTGTTCCTCCTTTCTCTTTGCTGTCTTGAATATCACATAAAAGGATCTGTGGGAACATCTAAAGACCCTGTAAGAAACATAGAAAACCCTCTCCCTCCCCCTCCCCCTCCCCCTCCCCCTCTCCCGAGCCGAAGCTGGACTGTACTGCTGCCATCTCGGCTCACTGCAACCTCCCTGCCTGATTCTCCTGCCTCAGCCTGCCCAGTGCCTGCAATTGCAGGCGCGCGACGCCACGCCTCACTGGTTTTCGTATTTTTTTGGTGGAGACGGGGTTTCGCTGTGTTGGCCGGGCTGGTCTCCAGCTCCTAGCCACGAGTGATCCGCCAGCCTCGGCCTCCCGGGGTGCCGGGATTGCAGACGGAGTCTGGTTCACTCAGTGCTCAATGGTGCCCAGGCTGGAGTGCAGTGGCGTGATCTCGGCTCGCTACAACCTCCACCTCCCAGCCGCCTGCCTTGGCCTCCCAAAGTGCCGAGATTGCAGCCTCTGCCCGGCCGCCACCCCGTCTGGGAAGTGAGGAGCGTCTCTGCCTGGCCGCCCATCGCCTGGGACGTGAGGAGCCCCTCTGCCTGGCTGCCCAGTCTGGAAAGTGAGGAGCATCTCTGCCCGGCCGCCATCCCATCTAGGAAGTGACGAGCGCCTCTTCCCGGTCGCCATCCCATCTAGGAAGTGAGGAGCGTCTCTGCCCGGCCGCCCATTGTCTGAGATGTGGGGAGAGCCTCTGCCCCGCCGCCCCGCCTGGGATGTGAGGAGCGCCTCTACCCGGCCGCGACCCTGTCTGGGAGGTGAGGAGCGTCTCTGCCCGGCCGCCCCGTCTGAGAAGTGAGGAGACCCTCCGCCTGGCAACCGCCCGTCTGAGAAGTGAGGAGCCCCTCCGCCCGGCAGTCACCCCGTCTGGGAAGTGAGGAGCGTCTCCGCCCAGCAGCCACCCCGTCCGGGAGGGAGGTGGGGGTCAGCCCCCGCCAGGCCAGCTGCCCCGTCCGGGAGGGAGGTGGGGGGGTCAGCCCCCCGCCCGGCCAGCCGCCCCGTCCGGGAGGTGAGGGGCGCCTCTGCCCAGCCGCCCCTACTGGGAAGTGAGGAGCCCCTCTGCCCGGCCACCACCCCGTCTGGGAGGTGTACCCAACAGCTCATTGAGAACGGGCCATGATGACAATGGCGGTTTTGTGGAATAGAAAGGGGGGAAAGGTGAGGAAAAGATTGAGAAATCGGATGGTTGCTGTGTCTGCGTAGAAAGAGGTAGACATGGGAGACTTTTCATTTTGTTCTGTACTAAGAAAAATTCTTATCCTGTTGATCTGTGACCTTACCCCCAACCCTGTGCTCTCTGAATCATGTGCTGTGTCCACTCAGGGTTAAATGGATTAAGGGCGGTGCAAGATGTGCTTTGTTAAACAGATGCTTGAAGGCAGCATGCTCGTTAAGAGTCATCACCACTCCCTAATCTCAAGTACCCAGGGACACAAACACTGCGGAAGGCCGCAGGGTCCTCTGCCTAGGAAAACCAGAGACCTTTGTTCACTTGTTTATCTGCTGACCTTCCCTCCACTATTGTCCTATGACCCTGCCAAATCCCCCTCTGCGAGAAACACCCAAGAATAATCAATAAAAATAAATAAATAAATAAATAAATAAAATAATAAATAAATAAAAAGAAACATAGAAAAGCTACCACTCACCCACTTTATGGGAATGATCTTCTGTCTTCCTGTGGAGTCTGAAGAGTCATGGGCAAGTTCTTATCAGGTCTAAAGCTCCACTCTCCTTTGCATTGCATTACCTGGTCTCTTTGGCTTTGGGGGTTCAAGGAATTACTTTGACCTATTAGAGAATTTGACCTTGTGTATGCAATGGCTGGTGGGTCACTGGTGAGGGCTGCAGTTTTGGAGGTAGCTGACAGTGGTTGCAATTAATAGTTATTACTGTATGTAGGCTACTTGTTGCTTTGCTCTATTCTATAAAAAAGACATAGTTGAATACATGGAGACTGTGGGAATACTCACCACCAAGGAATAACTATCCCATGGTGGATGGGCTGATCACAGAATGGGCTGATTGATATGGGTCTCCCACCCACTAATACCTGACACACAATCTGTCACTCTCACTAATGCCTCACACACCCCCACCAGCCTCAGGGTGACATCTTTGTAGTGAGGTGTACTCTGGAAACACTGTGCAGCCCAGTCCTTTGGTGTTTCCCTCTTTTGTGGGGGACCCAGGGTTCAGTGTAAAAGTAGAATCCTTGATTTTTAAAAATCTAGATGCTCTGTCTTCCAGCTGTGCCTACTTTTTACATATACAAATATTAGGCCCTAAAAACTGCAAATGCTTTGTTTGCCCTGTTCCTTAATGGGCTCTGCCCAGAACTCAGTGGTCTAAGTAGAAAACAGATACTAAATTAGAAGCCACCTATATGACTAGATTGGTCTCCAAAATATGACTTTCTGACATTTAGGTGTTTGTTTTTGTTTTTGGTAGGGTTTTCTGTATTTTTTGTTTCGTTTTGTTTTTGTTTTTGTTTTTTGAGACAGTGTATTAGGCCATTCTTGAGTTACTATAAAGAAATTCCTGAGACTGGGTAATTTATAAGAGGTTTAGTTGGTTCACAGTGCTGCAGGCTGTACAAGAGGCATAGTGCCAGCATTTGCTTCTGGAGAGTCCTTAGGAAGCTTACAATCATGGTGAAAGGAAAAGGGGGAGGAGGCACATCTCACAGCAAAAGCAGGAATAAGAGAAAGAGAGTATGGGGGGAGGTGCCACATACTTTAAAATGACCAGATCTTGCAAAAACTCACTTGGCACCAAGGGGACAGCCCTAGCCATTCATGAGGGACCTGCCCCCATGATCCAAATACCTCCCACCAGTTATTACATTTCAACATGAGATTTGGGTGGGGACAAATATCCAAACCATATCAGACTGGGTCTTAATCTGTTGTCCAGGCTGGAATGCAGTCACACAATCACAGCTCACTGCAGCCTCAACTTCCTGGGCTCAAGCAATGTCCTCATCCTCCTACCTCAGCCTCTCAAGTAGCTGCTATTACAGGCACACGCCACCATGCCTGGCTAATTTTGTTGCTTTTGTAGAGACAAAGTTATATACCATGTTGCCCGGGCTTAGCTAGTTATTTTTAAAAGGCTTCTGAATTTCCTCTCTGCTCATTTGTATCTTTCATTGTAACATCCTATGTGAATTTCTATAATTTTGTGTCACATTGGTGTGTTTGTCTGTTTTGTGTTGCTATAAAGGAATACCTGAGGCTTGGTGATTTATAAAGAAAAGTTTATTTGGCTCACTATTCTGCAGGCTGTACAAGAAGCATGATGCCAGCATCTGCTTCTGGTGACAACCTCAAGAAGTTTACAATTGGCCGCGTGCGGTGGCTCATGCCTGTAATGCCAGCACTTCGGGAGGCGGAGACAGATGGATCATTTGAGGTCAGGAGTTCGAGACCAGGCTGGCCAACATGGTGAAACCCCATCTCTACTAAAAATACAAAAATTAGCTGGGCATGGTGGCATGTGTCTGGAATCCCTGCTACTCAGGAGGCTGAGGCAAGAGGATCACTTGGAACTTGGGAGGCAGAGGTTGCTGTGAGCTGAGATCACACCACTGTACTCCAGCCTGGGCAACAGAGTGATACTCTATCTCAAAAAAAAAAGAAAGAAAGAAAGAAAAGAAAAAGAAGCTTACAATCATGGTGGAAGGCGAAGAGGAGGAGCAGGCATATCACATGGCCAAAAAGGGAGCAAGAGAAAGGTGAGAAAGACACTAGACTCTTTTTAAAACCAGCTCTCACATGAGCTAATGGAATAAGAACTCACTCATTACCACAAGGACAGAACCCAGCCATTCATGAGGGACCTGCCACCATGACCCAAAAACCTCCTACTTGACCCAACCTCCAACACTGGGGATAACATTTCAACATGAGATTTGAAGAGGACAAATACTCAAACTATATCACTTGTTGTCCATTTTTAATCTTTCTCTAACATACCCTAACTTCTTCTTGAAAATGCTTAATTTTCTCTGTTTTGAGATGTAAATTTGCTATCCTGTTTTTCTTAAAACTTGGTAAGATCTTCAGCCATGAAGGACAGACAAACTGTAACCTTTCCATTTACAAAGCTGCATTTGAATTCAACTGTCCTTTTAAACTAAGGAGTTTTACTGGTCTCGTGGCTAAAATTTTAAAGATGTAGGCCAGGTGCAGTGGCTCATGCCTGTAATCCTATCACTTTTGGAGACCAAGGCGGGGATGGATCACCTGAGGTCAGGAGTTCAAGACCAGCCTGGCCAACATGATGAAACTCCATCTCTACTAAAAATACAAAAATTAGTCAGGCATGGTGGCACACACCTGTAATCCCAGCTACTCGGGAGGCTGAGGCAAGAGAATGGCTTGAACCCGGGCGACGGAAGTTGCAGTGAGGCGAGATTGCACCATTGCACTCCAGCCTGGGCAATAAGAGTGAAACTCTGTCTCAAAAAAAGAAAAAATGATATAAAGTATTTATTTGTGTTTATATTTTATGGATACGTGTCTATGTTTATAGATTGCCTGTATGGTACCAACTTGACATAAATAAATTAGTACTCATAAATTAAGTAAATAAGCCCAAACGCTTTTCAAGTTCACAGGGCATTAGTAATCTGTGGTAAATGAAGATAGTTTAAAATTTGGGGTAAAATAAAATAGAAACATTTTCTGAATTTAATTTAGATATTTTTCTGGGTCTATTTGTTAGACAGGTTTACACTATCTCTGCTATTTTTTTAAGGACCTAAAACTGAATGGACATAGAAAATTGAGGAAAGAAATAAAACCGTAACAATTATAAGAGGTTATAAAAGGTTCATGGAACCTTTTTATGTTTTTTCTTGTGCAGTCAAAACCAATTGCAGGCTGGATGCAGTAGCTCACACTTGTAATCCCAGCACTTTGGGAGGCTGAGATGGGCAGATCACTTGAGCTCAGGAGTTTGAGACCATCCTGGGCAACATAGTGAAACTCTCTCACTACCAAAGTACAAAAGGAATTAGCTGGGCATGATGGTACACACTTGTAGTCCCAGCTACTTGGGGGACTGAGATGGGAAAATTGCTTGAGCCCGGGAGTCAAAGGTTGCAGTAAGCCAAGATTGCACCACTACACTCCAGCCTGGGTGACAAAGTGAGACCCTGTCTCAAAAAAAAACAAAAAAAGGAAAAGAAAACAATTGCAATTGGATTGATCTGTTTATAAGGCTTTATTAAAATTAGCTTTAGCATTTATAATACACTGGCACAAAGTTAGAATTTGGATTTCTCTTTTGAACAAGATTTTTGTATACATTAATAAGAAATAGTAAAAGATTTTTGTTTACCTTTTGAGTAAACTGCAAAAAATATTAGTAATAAGAGGAGAGAATTTCCCTAATGCTGTTTTTATTATGTCTTTTGATTGTTTGGAAAACTGAATCTCCCCTCTGTCAAAGAGTAAAATTTTTGCTTTTTGAAATTTTTGAATTATCAGTTTGGCTAAATGAATAACTATTATCTTACAGTGACCTGTAATCTTATTTTGATCAAGTGTTTTAAACCTTTGATATTTGACAAACTTCCCAAAATCAAATGTAAAATTCTAACTTAAATGTTTTCGACCTCAAGCTAACTTTTGGGCATTAAAGCCCTTGGAAGTCCAAATAGGGCCCCTGGAAGTCCAAAAGAAACATATTAGGCTAATTTGGTATATTAAAATCATACAGGAAGCTGATCAAATAAAAAATGTTGTTTAATTTTCTTTGAGTTGTATTTGTATAAATCTGTTATTAATATGCATCCCAAAATTGTATCATATTGCTAAAATGTTGATAGATCTTGTTATATGTTATTGGTAATAATTGTTATCCTGTTAAATTATTGTATACCACAGAAATAATGAAATTTCTTTGTCAATTGCATCAGTAATCATGGCTCTTCTAAGTCTTTTGTCATTCACAGATGATTATTGTTTTACTTGGATTCTTTTCAAAAGTGGTTTGTAATTGGCTACAGCCTAAAATCTGCTTGTTCAAAAAAAAAAAAAAAAAATCCATGGAAAGGGCCCTGACAGCACACACACTTAAACACAGTTTTCTGATAACTTTGGAATTCACACCGTTGGACTAGTTAAAAACTTCTAAAATAATTTTTTAAAATCTAATAAATTAATGAAGATTGCTAATCCAACATCAAGCAGAATAAGTTAATTACATGGGGCTGAACTGATAAAATGCCAAAATAATATTTTCATAACCTTTTTTTGGTTTGAGACATTGCTGATACTTTTTATGTTTTGTTTTCCAGAGTCAAGAAAATTGTTTTTTTCTTTTGAGCTGTACATAGCTTACAGTAATTAGATAAATTACACTTTTGTGAGAACAATTGAAACACTAACCTTTCTCTCTACCTGATGTCTCCAGAATTTGGAAAGTATTTGTGAGTATTCTTCACTTTTGGCAATATAGTTATTTGTACAAATTCGATAGGAATCTGTTTTCTTTTGTAACAGAACACAGTTGGATACACTGATTATTTTGCCAAGGCTTTCATTGGAATGGCATAATTTTTTAATGACCAGACTGCTTTGAGGATTTGAAGTTGACTTTATAGAGCCTATAAAAAGCCTGTTGGAAAAATTAGCCTGATACCTTGTCTACACAGTTTCCTTACAAGGTTCCTGACCTTGCGGTAGTAAAGAATGTCACTCTCTGGCAGGCCCAGGAGCCTCAGGATATTTTGGGAACCTTGACAAGAGAGGAGTGTATCCAATTTATACAGGAATTACAAGTGCAGTCTGATTGTGAATCCTTGTCTTGGCTTCTTAGCCTTGAGAGTTTTTAAAAGTTGAATGTGAAATTCCTTATGAAAAAGTTCCAACAAAGCCAAACTTTAAAAGAGCCTATATGTGGTCAATCACTATTTTTGCTGTACTTTATGCAAATAATCAGGCCAAATATAATAAAACTAAAACTTATTTTGCAAATAAATTGGTCCTGTTATGATTTGCCTTTAATAGAAAAGGGGGACTGGAGAGAGAAGAATTATGTTTCAGAAGAAAATGATAGCATACCTGTTGTTAGATTCTAGCTTTGTCCATTGTTTTTAAGTTGTAATTATTTGCCTACATTTGAACTAAATCTTGAATTCTTTCCTGGCTACAAGTCTCCAAGCTAACATTTAAATTTTTTTCTCCTATGTTTCTGACTTGGAATAAGTAGAAGTTAAAACTATGCTTTTCTTGAAGCCCTGCAGACTGGAGCAAGACAACTTGAATAAACTATGGGAAAAATCACTACAGCAACTTATATATAAACAGCTTTTATGCTTTGTTGATGTATGGAATACTCAGAAAGTTCACTGCAACACCTGATTTAAACTACAACCAGGAGACTCTGTCAGATTAACACTACAATCTGAAGAACTACAGAGACTCTCAAAAAACTAGTGTATAGTCTACAGTAGATATTAACCTTTGTTTTTCTTCTGTTTTCATAGAAACACCTTTTATTAAAAATCTGTTTGCCGCTTCATATATAGAGTCCTAGTCCATCTGTAATGCCACCCCCTGGAATGAGACATAGCTGTTTAACTGAACTGATCTATTCTCGGGACTAAGAGACTGATAAAAAAAGATATAAAATGATATATTCAAATTTGCTCCTTTCTGCTTATCCCTTTTGTTTTTCCACTCCTTTGTCTATCTGTTTCTGTAACCAAAAAGGCGTCCTGATCCAGACCCCAAGAGAGGGTTCTTGGATCTTGCGCAAGAAAAAATTCGAGACGAGTCCACAGTGCAAAGTGAAAGTAAGTTTATTAAGAAAGTGAAGGAGTGAAATAGTCCATAGACAGAGTAGGGCATTCCCAAAAGTAAGAGGAGGAATGCACCCACCCTAAGTACAGTGCTTGTTTATATGTAGGATAACAACAACAACAACAACAACAAAAAATCACAGGGAGATGTGCTCTACTACAAGGGCTTGTGATAAAGGACTAATTTTCTCAATTACTATATTTTGCAAGAATTGATATTATTCTGTTTAAAGCAAAATTAGGAATGTCTTTGTTCTCAGGATGTCAGGATATCGGTCATTCCTGGGCCTGGGTCTGTTTAGTAAACATTTTTAATCTGTACCCTTAACCAGAAACATCTACAGGCTAGGAATACCTAACCTCCTGGGAATCCAGCCCAGCAAGTCCCAGCCTTATTCTTCTAGATGGAGTCACATTCAAGATGGAGTCACTCTGGTTCGAATGCTTCTGACATATTTTCCCCATCCCTTTTACAAGAGGAACCGTAATCCTAAGGGTTGCAGAAGAATGAAGATCCCTCTTCTGTAACTTCATGCTGAACAGGGGCAATGATATTCCTACCTACCTGTTAGGGTCTCTTATATTCAGGGTAGAGAGAAGCTCAGTCAGAAAGCGTCAGTATGGTGAGGGTCATTTGTAACTCTGAGTCCCAGCAAAAGGGATATCTGGAAGATTAACAAGTGTTCAATTTAAAAAAGCGTTGAGTAAGCTTATCTTGCATTCCTACACAAAAAGTACAACAGCAATGTATTCACAACAGCAAGGCAAAATAAATGAAATCATCCCAAGTAAACTAAACAGGAAGGCTTGCCAAGAACTAGGCAGTTTTTGGAACCAAGTTGATACAGGGTCGACTGACAGCGCATCAATGACAGAGATATGAGTGTCTAAAGCTTTCATAGGCTGGGTAATATTATGTAAACCATCCAGAATACACACACAACATTCGGTTTTTATCAAAGCACAAGTTTCCCCTTAGGCTGCTGTTAAAATTCCACAGCCATACAATTTTGTAAGGTCACCTGCCTAATCTGAGAAGTTTCCTAAGTTAGGAAGGTAAGGCATGGTAAGTATTATTGAAAGTTGCAGCCGTGTGCTTGGCTAGGGCTTCAACTCGCAGCTCAATATCCATCGTGGCACCTGTGGGGAAAATATAGCCAACAGGTAGAACCACAAAAATGCCCATTTTTGTCACGTATGCCGAGCCTTTACAATTTCCCAGTTAGATGAGAGAGAGTCCAATTTGGTGAGGATGTGTCCTGGGAGATAAGGATGACCCCACATACACTGTCCAGTTCAATTATAAGGTAAGTATGGCCAGCCGTGGGTTCCGCAAGCCCATAACCATCCCCAAGGGGAAGGGTAGGCACCCGTTTTTGGTGAATTATGTTGCCATCCCAACCAAATGTGGTCTGATAAAGAAGGGTCTGATTATGTTGTTGAGGCGGCAACCATCCTATATCATGTGTTCCAGTGTGGTGGTGACTATTATTATACCTCTCAAAACAAAGAGGTCCTTTGCCTGATACCAGTACTTGAACAGCTGTCATCTGCCTAAGTCCATCAGGTACAGTATAACCTAAAGTTGGGGTGGAGTTTAGCTGTTTCCTAATTACATTAAAAAGTGCCTTTTTTTCTCTCCATAGGAGAGGAAAGGACTAAGGCCTGTGTGGCTATGGTACCGGGGAAAAGAGAGAATATGTTTACAATATTCAGTTTCCCAATCATAATAAAGTCCCCATAAACTTAGGTTGGCCAGTTGAATATTCAAGGGCAAACCAGAAGTAGAGGAAAGTGGCAATTCTCCACATACCCAACAGTTTGTCCGATTATGTAGAGAAATTAAAGTCTGTGCCCACTCAGCAAATAAGTTACTCTCTGTGTGATTCCATCTTATACCCAAAAGTAGGATGCCAATCCATATCTTTGTGTTACCAATCCCTTTTGTTTATTTTGAACAGGAGCCAGAGGTCACTGGTTGATTCACAGGAATAAGTGGTATTAGTCTCTTGTGTTCCGTTGGCCTGTGGGATGTTATAAGAGACAAGTTTAATTCGGATAAGTGGACCCAGTTGTTTATTCCTAGAAGTTTAACTGCAGTTGGGATACTAAGAAGAACTTGCTAGGGTCCCTTCCATTTGGGGAAAGTTGATCTGCTGGGGATCCTTCCTCCCAAGCTTTTAATGGGACACAATCTCCCAGCTGGGTTATAATAGGATTCTCTTCCTTAGTAGGGGAAGGAGTCTTTGGTTTCCATATCCAAGGGGTGTCTTTTGCACTTGTCCTGAGTTGATTACATAACTTTGTAGCGTGAAAGTATATATGTCTATCAGGAAGTCTGTAGTTAAGAAAGGCCTTCCATACATTATTTCAAAAGGACTGAGCTGCAGATTTCTCATGAGGGGCCACTGGAATCTGTAACAAGGCTACAGGCAATAAAGACAGCCAGGTTGCTGATGTTTCCTGTTAGAGTTTAGCAAGAGTCCTTTTTAGTGTTTGATTGGCTCTACTTTCCCTGAAAACTGTGGCCTCCACACTAAATGAAGGCAGTACTGAATTCCTAGGCCTGAAGATATGTTTTGGAGTATTGTCACTATGAAAGATGGGCCATTATCACTCTGCAATCTCTTAGGCAAGCCAAATCTAGGAATTGTTTCCTTCATAGCAGTTTAGAAACCTCAATTGTCTTTTCAGACCGGGTAGGGAAAGCCTCAATCCTACTGGTAAAGGTGTCGATGAATAACTAAATATTAAACCCTTTACCTGGGGTAATCTGAGTATAGTCTACTTGCCAATCTTCACTGGGGTATGTTCCCCTAAGCTGAACAGACCTTACTGAAGAAGGAGGTAAAGATTGGTTATTCAGATTATTCTGGGCACAGAGTTTACAGGCCCGAGTTACCTGCTTTACTGTTTTAAATAAGCCTTTTACTAAAAAAAAAGACGAGACATTAACTGAAATTGGGAATCTCTTCCCAAATGAGTAGAATCATGCAAATACTTAACTATTTCCCACTGATTAGCACCCAGTATCAACAGTTGTTTTCACTGATTACCCATCCAGAAGGATCTTGAATTAAACCCTGACCTTTAGCCCATTCTTATTTCTCTCAGTACATCTCGGTTCTCTCATTACTGGGGTGGTGGGCACTAATATGCCTACAAGTCCAGCTGGCTCCATTAATGCAGCGGCCTTAGCTGCAGCATCTGCAGAGGAGTTTCCCTTTGTCACACTACAGTCTCGTTTTTGATGCATTCTGAAACAGATTACACCCACTTCTTGGGCAGCAAAACAACATCTAATAGATTTAAATTTTCCAAATGATGTTGCACAGGGGAGCCCTTAGCAGTTCCTCCCAGATAGCAGCATGAGCATGAAGTACCAGGAAGTGTAAATGTTGATTCTTAAGTCTTTTTCCAATTGCAGGGCTCTAATAAGAGCTACTAATTCTGCTTTTTGAGCCAAAGTAGAAGCTGGTAAGGCTTCTATTCAATTACCTCATGTTGACTGACAACGGCATACCCAGCTTTTCTGTTTCCCTGGTGCACAAACCTACTTCCATCTATAAGCCATTCTACTTCAGGATTATCTAGAGGCTTAGCCGTTCAATTTGACCAGCTGGAATAAATTTGCTCCGTAACTTGTATACAAGAATGATTGTCAGGGTGTGGTGGCTCACACCTGTAATCCCAGCATTGTGGGAGGCCAAGGTGAGTGGATCACCTAAGGTCAGGAGTTCGAGACCAGCCTGGCCAACATGGTGAAACCCCATCTCTACTAAAAATACAAAAATTAGCCGGGCGTGGTGGTAGGTGCCTGTAATCCCAGCTACTCAGGAGGCTGAGGCAGGAGAATCGCTTGAACCAGGAAGGCGGAGGTTGCAGTGAGCCGAGATCATGCCATTGCACTCCAGCCTGGGGGACAAGAGCAAGACTTCATCTCAAAAATAAAAAATAAAAAAATAATGATATAGGGTGCCTGTGGGTTCAGGCAGATAGGCAGCTGGATTAAAAGTCTAGCATACTTAAGAGTTACATAAAGACTCAGACTCATCTATGGATTTTCCTCAATTTTTCAGAAAAATGGCCAAACTTCTCTTTACATAGAGCCACATCAGACATAGAAAAGGGGACATGTACTCTTACAGTGCCTTCTTCTCTGTTCTCCACTTGTCTAAGTGGACAAAGATTTCCCTTTGGAGATTAAAAAGAGGCTTGACTACAAGTAGTACCTGCAAGGCTAGATTCTTCAAGAGGTGGTGGGTATAAAGTAGGACTAGACAAGTAAGGAGAAGGGGATGAAGGGGCTTCAGTACAACTTCCAGGTGGACTAAAGGGAGAAGAGGCCAATGCACTGAATACTCAGAGCTGACAGAGGAGGTTCTGCTCCACCCAAAAATGCCCACTGAACTTGGGGGGCTTGCATCAAGGGATCATCTATTGTGGCTAGTTTTTTTCTTCCTTTCCTCTCATCAAACATGCACATGCCTGCTGCAGGGTTTTCTCCTGACTGAACAACAAAAAAGCTTGAACATGTGGCATTTCATCCCATTTTCCCTCCCTCTTACAAAACAAATCGAGTTGAAGTATAGTATTCAAGGCTGTAGTTCCAGTAGGTGGCCATTTTTCTTGTTTTTCCAAATAACATCAAGGCCAAACAGTATTACATAGAAACACCAATTTCCTCTTCTTAAGCCCATTTAATTTAAACTGGTCCCAACATTCAAGAATACATTCTAACATTGAGTCCTTTGGAATCAACAACATGGTTCCCATGAAGGAGGCAGGTGATGTTGGAAGAAAAGTTCCAAACCTACAAGACTGTTTTGCCACTGGCCAAGTTCCACTGAAAAGGATAGGAGAGGTTTTAAGGCCAGTTGCATTAATGAGGAGATCCCTGCTGAAAACTGAATTCTCTTATTCACACAAGCCAAATAACATAAATGAGCTAAGCCATGCATCTTAAATAAACCACAATATGAAACCTGACAAAATAAATGTCAAATAAGGCAAACAAAATGAAGAGGATTTAGTTGGGGATGACCAGAGCAAGCATGTTCTGGGCAACAATGGTAGCATGGATTGGACAAGCAAAGCCAATTTACCTGAATCCAAGAAAGGAAAGAATTCTTTTAGTGTGCAAATGAAACAAAAAAGCAGGGAGAAAAGTCCCCTGATTTCTATCTGTTTTAGTCTGTTCTCATGCTGCTAATAAAGACATCCCGGTGACTGGGTAATTTATAAAGGAAAGAGGCTTAATTGATTCACAGTTCATCAGGGCTGAGGAGGCCTCAGGAAACTTACAATCATGGCAGAAGGGGAAGCAAACACATCCTTCTTCACATGGTGGCAGCAAGGAGAAGTCCCGACCAAAAGTGGGGAAAGCCCCTTATAAAACCATCAGATCTGGTGAGAACTCACTATCATAAGAACAGCATGAATGTAACTGCCCCCATGATTAAATTACCTCCCACCCATTCCCTCCCATGACATGTGGGAAATATGAGAACTACAATTCAAGATGAGATCTGGGTGGGGACACAGCCAAACCATATCACCATCCTAGTGCTTCTTTATTACACCTAGTGGGCATAGCTGCAGCAAAACATAACCACATCTATCTAATCTTACTGCTCATACCTGTTAAATACCAAATCTCAATCAGCAGTTTTAGAGATGGGACCTTAGCAGCTAGAGTTTTAAAATAAGCCAAATATAATAAAACCAAATCCTGCAATGCATTTTGTTCCCAATGTTTCAAAAGCAAGTGGACAGAAATCAGGAGGTACACAGGGGAAGAGAAAGTTCAAATCCCTAAGACCAATTAAATGAAGTTTCCTGAAAATGACAGTGAAACCGAGACAGCAACCAAGAAATTGATTCGTGCAGCAAAGAGGACAAGGCAGATTAATACAAAGAACATAGCAGTTAACATCCCACGGTGCCAAACCCATTTTTAGCCAAGAGGGATTTTACTGAATGGGGCCTCAACCCCCTAAACCTTGGGAGGGACTCCAACCTTCCTAAGTTGGGCCTGAACCCAAGTTCGGTCAAGTGTCTTTGACTTTTATTAAGAGGGGCCTTTAACCTTCCCTGTCTTAGGAGAGAGTTAAATTGGGCCTCTAACCTAATCCCATCCTCTACCTAGGTAAATGCACTCCACTTACCCAAAGTCGGCCACCTGGTGGAGTGCACAGATGATTTTCCTTTGGGTCAGGGGTCTCTTCAGTATAATCCCTTTGTGGTTCACCAGAAAGACGTTACTGGAAAGGGGTCCCGATCCAGACCCCAAGAGAGGGTTCTTGGATCTTGCACAAGAAATAATTTAGGGTGCGTCCACAGTGCAAAGTGAAAGTAAGTTTATTTAAAAAGGAGTGAAAGAATAGCTACTCCATAGACAGAGCAGGGCATTCCCAAAAGGAGGAGGAGGAATGCACCCACCCTAAGTACAATACTTGTTTATGTATAGGATAACAAAAACAAAATCACAGGGATATATGCTCTACTACAGGGTTTGTGATAAAGGATTAATTTTCTTAATTATTATATTTTACAAGAATTGATATTATCTTTAAAGCAAAATCAGGAATGCTTTTGTTCTCAAGATATGGGGATATCAGGACATTGCTGGGCCTGGGTCTGTTTAGTAAACATTATTAATCTGTTTCCTTAACCATAAACATCTAGAGGCTAGGAATGCCTAACCTCCTGGGAATGCAGCCTAGGCCTGCATTGAACGATGGCTTTTTCCCAGCCCTCATTCAAGACAAAGTCTCTCTGGTTTCAATGCCTCTGACATACCTAAGAAACTCTGATATGGTTTGGCTGTGTCCCCACCCAAATCTCATCTTGAATTGTAGCTCCCAGAACTCCCACGTGTTGTGGGAGGGAGGTGGTGGGAGATAATTGAATCATGGGTTAGTTTCCTCCACACTATTCTCGTGGTAGTAAATAAGTCTCACGAGATCTGATGGTTTTATAAGGGGTTTCCCTTTTTCCTTGGTTCTCGTTCTCTTTTGTCTGCTGCCATGTAAGAATGCCTTTCTCCTTCCTCCATGATTGTGAGGCCTCCCCAGCCATGTGGAACTGTAAGTCTATTAAACCTCTTTTTCTTTATAAATTACCCAGTCTCGGGTATGCCTATCAGCAGCATGAGAATAGACTAATAAAACCTCTGATCCAAATTTCTCCAAAGCTATCAACTCGGCTTTTTAATATGTAAACCTTCTTAAAGTTTCAAAATGAGGACTGAAGGAAATAAAAATATTTCACCCCAAAATGTATTTATTTGACATATTTTGCCATGGCTGTTCAGAGGGCCTGCAAATAGAAGTATCCCTGCAAAGCTGCCTTTTGTGGGGGAGAGCTGCATCTGTAGAGAAAATCTGTATTGATGCAGCCAGGTTCTTTCTGAGGCCTTCCAATGTCTATATCAAGAAAAGATTAACTGAGAGTCTGATGACTTTAAAGTTCTGAAAAATTATTCACCATCTAGCCTCTCTGAGGTCTGCTACCTATTAGGTTTCATCTATATAACGAGACCACCTTTGCTAGCCAGGCTTCCTCTTATCTCTGTCTCCCATAACCTGTTTTGTCATTGTAACCTGTTTTGTCACAATCTAAGCCCCCATTCTTCCTGTCACCTCAATATGGTATATAAGCTTCTGAACCCCATTAGGGGTTGGAGTGATCACTCTATGGTTCTCCCCCATGTACATGTTAAGAAATTTGTATGTCTTTTCTCCAATTAGTCTGCCTTTTGTCAGCAAATTTTTCAGTGAAACTTCAGAGGCCAAAGCAGAAATTTTCCTTGGCGTCTATCCCTAAATCTGTTTCCTTTTGGTATTTTCCATCTTACAGGCTGAGGCACCAAAGCCAGAATCCTGGAACTCACCCTGATCTCTGGCCTCTCACTAATGCCTCACACACAATCTGTCAACTTCTTCCTCAACATCTCTTCAGTGTGGCCTTTCCCTCCAAACCCACTAGCACCACCTTACTAGACACCATCATTTATCACCAGAACGTCTGCAATAGCCACCGAACTTGTTTCCCTGCTTCATGTCTCATATGCCTCAAACCTACTAATCTCACACCCCTGCATATCCTCAGCACCTGGAACACTGCTGGCATGAAGTAGACACAAAATCAGTATTTGTTGAATTAACAAGTGAATGAATGAATTCCTATTGCGGGGGCCAAAGAATAACTTCCCCTTTGCTCTCTAAAGTTTTACTGAAAAATCAACTGACAAAAGATATATTAAAAGAAATGACTGTGAGGCCGGGCACGGTGGCTCACGCCTGTAATCCCAGCACTTTGGGAGGCCGAGGCAGGTGGATCACAAGGTCAGGAGTTCGAGACCAGCCTGGCCAATATGGTGAAACCCCGTTTATACTAAAAATACAAAAATTAGCCGGGCGTGGTGACGTGTGCCTGTAATCCCAGCCACTTGGGAGGCTGAGGCAGGAGAATCACTGAACCCAGGGAGGCGGAGGTCGCAGTGAACCGAAATCATGCCATTGCACTCTAGCCTGGGTGACACAGCGAGACTCCGTCTCAAAAAAAAAAAAAAAAGAAATGACTATGCTCAGAGGAGACTCAGAAAGTAATTACCCAAATGGGGTACAGAAGCTGATATACTTACTATCTTGAAGTTACAGAAAGAGAGGAATCCCAGCACATAGCCAAAAACAGATTATGGTGTTAAATCGGTTATAGTAGCAAGACACGGTAGGGGAGAGAGAGAGAGAAGAGGAGAACTGGCTAGCAAAGGTGGTCTTATTATGTAGATGAAATCTCACAGGTAGCAGTCCTCAGAGAGAATGTTTATAAACCTTTAAAGGTATCAGAGTCTCAGTTAATCTTTCCTAGATGGGACAAGTGAGGGTCTCAGAGAAAGCCTCACTGCATCAATGCAAGTTGTCTCTACAGATCCAATCTTCCCCAAAAAAGGCAGGTTTTTAGCTACTCTTATATTTTCAGCCCATCCAAATAACCATCTTGAACTATGTCAAGGTGAAATATTTTGGTTTCTTTCATTAGCCTCGTGGAATTTACAGTACAGCTAAGAGATCAACGTTAAACAAGTATCAGTAGATATTGAGGAGATTCCAAGCAGCATTCCTGGCTATCTTAGACTCTAAGATGAATTGGGGCCCTAATCCAGATGGGAGTCTCAAGAGCTGACTGCCTGGGGTTACTTTTAATAGTGGCCAGAGGAAGATAATTTACACAGATGAGAAACACAAGGACAAATGCATCAGCTAATTTTTTTCTCTCTTAATGATGCCCCCACTCATTTATAATGATATGTAAGTTGCCATGATGATTTGTGCAGAAAGGAGTGAACTGAACTAGCTAGGAGAGAATTAGGAGTGATGGAATAACATGGAACGAAGTTTATTTATATGTTAGGTTTCTAAAACTTAGTTGTAGATTCACATGCAATTGTAAGAAATAATACAGAGAGAACTTGTTTACTCTTCACCTTGTTTCCCCCAATAGTAACATCTTGTATAACTATAAGTGATACAGTTCACCAACCTTAGTTTTATATGCACATGTGTGTATGTGTGTGTATGTGTGCACACTTATTTCTATGCAATGTTATCACATGTATAGACTTATGTGACCATCATTATAGTAAAGAACAAAATAGTTCCATCACAAGGTTTTTCTCATGCTACCTACTTTTTTAATAACCCCATCTACTTGCCTCTAAATTCCACTCCCTCCTTAACCCCTGGCAACCACAAATCTGCTCTCCATCTTCATAATTTTGTCATAAATTGAATCATACAATTGCTCTTGAGATTGAAATTTTGTGTTCAGCATAATTCCCTTGAGATCCATCAACATTCTTATATGAGCAGTTGTTCCTTTTTTTTGCTGAGTAGCATTCTGTGGTATGAATGTACCACAGTTTAACTATTCATCAAAGGATATTTGGGTTCTTTCTAATTTGGGGCTCTTATTAATGATGCCACTCTAAATATTTGGGTACAGGATTTTATGTGAATATAAATCTTAATTCTCTGTGAGAAATGTCCAGCAGTGCAATTGCTAGGTAGTACAGTACTTAATATGTAGAGTTTTTTAAAGAAACTGTTTTCTAAAGTGACTATAGCATTTTACATTCTCACCAGCAATGTATGAGCAACACAGTTCCTAGTTTCTCTACATCCTTGAATTTGCATTGTCACTATTGTTTATTTAAGCTATTCGAATAAGTAGGTAGTGAAATCTCAGTGGTTTTAAAAAAATTTTCCTACTGGCTAATTATGTTGAACATTTTTCATAGGCTTATGCTATCTGTATATTCCCTTCAGTGAAGTGTTCTTTCATTTATGTTTGGCCCTTTTCTAACTGAACTGTCCTTTTACAGTTGAGTTAGGTGTTTTGTTTGTTTGGGTTTTTTTCAGACGGAGTCACGCTCAACCCAGGCTGGAGTGCAGTGGTGCAATCTCGGCTCACTGCAACCTCTGCCTCCCGGGTTCAAGCGATTCCCCTGCCTCAGCCTCCCAAGTAGCTGGGATTACAAGCACGCATCACCATGCCTGCTAATTTTTGTATTTTTAGTAGAGACGGGGTTTCACATGTTGTCCAGGTTGGTCTCGAACTCCTGACCTCAGGTAATCTGTCCGCCTCAGCCTCCCATAGTGCTGGGATCGCACCTGGCTATAGTACTCTCAATACAGTTGAGTTCTGAGAGTACTTTATATATTCTAGATACAAGTCTTTTGTCAAATATGTGGTGCCTTCATCCATTTTTGTTGCTATAAAGGAATAGCTGAGGCTGGGTAATTTATAAAGAAAAGGGTTTCATTTGGCTCACTATTCTGCAGGCTGTACTAGAAGCATGGCACCAACATCTGCTTCTGGTGAGGGCTTCAGCCTGCTTCTATGCATGGCAGAAAGTGAAGGGGAGACAGTGTGCAGAGATTACATGGCAAGAGAGGAAGCATGAGACAGGGGGAGTGTGCCAGGCTCTTTTCAACAACCAGCTCTTGGGGAAACTCCTTGGGAACTAGTAAAACCATAACTCATTCGTTACTGTGAGAATGGCACCATGCCATTCATGAGGAATCTGCCACCATGACCCAAACGCCTTCCATTAGGCCCCACCTCCAACATTCAGGATCAAGTTTCAACAGGAGGCTTGGAGGGTCAAATATACAAACTATACCATGTGGTTTGCAAATATTTCCTCTTGCATATTTATGAAAATTTTCTCCTGTTAGCTGGCCTTGAAGGCTGTACTGTCTACTCCCATAAGGTCTAATGATGATCCTGAGGTCAATAAGTTCTAAAAAAACAGTCTTTTTTTTTTTT
Organism: Homo sapiens; assembly: GCF_000001405.40. Classification (NCBI taxonomy): domain Eukaryota; kingdom Metazoa; phylum Chordata; class Mammalia; order Primates; family Hominidae; genus Homo; species Homo sapiens. The sequence goes on along the minus strand of NC_000005.10, from coordinate 43,560,071 downwards.
TTTTTTTTTTTACCATCACTAGACTGGTGACCTAAGGAAAGGCAGGACCATTGCAGGTGAGTCCTATTTCTGTTAAAAGCTTATTATGGACTAAGTACTGGGTTGGACCTAAAGGATTAAAAGGCATCCTCTGTCTTCAGAGGGCTAGTTTAGGGAAGGAGACATTTAAATAAACCAAATACTAACGATAACAATCTGGCATGCTAAGTACCAAGACAGTTTTCCCAGGGTATACTTATCACAAGGGAGAGAATCTAAGATTAGGCAGCTTGGGAAGTCTTACTGGAGAATGCCTTTCAAGTACAGTTTAAGGAAACATTTTTTTCATAGTTCACAGCAGGTCCTTTTCCATATTACAACATATTTTCCAATTTGTCCAAATTTAGTTCTACTCTCCTTTCACCATAAATTAATAAAAAAGGCATACACGTGGATGAGGAGCACTTTGATGATTCTCTTTAGGGAGTTCCACATGGTGTTCACACGTTCATGTGTTTCTGTCTATGCATTTTGCAATACCTGCCAGTTAGCTCTAAAACAGTCCCAAGATGGATCTGAGCCCTTGCGGTATCTTGGCACCTTTTATGTAAAGTGAAAATATTGGAATGTCTATCTCACAGGATATGAGGATAAAATAAAATGATAAAATAAAAGCTCTTAAAAGGTGACTGACGCATAATAAATATTAGATATTTTTATTATCATGATGCAAAATCCATTCGTGTTATCTCCAAGTCCACCATCCACACATTATAAGAATAGGGCAAAAGTTATACAGTAACAAATACAGAGAAGGCAAAGGATATCTTACCTAATTTTCCTAACAAGAGGGTGTGAAGATGTCGTGACATCACCATGGATGCAGAATGGCCTTATCTTCACATGGGAAAGTCCCAGTTGTTAGAAAAGGTGCTGTTCATCATAAAAGTTTTAAGGGGAAATGAAAAGGTGGTGAGTGCAAACAAAAGCTTGGGGCAGAGTTGGGGCATCTACTTCAGTGGAACATAACTCATTGTTAGTTTTTTAGCATAGTTTATGGGTCTTTCCTGTATGATAAAAAAGTCCAGGCAAGAAGTGACTGGTGACCACATACAATAATGAATTTGAAAATATTAAAATTGTAATTTTTAAATTGTAATCTTGTCTCTGCAATATATGCTGAGTGTTACCACACAGTTATTATTTTACAGATGAGGAAAGTGAGGCTCAGAGAAGCTAAACCCCTTACTTACTCAAAATCACACAGACAGCAATAGTCAAGAGTGGAATCCCAACTAAGCTCTGGCAGACTGAATCCTAAACTTTCCGTACACCGAAGAGCCACACGTACTGCTGGCTTCCTTCCCTGACTTCATTATTTTGCCTAACATCAATAGCATGAACCATTTATTCATGATTGCCCTCGGTGAAGCCATTTTCTCATTCGTTTAGGGGAAGACATTGTTTTCTTTATTAATGAGAAGAGAAAACGGTTAACAAGAGTTTGTGTCCCTAATTGAAATGATTCTTAAGATGAAAAGATAGAAAAACATGAAACCCTGCTTAAAACAAAAGGCTAAAATCAGAATTTATGGAGATGGATCAATCCAACAGTAAAGAAATCAATTTTTCCTTCCTTGTCGTTACTTATATTCATCTATCCTTTATTTGGCATTAATACTGTCAGGCCTGACAAAAACAACAATTTACATATTAATAAAATCTAGAATTGTGCTGTGCAACGCAGTAGCCACTAGCCACATGTGGCTCTTGAGCCCTTGAAATGTGCCAATCCCGACTAAGATGTGCCATAAGTGTAAAATATACACTGGATTTCAACTAGTATCTAAAAAACAGAGAAAATATTTAATATTTTAAATCGCATGTTAAAAAACCATTTTGAACATAATGGATTAAATAAATTTAAATTAATTTCACCTGGTTTTTGTTTTGTTTTGTTTTGTTTTTTGAGACAGAGTTTGGCTCTTGTTGCCCAGGCTGGAGTGCAACGGTACGATCTCGGCTCACTGCAACCTCTGCCTCCTGCGTTCAAGCGATTCTCCTGCCTCAGCCTCCAGAATAGCTAGGATTACAGGCATGTGCCACCACGCCCGGCTAACTTTGTATTTTTAGTAGAGACGGGGTTTCTCCATGTTGGTCTGGCTGGTCTCGAACTCCCGACCTCAGGTGATCCGCCCCCCTCGGCCTCCCAAAGTGCTGGGATTACAGGCGTGAGCCACTGCGCCTGGCCACACCTGTTTCTTTTCACTCATTTAATGTGGCTTCTCCAAAATGTAAAATTACATAAGTGGCTTGCATTTGTGGCTCGCATTATATTTTCATTGGACAGCACTGATGCAAGATGAAAAAGAGGGCAGAGTTACACTGAAAGGTAGCACATTTTCTTGAAATTTCTGGAGGGGAAGGTTAACGGGAAGAGAACGAAGCTTGTTAAACGTAGGTGTGACCTACTGTGGTAAACACCTAGGGTGAATTAAAGAGGGGACACATATTTTGATTCCGTTTCTACTCCCTTCCCCCGATGCTAACGGAGCAGGTGACAGTCTCCCAGGGACCACTCCTCAGCAGTCCGCGGGTCTCGGCCGGAGCCGAGTCATTGAACACACCTGTGCGCCAGCGAACCCTGGCGCAGGGTCCACGCCCCCTCCCCCCGTGTTTTTATTTCCCGGGCGTCAACTGTCGGTCTCGCACGTCTCTCCTGAGAACTACCGAGTAGGTCGGGCCTGCCTGTGGTAAGCGTCCCCCTCACCCCTCATCCCTCATCCCCCCCAGCCTGGCCCCGGAACCGAGATGCCCCTGCCCGAGCCTGGCTGCGGGCCGGCAGGTGGCCAAGACGCCACTCGGCGGGCGGCCTGCTGGGCCCGGCGGCCGGCCAGCCGCGAACTGGAGGATCCTCGCGGGCGCGTCCCGGGCCTCCGGGCCGCAGGGGGCCGCTGTGACCCGCCTGCGCCCCTGCCGCGCCGAAGGCGGGGAGCCGGGTTTTGGGGGAGAACTGGAAAGCCGAGGGTAGCCGAGCGGGGCGGGCGCTCTGGAGCGGCGGGTGCTCGGGCTGCCGTCCGCTCCGCCAGAAGCACCGAGCAGCCGAGCCGGGGCCCGCCGCCCTCCTCCTCCATGAGGCCCGAGTGAGGCGCGGCGGCTATAGCCGACCCGCGGCGCCTTCCCCCCGCGTCCTATCGCGAGCGCAGCGGCAGCGGCCCCTGGAGGAGGAGGCGGAGGAGGAGGAGCATGTCGGACGGTTTCGATCGGGCCCCAGGTGCTGGTCGGGGCCGGAGCCGGGGCCTGGGCCGCGGAGGGGGCGGGCCTGAGGGCGGCGGTTTCCCGAACGGAGCGGGGCCTGCTGAGCGGGCGCGGCACCAGCCGCCGCAACCCAAAGCCCCGGGCTTCCTGCAGCCACCGCCGCTGCGCCAGCCCAGGACGACCCCGCCGCCAGGGGCCCAGTGCGAGGTCCCCGCCAGCCCCCAGCGGCCTTCCCGGCCCGGGGCGCTCCCAGGTACGGAGCAGCTCTAAGGGCCCCAGTCCTCCTTGGCGAACGCTTCCCCACGGCCCTCCACGCGTGCCGAGGCCCGACGCGCTGTCTGCGGTCCCCACCCCCGGTTCCCCGAAAGCATTCCCCGAGAGGGCCGCGTGACCGGGTAGGGACGGGCCCGGAACCGGGTTTGGAAGGTGTCTGCTGGAATCCTTTGTGCGCCTGGCTGGGGGGAGGGGCCGGGTGCGCGGTCTCGGAGTTCGGGGTCCCGGGAGGAAGTAAAAATCGCCTCCCCTCAGCAGCCCTCTAAAGCGAGACCCTAGCGAGTAACCACCTCTTTTCCACCGACCCCTTTAAAACGACAGAGAGGAAAAAAGCTCGCAAGCACTCATTTGAGAGGCAGGTATGCCCATAACGGAGTCACAGCAAGTCTATTGTTCCTTTTTGTAGGCTGTCTGTACACATTCCGGCGATAACCATAAATTTCATGATGGTTCCTGTTTAACTCTTAAAAACAGACGCTTTTCAGATGGTTTTTCAGTATATAGCAAGTTGCTGTACAAAGGAAAGAATGCATCTGACGCCCCGTTTTTTTTTCTTTTGCAGAGCAAACGAGGCCCCTGAGAGCTCCACCTAGTTCACAGGATAAAATCCCACAGCAGAACTCGGAGTCAGCAATGGCTAAGCCCCAGGTGGTTGTAGCTCCTGTATTAATGTCTAAGCTGTCTGTGAATGCCCCTGAATTTTACCCTTCAGGTTATTCTTCCAGTTACACAGTAAGTACACCCTTTTTCCTACAACTCTGGGTTAATTTACTGGAATAATGTGGTTGTTACTTTGTTAATCAGAGTATGTTTGTGCTTTCTGTACTACACGTAAAAAAATTTTTTTATTGTGAATGTTTTGAATTATTGAACTCAGAAGGAAACAAAGCTGATTCAGAAATACATTTTGTAGTTATATTCAAGGTATTAGAATGTAAGCTTGAGATACACATCTGTGTTCTTGTTTCTAGTGATTATTCCATTATGTTAAAATAGACATAGTTTTGATCCTAATTATTGTATGCAGAAATGTCCTACGGGGTTGTGATAAAGTATTTACATAGGTATAAAGAATGTTTAAACTTTCAGTTTTTCTTTGTCACTTATATAACAACTTTAAAAAATAGTCACTTTTCTTAAATAGCCGTACAAAGCACAGTTGGAATATGTAGAAAGGAATTTGTTGTACTGGATAAACCCAGATGAGTAAATGCATAGGGATTAATTATAGAGAAGTGGGAGGGAATCATTGGAGAAATGATTGATGATACTTTAGCTTAAATCCTGTCTTTCCTATCTTCTTAGTTTTATTGAAGTATAGCAGAGAATAGTGTACTTAAGTGTTAGCTCAGTCTCATAAAGTGAACACTCAACTAACCAGCATCCCAGTCAGGAAATAGAACATTATCAACATCCCGAAAACCCACTCTGTCTCCTTCCAGTTGTTCTTGATGTCCAAGTATAGCACTGTTTTGACTTCATAGGATAGTTTTGCCTGTGTTCAAAGTTTATATAAATAAAGTCATATAGAATATATTCTTTCTCACTTTCAATATCAAGATTACTCCATATTGTAGCATATAATTGGAGGTGACTTATTTTTATAACATTCCATTGCATGAATATATCCCATTTGTCTGTTGATGAACGTTGGTAGCTTTCACTCTTGGGTTATTATGAATAGGGCACATTTTGTGTCTTGCTGGCTGTATGCCTTTATTTCTTTTTGGTATATTACCAAGGTATGGAGTTGCTGGGACTTAGGGTAGCCAGCTTTAGCAGAGACTGCCAAGTAGTTTTCCAGAGATTGTTCCACTGTACATTCTGAGTAGTGTATGATTTCCAGTTACTCTGCTTCCTGGTCGGCACTTGGTATTTTCTGTTTAACCATTCTGGTGGGCATATAGTATCTAGTTGTGGTTTTAATTTATATTTCCCTTATAACTGATAATGACACACCTTTTTTATTACCTCTTTTTGGCTCTCCTTCCATATTTGACAGTAAAAGTATGGAAAAAGCTGTGTTCCATGTTTTAGATACTCCATGATTCTTATGCTGTATAGGAAAAAGCTTTGGGATTGGAAAGAAAAAGATACAGGCATAGCAGGAAAAGCAATTGATATGGGGTGAAAAAGGCCATCTATCGTGTAAGGTAGAAATGAGAGCATCTTGAGTTCTTGCCAGAAAATTGTATTTAGCTCACAGAGGAAAAGAACCATTAGAGCCACTGTAAGAGGTTGAATAAACTCTTAAGGATGCTTGTTCTAGCAGCTACAAGCAGGTTCCCATTTATTTTCTTCCCTATTGACTTGGGCTGTTTTATGATGGAGGGATACAGGGGTGTGTTTGTGTATGTAATAATCGTGTATCAACTATTTTTACGTGGTTCAAGTGACTTTGGGGCTGTCGAGCAGTATATAAAGTCATGTTAGTCCACCTACTTTGAGCCACTGCATCTTTTAGGCATTCCTTGCCATCCTCTAATAGATCAGCACCTCCTGTGCTCAATTTACCAAAACAGATTGCAGCCTGGCACCTGGAAACCTGTGTGGCCTGCAGGTGTCTTCTCTAGCCCTGAATGGGTTTGTTTTTTCTTTAAGTTGTTTTATTTAATTAACCAATACCTAAATTAGATATTAGAAACTTGAATGTTCTGGTTTGTCATAAAATCTGGCCTTAGTGGACTGGCATTTTGATACAGCAAAAATTGGTTGGAGCTGAGTAGAGGCATTCTCTTTAGATGGAGTCTGTGAGCTCTAATTTGCTTTCTGGCTTATTTCATTCATTTGTAATCTACCTGAATTCTACAGGCATTCAGGCTTACTACCCCTGTTCTGGTATATTCTCTAGCCTTACTGGTTTACCCTAATCTTTACCCATAGTTAAGGCTAAGAGAGTTTTTCTCAATCCAATTAGTCATAGAACAGCAGGATCCTTTTTTCCCCCGACTCTTAGGATAAGCTCTTGTTGCAAAGGAAACATTTCCTTTTAGTAGCCATAATCCAAAGTTAGCTACATTCACTCATTCAACAAATAGTCAAGTACTTATCATGAGTCAAGCACCGGTGATACAGCAACAAACAAAATGGACAGAAATTCCTGTCTTCATGGAGTCTCTATTCTAGTAGTCTCCTGGCTCAGTTTGCAGACATTTATTGAATCTGCTTTTGTTCTACACATGAAAATCTATTTCCTGGTATCCTTTTTCTAACAGCCTTTATGGTAGTCTTCTGCTGTGCTTTCTTAACTCTTTCAAGGCACCAAGCCCTTTTATCTTCAGTTCTTCCTCTAATCCTGCTGCTAGAATTTCCTACTTTCCATGTCTTCTTACCAGTGAGTTGCTATATCCATTTATCCCTGGCCATTATTTCTTCTCAGACAAACCATTATGCCTTGAATATTTGTCACAGTTCACTTACCAGAGCCAAAAATTTAACATAGGAATTCATAAAGCATTGATGAAGAGACAGAAGTCCCCTTCCTCCCCTGCAAAAAAACGAGCTTTTTTTCTAAGAGAATCCCTCTTCAAGTTACTTCCCAGTTTTTGTTCTGCCTTGCAGTAGTATCATTCTCCAATAGGTAAAATTATTCACTGTCTCTCACTGTTCAGACCTCTGCAGTCTGATCTCCCTAATTGTATTGATACTATTTTTGTGACTGATGTTCTTCCGATTTTTAAATTTATCTTCCTAAATCTCATTTTAAAACTTTGAGCACTGTAGGATCTATTCAGTTTATAAATCCCCATGTGCCAGGTCCTGTGCTAGGTGCAAAGGTACCTTTTTAGTCTATCAGAAGCTCCCTCCCATTGTTTTAAGAACTAAGTATTTGAGGTACTAGTTTTGTTCTTTTTTCTCTCTGAGTATAATCTCCTTCACTCCCGAGACTCTGCAATGATAATTCTCTTCCAGATTTCAACCTATGAATTTATTCTGTAGCATTTGTTGTTATGAGCATCTCTTCTCCCCTACCTCTTTGGCTTCTGTGGCAGTACTTTATCCTCCCAACTTGCAGATCATTCCTTTTCCCCTCAGATGACAGTTGGTGACGTTCTTTCTTCCATTTTATTACCTCCTTTGCTAATCCCGCCTATTCCATAGAATCTATCACTTATTTATGTGCTAATAACCCTGACATCTAATTATTCCTTTGAACTCTAGTGAACTCTAGGCATACATTTTCATTTATTTGACCACTTCTTGAGGACCTCACATTCAAATGCAAGTATAAAATCTATACACAGTGTAAGAATTATTTATCTCATGCGAATCTCTTCTAACTAGCTGCTTACACTAAGAACTTGGTGGCATATTGACTCACCTCTCCTGCACACCCTTGCCTTAATTCAATCCAGCTAGCTAAAGTAGTCGTGACTATATTCACTCTCTGTAGTGTCTGATCAGTTTTCTTTTATTCCCACGGTTCTGTAATAGGTTCTCATCTCTTGACAATGTATATAGAGTACCTACCATGAAAAAGTACATTTTCTATTTCTCCCAATCTCCCATAGAATTCTAAGAAAAATAAAACTTGAAAATATCTCTGTTTGGAAGCCATTTGACTCCACATTGAAGACTGAAGAAATTTGTGGCTTTAAAAAATCTGGTGCTAGAGAAGTAATGCAGGCTTTGATTCAAACACGTTGGAGTGCCTGTCTGTTCCAAATACTCTATGCCTCCTTTTTTTGCTTAAAATGGCAGGCTCTGGATCCTCTGTTCTGCTATATTCAGAGCAGTTCTACTTTCTTCTTTTACTGATCAGATTTTACATTTTCTTAAAAGAGAGTTCTGTTGACTTTAAAAAAAAAAAAAAAAAGATTGCAAATCAGCGCTCTAAGCAGCATTTTTGCCACGAAGAATGACATTTGATGGAAACAGGAAATTAGTACTTTCAGCTGGGACCCGTACCTTTGCCTTTCTGCTGTTCCTTGTCATTAATAGTGGTAGGATACTACAAGTCTGTAAAACTAGTAACTGTATATCAAAAACTTAAGACTAGTTTTTAGTTATAAAATTCACGCATGTATGTAGTTAACATTAAGTATATGAATGTGTACAATTATGCCTAACTGCTTTCACAACTTTATAATGTCAATATTTATAATGGGAACATTTTCTCACTCTAGAGGTAAGTACTGTTGTCTCTTGTTTTCTTAAATGGCTATAATATTCCATTATACAGATATATGATAATGTATTTAACCAATTCCTTGTTAATGGATTGTTACGTGGATTTTTTGGCAATGAACATCTTTGTACATAAAATTGGGTTTTAAGCTTTTGTCCTTTATTTTGAGTTTCACAGAGAGGTTAAAAATATAGGCTTTGTTCTGCGCTCAGTTCTTCTAATCAGTTTTGTGACCATGCACAGTCACTTAAGTTGGTGCATGGTCCTTCCTTGTTCAAACCCTCTTTCCCCCATCCTGTTTTTCCTACTTCCTTAAGAGCCAGTTTCCTTAATTTGGCCCCCAAAGCCCTCTAAGATCTCCTTATCTGCCTCATTGACCTCATTAGTTACCACCCATCCTCAGTTTCTGTATTCTAGTTATTGTCTTTTTCAAAGTTATTAGGCCTCCTTGGGGCCTGTGTGCTTCTTGTGCCCATAGAAAGAGAATATCTTTCCTTAGATATTTGTATGGCTGGATCTTTTTTTCTTTCTTAGTTTATATATTAACTCTAAGAATCTCTACTTGGCTTTTTGCTTTTTTTTTTTTTTTTTTTTTTGTAGTATATTTCAACTTCTGAATGTGTCTTCCATCATGGGGTATGAGCTCCATGAGAGGAGAGCCTTGTCTGCTTTATTCATGGCAGATATTCATGTCATGGCAGTATCCCATCCCCTAAGACAGTCTTTGGCACTTAGTAGGTACTCAGCAGCCACACCATTTTGAATGAATAACCAAAGTGACTTAACTACTCTGTGCCTGTTTCTTCTATGCAGGGAGGATAGTGATGCTTACCTCAAAATGTTCTAGGTTAAACAAGATGCAGGCAAAGCCCTTATGGTGTCTATCACATATCATATATGCAGCTGGTGGCTATTAGCTTATTAACTGGAGTACCATCCTAGGTGCCAAGAAATACAGCTTTTTATCATTCATTTTGGATGCTTTTTATACTTTAGTCCCTTTATGTATGAATACATGGCTGTTGCATTTGGAATATGACTCAGTATTCTCCTAGAAATTTAAAATGTAATTCATTTGTTGAACATTCTGTGCTTTACTATGTGCTCTTCACCAATCTAGGTGAATTTGATTAATTCACTTAATCCTCAGAGTCACAGTGATAATATTTATGATTAGTAAATAAATGCATCAACATTAATACCTCCTATTATAGTAGAATGTTTAACTTGAATTCAAATGCGTGACAAAAATCTAATGTATTAGAGTTTATCCTTCTATTCAATGAACACTATATGTGAATGAAAAAGGCACATGAATCTGCTATTTCTGCAGCTGGTTTTACTTCCTGACTGCCTCTCATAGTACATGCAACTTTTGCTAAGTATCACTTCAGTCTCTGAAGATACATAGGCCGGGCATGGTGGCTCTCGCCTGTAATCCCAGCGCTTTGGGAGGCCGAGTTGGGTGGATCATTTGAGGTCAGGAGTTTGAGACCATCCTGATCAACATGGTGAAACCCCATCTCCTCTAAAAATACAAAAAAAATTAGCTGGGCCTGGTGGTACATGCCTGTAGTCCCAGCTACTCTGGGAGGCTGAGGCAGGAGAATTGCTTGAACCTGGGAGGCAGAGGTTGCAGTGAGCCAAGATCTTGCCACTGTACTCCAGCCTGGGTGACAGAGCGAGACTCCATCTCAAAAATAAAAATAAAAAATAAAGATAAAATAAAAAGTGTAAAACATGACCTCCAAATGATGGTTATTTGAAGTGGTAGCACTATAGTGGTCCATTTTCATGCTGCTGACAAAGACATACCCGAGACTGGGAAGAAAAAGAGATTTAATTGGACTTACAGTTCCACAAGGCTGGGAAAGCCTCAGAATCATGGCGGGAGGTGAAAGGCACATCTTACGTGGCCGCAGCAAGAGAAAAATGAGGAAGAAGCAAAAGCGGAAACCCCTGATAAACCCATCAGATCTCGTGAGACGTATTCACTATGACAAGAATAGCACCGGAAAGACTGGCCCCATTGATTCAGTTACCTCCCTCCTGGGTCCCTCCCACAACACATGGGAATTCTGGGAGATACAATTCAAGTTGAGATTTAGGTGGGGACACAGCCAAACCATATCAAGCACCAACAGTAAAGGGACAAGTGGACAATTGGCAATGTTGGTCTTTCTCCTAAGACTGTGTCCTGGGCCAGGCGCAGTGGCCTGTAATCCCAGCACTTTGGGAGGCCAAGGTGGGGGAATCACCTGAAGTCAGAGTTTGAGACCAGCCTGGCCAACATGGTGAAACCCTGTCTCTACTAAAAATACAAAAATTAGCCAGGCATGGTGGTGCATGCCTGTAATCCCAGCTACTTGAGAGGCTGAGGTACAGGAATAGCTTGAACCCGGGAGGCGGAGGTTGCAGTGAGCCAAGATTGCACCACTGCACTCCAGCCTGGGCGACAGAACAAGACTGTCTCAAAGAAAAAAAAAGACTGTCTTTCTCCAACATGGAGCATTTCTAAGGGTGTTTTGACCATGTATGACTTTTTTTTTCTTCTATGCACTCACTGACTTTAGAACTTAACCCCTTCACAAAATGCTTCTGTTTTGTAGTCATAACTTTTTTATGTGGCTTTTCATTTACTCTGTTTGGAGAAGGTTAAATTTCATACAAGCAGTGTAGTTATTATTAGATTTTAACTGTTTGGTAAACTTTAAAGCGCTTCGGGTGGTATTCCAGGCATTGAGATGTGAAAGTTGTTGCTCAAGTCTATTATCTTTTGTAAAACTCGCCCACTCAGCCTTCTGCCATTAATGAAAAGGTTGGAAACTGCCAAAGGTGACAGTGGTGGAAACAACATTAGCTGGAAACTACTGCTGCTATCAAGGTTGTGTTAGCAACCTGGATGTAGCAGCCAAAAGGTCTCCTTCCATTTATACCGTGATGAAATTTTAGTTACTCGAGCAGCTTTATGCATTTCTTTGCCCTTGGGGATTAACAGATGATAAACCTTATTAGGTTTTTGTTTTTGTTTTTTTTTTCCCCAATAAAAAAGTTGTCAACATTTGCAGAAATACAGAGAATGGTATAATGAATCCTCATGGCCTCAACAGTAAGCTACATGTGGCCGTTCTTGTTTTTATATCCCTAGTCCATACTTCCCCTCCCACTTTGAAGCAAATCCTAGATCTTATTTCATTCGTAAGTGGATCAGATTCTTAATTTTTATATTGGCATTGTAGTGAAATATTGGTTTAAACTTTATTCCTCAGCCATCTTAGAAGTTGACCCAGAATGAGAAGACAATTCCCTGTTTAGCTGAACAGAACCTTTCTGCTGTTAATTATAACACTTCAGCTTTTAGGCAAGGAAGAAAAATAGCTCAATTGACAATTTTATTGATGAACATAAATTTTTATCATGTGAGGGATCTTTAAAAAAGCATTTGTGCTAGAGACATACCACCTTGTGTGTTTTAGCCAGTTGCATAGATTAAAATTGTTTTTTCATTTTTGATCCGTAGGAATCCTATGAGGATGGTTGTGAGGATTATCCTACTCTATCAGAATATGTTCAGGATTTTTTGAATCATCTTACAGAGCAGCCTGGCAGTTTTGAAACTGAAATTGAACAGTTTGCAGAGACCCTGAATGGTTGTGTTACAACAGATGATGCTTTGCAAGAACTTGTGGAACTCATCTATCAACAGGTATGTTGGCTTATAGCATGCAGTGACCTTCAGATAGCTTCCTTGAAGCCCAAGGATAGTGGCTACTCCTTGAGGGAGACCAGATTCATGATCACCTGCCTCCACACTTACTCTTTATAGTTTCCGGGAGTTCTAAGTCTGTCTTGTATAAAACTCCTATAGTTAGGGATCCAAGGGTAGAGCCAGACAGGATTGCAAGTTCACATGTGTAGTCAAGATTCAATATAGGTAATATTCACCTGTTTAGCCAAAGCTCTATACAAGCAGTATAGTATAGAAGGTGATATGGGCACTGAAAACGAAGGCTACATAAGTGTCACCCCCACCAAAACCCTGCCCCTTGTTTTGCAGGCTCTGAAATTAGCAGTACCAGAAAAGACTGCAATTCTTTTCCCCTATGTGTTGAATTGAATAGTAGTATTAGAGTAGGGGAGGAAAAAAATTGAGAGAATTTGCTTGCCTCATAAGTAGGTCTTTAAAAAAAAGAAAGCCAAACCATAAAATGTCTTGTCTTAGCATTTCTACTTGCCTTTGCTTTCTTTTAAAATTTAAGGATTTCATCTTAATTCCTTGAAAGTCTAATTTAGTCAGTTGAAATTGTTTCATTATACAACATTTAGTTTTTATCCCAGCATATTGGTCATTAACATATTAACGCTTTTTTTTTTTTTTTTTTTTTTTTTTTGATATGGAGTCTTGCCCTGTCTCCCAGGCTGGAGTGCAGTGGCGCAGTCTCAGCTCCCTGCGACCTCCGTCTCCCGGGTTCAAGCGATTCTCCTGCGTCAGTCTCCCAGGTAGCTGAGATTACAGGTGTGCACCACCATGCCCAGCTAATTTTTGTATTTTTGATAGAGACAGGGTTCCACCGTGTTGACCGGGCTGGTCTCGAACTCCTGACCGCAAGTGATCTGCTTGCCTTGGTCTCCCAAAATGCTGGGATTTTACAGACATGAGCCGCTGCACCTGGCCTCATTAATGCTATTTTAAAAGTGAAAAATACAGTAGACAACACTGGCTTAACACAAAATTTCTTAGTCAGTGTGAGACTGGTCAAAAAAAATGGGCCATGATCAGAAATGTAAACTTTAGGTTCTTTAAGTCACTGTTACAAGAGCAACTCAAATTTGGAATATATGGAAGGGAGATTATAATGCAAATTAATGATTATTTTCTATCCTAATGTTTCATTTGGCTGCTTTTCCAAGTTATTCTGGATGGTTACTGGACCCCAAGATTACCTAGCCAACTGTCAGTTTTGAGGAAGTACCTGAGATGTTAGGAAGACAGAACTGCACTGTTTGTCCTCATTTCTGCTTTCTGCTGATAAATGGATTGAAAAGGAATATGAGATAAGAAAATGAAACAAATGTATTTATTTCTTGTTGCCTTTCTGGCTTCCTCCACTATTTAGTTTCAGTTATTCAGTAGGCTGCGTAATTATACTTATTCAGGGCTGGACAAAGGGTCAGTAACCTGATAAGCGTCAACTATTTCTCTGATTGTCAAATATGTAGTCAGTATGTTTAATGTTTTAATATTCTATGATCAATGATGCATAGGTTTATCAATAGCTGCTAAGTTTCATTGAGGTAATTTATGGAAATTTACTCATAGCAACTAACAAACGAGGAAGTATTACAAAAGATGACAGATTAGGCCAGGCGCAGTGGCTCATGTCTGTAATCCCAGCACTTTGGGAGGCCGAGGCGGGTGGATCACCTGAGGTCAGGAGTTCAAGACCAGCCTGACCAACATGGAGAAACCCTGTCTCTACTAAAAAAAAATACAAAATTAGCTGGGCTTGGTGGTGCATGCCTGTGATCCCAGCTACTCGGGAGGCTGAGGCAGGAGAATCGCTTGAACCCGGGAGGCGGAGGTTGCAGTGAGCCGAGATTGCGCCACTGCACTCCAGCTTGGGCAACGAGCGAAACTCTGAATCAAAAAAAAAAAAAATGACAGATTAAATACACATTCAACTCTGATATCTCCCAAACACCACTAAAATGATGCTATGGGGATTTTTAAAAGGCGGAAGCTCATAGGGACAGAGAAGAGGAAAAGAAAAGCACTAGTTTTGAAGACTAGAAAGCAGGTGGGTGAGTGGTACCTGATTTGGCAGATCTAACGTTGAATTCCAAGCCAGTGGTGGTAAAGCTGAGAATCACCATGACTTACAGTGCAAAACCTAAAAGGTTCTAAAATAAGGATGGAATGAGGCTAAAAGGATTGCTTGAGAATCTAAAAAGTTAGACCATCCAGATCTTTTTACACTGAACAGCCGGTTTGAAATTTTGTTGTAACCCTTCTTATGAAATTAACAAAGGACGTACTCTGTCAAAAAGAGGAGTTATGCCACGGATGAAGACATGGGAACCAGGAAAAGGAACTCTACAGGAGAGACTAAGTGAACTGTCCAGATGATGGTTCAAAGGAGATCTCAAAACAATAGCAGCATGCATAGTAGGTCTGAAGCAGCCAGGCTTCACTGGACTAGGTCAGAAGGCTCCAGGAAAGACTTCCGTAATAAGATGAGCACACATGCTGTAAGACATAAGAAGAAATTTACAGAGTAGTGAGTTTAGGGATAAATCAATGAGAAGAATATAAAAGTGTAGTAAAAACTGAATCTAGGGAAGACAAAGTTGTGCAAAAGTAAAAGCAGTGTAATACATGGTTCAGCTATAAATGAAAACACAGCAAATGAATAAAATCATAACCATACTGTGATAGGAGGAAATAGTAGAGTGGGGTGAAATTAAGCAGGGTGAAAGCTAAAAGCTCATCTTCCATGATGGGAAACTGTAAGTTGAGTATCCCGTATCTGAAATGCTTGAGATTTCAAGCATTTCAGATGGATTTTTTCAGATTTAGCATATCCAGTATATAATGAGACACCTCAGGGAGGGTACCTAAGTATATTACAGCTGAAGGGGGTTGACAGGGTCTTTTTTCCTTTGGGGATGCTGAATAAATTATGTGTTGTACACCTGTGTTTTGACTGACCTGTCACATGAGGTCAGGTGTGGAATTTTCCACTTTTGGCATTATGTGGACACTCATATTTTCTGTTTTTGGAGGATTTTAGATTTTTGGACAGGGATGCTCAAGTTGCAGTAAGAAATAACATCTAAACTGAAAAATTACGTAGTGCGGAGATATGGGGATTAAAACATTTTTGGCTGAAGAAGTCAAAAGTGGTTGTCTTTGGGAGTAAAACCGGGATGTAAGTAGGAAACTGTTGAATGACAAGCCTTATAGAACTTGTCTTTAAATCGTGTTATAACACTAAAAAGAAGCTAAAGGAAAACATGCAGTGCCAATAATGGGAAAAATGTAAGGGTGAACCAAGTCTTGGGTACCAGCTAAACATACATGATGTCAGGAGAAATCACTCTTTCTCCCTTAATGTGACATATACTGGCCCCATGTGAGCAAGGAAATAATTAGAAATAAAAGTTAGTAAGTAGACCCAACATATAGAGTCAGAGGGGTAGCAGGACATTTGTTAGATCTAGATTCTATGTTCAATTACATTTGTGGCCAAGTCCCTTAGCTTTTTTTTTTTTTTTTTTTTTTTTTTTAAAAAGATGGGGGCTTTGTTTTGTCACCCAGACTAGAGTGCAGTGGCGTGACCACAGCTCACTGCAGCCTTGAACTCCTACACTCAAGTGATCCTTCCACCTCAGCCTCCAGAGTAGCTGGGACTACGGTGCATGCTACCGTGCCCAGCTAATTTTAAAATTTTTTTATAGAGATGGTGGTCACACTGTGTTGACTAGGCTGGTCTTGAACTCATGGCCTCAAGCGATCCTCTGGCCTTGGCCTTCCAGAGTACTAGGAATACAGGCATGAGCCACTGTGCCCGACTTCTTAACCTTTTAATGTGTGTTTTCTTACCTAATATTAGATGGTAAACTATGTTCTCTACTATTCTTTAGAAATTGCAATTAAAGTTAAACTTGCTGAACACTGCTTCAGTTATATCAACAATCTTTGATGTGTAGTGTTTTCTTACTTTTTTTTTTTTCTGTTTTTAAGTAGCTTAGCTGTTTTCATTTCCCCTTTACCCAATCATTCTTGGAGTGTTTAAGTGTTAGTTGCTTGTGCCAGTTACCATTAATCACCTCTTTAAAGTCTAACTGAAGCTCAGGGAGGTTTACTGATGTCCAAAGTCATGAAGCAAAATGCCAGGGAATCTTGTCCTGGACTGCCAAACACTAAAAAGTCTGTGCTTTCCTGCCCCAAGAAGCCCCACTGGTCAACAGTTTGGCAGTATTCTCATTCATAATTGTCACTGTGCAGTTGAGGACATGTACAGGTTTTCTGCAAAAAATGGGTTAGCATCAGGAGACATTATCTCTTCGCTTTCTGGTAGCCTCAGGTAACTGATGGGTTTTTTCTTTTTTTTTTTTTTTTTGTACTTATTGTGGTTCTTGCTGTAAGGTTGGGAGGGAAAGTGAATTTAATTTCCTTAAGCCTAACAATGACAAAAGACTTGTATATATGGTCAGTTTGGGGAGTCAATTTTTTCTTCTTTAGAATGTTGCTGTTAAGTATTTACATTAATAATGATGTACCTATGTCATATAACACTTTTCTTCTTTTTAAAAGGCCACATCTATCCCAAATTTCTCTTATATGGGAGCTCGCCTGTGTAATTACCTGTCCCATCATCTGACAATTAGCCCACAGAGTGGCAACTTCCGCCAATTGCTACTTCAAAGGTCAGTGTAAATGTGAAATTAAAGGAAAACTACTTCTAAATATACTAGAATTTGACCATTCCTCAGACCATATATTATAAAAAGCTGCAGGAAAGAATAGGGCAGCCTATTCTTATGTGCATTATATTTGAAGTTTATAGTTCAGTATACCAGTCTTTTTTCTGTAATGGTCTGTGAATTTGGTTTTGTGTTTAGAAAGATCTTTCCTTTTCCAAGATCTTAAAAATAAACACTTATGTAATTCTTATTACTTTGGTAGCTTTGGTTTGAATAAGGATCTAATTTTATTTAGATTAGAATAAAAGTGAATAATCCATTTTTCCTTATTGATTTGAATTGCCACTTTTATCACACTTGCATTATTTGGGTTTTGATTCTGGATTTTCATTCCATTTATCACTTATTCTGTTCCTTTTTATTACCATACAATTCATACAATAGCTATTAAAAAGCTTTTTTTTTTTTTTTTTGAGATGGAGTCTCACTTTGTCTCCCAGGCTGGAGTGCAGCGGCACGCTCTTGGCTCACTGCAACCTCTGCCTCCCACAGGTTCAAGTGATTTTCCTGCCTCAGCCTACCCAGTAGCTGGGACTACAGGCACCCGCCACCATGCCCGGCTAATTTTTGTATTTTTAGTAGAGACGGGTTTCACCATGTTGGCTAGGCTGGTCTCAAACTCCTGATCTCATGTGATCCACCCACCTCAGCCTCCCAAAGTGCTGGGATTACAGGCATGAGCCACCCTGCACTGCCAAAAGCTATCATTTTTAAAAATATCTTAGGGTAATTAGTTTTTTGTTCTTTTGTGGGATTTTTTTTTTTTTTTCCGAGACCGAGTCTTGCTCTGTCACCCAGGCTGGAGTGCAGTGGCTCAGTCTTGGCTCACTGCAACCTCTACCTCTGAGGCTCAAGCGATTCTCGTGCCTCAGCCTCCCCAGTAGCTGGGATGATGGGTGCGTACCACCATGCCCAGCTAATTTTTGTATTTTTAGTAGAGATGGGGTTCACCATGTTGGCCAGGCTGGTCTCGAACTCCTGACCTCAAGTGATCCGCCCACCTCAGCCTCCCAAAGTGCTGGGATTACAGGCGTGAGCCACCACGCCCAGCCTGTCAAATATTCTTTGCTATGCTTGTTTCGTCTAATGAACTTTAGAATCAGTGTTTGAAATTACACAAGTCTTGCTAGTATGTTAGATATTTTGGAGATAATACTCAATTTATAAGCTAATTTAGAGAAAACTAGTTTTCTTATAATTTGATGTCTTCAGTAACAAGGTTATCTTCAAGTTTATTATAGTTCGTCCATTAGTTTTTTAAGTGACTTTTAATGATTGCAAAGCATTCCATTGTGTGGTTAAACTGCAGTGGAACAGAATAAAGATTCTAGAAGTAGACCCCAGAGACCCTTGAAAATTCAAGCTTTTGATAAAAAGGATAAATTGTGCTGGTAGCATAACTGGATAGTCATTTGGGAAAAAAAGATGAGTTCCCATCTCACTCTCTGTGCTGAAATCCCAAATATGTCAGAGACTTATTAAAAGTGAAATGATAGGTGGGGCACAGTGGCTCATGCCTGTAATCCCAGTACTTTGGGAGGCTGAGGTGGGCGGCTCACGAGTTCAGGAGATTGAGGCCATCCTGGCTAACATGGTGAAACCTCATCTTTACTAAAATAACAAAAAAAAACCCTAAAAATACAAAAAAAAAAAAAAAAGCTGGGCGTGGTGGCGGGTACCTTTAGTCCCAGCTACTTGGGAGGCTGAGGCAGGAGAATGGCGTGAACCCGGGAGGCGGAGCTTGCAGTGAGCAGAGATCGCGCCACTGCACTCCAGCCTGGGTGACAGCCAGACTCCGTATCAAAAATAATAATAATAATGAAAATACTTGGAATAGCGCCAAATAGATATAGATACAGTTTGGAAAAATACAAATGTCAAAGTTATAAAAAGATATCTAACCATACTTATAATTAAAGAAACACAAATTATAGCTTCTGTAAAGATTCAGAGTGGGTACTTGTAGGCGGTAGGACGCCAGGAATGCTCACTCATATTTTTCAGTGCTTCTCACCCCCGGCTGTGCCTTAGAGTTACCTAGATACTTAAAGCCGAGATCCTGTCTGAACCCTTTGAAATTCTGGTGTAATTAGACGAGGTGGAGCTAGGACATGGTTTTTTAAAGCTTCCCAAGTGATTCTACTGTATAGCTATGATTGAGACCCACTCTTCTCATTGACTGTTACCCACCATATGTGCTTCTGTAGTACTGTAATCCTGTCAATAATAATGTAGAGAAATACTAGTGAGCTAACAAGTAAAAAGCAAAGCATAATTCTGCTACCTCTTTAAAAAATATATACATACTTTGAAAAAGATGGAACGGAAGTTACCTTCACAGCAGTTATCTCTTGTTTTTAGTAGTAGTGCAGGTGACTTTGTTCTTTATACTTTTTCTGTTTTAACCTTTCCAAAATAAACATACATTGCTTTTATAATTGAAAATCTTTAGCTTAAAAATTTGACTTTTCACCTAGTCAATTATGTAGGTATTTGTTTGCATGTACATAATCATATCCTAACGTACAGTCTGTCATAGCATTTTATGAAAAAAAAAGTTATTTCATCAACTCTTACCGACAAAGTTGTAACAGAAAAGCAGCCAACAGGTGTTTTTAAATAACTGATTTGGCATTAATTAACTGATCTCTTCCATTATTAACCAGAATGTACTATCTATAAATATCCCAACTTTTTTCTGATGAGGAATTTAATATGTACAAGATGATAACAAATATCTTACCACATTTGACTTAAACAGAAGATGTTGCTCAGTTAATATACCTCGTAAACATTGGAATTGGCCACGTAAGCACAGTAAGCTGTGCTGGGGTTTCGTGGTTGGCAAACTGACCCAGAGTCAATTACTGAACAAGAGGTAATTTATTTTTTCTTTGTTAAAAATTGTTTACAAAGTCAACCTAAACTGGCTGCGTGGAAACCATTCAGTACCCATAGCTTTTCCCTTTGTCTTGAAAAGGAAAACTGTCAAAACCAGTTTTGTGAAGCAAGTTACTTTCCCAGAGTTTTCTCACCTTATCAATAAAGATTACAAATACTTAATAACAAAATGATAAACTTTTACAGTCCATTTAAAAAATCTATGTTAGTAACAATATCTGACACTGTAGTTCACTTATGAAGGCAGTGACAGGATTATTGTGCCTAGTTTAGTTACCTTGTAGGAACTATGACTGACAATAAGCTCCAAGAAGAGGATTTCTTCTTTTTCTCCTCTGTGTGAAGCAAATGGGTCAAGTCAGGGGCAAAGAGAGCAAGGAAAAATCAGTTATTTGAAGCTGTCAGTCTCATTGGAAATAGAAAACAAGTCCGGTGCTTTCTATATTGTGGTTTTAATGGGGGAATTTTTTCCTCACATTAGTACTTCTCTGATACGTATAATGGAAATTACAAGAATAATGGACTTAAAAACAATTCATTTTATTTTCAGTTGGAGGTTGTGTGTGTGTGTGTGTGTGTGTGTGTGTGTGTGTATTTAAAGATCCTTTTCAAAGTTGTAGTATTAAAAAAAAAATTACAGAGACAATTTGGGTAAAATCAGTGCTTTCTTAGTAAAAAACCTATAAGACAAGGTGAGGCTCTCTCTCCCCTCTTTGGGCTGCCAGTATGCTGTGAATCAGATTACACCTATGTTGCTTAAACATATTAAATTTGATAAAAATCGTTGAAAATAAAACTATCAGTTTTTTCAAACTGGGAGACTTAGTATGAAAAGATGGTGTATATTCTAGCCTCTTCAATAGTCAGGAACAGTTTCTTTATTGTAGAAAGAGCATTGGGACATTGTCCTTGCCTCTTGCTGTGGACAACCAAACTGACAAATGGTTATTTTGTTTGACTATTTAAAAAGCAAAGCAATGTGAGATTATAAAAGATATGTCTTTAATTAGATGTCGGACTGAATATGAAGTTAAAGATCAAGCTGCAAAAGGGGATGAAGTTACTCGAAAACGATTTCATGCATTTGTACTCTTTCTGGGAGAACTTTATCTTAACCTGGAGGTGAGAAGTTTTTCTTTTGTTAAGTACTAACAAGGCCTGAGAACATAAGTTGATCTCAATGAGGAATTTGTGTTCACATTGTACTTTTACAACATTAAGAGTGAAATGAAAGAGAGAGGAAAGAAAACATGTTTCGGCACCTGCTAGTGTCTGTGGTTTACTGGACCGTCTGTCCATAACATTTACTCATGGACAGAATGTTAGGAAATAATTACTGAGGTAAAAATCTGCGTACTTTTAGGAAGCTGTGGTTTACATGCAAATTTAAGTTCTTGAGATATCAACAGTGATACCTTTTTGAGTTCTTACATCTTATATATTAATACATTTAGTATGTTGACTTTCAGATGGTGGCTCAAAGCAGTTTACTCTGCAGAACTCTGAGTGAAAAGAGAGACTAGAGTCTCTCTAGGCTTTTCACTCTAATTCACCCAAATAGTTTTTTAAAAATATTTTTTTAATTGACAAAAATTATATCTTTATGGTACACAACACTTTGATATATGCATACATCGTAGAATGGCTAAATCAAGCTATTTAACATATGCATTACTTGACATACTTTTTTGTGTTAAGAACACTTAAAATTTTTAGCAGTTTTCATGTATACAATATATTGTTAACTATAGTCATCATGGTGTACAAGAGATCTCTTGAACTTATTCCCCCTAAATGAAATTCTGTGTCCTTTGACCAACATCTCCCCAATACCCCAACCCCTAAGAATAGTTCTTTTTTGTCCTATTTTATATATTAATCTTCCACATAAAAATGCATTTGTACAAAGTCTACAGCTAAACGTATTTATAAATTTGGGTGGTATACTTAAGTATATGCTTGTTAGTAGGCAATAGAAGTGCTGGATTCAGCACGGCATTATTACTGTGTAATAGATTTGCTTGATTTTTTTTTTTTTTTTTTTTTTTTGGGTGGGGACAGTCTCGCTCTGTCACCCAGGCTGGAGTGCAGTGACGTGATCTCGGCTCACTACAACCTCCGCCTCCCGGGTTCAAGCGATTCTCCTGCTTCAGCCTTCTGAGCAGCTGGGATTACAGGCACGTACCACTATGCCTGGCTAATGTTTATATTTTTAGCAGAGATGGGGTTTCACCATGTTGGCCACGCTGGTCTCAAACTCCTGACCTCAGGTGCTACCCGCCTCAGCCTCCCAGAGTGCTGGGATTACAGGCATGAGCCACCATGCCCAGCCTCTGCTTGATTTTTTAAATTAGTGAATATCAGATATAAGCTTATACCTTCTTACACCCTGATTTGAGAACTTAAGATCGTAAACGCCATAATATCAGAAACATCATAAGACAATGTGAATCTATCAAATGTGCATCTCAGTCATTGTATCTAAAAGGTCTATGTCCAGTCCAGAGCCTAACTTACTATGCCTTTTTACCACAGGTAGACTTAGTTTTTTGAAAAATCTTATGCCATGTTCTTTTTCAGTCTAATTTTTGTTTAAGCCAAAATATGGACAGCAATCTAAAATAAATACTGTTGAGCATTTTCTATATGGAGATAATGATGCTAGGTCAATGGGGGATGTAAAGATAAGGCTTAGTTCCTGCACCTAAAATTCTTCTACACAGTGATATAAGATACATATACCACTCTGATGCAAAATACCATATTTTAAAATATTTTAAAAGCAGAATAAAATGCTGTGTGTTCAAAAAAAAGTGGTAGTTGAACAAACTAAAGAAAGCTTTATGAAGTAGTAACATCAAAGTGGGCTTAAATTATGCTGACTCTGGTATTAAATTTTACCCATAGCTTACCAGTTTTATTAGAGGTCTTAGTTACATATAAAGTAATTCTAACAAATTCTGTGAAGATATCAGAGTGTGTTCCTGTGACTTTTGTGATTTAGCTAAAATGCTTATTTTGCCAACACCTTGTTAGTTCATTTATGTATCTGTATTATATTTTGGCATCATTCCTTTTGTTCTTTTTTTTGGTCCCGAAAGATCAAGGGAACAAATGGACAGGTTACAAGAGCAGATATTCTTCAGGTTGGTCTTCGAGAATTGCTGAATGCCCTGTTTTCTAATCCTATGGATGACAATTTAATTTGTGCAGTAAAATTGTTAAAGGTAGGTTTTTTTTTTTAATTTAACTAATTTACGTATTTACTTATGATTTAGAGGAAGGTTAGTCTATATAGTATACAGATGAATTCAAGATTTATCACTTTAAGGTAAATATTGACATTTTACTTTTTTCTCGAATATTTTGGAAAAGCGAGATATACTTATTGTTTAATATATGAAGCAAGTTCAGAAGTGAAAAATGGAAGTCCTTTACGCCATTTCCATTTGCAAATTCTGTCTTCTTCCCTTCTTATCTCTGTATATGTGCTCTTATTAAATAAGATCTTACTCTGTTCTGGCTTTTTGTTTTTGTTTTTGCCACCTAATGAAACATCTTAGATTTTTCCATGGCACAGAGATTTACCTCTTTTATTGAATAACTTCCTAGTATTCTGTCATATGCATATGCATTGTTTATCCATTCCGTAACATCTATCAATGTTTACTAATGAATATTTGGATTATCTTCAGTTTAGCCATGGCAGCATTGCTTGTAATCTTTCCTCTTGTCATATATATGTGCAGATACTTTTGTAGGTTAAATTCTTAAACACGGATTTGGTGGGTGGACGAGCATATGTATTTTACGACAAGTAATGGCTAATTTGCCTTCCAAATGCTGAACCAGAGTATAGCCCCATCAGCAGAATGAGTACATCTCTTCCTACATCCTTATAGTGATGGATATAATCAATCTTGGTTTTTGTTTTGTCAGATGATTTTAAGCATTTCTTCATGTTTATTAGCCATTTGTTTATTATTTCCTATAAATTACCTGTTTAAATCCTTAACTGATTTATTTCCTGATGAAATGCATGTTTGTGTTTTTTTTTTTTATTCAAAGCTTCTATACTTGTTGCTTGCTGTATATTTCAAAAAAAGTGACATGTTCATTAAAATCTAATAGCCTATCTTAGTCATACAGGGAATATAACAGTCGTTGACATAAAACCCATGATTAAAGTTCTGCTATTGTTTTTTTTGTTTTAGTTTCTCTCAGTCAAGAGAAATATAGAGGGCGTAGAGATCACTGAATATTAGATGGTAGACAGAATAATTAGGAATATTAAACTTGCTAAATTCATCTTGTTTAGAGAATGCTTGAACTGTTACTGGTATCTTTTTAGAATTTCTATAATACACTATTGAATTTCTTATTTTACTGACACCTGCTTTTTTAGTTGACAGGATCAGTTTTGGAAGATGCTTGGAAGGAAAAAGGAAAGATGGATATGGAAGAAATTATTCAGAGAATTGAAAACGTTGTCCTAGATGCAAACTGCAGTAGGTAGGAAAAGAAGTAATGTAAATAGCCAGTGCATCTCAATTTCTTGCTTTTTCTTTGGAGATTGTTTTTTAATTTGCTATACTTCAGCAGGGTAAGTTGATGGCTAACGGATATACAAAAATGCTTTTCTTTAAAGGAATAATATTTTACCTATAGTTTCTGCTCACTAGACATTTTTGTGATAGACGTGTCAGATATTTTTGCTCAATTACATTTAGAAATTGAAAAAGCTAATTTTCTTAAGATATGAATTAAATGAAAAACAAAATCCAAATATTAACTGTCCAACAAATAAAAGTACTACTGTAAGTATAGTAGGACACATAAAAATGTTTGAAGGATAGCCACTGCCTTTAAGGTCCATATAGTCATAGTTACGTGGAACATAATTCAAGGCTATTTTTTTTTTAAATGAATTTATGTCATATAGGAAACGTCTAGAAAGTCAAGGCATCAGATGTACCTGTTAAATTAAGGAAATAAAGTTTTGGGAATCTGAGATATTTTAGGGTCTGACAGCCCTTATGGTGGATACACTAACTCATTTTCAACTTTGTCTACAGAGATGTAAAACAGATGCTCTTGAAGCTTGTAGAACTCCGGTCAAGTAACTGGGGCAGAGTCCATGCAACTTCAACATATAGAGAAGCAACACCAGAAAATGATCCTAACTACTTTATGGTATGCCAGTGTTTATATTTTAAGTTTTACTTATTGCTTGAATTCCGTTTTGGAAATTAGAAGAGCTACATAAAGCTGTTCTCAGAATTCAGTGCCTAATAACTGTCTTCACTGGCTTTGAGTGACATGGCAGCCATCAGACTGGGTAAAAAAGAAAAGAGACCTGGAATTCTCCAGTGAAAGGGTGGACTAGAGAAAGATATATCCAATGGCAAGAGAGATTGACAAGGCTTGGACTTAAGTGAGCACAGGGATGCCAGGAAGCAGCTTTTCCAGAGAATTTATAACCAAGGACCTGCATCTCAGACTTTTACTTTGCATGTTGTAGTAACGAAAAATAAAATAAAATTGGTTGGCTGGGCGTAGTGGCTCACACCTGTAATCCCAGCGCTTTGGGAGGCCAAGGTGGGCAGATCACCTGAGGTCAGGAGTTCAAGACCAGCCTGACCAACGTGGAGAAACCCCGTCTCTACTAAAACTACAAAGTCAGCTGGGCGTGGCAGTACTTGCCTGTAATCCCAGCTACTCGGGAGGCTGAGGCAGGAGAATTGCTTGAAGCCTGGAGGCAGAGGTTGTGGTGAGCTGAAATCACGCCATTGCACTCCAGCCCAGGCAACAAGAGCACAACTCTGTCTCAGGGAAAAAAAAAAAATGGCTACTAGGCCAGTGATGCCCTGAAGCTCCTGACATGAACAAACATAAAGCAGCTGTGGAGAAATGTTCCTCCAGCCCTGGTCCTGGAAATTCTTAAAAGAAATGGTGGGGTTGGAAACCACAGCTAAAAATGCACTGACACTAAATGACAATGCACAACAGAACAGTTCACTGAAAGACAATAGACAGCACCGTTAGAACCACAAGAACTTGAGATAATGGCATGGAAATCTGAAAACCATAGACTTTCTCAGTGAAGTGAAAATGGCTACCAGGAAGTTAGGTTCCTTTGCTTGTTCTTGCATTATTAGGTGCAGACGGGTGACATCAGCCATGCTTCATTATTGTACTTACAAAAATCAATTCTGAAATGATTACATATTTTTATCACTTTGATTCATCCTAGAATGAACCAACATTTTATACATCTGATGGTGTTCCTTTCACTGCAGCTGATCCAGGTATGTTGTCTCACAGTCATTCCCTCCTCCCAGTTGTTTGGTAAAGTAGTAAATTTACAGAAAACCACATCCTCACCAGCACAAGATTGTAACTTTTTGATGTCTTCACATCATTCTAAAATACCAGTGTAATGGTTTGTCTAATATAGAATGCTCTTCATAGTGACCACTTGAAACATTTCAAATGAAAGTATGATTCCACATATAATGTCTTGTCACTTAACA
Organism: Homo sapiens; assembly: GCF_000001405.40. Classification (NCBI taxonomy): domain Eukaryota; kingdom Metazoa; phylum Chordata; class Mammalia; order Primates; family Hominidae; genus Homo; species Homo sapiens. The sequence goes on along the minus strand of NC_000005.10, from coordinate 43,533,512 downwards.
ACAGAGGATGGGAAGAATTCTCAATTAAATGCAACTATTTTAATTTTATATTTCCTCTAACTTTTTTATAATCTTAAATTTTCAGGTGATTAGAATGGAGGGGAAAGACGATTCTAGTTCACTGCATAGTCAGCAACATATATTAATATGGGTTAATACTTTACACGAAGAATTACACATTTCATTCATACTTGGTGTGTGACAGTTAATTAAAATCCAAATCTCTGCACATTTCCTCTTCCAGAAGAGGACCATTTATAGAAAGATTGCCTTAATTGTATTAGATGGAACTGTAGAGTGAGGAAGAGAAATTTTTCCCTTTGGTACAAACTGCAACCAGCTTATGGTTGGAATTTTTCCATTTGTTTCCTCTGGATTCCAAGCATTGACTGTCCTGTGTCTCTAGCACAGAGAAGTTTTTTTAGGGCAAGGAAGTAGAATTAAGTTACACGCTATGGGCATCTTAAACTTCACTAAATGTTACTAAATTGTTTTCTAGCATGATTATGCCACTTAATCTTCCCATCAGCAGCACATGAGGGTTCCTGCTCCTCATCTTTGGCAATACTTTTTATTAAACTTAATTTTTGTCCATCAGATTGTATGAAATTCTATCTTGCTGATATTTTATTTCCCTGACAAGTGATATTGAAGTTTTCTTGTTCTTGTTGACCTTTTTGATTTCTTTCTTTGAGAATTGCCTGCTAATACTCTTTGTTCATATTTCTGTTGGATCATTTGTCTGTCTTACTGATCTGTAATTCCTTTTGTAGTCTAGAACAAAGTGATTCTTAGCTGAGGGTTTTGGTTACCTTCTTTCTCTCAGTATTTGCCTGTCTTTGCATTTTGTTTATAATGTCATGTAGAACCTTTGAGTTTTAATGTGAACAAAATTTATCAGTCTTGTTTGTAATTTCTGTGGTTTAAGAAAGTTTCCTTACCATTTCTGTTTTCTTCTAAAAATCATTGTTCTTTTTTATTTTTAGGTCTTTAATCTACCAGTGCAATTTTTATATAGGATGATATCATAGGAATTATCTTTTCCATTGCCTGTTGTCTCAACAATTGGTATTAAGCCATCCTTCCTTTCCTAGTTATAATAAGCCCCCTTTGTTGTATACTATGTAACTCTTCTATCAAATTGTGTCTTATTCCTGTGTTTGTGTGAATCTTTTTTTCTGTTAATCTCTTTCTATGCCAATACTACACTTAAATTATTTTTACCTTACTGTGAATCTTGCTATGTCTGGTAAGACAAATCTTTCCTCTTATTCTTAAAAATTACCTTGATTTATTTTGATTATTTGTTTTTTATTTTTTCTAACCTGTTTAATTGTTTCTAGTACTGTTCGATTTACAGAAATTCAGTTTGGTTGTTCAGTTTCTTTTCAAGGAAAAGAAGTAATGTAGACAGCCAGTAGATCTCAGTTTCTTTTTCTTAAACGTTTTTTAATCTGCTATACTTCATGAAAGTAAAAGAAATCTTACAGTTTTACAGAAAAATCAAGCTAAATTTTGTTTCTGCATTTTGTTCAAATAATCTTGACCTTTTCTCAGAGTTTCAAGTTATTTTTTCTCATCATTCTAAACATGCTTACTTCTGTCTTATATTTTTGTTTTATCTCTTAATTATAACCCTTCTGTTATTTCTGATCATCACACATAAAATTTTTGCCTTAACCGTCTTAAACTTTTATTTGGAAATGATTTCAAACTTACAGAAAAGTTACAAAAGTAAAATTGTACAAGGAATACCTTTTACCCAGGTGTACTTTTTGTTAACAGTTACTTGCTTTATCATTTGTGCTCTTTCCACACACTTTTCTTTTTTTCTCTTTTTTTTTTTTTTTTTTTTTGAGACAGAGTCTCACTCTGTTACCCAGGCTGGGGTGCGGTGATGCAACCTCGGCTTACTGCAACCTCCACCTCCTGAGTTCAAGCAATTCTCCTGCCTCAGCCTCCCAAGTAGCTGGGATTACAGGCCTGTGCCACCACGCCTGGCTAATTTTGTATTTTTTTTTTTTTTTTATTGAGACAGGGTTTCACCATGTTGGTCAGGCTGGTCTTGACTTCCTGACCTTGTCCACACACTTTTTTTTTTTTTCTTAAACCATTTGAAGTTTCATATTAATATGACCCTGATTAAATGCTTCAGTGCTTTGTCTTTTTTCTTTTTTCTTTTTTCATTTTTTTTTTAATGAAAAACACTGTGGCTTGGATTATAGGAACCTCTGTCCAAAATGGTTTATATTTCCTTCTGCCAGGAGCCACAGAGTAGGTATCACTGACTTGGACAAATTTTTTGTTTTCTTGTCATAGGGGTTCTTTATGTGGGTAGTAGGAATTTGAGGTGCAGGCCCATTGTTAAAAATTCTCTGGGGCACCAATTTCTACAAAGTGCTCTGTCCCTATTCCAAACCCAGGCAGACATGACCAAGCTTCCTGCTATCTCGCAGGGAAGATAAAATACCACTGAGATATTTCTTGGTCTTTTTTCCTGATTCACCTTTTGTTTAAGATACCAGACCTTTGAGGGTCCCAGGTTTGTGCAGGTGAGGTTGGGCATGGAGCATGGATTTCATTTTCCTGTTTCACATGGGGCCCAAGACCTTGCTTTCTGGCTTTCTGTGGGTTTTAAAATCCAAGCCCCTTAGTTACCGAGACCAACATCATCTGTCAGCCTCCCAGCTGCAGCAGCTGCAGTTTATATATGGCTTTCAGTTCCTTCTTCATTTGTGACCTGATGACTTGGATTTTCTTTTTTGTGAACTTATCCATACATTTAAAAGAATGCCTGTCTTTTTGTAGCAGGAAGGTTTTACTGTTAAAACGGTCTCTAAATTGTCAAAATTGGGTATCAAAATGTCCCCAGCCCTTGAAGCTGGAGTTACGGTTTTATACAGACTGACACAGTCTTGGAAGAACATGGCTTTTACCCAGTCTAATATAATTGCAAAATTTCCGTTGGCTTCTGTTCATAAGAAACTATAAGGTAACTAGTCTTAATATATACTGATTCATTTTTTTATTCAGAGGTTAGGACTTCATAAAGAAATACTTAACTTAAAAGGTACCCAATAACTCTTCCTAAGACAATTGGCAGATAGGTGTAATATCACCTGTATTACCTTGGAGGACCCAATGAAAGGAAAGTTGGCAGAGCTGAAACGTTTACCAGGTAGCTGCCTTCCCCATCTCTCTGGGAAGAAAGGGAAGGAAAATCCCCCATTGTTAAAACTTTTGGTAGGTTAACTTCATCTGAGGAACAGAGACCAATTGTTGTTACCTGCTTTCTTTACTTCCTTGTGGAGGAGTACAGAGGGAGCTGGAAACCAGTAGTATTTGATTAATATCTTTCCAATGGAAGGACTGTTCTTCCCCAACAGTTATATAACCATTATTTTGTCTGATGGAAAGCAGCAGTAGAGGATATAAACACATTGGCTATGAATGTACATCACCTACAGTGGCTTTGATTTCCAACTTATATCTATAGTACTATATGTAATTACTTTAAGATTTCTGAGCATGCAGGGGGGCAAAAGTCATAATATTAAAAAACATTTAGGGGTGATTGGTCATTTCATGTGATATTTTTTCAGTATTTAGTTTTTCTCCTATGTTGTCTTACAGATTACCAAGAGAAATACCAAGAATTACTTGAAAGAGAGGACTTTTTTCCAGATTATGAAGAAAATGGAACAGATTTATCCGGGGCTGGTGATCCGTAAGTTTTCTTCAGTTACTAACTTCGTGAAATTTCTGTGTCTAATTTATAGGTGGAGATTAGACAAAGTAGCTCATGAAGGAATGGTGTTTGGGGCCAGGCGCAGTGGCTCGTGCCTGTAATCCCAACACTTTGGGAGGCTGAGGAGGGCAGATCACTTGAGGCCAAGAGTTCAAGACCAGCCTGGCCAACATGGCGAAACCCTGTCTCTACTAAAAGTACAAAAATTAGCCAGGATCACAGAATCACAGCTACTCGGGAGGCTGAGGCACAAGAATTGCTTGAACTTGGAAGGCAGAGGTTGCAGTGAGCCGAGATCGTGCCACTGCACTCCAGCTTGGGAGACATAACTAGATTCTGTCTCAAAAAAAAAAAAGGCATTTTGATTTGATGGTGCTATGTGGTAGTGTTTATGTACTAAAAATTTTCAGAAAATTGTATTAACTCACAGACTAGTTCTGAAAAATGTATAGTTGAGGAAAATAACCATTAAAATATAGTATACTTAAGCATAATTATTTTTTTAAAATAGATTCTATTGTATTTAGACTTTAAGAAGCTCTAAAACTTACTGTAAGATCTTGGGCAACTTCTGTTCTGCTTCTCCATCTATAAAATAAGAATAGTAGTACCTGTTGAGTCTTTTTTTTTTTTTTCTTGAGAACTACATGAGAATACATAAATACTTAGCCTTCCGGCACACAGTAGAAGGCTCAAATCTTAGCTATTAAAGGGTAAGTTAAGAGTAAAGAAAACAGATTACTATGTAAAAATGTTTGAACTGATAAGAAGATGTTAATTATAGGACTGTTTATATATCTGTTTCTTCACCTGCCACTCTTTGTAATTAAAGATCCCTTTAAACATATTACTCACTTACCATCAGAGTGCACTACATTTTCTTATAGAAGGACCAGGAAATTGTGAGGTTTAGTACCAATTCTGTTAACAACTTGTGTATATTTGGACAGGCTACTTAGTTTCTTTTCTTCCTAAGTAGGAGATGGGAGGGAATAAATTATATCTTGAACTTATTTTTTTTTTAATATCTCCTGTGTTGTAGATTTTTTTAAAAAAGTGAACCACTTTTATTCTAGTGATATTTTAATTATGTGTCGGTTTGAGATCTAGAAATACAATTGTTGCTGTACTTCTATATTCTAGTTTAATAGAAAACAAAAAAAATACAGGGATTTAAGGACCCAGGCAGAACTAGGAAAGTTCCATCTACTTGGGTATACCGCTGGAAGATAAAGTTGTTCTTGGCATTGAACTTCAGGTTATCCTCTTAAGTTTATTTGGTAAGCATCATATTCTCTTGCCCTAATGAGCTCATGGTTATTTCAACACATGGCCCTGTATTGGAAATGGGGAAGAAACAGAAAAGGACTCATCAGCAGTTGGTAGGGTTGGCAAGATTGTTTTTTCATGCTTGTAGGTGGAAGGGATTGGATTATTGGAGGGGTGGGGAAGATGTTGATAGAATCATGTTATGGAGGAAAAGGGGTAAGACCTGGAGTCAAATTCTGGCCCCGCCACACACTTAAAATTTTACATTGTTCATTTAACCTTCCAGAATCTCTTTATTTTCCATCTCCAAAATGAAGATGATCGTAATGCATATCTTTTTAAGATGGCTATGGACATTCAGTAAGAATGTGTAGATTAAATCCTTAATTGACACTTTAAATCTTTCCCGCCATACTTAACTATGGGAAGCCTTGCTTTCCACCATTTTAAACTACCTAATAGTTGGAAAAAAATCTGGAATAGATGATCTCAAAAGTAGCTTCCTGTGAAAATCTGATTCCAAATAAATGGGAATGTGACTAAATTGTCATCATGGGAATAACCCAGCAGAAATCATAGCAGGAATAGCACTTTCTGTTATTAAGTAGACACAAAATATTAGTGCATCACTAGAGGTGAATGGCATATTTGAAATTATGTTCTATTAATAGTTATATTCTAATTGTTTGTTGGTAAGGTAAATTTATTAATATCGATCTTGAGCCCCAAGTTTATATGTCAAGCCTTTGATTAACTTTCAGGTTATAGAATTTAACTTATGTCTAAAAGTATATATATTCTTTACTATAATTTCACACACAAGGGACTCAGAATCTGTAAAATTTTACTTACCAAATTAAGCATTTGGTTGTCCGAAGACTGCCATTAATGTAATTCTAAAGTTAGGCTTGTGTTCTATTATAAGTCAGTCTAGGAAAGTTGTATTACATTATTTTTTTCATGATTTAGCATCTTACTTTCTGAGTTGAAAAACCTTACACTTATGAATCATCTTTGCTTTTACAGATACTTGGATGATATTGATGATGAGATGGACCCAGAGATAGAAGAAGCTTATGAAAAGTTTTGTTTGGAATCAGAGCGTAAGCGAAAACAGTAAAGTTAAATTTCAGCATATCAGTTTTATAAAGCAGTTTAGGTATGGTGATTTAGCAGAACACAAGAGAGCAAGAAAATGTCACATCTATACCAAATTAAGGATGTTGAGTTATGTTACTAATGTATGCAACTTTAATTTTGTTTAACACTATCTGCCAAAATAAACTTTATTCCCTATAACTTAAAATGTGTATATATATATAATAGTTTATTATGTACAGTTAATTCTACTGTTTTGGCTGCAATAAAATCGATTTTGAAATAAATGAAATGTTGAAAATTTTGCTAGTTGGTTAGATGCTTATCCTTTAAATTCTACTTTTCTTGAGGGGAAAAAGTCTTCTTCTGGAAATACATATTACTGCAAAAATGTAGCATCCTTTTTTAGGTAGGAGTATTATAGCTTTCATTTTAGTTTGACATTTAGTGTCCCAATGAATTGAATTTCAAATATGAATCATAATCTTGAAAATCTTTAGCACTAAAGTCTTGGAATATATCAACAACTGATTTACATATGCAGATGCTATTTGATACCAAGGGCTTTTTAAATGTCATGGGGGGGAAAAACCCAACTTGGTGAACTCCCAGCTAAACAACCAAGACTTCACTGAAGATTTATTCCAATTCTAGAATTGTTCTTTTTTATTTTTATTTTTTCAACTGACTAACTTCATTACCTTAAAGGCTAGAACATTATTCTGCTTTATTTATATGGCTTTCTCACTTTTATTTTGTAGCATGGGTTGCATCGACTTTTTTACTAGAGAATTTTACTAGATATTTGTCATTCAAGTTTTCATCTGCTTTATAATTGATACACCTTGAGGGTCACTTTTCTAATACTTTTACTATAATGTGGTACCACCTCAGCCCTAATAAATAATATTTTTACCTAATGTCAAATCTTTTTCCAGCTAACTAAAAACTGTGTACAAAAGGATTGCTTGTAAATATGCATGTAAATAGTTCTGTTAATAACCCACTGTTTTACATTTGGTACATCTGTGTCTGCTAATACAGTTAGCTTTCTCACTTTTCTGCTTGTTTGTTCAGTCTGAATTAAAATTAGACTTTGAAAATAAAGCTTAAATAGTTGTTTCCTCTAAATTTTTGAAGTAGCATCTGGTATTTTAAATAATTTGCTGTTGAACTTAAATGACATAATTAATTTACTTAATGGTTTGAAATCAAAGAAATCATATTAGAAGATATTTTATTCATTCTCTGAATAAGAATTCAGTAACAAGTCTACCTTGAAAAACTAGCAAATATAAAACATTAAAACTTTAAAATTCCTTCTATAAAGGAAATAATGTACGTAATTGTGGTTTTTGGAAGTTGTAGTAAGAAATGTTTTTCAAAATGGCTCCTGTAACATGGCAGCTATTAACATAATCTGCAGTTCTCTAAAGATAGCACTGACTATAAATATTGGAGGGAGAGGAGGTGTAGAGAAGAGATGGTACATTAGACCAGGGACAAGGAATGCTAACTGCATATACTTGAAACTTCTAGCAGCTGCTCTGTGAATAACTGTCCAGTATTTGTCTACTAGCTCATTGTCACCAACTACTGCTCTACTCACAGTAGCTACCGACAAGATCAATATCTGTTCCCGGTATTATGCTTAATAAAAAAAGCACAGAAATCTAGCATCTTAAAACAATCATTTTATTATGCTCATGGACTCTATAGTTCAGGAACTTGGAGAGGGCACAATGGGGATGGCTTTATTCTATGATGTCTGAGGCCTAGGCAAGGAAAACTAAGGGCTGAGGGTAATTTGAATATCTGAGAGCTATAATCATCTGAATTCATGGTACTGAGATGACTTTTAAAGCCAAGACTAGATTGGAATCGTTCACCAGAACCATCTACACTTGTCCATGTAGCTTGAACTTCTCACAGCATGTTGCCTGGATTCTGAAGGGCCATTTCAAAAGACCCAGAAAGCAGCTGCATTTGGAAGTTACACAGCATTAGTTCCATTATATTCTCTTGGTCCTAAGGGAGTTACTAAAGCCATATCACATAGGCCATCAAGGAGCATGTGGCCATATTTTAAAACTGATGGCTTGAGCCTGGTGGTCTTTGGTTGACCAGACTTTGCATAATTGACTACACCAGTACATAATGAAAGGAAGAGTTGCCCCCGTCCACAATTGTTGGCCTTTAGGATTGTCATGCCTTAAACAGAAACGTGTCAGCAAGTCTTGAGGAAAGATCATTTTCCAATGAGCAAGGACACAGAGCTGCTAGTAAATATAGTCTTGCGTTCTGGCAAAAAAAAAAAAAAAACCACAAATATTGGTCTTAACCTAGAAGTTGTCATCAACTCTGACCCTCTGTCTTTATGTTGTTAATGCTCTCCAGCCATAGACTACCAGGAACACACTGTACCTGAACATGTTGAGCTTACTGGGTTTTGTTTTTTTTTTTGTTTGTTTGTTTGTTTTTTGAGGCAGAGTATTGTTCTTGTTGCCCAGGCTGGAGTGCAGTGGCGTGATCTCAGCTCACCTCAACCTCTGCCTCCCGGGTTCAAGCAATTCTGCCTCAGCCTCCCAAGTAGCTGGGATTACAGGCACGCACCACCATGCCCGGCTAATTTTGTATTTTTAGTAGAGACGGGGTTTCGCCATGTTGGCCAGGTTGGCCTCAAGCTCCCAATCTCAGATGATCTGCCCACCTCGGCCTCCCAAAGTGCTGGGATTACAGGCGTGAGCCACCTCGCCCGGCCTGAGCTTATTGTTGCAGTAAAGGAGAACATACACCTTGTGGGAGTTGTGGGGTGCATCAGTAAGAGTGTGTTAGAATCTGTGGTAGGATTTGGGCTTTGGTGATTTAGGGGATGGTCTAAAACTTAACGTTCACTCTAGGCTGGGTCTTGCCAGAAAGCAAGCTTAATTCTATAATTAGGTATTTCATTAAATCTTTAGAGAGGACAGATGCATATGGATTAAGTTGTACTTTAGGGGGAAAAATCATTCACATTTAATGAGAGGAGGATGTTTGGTATGAAAGTAAACTCTAGGACTCAAAGTGGCTCAAACTGAAAAAAAAAGCTCCACCACTGTCAGGGGGACAGGCAAGGCAGCTGCAAAGTTAACATGAAACTGTTAGGTCCTGCAGCAGCTATAAAATACCATCATGACTCCCTCATGTGACCACTGCTTTGTTGGCTGTGACACCCTTAGACCTATTTTGCTATAACCCATCTACTACTGGGGATATCCAGTTGCTAAACTTGCCCTCACCTCATTGCAGCACCAATCTCTAGTTAATTCTCACATCTAATCTTGCTACAGAAATAGCATCCAACCCAGAACTGGTCTCCTTTCCCTTATAGCTTGCTCAGAACCCTACACTGGGAACCCAAACCTTACCAAAGATGGCACCCCCTGCCCTCTTGTGGAATGCACCATCTTTGCTGCTTCTGGTTCCCTTGCTTGCAAATCAATAAATGGTTTTGTCAGAAGACAGGCTTGAGCCTGGTGATCTTTGGCGGACTAGACTTCAGCAGATGTAAATAATTTAAGCTCATGTATGCTGCTGCTCTATTGTGTCAGCCTGGCAAAATACCAGCCCTGGATGAACCCAACACTGCTTCTGCATCCTTGCAGCTGGAGGTCGTTTCTGGTAGATTTTTATCACTGTAAATTCATGCTCAGCACATTGAGTTAGGCTGTCAGTACTGCCAACAATGTTAATGTGTTTCTCTTCAATCCTTCTGTAACTATTTCAAACCCCTTTCCCTCTAAAGCCCCTTTCACCCCCTAACTGATTACTTCACAGGGGAAAAAAAAACCATGATACCCATGTACACAAATGCATCTGCATTCACTTCATCCCTCCTCTTCCTGTACAGGAAGAATCCCTCCTCTTATTAAAGGCCAGTTATTCAACATGTGCTGCAATCCTATCTCCTCTCGTTCTCTCATGGAGTCTGTTGTTACTTGGTCTGTATTTTTCCTCTCTTTCTCCATTGGCTCTTTGCATGGACAGTTGAACACACCATTCTCATCAGAAGAAATCTGCTTCTCATATTTGTATCTGACCACAGTCCTATCTCTGCTTCATAGTCAGACTTCTCAAGTGCCTTCCCATGTTTTCCATGTCCTTACCTCCTATTTGAGCTTAAAACCCACTATGGCTCCTGCCCCCACTATATACAGTGGCCCTCACTAGAGTCACCAATGACCTCTATGACACTAAGTCCTGGAGAGATTTCATCCTTAGCTTATCCTGTGGCAATATGTGACATTGTTTTTTTCTTTTTTTTCTTTTTTTTTTATTATTTTTTTATTTTTTATTGATCATTCTTGGGTGTTTCTCGCAGAGGGGGATTTGGCAGGGTCATAGGACAATAGTGGAGGGAAGGTCAGCAGATAAACAAGTGAACAAAGGTCTATGGCTTTCCTAGGCAGAGGACCCTGCGGCCTTCCGCAATGTTTGTGTCCCTGGGTCCTTGAGGTTAGGGAGTGGTGATGACTCTTAACGAGCATGCTGCCTTCAAGCATCTGTTTAACAAAGCACATCTTGCACCGCCCTTAATCCATTTAACTCTGAGTGGACACAGCACATGTTTCAGAGAGCACAGGGTTGGGGGTAAGGTCACAGATCAACAGGATAAGAATTTTTCTTAGTACAGAACAAAATGAAAAGTCTCCCATGTCTACCTCTTTCTACACAGACGCGGCAACCATCCGATTTCTCAATCTTTTCCCCACCTTTCCCCCCTTTGTATTCCACAAAACCGCCATTGTCATCATGGCCTGTTCTCAATGAGCTGTTCGATACACCTCCCAGACGGGGTGGTGGCCGGGTAGAGGGGCTCCTCACTTCCCAGTAGGGGCGGCCGGGCAGAGGCGCCCCTCACCTCCCGGACGGGGCAGCTGGCCGGGCGGGGGGCTGACCCCCCCACCTCCCTCCCGGACGGGGCGGCTGGCTGGGCAGAGGGGCTCCTCACTTCCCAGTAGGGGCAGCCGGGCAGAGGCGCCCCTCACCTCCCGGGCGGGGCGGCTGGCCGGGTGGGGGGCTGACCCCCACCTCCCTCCCAGACGGGGTGGCTGCCGGGCGGAGGGGCTCCTCACTTCCCAGACGGGGCGGCTGCCGGACGGAGGGGCTCCTCACTTCTCAGACGGGGCAGCTGCCGGGCGGAGGGACTCCTCACTTCTCAGACGGGGCAGCCGGGCAGAGACGCTCCTCACCTCCCAGACGGGGTCGCGGCCGGGTAGAGGCGCTCCTCACATCCCAGACGGGGCAGCGGGGCAGAGGCGCTCCCCACATCTCAGACGATGGGAGGCCGGGAAGAGGCGCTCCTCACTTCCTAGATGGGATGGCGGCCGGGCAGAGACGCTCCTCACTTTCCAGACTGGGCAGCCAGGCAGAGGGGCTCCTCACGTCCCAGACGATGGGTGGCCAGGCAGAGACGCTCCTCACTTCCCAAACGGGGTGGTGGCGAGGCAGAGGCTGCAATCTCGGCACTTTGGGAGGCCAAGGCAGGCGGCTGGGAGGTGGAGGTTGTAGCGAGCCGAGATCACGCCACTGCACTCCAGCCTGGGCACCATTGAGCACTGAGTGAACCAGACTCCGTCTGCAATCCCGGCACCTCGGGAGGCCGAGGCTGGCAGATCACTCGCGGTTAGGAGCTGGAGACCAGCCCGGCCAACACAGCGAAACCCCTTCTCCACCAAAAAAATACGAAAACCAGTCAGGCGTGGCGGCGCGCTCCTGCAATCGCAGGCACTCGGCAGGCTGAGGCAGGAGAATCAGGCAGGGAGGTTGCAGTGAGCCGAGATGGCAGCAGTACAGTCCAGCTTCGGCTCGGCATCAGAGGGAGACCGTGGAAAGAGAGGGAGACCGTGGGGAGAGGGGAGAGGGGAGAGGGAAGAGGGAAGCAACAAATAAATTTTCTCAATATGTGACATTGTTAAGTGACACTAAAATTGAAAACCTCAGGCTGGGCGCGGTGGCTCATGCCTGTAATCCCAGCACTTTGGGAGGCCGAGGCGGGCGGATCACAAGGTCAGGAGATCGAGACCATCCTGGCTAAGACGGTGAAACCCCATCTCTACTAAAAATACAAAAAATTAGCCTGGCGTGGTGGTGGGCGCCTGTAGTCCCAGCTACTCAGGAAGCTGAGGCAGGAGAATGGCGTGAACCTGGGAGGCGGAGCTTGTAGTGAACCCAGATTGCACCACTGCACTCCAGCCTGCGTGACAGAGTGAGACTCTGTCTCAAAAAAAAAAAAAAGAAAAAGAAAACCTCTAGGCATTTAGGACACAGTTAACTTGCTTTCCATCTTCATGCTGTTCCTCCTCAATGTTTTTGTGGGCTTCTCTTCCTTTACCTAATCTGTACATACTAGTGTTCTTCAAAGTTCAGTCCTAAACATTCTTTTCTCATGTCACAATATTCTTGGACTATTTCATCCTCTCCTGTAGCTTCAGTTAGCAGCTATCAGCCAGTGACCTCCAGATTTGTTTCTATCTCCTGATTGCAGACCTCTACTAATTTACCATTTCGATCAGGTGGACTAACAAAATTTAAATCATGCTATCAGTAAATTTGCTCTTCCTCTTAACATCCCCTTTCTTATCAGTAGCACTGCCACCTATCCACTTGTCCCAACCAGAAACCCTGATTGCCTATGACTCCTACCCCTCCCTTAGCCCCAGGTTCAACCACCATCAAGTATACAGTCAATCTCCTAAATATTTCCTGGAGCTGTGCTCATCATCTTCACTGCCCAGGTCCTGCGTCCAAGCTGCCATGATCTCTACTGTTGCTTTTTCAAAAACCTTCTACTGAGCTATCCACATCAACCTTGCATCCTATAATCCTTTCTCCACTTAGCAGTTCCAAGAATCTTTCTAATGGACAAATAGCATCACAAAACTCTGTAGTAGATAGGATTTCGATATAGGAGGTTCTTAGAAGGTAAAAGGTGGGGGTGGGACAGGAACTAAGTTAGCATTATGTGATACAAACTGATGTTACAGGTCAATGAAAATGTGATCTTTAAAGATGCCTTTATTTACACTTCATGGAAGATTGATATCAATTTGCATATCAGCCTTTTTTAAATGGAGGTAAATTAGGGGTTTATGTTGCCCCCCCCATCCTGTGGTGCTGCCACATTTGCTTAAACACCTTGTTGTTTTCTGTTTTTGTTTTTGTTTTTGAGATGGAGTCTTGCTCTGTTGTTCAGGCTGGAGTGCAGTGGCACGATCTTGGCTCATTGCAACCTCCCCCTCCCAGGTTCAAGCAATTCTCCTGCCTCAGCCTCCTGAGTCGCTGGGATTACAGGTGCCTGGCACCATGCTCAGCTAATTTTTGTATTTTTAGTAGAGATGGGGTTTCACCATGTTGGCCAGGCTGGTCTGGAACTACTGACCTCAGGTGGTCCACCTGCCTTGGCCTCCCAAAGTGCTGGGATTACAGATGTGAGCCACCGTGCCCAGCCTACTTAAACACCTTGTAATAAACAATTATACCTCAATAAAGCTGTTTAAAACACACACACACACACACACACACACACACACACACACAACTTGGCCAAAAATAGAGACCTCTTTTTTTCCTAATTTGGTGTCAGAGAATATAAATCTTGAGTCCATAAATCCCTAATGTTCTGTACTCTGCCTGCCTACCTCTGTATCCCACTCCAGGATTCCCTCCCCTTCAGGCCTCTTTCCTCCCTAACCATGCTTAAACCACATTTGCTTTCTTTCAGTCCTTTTTAAAGGGAAAGCTCCTTCCCTTGGGCCTCACAGCCTTAACACAGGGACTTTAACCTCTGCTTGAAATACTTTTCCCCCTACTTTACCTGGCTAACACGTACTTAAATTTCAAACTTCAGTGGAAATATTTTCTCATCTTAGGTTAAATCTGCTCATTACAGGTATTCCATGGAGATATTGCTAGTTCCGTTCCAGACTACAATAAAGCAAATATTGCAATAAAGTAAGTTGGGAATTCTTTGGTTTCCCAGTACATATAAAAGTTATGTTTATACTATACTGAGGCCTATTAAGTGTGCGAAAGCATATTCTTTAAATATACATACCTTAATTTAAAAATTCTTTATTGCTAGAAAATACAAATGATCATATGAGTCTTCAGTGAATCGTAATCTTTTTGCTGGTGGAGGGTCTTGCCCCAGTGTTGATAGCTGTTGACTGATTCGGGTGGTGGTTGCCGAAGGCTGGGACAGCTGTGGCAATTTCTTAAAATAAGCCAACAATGAGGTTTGCCTCTTCCTTTCAAGAAAGATTTATCCAGTTTGCAATGCTGTGTGATAGCATTTTAACCACAATAGAACTTCTTTAAAAATTTGAGTCAATCATCTTAAACCCTGCTGCTGTTTTATCAACAAAGTTTATGTAATATTCAAAATCCTTTATTGTCATTTCAACAATACTCAGCATCTTCACTAGGAGTAGTTTCCATTTCAAGAAATCACTTTCTTTGCTAATCCATAAGAAGCAACGCAGGCCAGGCGCCGTGGCTCACGCCTGTAATCCCAGCACTTTGGGAGGCCGAGGCAGGCGGGTCACAAGGTCAGGAGTTCAAGACCAGCCTGGACAGCATGGTGAAACCCTGTCTCTACCAAAAATACAAAAAATTAGCCGGGCATGGTGGCGCATGCCTGTAGTCCCAGCTACTCGGGAGGCTGAGGCAGAAGAATTGCTTGAACCCAGCAAGCGGAGGTTGCACTGAGCCAAGATTGTGCCACTGCACTCCAGCCTGGGTGACAGAGCAAGACTCCATCTCAAAAAAAAAAGAAGCAACTCATCCATTCAAGGTTTATCAGGAGATTGCAGCAATTCAGTCACATCTTCAGGCTCCCCTTCTCATTCAGTTCTCTTGCTGTTTCCATCACATCTGCAGTCACTTCTTTCACTAAAGACATGAAGCCCTCAAACTCAACCATGAGGATTGGAATAAACTTCTTCCAAACTTCTCTTAATTGGATATTTTGACCTCCTCCCATGAAGCACAAATGTTCTCAATGGCATCTAGAATGGTGAATCTTTTCCCAAAGGTTTTCAATTGATTTTGCCCAGATCCATTAGAGACATCACTCTGTATGTCAGCTATAGCCTCAAGAAATGTATTGTTTAAATAATAAGACCTGAAAATCAAAATTACTTCTTGACTCTTAGGCTGTAGAATGGATGCTGCGTTAGCAGACATGAAAACAACATTAATCTCCTTGTACGTCATCAGAGCTCTTAGGTGACCAGGTGCATTGTCAATAAGTAGCAATATTTTAAAAGAAATCTATTTTTCTGAATGTCATTTTCAACAGTGGGCTTAAAATATTCAGTAAATCATACTCTAAACAGATGTGCTGTCATCCAGGCTCTGTTGTTTCTGGAGTGCAGGCAGAGTAGATTTAACATAATTCTTAAGGGCCCTAGGATTTTGAAATGAGAAATGAGCATTGGTTTCAACTTCAAGTCACCAGCTGCATTAGACCTTCACAAGACAATCAGCCTGTCCTTTGAAGCTTTGAAACCAGGCATTAATTTCTCTCTGGCTATGAAAGTCCTGGATGACATCTTCCACTAGAAGGCTGTTGCATCTACATTAAAAATCCGCTGTTTAATTTGGCCACCTTCATCAATGGTCTTCGTTAGATCTTCTGGATAACTTGCTGCAGCTTCTACATCAGCACTTGTGGCTTCACCTTGCCCTTTTATGTTACAGAGATGGCTTCTTTCCTTAAATTTCATGAACCAACTACTGATAGCTTTAAACTTTTCTTCAACTCCCTCACCTTTCTCAGCCTTCATAGAATCGAAGAGAGTTAGGGCTTTGTTCTGGATTAGGCTTTGGTTTAAGGGAATGTTGTAGCTGGTTTGATCTTCTATCCAGACCATTCAAACTTCCTCCCTGTCAGTAATAAGGCTGTTTTGGTTTTTCTTATTATTCATGTGTTCACTGGAGTAGTACTTTTAATTTCCTTTAAGAATTTTTTCTTTGTATTCACAACTTGGCTGTTTGACACAAGAGGCTTAGCTTTCAGCCTATCTTAGCTTTCAACATGCCTTCCTTACAGGCTTAATCATGCATTTCTAGGTTATGATTTAAAGTGAGAGACATACAACCCTCTTTTACTTGGACACTTAGAAGCCACTGTAGGGGTATTACTTTGCCTAATTTTGATATTGTTGTGTCTCAAGGAATAGGAAGGCTCTAGGAGAGGGTGAGAGATGAGAGTGGCCAGTGAATACAGCAGCCAGACACACACAATATATATCAATCGACTTGTTACTAGTGGAAGAGATCTGAGTTACCCCAAGTTACCAGCAGCCTATCCTTGCAGGTCCATAGCAACTTCAGTCCTGGCCTCCTCAGAGAAGAAAGAATTTGACTGACAGACATAAAGCAGAAAAGAGACTGAAGCAAGTTCCAGAGTAGGAATGGAGGTTTATTTAAACAGGCATTAGAACAGGAAAGAAAGGAAGGTACGCATGGAAGAGACCCAAGTGGGCATGTGAAGGTTAAAGAGAGAAGGCCAGCCGGGTGCAGTGGCTCACGCCTATAATCCCAGAACTTTGGGAGGCTGAAGCAGGTGGATCATGAGGTCAGGAGTTCAAGACCAGCCTGGCCAAGATGGTGAAACCCTGTCTCTACTAAAAATACAAAAAAATTAGCCGGGTATGGTGGTGGGCGCCTGTAATCCCAGCTACTCGGGGAGGGGGCTGAGGCAGAGAATTGCTTGAACCCGGGAGGCGGAGATTGCAGTGAGCTGAAATCGCGCCACTGCACTGCAGCCTGGGCGACAGAGTGAGACTCCGTCTCAAAAAAAAAAGAAAAAGAAAAGGAGAGAGAGAGAGAGAAGGTCAAGTGCCGCATTTAACCATGATCTTAGGATGGGCTCCCTGCATGCTCAGAGCCCTCTTTACCCTTGGGAAGTGAGCACACACAGTGATTTTATGGATTTATACACATGCCCATCTGAGGCTTTCTTCCTTTTTCCGGTGGAGTGTATCAGAAAAATCATACTTCATCACTTTTGTCTCTTAACCGGCATGCCCAGGAAGTTGCTTCTCTCTGGGGCCTGCATTCAATTAACATTTTGATGTTAACAGGTGTGGGCCATCAGGAAATGGCCTTTCCCTGGCGCTGCCAAATTTTCATTTTTAGAGAGGCCATGTGATAATTGCTGAACCATCACCCAACATTTCTAGTGGGTGGGTGGCAGGGGAGAGCCCTCTCCTGCCTTGCTCATGCCTAACTACCTGTAACAGATTCAGTTCGCCATTTTATAATGTATGAGCATGATCTGTGGTCCCCCAAAACAATTACAGTAGTGACATCAAAGATCAGTGATCACACAGATCACTCTAACAGATACAAAAATAATGAAAAAGTTTGAAATATTGTGGGAATTACCAAAATATGTCAGAGACACAAAGTGAGCACATGATGTTGGAAAAACATGGCACCCATACACTTGCTCCATCAAGGTTGCCTCAAACCTTCCATTTGTAGTAAACTCAGTATCTGCAAAGCACAATAAAATGCACAATAAAACAAGGTATGCCTCTCTATGCTCTCACAAACCTCTGTATTTTATCTTAGAAACACTCACAACTGTAATAAATGATTGTTTATTCTTTCTTTCCAGTTAATCTCTAGCTCTGATCCTCACCCGCAAAGAACTGGGCCACCTTCCCTGCTTTATCCCCACTATGCCTAAACACACAGTGAGTGTTCCATAAACACTTGTTTAGTGGCAATAAATATAGCAGACACATTTATTTGCCACTTTATAAGGAAAAAAGGTGCAGATACATAGACGACCTATTTTCTGATACCAAATTAGGAAGAGTTCTCCATCTTTGGCCAAGTTTTTTTTTTTCTAAACAGCTTTACTGAAGTATAATCGTTTTTTACCTTATTTAAAAATAAGTACCACTCCACTAAAACGCGCTCTGTGGTTAGTTCTCGGCTGGACCGTTCAAAAGGCTGATCCTTACAGCCTTTATTATTAATACAACCAGGTCGGGACTGCTTTTGCGTGGGTCACCAGAAGTAAAAAATCAAAGAGGAGCCAACCCCATTCCGAACAAGGAAACACCCGTCCCCTTCCTACACCAATTCCTGCTCCGCCCTTCGTAGGGAACGCAGCGAGGGCAGCCTCCGGAGTGGAGGGGCGGGACTTCCGGCCCTTCCTGTTGTGGAGGGGCGGGACTTCCTGTCTTCCCTGTTGCGGAGCTCTGAAGCGGCTCCCTGAGGGCGCTGGTTTTGAACTGGTCTTGTGCGGTTTGCGCTTTCTCTTAGTGGTTACAGTTGGCGCTGTCTCCGCTTTCCTGTTTCGTGGCGGGCATCTTGGCCAAAACACTCTCCCTGCCACCTTATTCCTCTAGGGTTGTGATTTTTTTCTTTCACCAAGAAATATCACTCGCTGGTAATTTGTCAAACTGAAGAAACCCCTGAAGAAGCAGTGGTGGGCAGGCGCCGACGCTGCGGCTTCCAGAGCATTTTGGCAAATCAAAGCCAGGGACCGTTGCTGGGCCTCATTTCCGCAACTTTTCGGCTCCGAACTGCTGTGAGTGGAAGACTTTTGGTGGTTGTTTTGATCAGGCTCCTTCTGTAACTAGAGACTATAGCATTTTGAAAGAAATGAGATTCTCATTCATGTCAAGAACAGACTTGTGGATTTTTGAGTGTTAAACATACCCTGACGTAATGTGCTGGGTGATGAGAACGCAAGCGGGAATGAGACTGTAGAGATGAGAATGGCAGTGTGGGTTGGAGCCGGGTTATGGTTTCCTATGGTATGCCAAGAACCTTAGTCATTACACTGTTTGTTGTGTATGCTTGATTATTTAAAATTAGAAAACCGCCTCAGTAAAGCTATTAAAAAAAAGACCTGACCAAAGATAGACTATTTTTCCCAAATTGGAATCAGAAAATGTCTTCCATCTATGTATCAGCACCCGTTTTTTCCCCTAAAATACCAAGTAGACATACCCGATATATACGTGTGTGTTTATATATATATCTGTAATCTATATTGCCATTTGATAAGTACGTAAACAGGTGATGTAAAGCACTTGGTATGGTGTGACTTGTGGAAAGTTACCTATGTCATCAATACTAGAGATGGATTGGAGAGAGAAGAAATTCCAGACAGTTGCAGGAGTTGGAGAGTCTATGGCCTGAAAAAGAGAAAGAGGTAGAGAGAGTCAGGTTCCAAAGACAGAAAATCAACAGGACTTGTTACAGGGGCATGGAGTGGAAAGTCAAGTTTTAGAATATTGGCTGCTAACAATGAGACACCATTAATTCAAATTGCAAATTCAAGAGGAGCAGTTTACTTATTTTTCATCATTCAAATATTTATTGTGCCATTTACTATTTGCCTAATACTGTTTTAGATGCCAGAGATACTGTTACATATAAGACAGATAAGGCCCCTGCTTCGGTTGACTTTATATCCTAGTGGGAGAAAATAAAAAGCAAGTAAATAATCAATTTTGATGATAGATTCTATGAAGAAAAAACTTGAAGAGGGATGACAAATGATTGGGAGATGTTTGGGAGTAACTTTAACTTAGTTGGTCGTTGGGCCCTTGTAGGAGTTACATTTGTGCTGAAACCTTGATGATGATAAAGAACCAGCCTTGTGATTAGCCAAGGAAAAGACAAGGCAGGCAGAAAGAACTGCAAAGATGGGAAAGAGCTTGTTTAAAGAACATTTAAAATGCCAATGTATCTAAAGTGCCCTGTAGAAGTAGGAGAGAGTTGAGAAATGACATTGGGAGAGGTAGATAGGACCAGACTGTGTGGCCTTTGTAGGCCATAGTTTAGGAGTTTGGATTTTAAGTAGAAATGGAAGGTACTGGTGGGTTTTAAGCCACGAAGTGATAGATGTGATTTTCATTTTAAAAGATCCCTCTGGGCACTACTGTATGCAGACTGGATTTGAGGGAAGAGATGAGAGTGAAAGTGCAATTAGGGGGTATTACAGAAGCCTGCTTTTGGTAGGAGTGATTAAGTTCCATTTTAGTTATGTTGAGTTTGATTTATCTATGGGACAGGGACATAGAGAGCGGTCTAGCAGGCAGCCACCTGAAAGCTCTGTGAGAGGTCAGGTACATTTAGTTCTCTAGAGAAAGAAAATAATTAAAAGTGTGTGAATCTCCTCAGGAGAGACCATGTGGTTAAATATTTACTTATATCCTGACATATCCTCAGAAGATTACAGATGATATCACCTACAGCTGATTACATACATTAAAGGGGGTAAGGTTAAAAAAAGACAAGGTGGGCCAGGTGCGGTGGCTCACGCCTGTAATCCCAGCACTTTGGGAGGCCAAAACGGGTGGATCACGAGGTGTGGAGTTCCAGACCATTCTGGCCAACATGGTGAAAACCTGTCTCTACTAAAAATACAAAAAATGAGCCAGGCGTGGTGGCACGCACCTGTAGTCCCAGCTACTCAGGAGGCTGAGGCAGGAGAATCACTTGAACCCGGGAGGCAGAGGTTGCAGTGAGCCCAGATTGCGCCACTCTACTCCAGCCTGGCAACAGAGCAAGACTCTGTCTCAAAAAAAAAAAAAAAAAAAAAAAAAAAAAAAAAAAAAAAAAGACAAGGTGGGGCATAAAAGTGACATCAGTGTTATGTTAAGAAGGGATGAAATGTGGACTAAGGTCAGGTCTTGAAGAATCCTTGATTTAAGGGAATGGTGAAGAAGAATGATTAAACTAAAAACAGGTAGAAGTGAAGAAGAAAACTGTGGCAGCCCAATGTTAGGGGAGAAAAGTAGGGGAAAAGAGAGTTTGGTGCAAGGGAATGTAGACAATGCTGTTACACGTTGATGAGGTTTAGTAGGATGAAGACTAAAGTCATTGGGTATAAGAAGACATTGGCGACCATTGCGAAACAATGTCAGTAAAGAGATAGAGGTGAAAGCTGGATTGCAGTGAATTGAAGACTGATAGGAGAGAAGGTTGGTAGTGAGTGAATACTACACTTGAGCTGTTTATAGGTAGGAAATAGGGATAAAGTGAAAGTGTTTTCTATAGAACGTTATTTTTTTCTGGCAGGTAAAACTTGATCATCTTGGTAGTAGAAGGGGATAATGTGGAAGGGGATGGGGTTAGTGTTGGAAAGGAATAAAAACATTTCATAAGATTGCTTGAGTGCCTGCAAGGCAGCATCCACAGTGCTGGTCACTGTCATATTTGTTTTCTCTTTTAATACACACAACAATCCTGTTACTACTCCCATTTTACAAATGAGGAACAACCTGAGACTTATAGCTAGCTAGTAAATGGTAAGGTGTGAATGAAACCCAACTCTTTTTTTTTTTTTTTTTTTTAGTTGATCATTCTTGGGTGTTTCTCACAGAGGGGGATTTGGCAGGGTCATAGGACAATAGTGGAGGGAAGGTCAGCAGATAAACAGGTGAACAAAGGTCTCTGGTTTTCCTAGGCAGAGGACCCTGCAGCCTTCCGCAGTGTTTGTGTCCCTGGGTACTTGAGATTAGGGAGTGGTGATGACTCTTAACGAGCATGCTGCCTTCAAGCATCTGTTTAACAAAGCACATCTTGCACTGCCCTTAATCCATTTAACCCTGAGTGGACACAGCACATGTTTCAGAGAGCACAGGGTTGGGGGTAAGGTCATAGATCAACAGCATCCCAAGGCAGAAGTATTTTTCTTAGTACAGAACAAAATGGAGTCTCCTATGTCTACTTCTTTCTACACGGACACAGCAACAATCTGATTTCTCTATCTTTTCCCCACATTTCCCCTTTTTCTATTTGACAAAACCGCCATCGTCATCATGGCCCGTTCTTAATGAGCTGTTGGGTACACCTCCCAGACGGGGTGGCGGCCGGGCAGAGGGGCTCCTCACTTCCCAGAAGGGGCGGCCAGGCAGAGGCGCCCCCCACCTCCCGGTTGGGGCGGCGGCCGGGCGGAGGCGCCCCCCACCTCCCTCCCGGACGGAGCGGCTGGCCGGGTCGGGGCTGCCCCCCACCTCCCTCCCGGACGGGGCGGCTGCCGGACGGGGCGGCTGCCGGGCAGAGACGGTCCTCACTAACCAGACAGGGCAGCTGCCGGGCGGAGGGGCTCCTCACTTCTCAGACGGGGCGGCTGCCAGGCGGAGAGGCTCCTCACTTCTCAGACGGGTCGGCTGCCGGGCAGAGGGGCTCCTCACTTCTCAGACAGGGCGGCTGCCAGGCAGAGGGGCTCCTCACTTCTCAGATGGGGCGGCCGGGCAGAGACGCTCCTCATCTCCCAGATGGGGTCGCGGCCCGGCAGAGGCGCTCCTCACATCCCAGACGGGGCGGCGGGGCAGAGGCGCTCCCCACATCTCAGACGATGGGCGGCCGGGCAGAGACGCTCCTCACTTCCTAGATGGGATGGCGGCCGGGAAGAGGTGCTCTTCACTTCCCAGACTGGGCAGTCGGGCAGAGGGGCTCCTCACATCCCAGATGATGGGCGGCCAGGCAGAGACACTCCTCACTTCCCAGATGGGGTGGCGTCCGGGCAGAGGCTGCAATCTTGGCACTTTGGGAGGCCAAGGCAGGCGGCTGGGAGGTGGAGGTTGTAGCTAGCCGAGATCACGCCACTGCACTCCAGCCTGGGCACCATTGAGCACTGAGTGAATGAGACTCTGTCTGCAATCCCGGCACCTCGGGAGGCCGAGGCTGGCAGATCACTCGCGGTTAGGAGCTGGAGACCAGCCCGGCCAACACAGCGAAACCCCGTCTCCACCAAAAAAATATGAAAACCAGTCAGGCGTGGCAGCGCGCGCCTGCAATCACAGGCACTGGGCAGGCTGAGGCAGGAGAATCAGACAGGGAGGTTGCAGTGAGCCGAGATGGCAGCAGTACAGTCCAGCTTCCGCTAGGCATCAGAGGGAGACCGTAGAAAGAGAGGGAGAGGGAGACCGTGGGGAGAGGGAGAGGGAGGAAACCCAACTCTTTAATTCCCCTTCTGTCACTGCTGTATGGAGAGCATAGGTGAAGACATAGTACTTTAGAGGTAGAGAAGAAGAAACTGAATGCAGAGAAATAAGGACAAATCCAAGATAATAGGAGATTAAGTTGCTCAGTAGTAATAAAGAGCTGTTTCTTTAATGCTAGGGTAGAGACAGGATTCCAGGTATTTGGATTTCTTCTTCAGGGTCCTTTTCCCATAGGCCTAATAGTTACTTTCTGCCTGTCTTTGGAATTTATATTACAAACAATTTGCTGCATTCTTACCATAAAGGTGGAATTTGCTTATTATTTGAAATTTAAAATGAGATAATGAGCATATAATTTATAGAAATTAAATTTCTTTAGGCCGGGCGCAGTGGCTCATGTCTGTAATGCCAGCACTTTGGGAGGCTGAGGCAGGCAGATCTCAAGGTCAGGAGTTCCAGACCAGCCTGACCAATATGGTAAAACCCCGTCTCTACTAAATTACAAAAATTAGCCAGGCATGGTGGCACACACCTGTAATCCCAGCTACTCAGGAGGCTAAGGCAGAAGAATCACTTGAACCTGAGAGGCAGAGGTTACAGTGAGCCGAGATCACACCACTGCACTCTAGCCTGGATGACAGAGCGAGACTCCATCTCAAAAAAAAACAAAAAAAACAAAAAGAAATTAGATTTCTTCTTGGTTATGTTCCTGCATTGGAGTAAACTTCTAGAAGTTATAAGCTTCTAAATAATAAGCATATAATTTACAAAAATTAAATTTCAGTAGAAGTGAAGCTATTAAAATTATAAAGACAGTTATCACTTGTGGTTGTCTCTTCTTGGTTATGTTCCTCCATTGGAGTAAACTTCTAGGGGTTAATTAAGGCATTTTGTTAAGGATGTTCATTTCAGATTTATCCAGTGTAGTTAGTATTCTTAACAAAAGTAAATGCAATGGCAATGTCATCTTCTTAGAAAATGCACGCACTTATTTTGATAAAAGTTTTGTACATTAAGAGAACTATTTATGCTGTTGTTTTTCCTATTTCATTCAGTCTTTGACTTAGAAGATATCTTATCCTGCCGTTGTAATGGCAGCTGAACTGCGAATGATACTTTATGAAGATGATTCAGTACAAGTACAATATGTTGATGGTTCCACATTGCAACTTTCTCCCTGTGGCTCTGAATTTTTATTTGAAAAGTCACCACCTGTTTCAGCACATCCTTTAGAACAACCAGAAAGAATTCGTCAAAGGACACATTTTGTCATTAGCACTTACAGAGTAAGTAAAGATATCACGTAAACAACTTTTTTGTTTTTTAGAGACAGGTTCTTGCTCTGTCACCCAGGCTGGAGTACAGTGGCACTACCATAGCTCACTGCAGCCTCGAACACCTAGGCTCAAGTGATTCTCCTGCCTCAGCCTCCTTTTACAAGGGAGTTACTCTAGGACTACAGGTGTGCACTACCACATCTGGCTAATTTTTAAATTTTTTGTAGAGCATTGTCTAGCTATGTTGCACAAACTGGTTCTCACACTCCTGGCCTCAAGTAATCCTCCCATCTTGGCCTCCCATTATGCCAGGATTACAGGAGTGAACCACCGTGCCTGGCCAAAACTACTCTTTGAATACCAAAATACTGTTGACGTGGCTAGAATATGAAAAGTAATTAGTATTATGGATTATACTGTACTGTCATTTTTAATTGATTTTCAAATCATTTTACATTAAGGTTACATTTTATATTTCTTTTCATAGGAGCAACTACAGCGAGCCCTAGATTTTCGAAACTCTTCAGCTACTTGCCCTTTTTTATCTGAAACCATCATACCTTCTGAAAGAAAAAAGGTGATTTTTTTAACTTCATTTTTGTTAGTATTATTTGAGGACAAGTAACTAGAAACAGGTAATTTAATATTTAGCCTTTTTTTCCTTTTCAGGACACCTGGGGATACATTGCTATAAAACATCAAAGTTACATAGTGTATCCCCCTTGCCATTTTCTTTGTATCCAAGCATTATAATCAGAATTTTTAGATTGGTGACTTTTTCATTCTCAGAGGTCTCAAAATTAAGTAATTATGTGACCATTTTCAGTAACAGCGTATTTGTTAATGTATAGTAGAAATATGTAACTATGGGTATGACCTTTATTATTTTGCTTATATAGTATTGTGTTTGGACTTTTAGGAATAATAACTGTCATTTACTGAGGGTTTACTATGTCCAACAACTATGAACAATATTAGAAATATTTAATAACACCATACTGATCAAAATGGATGTCCATCCAATCAAAACAGGTATATTGGCTAGATGGCAGCCTCTTTTTTTTTTTTTTTTTTCTGAGACGGAGTCTCACACTGTCGCCAGGGCTGGAGTGCAGTGGCACGATCTCGGCTCACTGCAACCTCCACCTCCCAGGTTGACGCCATTCTCCTGCCTCAGCCTCCCGAGTAGCTGGGGCTACAGGCACCCGCCACCACACCCGGCTAATTTCTTGCATTTTTAGTAGAGACGGGGTTTCATCATGTTAGCCAGCATGGTCTCGATCTCCTGACCTCGTGATCCGCCCGCCTCAGCCTCCCAAAGTGCTGGGATTACAGGCGTGAGCCACCGCGCCCGGCCGGCAGCCTCTTTTTATAGGCAAGGAAATTATGTCTTAGAGAGTTTACCTAATTTGTCTATGGCAGTTTTCTCAGTGGCAAAGTCAGGATTTGAACCTAGTCTATCTGACTCTGTAAACTCTGTTTCTCAACTACTTTCTGCTAC
Source organism: Homo sapiens (assembly GCF_000001405.40). Taxonomy (NCBI): domain Eukaryota; kingdom Metazoa; phylum Chordata; class Mammalia; order Primates; family Hominidae; genus Homo; species Homo sapiens. The sequence continues at coordinate 43,507,652 of NC_000005.10, read as the reverse complement.
CTTTCTATGCTGTCAAGATGCTTGCCTGCCGGCTGAGTAATTTTATATTGTCTCGTGGCAAAGGAGCCATAAAAAATTATAAGTTGTAACTTAGCCTAGAATGGTAATTTTCCATTGTGTCTTTTGAGTCACTTTATTCACTGAAACTGCCTAGCTTGTTGCTGATGCTGCAGCAGGATTATTAGATAGTCTAATTCTAAAAGAGGAGTTTGATGACCATCCTTACAAACCAGCTTTGCTGTCAGTAAATACAGCCCTCAATTTTAGTGTCCTAACATCGTACATATAGATAGCATGGTAAATTTAGGAAGCTTTCTTGACAATAGTTTGTGTAAACGTAAGATTTTACATAAATGGAATTGAAATGCTAAATGCTTGGCAAAATTAATTCAGTAAAAACCTCTCACGCAATATCTACTGTTTATATCTTATATGAAAAGTCACAATCAACACTGTTACTTGTTATGAGTCTTTTATTAGTCAGAATCAATTTTTCTTTGAGTAATTAAACTTTTTTAAAGTTTCCTCTAAGCCTCCTGAAATTTATTTTAGTGTATGGTGTGCCAGGTACTACCTAGGATGGGTACTTTTTACATGTTACCTTATTTGGTTCATGTGATAACCCTGCAAGACAGAATTTCCCAAATGCTGTTCAGTAATTCTAGTACTAGTTTAAATAATTTTCTCTTTTCCCTCTTGCTCTGAAAAACTTATGTTATCTCATGTAAATTTTAAGATATGATTGAGTTTGTTTTTGAATTTTCTGAGTTGTTCTGTCAATAATTTTTATGGTAGTCCTGTACCATTTAAGCTATGGTTGCTTTTTTTTTTATTTAAAACTTAAAGAAAAATTTTTAGCTATGATTGCTTTTAATATAATGTATCATAGTGTTGGTCTTCCCTTATTTCTAGTTTTTTTTCAGAGTAAACTTTTGCAGGGTGAGGGGAGGGATACAAATCTGTTTAATTCATTGTACATTTAAAACCAAAATACATTTAACACTAAATATGACCATTTCTCTCATTTTGTGTCTGTTTTACATCTCTTTTTTTTAAGGGTGATAATCTTAACAATATCAAACATTCTCTGGAAAATCATATATAGGCTGAGATCTGGCCCTCCATTTTTTCATTCTCTGTAGATAGTAAAACACAAATATTTAAGAGCTTTCTTACACAATACTTAAATATCAAATATATGGAAAAATTGGACTGTTAACAGAAAATACTCACCGTCTCTTTTCCCCTCTCCTTGCAGCATATCTTCATTGACATAACAGAAGTGAGATGGCCCAGTCTTGATACAGATGGTACCATGATATATATGGAGAGTGGCATTGTGAAGATAACATCTTTAGATGGTCATGCATACCTCTGCCTGCCCAGATCTCAGCATGAATTTACAGTACATTTTTTGTGTAAAGTTAGCCAGAAGTCAGACTCATCTGCAGTGTTGTCAGAAACAAATAATAAAGCCCCAAAAGATAAACTAGTTGAAAAAACTGGCAAAATCTGTATACGTGGAAATTTACCAGGACAGAGACTGAAGAATAAAGAAAATGAGTTTCATTGCCAGATCATGAAATCCAAAGAAACTTTAAAGAAGATGAGTTGTGTAAATGGAACTGAAGGGAGGGAAGAGCTGCCTTCGCCTGGTACAAAGCACACATGTGTATACACATGGGTCAAGCAGTGCTGGTCTGTGGCTGCCTGTCCAGAGGAATGGAAATATCCTTTGTCTTTAGCACTTCATTTTCATAATAAAATCAGCAATATGTCTAAAATTGATGCACATATAACTCAGAGTAGATTTTTAACTTCTGATATTTCAGAGGAAAGAGGAAAAGTGGTTTCTGTTCTTCCCAGGGCCCTGTCACTCAGCTGTCCAGTCCCACACCTACACAGGTAATGCAGTAATGGCTATTGGTCATGAAGCTTTTTATCAGAACCAGTCTTAACCTGGATAATTTTCTTTTTATCTGATACCATTCACAAGGAAAGTTTATCTCATCCAAAATTTTGCTTTTAACTGATAGTAAATAATTTCCCTAGCAAATGTGTTGCTTATGTTTTTTACTCTGTGTCCATGCATTGAATGTAGAAGGCTGACTCTACACTAGATACTGTGCTAAGTCCAGTAACTGCAGAGATGACTAAGACACAGTCCCTGCTTTATAGCAACTTAGAATCTAGTGAAGGTCACTGTACCTAAAAAGATTATTAAAGTATGCTAAATGATGGGACAGGAGTCTGCACAGGGCTCTGTGGGCCCAGGGGAGCACCTGCTGCCGCTCACTGGAGCCCGTGACCTTGCTTGCTGGAGTGTGGATCTGACACAGTTCTTTTGTCCATACCTAGCTTCAGAGGCTACCCGTGTCTTTGGTTCACTGACTATAAATACGTCTGTTTTCAAAAGGGGTACACACGGAGTGGCTTCTGTAAGGCTAAGTATAAAACTTTTAACTCCACTAAGGATTGTAGATTTGTAACATCAACTTTGCATAAACAGTGCAAATCATAATGATAAAAACTAACACTTACAAAACACTTATGTGCCAGGTACTGTTGGACTTCACCCGTTTGATTCTCAAAGCATTCCCATGAAGTTAAAAAACGTATCATCCCTATATGTAGAGGAACTTGCGACATAGAAATGTTAAATAACTTGAGGAAAGGTACACAGCTAGTACTTGTAAAATTGAGATTTGATCCCAGGCAATCTCTGAGTATACATTTGTTATTTAAAACAAAAATATGGGAATGACTGTTAGGCTTGTCATGATTATCTGGTTAAAATGAGAAAAGTATTACGAGTACACATCAAAAGGGAATTATGCTTCAAAAGTAATGATTTTTCAATAACTTACCATGATGTTTAGGTTGAAATCCATGATCCTTCACATAGCTTACCAGGTCTTTTGTGACCTGGTCCCTTCCTATATCTGTAATCCTCAACTCTCTCACTACTCTTGCCCTTGCTTTCTCTATTCTTGCTAAGCTGGACTTTAGCAATCCCTAAAATGCTTGCTCAAGCACTCTGTGACCACTGCACCTACTCTTTACTCTGCAGGAGTGTTCTCTTTCTCTCTCAGCTGGCTAAATTATGCTCATTTCCAGGTTTCAGCTTAAACCTAACTTCTTTAGAGTGGTTTTCCTGAAGACCCTAAACAAGTTAAGTCCTATACAATTCCATAGCATGCAGTACTTGCCTCTTCTTTACACTCAATGTTTATTATTTAATGTCCCTGCTGAGGGCAGAGACCATGTCTACATTTTTTTGGTTGTTATATCCACAGTGTGTATAGCACAGTGCTTGGCCCACTATAGATATTTTAGTAATTTTTTTTTTTTTTTTTGAGATGGATTCTCGCTCTGTCACCCAGGCTGGCGCGATCTCAGCTCACTGCAACCTCCGCCTCCCGGGTTCAAGCGATTCTTCTGCCTCAGCCTCCTGAGTAGCTGGGATTACAGGCACGTGCCACTACGCCTAATTTTTGTATTTTTAGTAGAGACGGGTTTTCACCATGTTGGTCAGGCTGATCTCAAACTCCTGACCTCGTGATCCGCCCGCCTTGGCCTCCCAAAGTGCTGGGATTACAGGCATGAGCCACCATGCCTAGCGAATCCAGGCTAAATTTTAAATGTTATTAAAACTGTTAATTTATGTAATTGTGCTGAGATTCAATAATGAGATTATTGAAAATAGTGAAAAAAACATGGAAAAAGACTTGCTTTTTACATTTCATTAATATACCTTCATATTAATTTTTATTCTTTGATCTAGTGAGTTAAACAAGAAATTAATCCTGTTACAGTAGCAACATTTTGTTGACTTCTAAAGACAATTATATTGAGCAACCAGAAGTAATAGCTTGTATTTTATCCTTCACAGGTGGAATTTTTGTGATTCACTTTTACAGAGACAATCTGATGAATATTCCTATCCTGAACTAGTGAAAATGGTTTGGTACAAAGGTGTTACATATAGGTAAGGCACCTATGTTGGCTTCTATGTTGGAGTTAGAGCTGTTTATTGATGTCACAGAGAAGATGGGACGAGCCTTATAGACAGACTCTCAGAAGAGGACACAGTTCTGTTGGGCCAACTGTGCTCCTGTGTTTGATCCTGAGTTTTACAGGTCTCAAAACTAATGTTATTAGTGCACACAAGGGTCCTGTGACTCACTCACATTAACCATTTTTATAAGACTTATGTGGTACCTCCAAAGCCAATGAGGGATTGGTTTGCTAGTGAATGTAACATTCATATCAGTTATTTAGGATACTCCTTCCAAGCATTGGAGGATCAAGTTGTTTGAAATAGTCAAAACAGAATTGCTTGAGCATGGAATTAGAGAAGTTAGATCACCTAAGGGAGATTTTAGCCTTCATTCACAAAGCAAATACTCATTGAGTGGCCACTCTGTGCCAGCACTGTTCCATTGAATTATCCATACCCCACAACAAAGGACACCCTTCTAGTGACTAGAATACTAGTGTTAGCCAGATTGAGAGTTTCACTTCCATGAACAATGCTAGAAGAGCACTGCTAAATTTTTGGAGAGCGAGGGGGCTCTCCTTTTCCTATGTGAAGACCTATTCCTTCTAACAACATATTCTAACATGTATGTTAATAAAATTAACTTGGCTTAAGTTTCTATTTGGTATATACCCAGTACCTTGATTGTACCTGGCTGCTCCAGGTACAGCCATCTTTTCTTAGGGATAGCCCCTTGTGCAGACGGCTAATCTTATCCATAAAGTATTGATTCCGCTAGTTTCATTAATCTATTTTCAGGTTCTGGAAATGTTGTATTTAACACGTATGCAATAGACATTGCTTTGGTGACCCTTATATGCCAGCCTTGTGATTAGCAGTGGGGATATCAAGAAGATGATAAGACAAGATGCCTGAATTCCAGAAGTTCTTAGTTTAGTTGTTGAAATAAATGCATAAGCCAATTCTATTTATCTTTTCGTGAAAGAGTTAATTTAGCTGGTTGGGTTCAGAATATGAAATTATCTGCTTCACTGGACAGGCAAAAAGACTGTGTTGTTTTGCTTAGATTTTGTTGTTACTGTTTTTTGATGACTATCTTCATGCATGTTTTAATCTCAAGTGGAAAAAAATTTTTAATGGTTATTTCTATTTCTTAGACTTACCCATCAAAATATGAACTCAATAGAGATTTATTCTGGGGATGGATCTGTTTTCAAATCAGAAGGGGCTTATTTTGGGAACTATTTTACTTATTATTCTATTCAAGAAGGATCAGGAAAGGTAAGCCAACAATGAACTCAACTCAAGAAGAGTTTTGCTGTATAGCTCTTTCTAAATAATTCCAAATATATATGGGAAATTTGGTCATTATATAACATTGCTTCCTACTCCCCAGTCTGGAGTATTAATATAATCTTACTGCCAGCATTGGTACAGTAATTATTAACCACCTTATTTTTACTGTATTTTCACCTGCTATCTCCATTTGCCTAAGCAGTTCATGTTTAAATCAGAAACTTTCTTTTGTCATAGACTTTATTGATGGAAAATGCTGAAACCAGGACTTTGAGTTAATACACTACTTTGAATTAATATTTGTACATTAAAAAGCAAAAGCACATTCTTTTTTCCCCACCATGTAATTGTGTATTTTAAGCACCTCTTAACTTCTAAATCTTTATATACAACTAGACAGTTGAATAAGATTGTTCTCTGTTGCTGAAAACAGTGAAACATAACATGGTATAATTACCAGCCCATAGTCTTAATAATGTCAATATTTTGTTAATGAGTTTTAATTTGCTTATTGCCCCTCTGATATTTGACATCTACCATTTCACAGCAATCACTATAGTATCACACTACTTTGCATGCTAGAACAAAATAAGTATGTTTTCTCTCTTCATTACAGAGTGGAGTATTTAAATACTAATCAGATTATCAGAATCCCTAGGGAATAGAGTTAAAAATTGAGATTTTTTTAACTATGGAAATTTCAAACATATACAAAAGTAGACAAATATAAGGGACCCCTATGTACCCATCACCCATCTTGTTCATTTATACTTCCTGCTTCTCCCTCCACTCCCTGTTTATTTTTAAGTAAATCCCAACCAAATATTGTTTTCTTCATAAATACTTCAGTATATATTGGAACAGATTCCCAACTGGGGCCTATTTCTAGGAAAATATTTAGTAAATACATATTAATTGAACAGTAACTCTTTGGCAGGCATTCTGGTAAGCACTGACAAGGATGAAGATGAAGAAGAGTTCCTGCCCTCAAGAGTTCACAGTCTTGTGTTCAGTTAGACAGGCAAACAAGCAAATGAGATACAAGCATGCCCAGTAACATGTATACGTATATATGTGTGTATGTGTGTTTATATAGTACATCAGACAATCAAGTGAGCAAGCAAATAGAGTAGGTATGCATAGTCATATTGCTGACTGCTGTATATCAGAGGGTGTGCAAAATTGCAAGATAAAAGGAGTGTGTCTTCCTGGAGCTTCAATTTTACTCAAAGCTGTTGCGGGAGGGGGTGATAATTTTTATACTAAAGCAAATATATCATGGAGTAGAAGCATGAGCTTTTGGGTTAAAACGCATTTGTGGTGGACTGCCTTGGGCTTCACTCTCCAACCTTTGTGTGCAACACCTTCACCTTTCTCTGTCTGTTTTAGTGCAAAGGTTTAGAAACAATTGACCCTCTTTTGGGGATAAAGTTGTTTGCTCCTTACTTTAACCCAGACTCCAAAATAAATTTCAGATGAATTAAAGAGCTAAATGTAAGAAACCAAACTTTATAAGTGTTAGAAGAAAATATAGAAGAACAATGTTTAAAATCTCTGGGTAAAGGAGGCCTTGTTAAGTAGAATACAGAAAACCAGAAGGCATAAAAGAAAAGTTTGACAAGCTTGAAATCTTCAAACTTACGTTAAATTATAAATATTTAGGCTGGGCACAGTGGCTTATGCCTGTAATCACAGCACTTTGGGAGGCCAAGGCTGGTGGATCACATGAGGCCAGGAGTTCGAGACAAGCCCAGCCAACATGGCAAAACCTCGTCTCTACTGAAAATACAAAAATTAGCCAGGCATGGTGGTGCTTGTGTGTAATCCCAGCTACTTGGGAGACTGAGGCATGAGAATCGCTTGAACCTGGGAGGTGGAGGTTGCAGTGAGCCAAGATCACACCACTGCACACCAGTCTAGGAGACAGAGCAAGACTCTGTCTCAAAAAAATTTTTTTAATTAAAAGAAAATTTTAGAATTTCTGTTAAAAAGATAAGCAAAAGCCCAGAAGATATTCCACACTATAAATCAGTAATAGACCAAAAAACCAAAATACCCTAATAGAAAAATGGGCAAAGGGTAAAAATGGATTTAGCCATAGAAAAGATAATGTAAATTAAAAAGTCATAATATTTGAAAACATATTCAACTTTACTACTTGCATCAGGGAAATGCAAATTAAAATATCAATGACATAACATTTTTCCCTTACCAAATTGCCAATAACTAAAAAGACTGATGACATCTGCTGGGAAGGGTGTGGGAAAAGTGGTGCTTTCATAGTGTTGGTTGAAGTGTTAATTGGTTTGGCTTTCTTAAAGGACAATTTGATAACATCAAATGAAATTGATGAGAAATTCTGCTTCTCAGTATCTAGCCTAGAGAAATATTTGCACGTGTTCAAAGAAGCACGGCCAAGGGTGTGTTTTGTGGCATTATTTGTAGCAGCAAAAAATCAGAAGCAACCTAAATAAATGTTCATTAATAGGGAAATGGTGAAATAAGTTGTAATTATCAAATTATGGGAATGGTGTACAGTAGTTGAAAAGAATGAGGTAGATGTCGATGCATACAGTAATAGATTCTGGAAGATCTCAAAGATCGGGTTGTTGAGCGAATAAAGAAACTTGCGTTAGAACACGTACAATGATATCTTTTGTGTAAAGAACAAAAAATAAACCCATACCTATATAGTACTTTCTGTAATACACATGCACAAGCACAAGTAAGGATCCTGGGCAAATACACACTGAAGTAGCTATGTTTGGGAAAGAGTGTGGGATTTTGTGAGGGAGGAGAAGTCTGAGAGGACTCAATTTTCATACTTTTTGAACTTTTTTTAACAAAAACTTAATGTATTATTTATTGTATAATTAAAAATTGAAATAGGAAAGATTGACAAGTACTCACAGTGTAAGTACTTCCATAGAGATAAGAACTTGGTGCTTTGGGACCACATAAGAAAGGGCACCAGACCCAGTGTTTGAGGCTCCAGAAACAACTCCTGAAGGAAAACTTGGCTAAGCTAGGATCTATAATTCCAAAGGAGGAGTTGTACAAAAGACAGATGGAGGTAGGAGGAGCATATAGCTAAGGGAACAATTTACTTTCTCAATTGTTTGCATGGCTGGCTTCTTGTCACTCAGATTTCTATCTAAATGTCATCTCCTCACAGACGCTTTTCCTGACTATTCAAATTAAAGAAGCTACCCAAGACACTCCCTATCATGACATCCTCATGTTTTTTCTTCAAAGCACTGAATATTGGGTGACATTTTCTTAATGATGTATGTTCTTTATCAGCTACACTAGATTTAAGCCCTATCTTATTCAACACATTATTATTGCTGCTTCTTAGCACAGTTTATAAATGGCACCTAACTGGACACAAGAGCCTGGGGCGAGTGTGGAGTGTTGAAGGAAGTGAAAATGTTGTAGTTTGGTAGGCCAAAACATAGATGGGATGCTGGGGGAAATGTCCAGAGAAGAAGCCAGATCACTAAGATGGCCAGCTCACAACTGGAGCATGAGTAACCTCACTGCATTTGGGGAACCATTGAATGATTTCAAGTAGGGAAGTGACATCAGATTTTTGTTAGATTATTTCAGAGGAAGATGAACTGGGTGGGGAAGAGGTAAAACTTGAAGCTGTAGAACCAGTCAGAAGACATGTATAGTAGTTCAAGTGAAGGCCAGGCAGTGGTAGGAAAAATGAGAAGGAATATTAAGGAGACAGAATTGATTGCTGACTGGACGCTGAGGATGAGGAAGGAGTTGAAAGGGATGCCAAATTATTAATCAATGAATGGTGGTGCCCGGTACTGTGTGAAACCAAAATTTTTATCAAATCTAAATTTTTTTGATGATGGCTTTTTTTTCTTTTGCGCCTACCATGAGATGTCAATTAAGGATTTGAGATTATTAAAATTCAACTATATCTCAACCCCACCTGCCTAATAGATTATAAGACACTCTTAATTGTAAGATGGATCCAGATTTCAGAGAGGTTAAATTGTGAAAAATGAGCATTTTAGAGTTGATGAAATAGGGTCTTGGAAATAAGAACCCAGAGGGAACTCAATATCCAGTAGAGAAAGACATAAATAATTAAAATATGGTATTTTGAGTGCTTCCCATGTGCTAAGCACTGTGCTAATAAATGATAATGATACAGACATGAGCAAAACAGACACAGCCCCTTCCTTCATGGAGCTGCATTCTAACAGGGAAAACAGACATTAAGTAAAAAACTATTAAATTGAAGTTGTAATTAAGACCAAGAGGCAGGATTAGAGGGAACTGTGCTTGTGGACATAACTAGGGGATTTCTCCTAGTCTATGAGACCTCTGCAATGGCTTCCCTGAGACGGAAGGAAAAACAGGTGTTAGCTAGGCAAAGGGAGGTGCTGGAGGAGGGAACTGAGTTCTAGGTAGAGGGAACAACGTGATAAATGACATACCAAAGGTAAATACAGCGTAGAGAAAGTGAAAGTGCAAATTTTGAAATGACGCTAATTCCAGTTTTAACATGGTGATGTTGAGGTGTCTGTTTTCATAGCCAAAAGAGAAGCCCAATAGAGATTTAGATAGTCAGGTCTGTAGACCAAGATAAAAGGACAAAGACTTTTGTTTGGTACCTATTATATGCTAAATTCTGTCCCAGGAACTTCATATGTATATTATATCATTAATCCTCAGATAAGTCTGGATGGTAGGCAGTATCCCCATTTCACAGGCTGCAGGCACTGAGGCTTACAAAAGGTTGTATAGCCTGCCCATCATTATAGTTGGTAAGAGGCAGACTTGTGATTTGAATCCACATCTGTCTGACTTTGAAGCCCCTCTTCTTCCCCTAATGGTAAAGAGTATGAGCTGCACTCTCTTGGTGGTTTAAATCAGATCTCTACTGTTTCTTAGCCCTCAGTCTCAGTTTTCTCATCTGAAGAACAAGCATTAATAGTTATCTCAGAATTATTTTGAGGAATAAATGAGATAATCCATGTAAAGTGAGTAGGATAGTGCCTAGCGCATAGTATCTGCTCCACAAATGTTAGCTGTTGCTATTATGATATTTAATGTGAACACAGCTTTGGACCCTTTTAGTATTATCTAAAAAGAAATCAAGAAGTCAGAAGAGAAGGCTGGAGACAGAGTGCTGGGAAACACTAGCAAGTCTGAGGAGGAGGAAACTCAGAAAGAATTTTAAAATAACAATTTTTTTCAAATTTCAGTAACCTCCGCCTGTAAATAATTTTTTCTTCCACAAACTGTAGCAGTATTTCTTCCATTAATGTAGCAAAATGGTATATTCATTCAATTAAAATAGTTTTTTTAAATCTATATATCCATGTCTTTTTGTCTTAAGGGAAAGGGGTGGCTCATGATAAATTTCCTGCTAATGTGTAGGAAAATTAGTTTGGTTACCATGTTAATGTAAATGTAGCTAATATTTAAATTGCACAATAAGTTATTAGAATGTAACTTTTGGGCCAGGCACAGTGGCTCATGCCTGTAATCTCAGCACTTTGGGATCCCTTGAGCCCAGGAGTTTGAGACTAGTCTGGGTAATATAGTAAGACCTCGCCTCTACAAAAAAACTTAAAAAATTAGCCCGGTATGGTGGCATGTGCCTGTGGTCCTGGCTACTTGGGAGGCTGAGGTGGGAAGACTCCTTGAGCCACAGAGGCTGCAGTGAGCTGTAATTGCGCCACTGTACTCCAGCCCTGGGCAACAGAGTAAAACCCTGTCTCCAAAAAAAAAAAAAAAAAAAAAAATTAAAAAAAACTTTTGAATGAATAGGAGTAATTCTATATTTTTAAAAAATGGGAAAATGGCTTTTTTTTCCCACAATGGGTTTGCCACCAGAACACAGGTGTTGTGAAAACTACCCCTAAAAGCCAAAATGGGAAAGGAAAAGACTCATATCAACATTGTCGTCATTGGACACGTAAATTCGGGCAAGTCCACCACTACTGGCCATCTGACCTACAAATGTGGTGGCATCGACAAAAGAACCATTGAAAAATTTGAGAAGGAGGCTGCTGAGATGGGAAAGGACTCCTTCAAGTATGCCTGGGTCTTGCATAAACTGAAAGCTGAGCGTGAACGTGGTATCACCATTGATATCTCCTTGTGGAAATTTGAGACCAGCAAGTACTATGTGACTATCATTGATGCCCCAGGACTCAGAGACTTCATCAAAAACATGATTACAGGGACATCTCAGGCTGTGCTGTCCTGATGGTTGCTGCTGGTGTTGGCGAATTTGAAACTGGTATCTCCAAGAATGGGCAGACCTGAGAGCATGCCCTTCTGGCTTACACACTGGGTGTGAAACAACTAATTGTTGGTGTTAACAAAATGGATTCCACTGAGCCACCCTACAGCCAGAAGAGAGAAGAGGAAATTGTTAAGGAAGTCAGCACTTACATTAAGAAAATTGGTTACAACCCTGACACAGTAGCATTTGTGCCAATTTCTGGTTGGAATGGTGACAACATGCTGGAGCCGAGTGCTAACATGCCTTGGCTCAAGGGATGGAAAGCCACCCGTAAGGATGGCAGTGCCAGCGGCACCATGCTGCTTGAGGCTCTGGACTGCATCCTACCACCAACTCATCCAACTGACAAGCCCTTGCGCCTGCCTCTCCAGGATGTCTACAAAATTGGTGGTATTGGTACTGTTCCTGTTGGCCGAGTGGAGACTGGTGTTCTCAAACCTGGTGTGGTGGTCACCTTTGCTCCAGTCAACATTACAACAGAAGTAAAATCTGTCGAAATGCACCATGAAGCTTTGAGTGAAGCTCTTCCTGGGGACAATGTGGGCTTCAATGTCAAGAATGTGTCTGTCAAGGATGTTCGTCGTGGCAACGTTGCTGGTGACAGCAAAAATGACCCACCAATGGAAACAGCTGACTTCATTGCTCAGGTAATTATCCTGAACCATCCAGGCCAAATAAGCGCTGGCTATGCCCCTATATTGGATTGCCACGCGGCTCACATTGCATGCAAGTTTGCTGAGCTGAAGGAAAAGATTGATCGCGGTTCTGGTAAAAAGCTGGAAGATGGCCCTAAATTCTTGAAGTCTGGTGATGCTGCCATTGTTGATATGGTTCCTGGCAAGCCCATTGTTGAGAGCTTCTCAGACTATCCACCTTTGGGTCATTTTGCTGTTCGTGATATGAGACAGACAGTTGCGGTGGGTGTCATCAAAGCAGTGGACAAGAAGGCTGCTGGAGGTGGCAAGGTCACGAAGTCTGCCCAGACAGCTCAGAAGGCTAAATGAATATTATCCCTAATACCTGCCACCCAACTCTTAATCAGTGGTGGAAGAATGGTCTCAGAACTGTTTGTTTCAATTGGCCATTTAAGTTTAGTAGTGAAAGACTGGTTAATGATAACAATGCATCGTAAAACCTTCAGAAGGAAAGGAGAATGTTTTGTGGACCACTTTGGTTTTCTTTTTTGCATGTGGTAGTTTTAAGTTATTAGTTTTTAAAATCAGTACTTTTTAATGGAAACAACTTGACCAAAAATTTGTCACAGAATTTTGAGACCTGTTAAAAAAGTTTAATGAGAAAAAAAAAATGGGAAAATGAAAAAGCATCATAAAATACCATGATTTTGTGGGCTTTATTTTGTTAAAATAACTACTCGTCTTGTCACTATTGTAAAAACATATTTCAAGGAAAAGCAGCTAAGTAATAAAGGCCAAAATTTATTATTAATGAAATTTTTCATTTTAACTAATTTTCAGAGAGAAGAGAAAACTTACTCAGTAAATAACCTTCCTCCAGATAGACCGGGAAGTCCATTCACTGTCGGTTCTCTAATTAAACAGGCAACAAGGTAAGTTCTTCCCATTCAATTGAATCAAATGTTATGTGTCTAAACATCTTGGCACATTTTCTTGTGATTAAGGATAAGATTAAGAATTGGCAGGTACAATGGAAATATATGCCTTCGGTAAAATTTGTCAACTTTTTTGGTGTCATAATTTATAAAATAAGGTAATTTTTGTGTCATTTATTAAGATTACTTCTGGCTTTGTAATTTAAATATGGAGAAATATCCATATATGGTGAGCAAGTGCTGAGAGGAAGTAAGTGCCCTTTCTTTGCATAAGTGTGGCATCATTATTGTTCCTTGAAATCAAGTTGGAGATTTGATGTTACATTTAAAATTTTTATACTTCTTTATTATCTTCAGAGTAATAGATTTCTGAAAATATACTAATGATAAAGCATAGATTGGTTCTTTGGTTCATATGTTTTTAAAATTCTCTCAATCTATGATACCCAGAAGAATGCAAGTGGACTGTTGTTTCTTTTTATAAATTTATGTACAAGCAATTTCCAAAATAGATTTGAAGAAGCATATTCTGTAATTTGATTTCCTAGGGATAGTTGATTCACATCCCTACCATTTTTAGCCTATGTGAAACTTTCCAGGCAGTGTGAATCTATCACCTCTTAAAAAAGGAGTTCCTGAAAATTCTGTCCATGGAATCATTTCATTGCTAAAAATTAAAGGAATAGCCTTAAGTAGGTAAGATTAGCACAAAGGGAAGCAACAGTATTTCCCTTCTAGGGGCTTAAGGATTTCTGGAGAAAAAAAGAGTTCCCAACACATTTCAGTGAAAATGATTTACTGATCATCTAAAATGTTGTATGGCAGTGAAAATGGGTTGCTAGAATTGGAAAATGTCATTTGCAAATGTTTAAGTAGTATTTTTTGTGTTCACAGAATTCTTCAACATTGTGTGAAGATGAGACTTTCTTTAAGCCATAACTATCGTATATGCTGCTGGAAAATGGTATGTTAAAATTATTTTAAAAGCAAGATATTTTTAAATTGTTTTATTGTTTATATCCATACTTCTGAGTTCAAACAGTTTTCCTCTAAGTCATGTGAGAAATTCTTGTAACATTAATGTTGGTTTATTCAGAAAAATACCTACCTAGTAGACAAACACTGAAAGTTCAGGCTTTTATGTTATAGTTTTATTGTATATGGTTCTTATTTTTCATGAAGAGGAAAGGATAGGGGAACTGATTGGATTTGAAGTATGTAAAATCATTAGTCATTATAAACCATGATATTATAGTGTTCTATATTTTCATAACCGTAAAAATAAATTCCTTAATGCTGATTTGGAGGAAGTGATTCTCAGACTTTGATTTCTGTATCTATATTCATTTAATTACAAACCTGTAAGCTCCTAATTTTTGTCTATAATGGATGTAAAGTTCAGAGCAGAACAGTGACTTTACAAATATATTATAACTGAATCTGCTTGAAAAAAAGACTGTTTTGGGTATCCACTTCTGGAAAAATTAAAATATAAGGATTTTATAATATTTGACTTCTGAATAAGTATCCAAAATTGCCCTAGAGTCATTAATATTCATTTAAATCTTGTTCTTAGATAACTCTATTTCCTGCTATTTTTATTTACTTGGTTTTAGGTACCTGGGATAAATGATAGCAATATACTGCCTTTGGTTTTGAAAGAGTCACTCATACCCAGTGTGGGAAGATTTCTTGCCTACTCTGATGACAAAGTACATGCTATCTTTTTAGATGGCATTACTCTAACCCTAAATTGGAATTTCAGCTCTCCTATTGAGAAGAGACAGGTGGGTATACTTCAGACTTAGATCTATTTTTTATTGGTAATCTGTGGAAAACAGAACAAAGAAAACAAAGTACCACACTATTTCAGTTCATTTTTTGAAGTATAAAATCTGTCAAGAAGCTTTACTGATCTCTTTGGATTTCCTAGCAAAAATCAGAATGATTTGACAAATAGTCACTTTTCTAAAGATAACTGATTATAGAGAAAGGGATTAGTATTTTCATTTGCTTTGATAATTACCTATATGAGTGGTGGTTAAATAACACCCATATCTCATGTAAACAACATTTAAACTGTTGCATCTTTAATGATTCCTCTACTTATTTCTTTAAGTTAATGAAGTTAGAATAGGTTGTTTATGTTCTTTTTTTCAGTTCTAAAATGATAAAACTTATCTTTCTACTTCTTCAGGTAAATCAAGGTCTTAACTTAGGTTGGTGTAAGTTAACTTTTCCTGATGGACAAGAGCAGTTAATTCAGATTGAACACCCTGAACCATATGAAAGGTACTGAAAAGCAATTTTAAAAATTATTTTTATGTTTTACTTTTAACTAACAGAGAATAAGCAATAAGCATTATTTAAGTGTTATATATATTTTTAGTTTTTCCATGTGGATAATAATGAAGGCATTTCAGTCGTTTCAGAGTTGATAGCTGTACTTGTGTTTAGCATAACTAAATAGATCAAGTCAGCTTTTTTTTTTTTTTTTTTTTTGAGACAGAGTTTTGCTCCTGTGGCCTGGGCCGGAGTACAATGGCACGATCTCGGCTCACCACAACCTCCGCCTCCTGGGTTCAAGCGATTCTCCTGCCTCAGCCTCCTGAGTAGCTGGGATTACAGGCATGTGCCACCATGCCCGGCTAATTTTTGTATTTTTAGTAGAGATGGGGTTTCTCCATGTTGGTCAGGCTTGTCTTGAACTCCCGACCTCAGGTGATCTGCCCACCTTGGCCTCCCAAAGTGCTGAGATTACAGGCATGAGCCACCATGCCCGGCCTTCAGGTCAGCTTTAATCATTTCATTTGTATTCAAGTAACTTTTCAAAATGAAATGTGTTATAGACATACTGATTTGCTGTGGAGGTTGGATATGGTCAGCTGTGTTAACAATTAACTAATCCTCTAGCCAATTTGAAATAAGATTTGCAACCACAAATAACTGAAATTCTGTATATTTCTATAAAGTGGATAAAATTACGCAATGATTATCTTAAAATGGGGAAGAGTCTTCAGCTTTTTATGAATTTTTTTTCTTTTGGTTTATCTAATTTATTACAGTAAATCTTGTGATAGTCTTCACATTTTAGTGATTTCACTTGAGAATATTCACAAAATAATAGCTTTTTGTTACCTCTTGAATGTATTTTTCTGTTGGGTTTTATTGTGTTTCAGTCTAAGTGCTCATTCATTGCTATTAATGATTTGCCTCAAAAAAGATAGTTTCTTTAGCAAACATTTCTATTGATTCAGCCAATCATTTCAGATCATTCATTTTATTAAACTTGATACTTGTTTTAGATATGTAGTAAGTTACATATAATTACACATATGCATACAAGCATATGTGTATATGCATTAGCAGGTGTTTTTTGGTTTAAATTTTAGTAAGCAAATGCTCAGTCAGTCTTATTTTGTGTGAATATTTTTTGATAAAACTTAAACGCATTTTACTTTGAAAAACTAAAAGAATTAGAACATTTAAAATTGAACTTTAAATGAAATCCAAATATCGCCTTTATTTTGATTCTTAAATGTCACTTGTATTAATCACAAATATAAGTAAATCATTTTATTCTTGATGAATAATGGAAAAAATTTGGCTTTTCTATGACCAGTGAAAAATATTTTGAGAATTGCCCAGTAAATGCTTCACTTTAACATTTTTTCTTTATCCTTTTTTCCCAAATTGTCTTATTTTTACATTTGTTTATAATTTTATAATGTATTCAAGTTCATTTTTCAAGTATTTCTTTTAATGTATTCACTTTAGATATGTGACAACAGTAACATCATGGTGCAGGAGACTGACCCAGACTAGTCCCAGAGAGATGCCCACTCATTCGTCATCTTCTGTTCTCCAAGAAAATTGGTATTTTTCTTTTAAACTTAAATCTGTTTAGAAGAGCTAATACTTTAAAAAAAATTAAAATGTCAAATGGTAAACTGAGACTTTTTTCCCCAAAAAAACTTTCTTAGTTTTGAATATGTTTAACTCCTAAAGTATTTTTGATAGCTTAAGCTTGAAAATAATTTCTAATCAGACATCTAATTTATTACATTTCATCATATTCTATTTTACCTAAAGGTAAGAAAACCTTGCATTGAAAACTTAACATGAAAATGAGTGGCTCTTTTTATGTGACAAATTCATCCTGAAAACTTTATGGAAAAATTTAAAGGGGATTCTTAAATTTTTAGTAATGTTGAAGGAAATAAAAGGTTTAATAACATAAGCTTTCAGAAAACATTGATTTTTAAATAATTTCTGTCATATTAGTTACTTCTCCCAAATTAACTGGCAGATCAAATAAAGCAAGTATTTTAGTCCCTCCTGTGTGCTTTTCAGTGTGCAGGGTACTAGAACTGGGCTTCAAGGGAACTTTCTGTGAAAATATAAGACATTTTAGGGAGGAAATAAGGGCAGAAGTAAAAAGGATATTTTAGCCTGTGGAGATAGAAGATAGTTTTTATGGAACATATGCTATCTATTAGTATATAGTATGAGTTTTGAGGGCTAGGAATGGATCTTATAATAAATAGGAGTTCAGACCTGATGGAATTAGAAAGTCCTAAATGGAAAAATGATAGGAAGAAAGGTCATTAGAAGATTAGTGTCACTGAGAGTCTAACCTGAATATATGGGAAGACAGGGATACCAGGAACAATTTGGGAAGCTTTTTAAGTAAGTTTTGTGAGGTGACCTAACATAGTGTAGTGAAACAAAATGTAAACATTAAGCCAATTTTTGTTACCTTTTCCTAAGCCCTTTCTTAGAACAAATCAAATCATATCAGTAAGCGTTATTTGAATATCTCAGGTAGCTTAAGGATCCAGCTTTGCAGATCCCTCATCCTTTAGCTGTAGCCTGTTTGGAAGCAGAAAAGTTGCTAAAGTAACTAGCAAAAAACAATTGTGATGGAAGGAAAATTGTACTTGTCTATAAAACCATCACTTCACCATTGCTTAGCTGGCAGTTTGTAAAATATCATCAGCCTTTTTATTTGAAAGCTGAGAAGAGGCTGTCAATACACACTAAAAACTGCAAGTAGAGATTGGTGATAGTAGCTAAAGGTGAAAGCAACTAGGAACAGCAGAGGCAAGATAAAGAAATTGAGGAGTAGCTCCATTCCCCCTATAAAGCCTTAGGTATCTCCACTTCGGTTTTTCTTATCAAAGAGGGTAGGTTGAAGGAAGAAACAAGATTGTACAATAAAAAGCTACCTAAGTTGTATTCTAGTATTTTTTTTCCGCCACACCCTCCATTATTAGCTTATTAATTCAACTTTTTAGTCAACAAATAGTACGTTTCATAAAAAGTTCGTTCATTATGAGAGCAATAACAATAAAGGTTGTATTGTTTCTTACATCCAGAAAAATGCGTTGGGTTTAAAAAAAAAAAGATATTTTGCAATAATGAACAATCAGCTGGTTGTTGGGGTAAGTTGTATCCAAGTTCTTTGCCACAGGTGTTTAAAATTATGAAATATTTCTTTTCATTCTCCATCCATAGGCTGGAGTACAAGGGAAAGAGTACAAGCTGACAGGGAGGTGCATGTGATCTGTTGTAGTAAAGCCAATAAAGCAGACAAGTCACACAACCTACTACGAACTGTGAAGATTTTTCTGGTGACTTGAATATTTTAGACTAATGTCTTCATTAATTTTGCAGAGAGCTAGTCAAGTTACAGTTTGTAGTTGTATGCCATTGCTCATATTTCATTCTAACTTGATAAGAAAAAGGATAAAGAACACACACTTAGGGGTTCTGCTGGAGACGTATATATTAGCCCTCTACTCCATACCAGTTGTCCCACTATCTTTCTATAGAACATGGTATAAGAGCTAATGTTCATCATGTTAACCCTCTGTGCTTAAAAAAACAATGAAATAAGTAGGTAGTCTATTCCAGAAAGAATTTAATAAAAAATAGTTGTTTTGACACGTAATTCAACTATTTAAAAACTTGGATCTCCCATACCATCCATTCCCAAAGAGTTCCATATAAATGAGGTCTTAATATATGCACAAGTACAGAAAAGTAAAAAATCCTTTCTTCTGAGAGAAACAATCTAGGTAGGAAGAGCAGGAAGTTAAATAGTTCAAGAGAAGATATTACAAATAAGTATGTGATTAATTAATATGCTATAGGAATTCAAGGAAGGAGAGAGCAGTTCTTTCACAGAAGGAATGGGATTTTAATAGGTTTGTAAAGTTTGCGTAAACTTTAGGGAGGAAAGTAGAGTGTAAGCTAGGTTAGTACTAAGAAGTAACAGGAAGGCCCATTATCCTCAAACATCAATATTTGATTACAAATTCCTTGAAGTGGATTTACAAGGGGTAGACTTTTATTCACTTACCTTTAAAGGCACTCAGTAAGTATCAGTTGAGTCAAGTTGATTTGTTGCTAAATAAAGGTAACATAAAGAGAATTCTTCTGCGTTCTTCCGTTTAAAATTCTAATGAAAAAAAAAGTCAGGTATGCTTATTTGAAATATCATGAATACAAAAGAATCAGACAACTGAATGAATTTTTTCTTTTTCCTTGGACAGGTCTGTTGCTTCTGAACTTGAAAAGATACAGAAGTTTAACTGTATCCTTTAAACAGAATGCACTGTCCTACATAATTACTCTCTTTCATTCTAGGCTTAATTCATGACTTCAGTACTTTGTGAATATTAATCTATACTTAATATATTGCTAACCTTTATTGAGTCAGCAAATACCTAAGATTGTAATTTAAGATGGATCTTGTCCATAGAAGGTATAGCATGTTAACATTTATACTTTTCTTTGAGTTTAAATTGGGCAAAGAACAGTTAATTAGGGTTAAGGTCTCCTTTGGAGACTTTTTCACTTACATAATTATATAATAAAATTATAACTGTTTAAGACCTCTTTTTTTAAATGAAATATTTCATTCTGTACATTCTCACCCAATTCATCTAAATTTGTTTTCTCTTGTGGTTTTTCTCTAATCTTATTCAAATAAGTTAGTTCTATAGCGAACAGGTTTTTCACTCTAAATCTTTTTAAATTAAAAATAGACACTACACAGATTCCTTATAATCCTGTCATCCTACTCTTTAATTCCCGTGTCATTTCTTCACTTAAAGAAATGTTACTGAAATTTTCATTTCCTCCTTACCACCAAACCTCCACCCAAACACACACATACACACTCTATTCTCTTTCCCCCTCCCTTATACTGTAATTAGTTTCTTCATCTACAAGGAGCAGACTTGATAAGCCTTGCAGTTCCAACTGTATTATGAATCCAAGAGGTCTTCCAGCTGAGAAATATTTTAATATGAAGCCTATGCTTTCTGTATATAAAGATATTTATATAGTGAAAAATGTGGGGAAAACCTCCTTAACTAAGCAACTTAGTGCTACTAGAAAATAGTGGTATCCTAAACCAGATTTCTAACAAGAAAAATGAACAACAGTCTTTTGATCATTATAAACCAGGATCTTCAGAAACCTTGCTAGGAGAAGTTAATGAAAATAGAGTATCAATAGCATTGAAAAAAACCTCTGAAATCCTTCACGATATTGACTGTCTTCTATCAAACTCTAAAAAGTGAAAAATGGAATTATTACAACATATTATTAAAGTTTAAGGATGTTGTTTCAAGTGACTGGTATAAAATTACTAGTAAGCCAAGATATTGTACGTATTACCCCGGCACAATGATTGTGAAAGAACTGACATTTAACTTTGAAGGTATTTTTAACTTGTACATTTTTAAAATATGTATTTATATCTTAATAATAAATATTTCGAAGTTTTGAACGTTTCACATTTAATTCTTATTTCAGATTAACAAGAAAAAAAATTTGTAACATTATAAAGTTGTTGCTGTTTTTATCTTGTGGAGCATTCACTATTAATCTTCAGGTTTTTTCATTTTGTTTGTTTTTACTGTTTGAGATACGGTCTTGCTTTGTCACCCAGGCTGCAATGCAGTGGTGCAATCATAGCTCACTGCAGCCTTGAACTTGTGGGCTCAAGGGATCTTCCCACCTCAGCCTTCTGAGTAGCTGGAACCACAGACATGTACCACCATGCCTGGCTAATTTTTAAAAATTTTTTTTGTAGAGACAGGAATCTCCCTATCTTGCCCAGGCTGGTCTTGAACTCCTGGCTTCAAGCTATCCTCCTGCCTCCGTTTCCCAAAATGCTGGAATTACAGGTGTGAGCCACTGCACCCAGCCTCTTTTTTTTTAATATGCAGAATTGTGCATTTGTTCACTTGCTATTTGGTCCCTTTACTCCAAGTATTTTTCAGTAGAGCTATGAGACAAGAACTACATCTCAAAAACAAAAACGGAGACAAGCAACATTGTAAACTAAAAATCAGGCACTTTGGCAAAGACTGTATCTAAACTGTCTCATGAACCAGATACTTTCTTTTGAACACAGGAAAAGATTTATGCTGCAAAGTGTTTAACAGAAATGAGCTCACCAAAAGTGCTATTTATTATAAGCTTGTCTATTAAGAAAGAACAAAACCAAATATCTATAATGACGTCAAGATTACACCAAACACAACCAGAAATGTTCTAATTTTCTGATTTCTATAAAAGACCTGGCTCTTCAAATAAACGGGAAGCAGTAACAGAGAAAACGAGAAAAATGGGGAGAAGAGTGTAGATCAGGAATGATAATGTCACTAAGTTAAAGGGGCACAATGCCTTTTTTTTTTTTTAGTTCCTCTGACACTGGATTCCTTCACATTTCAATTCTCAAACAAGTACCATTTCCTCAAAAGGGCCTTCCTTACTACCTGACTAAAGTTAGCATCTCCCAAGTCTATTACATCACCCTATTTACTTCCTTTATAGTACTTATTACAATCTGTCTAGCTTGTTTCCTTGTGGCTCACACCCTCCACTAGAACTTGAGCTCCATAGTCATTCTGTAGCACACTGAGAGCACTCTGTTTGTATAAATGAATCAGTAAGCTGGGCACAGTGGCTCACGCCTGTAATCCCAACACTTTGAGAAGCCAAGGAGGGGGGAACACTTGAGCCCAGGACTTTAACACCAGCCTGGGCAACATAGCGAGATGCCCATCTCTACAAAAAACTTAATTACCTGCACGATGGCATGTGCCTGTGGTCCCAGCTACTCCAGAGGCTGAGGCCGGAGAATCCCTTGAGCCCAGGAGGTCAAGGCTGCAGTGAGCTATGATTGCACCACTGCACTCCAGCCTGGGTGACAGAGGGAGACCCTGTCTCAAAAAAAAAAAAAAAAAAAAAAGGAATAAACATCTACAGGCAGTAGACCGACTACAGAGAAAAGAACTACTATTACATTGTTTGGGTTTGCATGAAGCCATCTATGTTGTTCCTCAATAGCTCCATAAAGCCTAGATTATAAGACTTTGTACCACACTGCCAAAAGGGTAATGCCAAATTATTACTGCATTCAGAAGGAGAAAATTTGTCCTTAACATGGCTAAAAGCACTCAAAATTATAAATACATTTGCTGAAAGATACTTTAAATTCTCATTTAAGGTGTGTGGGAGTTAAAAGGTGTTTAATTTTCCCTGTCAGTTGGGTGTTTTACATTGGCTAAGAACCAAGACTGTGACAAGAAATGAGTTCTATGATTGAGAAACTCTAAGATTCTGGGGGTGGCCTAGGAGTTTACTTTGAGATTGAAATTTATTTTCTATGGTCAACTGTATAATTACGATGATACCACCCCTTGCTTTCCATCTGACACTTGGTTTGAGAAACTGTAGGTAGGAAAGGGAAAGAAGAATGTCCCTCCTTGGGCCTCTTCTTTTGGGCCTGTGCTTCCTAGAGTCAAATGTCAAGCTGGTATTTCCTTGGTGCTAAGAGCAACCACCACTCTGAGGCAGAGACGGGATGGGACCTAGCCAAAGTCCCAGTAAACAAACTGTATCTTGTAAGCGCAATTTAATTAGGGTCAAACTATTCTGTATGGACTTGCTTTTTCGACTTCTGAGGATTTAGTAGTCATGATTAAGTGCTGTCACGCTACTGCGATCTACAAACAGTAGCTCCACAACATCCGCCCGCATCGTGGCAAAGAATTATCAAGAAATCCCCAAGGGGGCGGTGAGGAGCCGCCGGTCGGCCAGGTC
Source organism: Homo sapiens (assembly GCF_000001405.40). Lineage (NCBI taxonomy): Eukaryota > Metazoa > Chordata > Mammalia > Primates > Hominidae > Homo > Homo sapiens. Next base: position 43,484,381 of record NC_000005.10, on the reverse strand, counting down.
GCCCGGTCCCTCAGTCTGGTGAAAAGCTCCGTTGCCCACCCTGAGGGCTTCGCGGAAGGAAGTTGGCCGTATCGCTGCACCTTAGAGATGCGACGGCCGAGGCTCCCAGCTCAAGCTTCTGGTAGTAAGGCCTGTGTGCCTGGCATTCGGGGAGGCCACTTTTCTATCCCCAGCTTCCGGGCCACCACTTGGGTGCGTCGTGGGGATGTCGGCAGCTACGTTTGCGGCACAGCTCCGGCTAAACTGAAAAACGAATCCTCAGGTTTGACAAAACTAAACTAAAAAGACACTTTTCTCCTCTCACTCTGACGTCCCAAAAGTTTCCTTTTTAGGGGTCGGGGCCTACGGTGGGCGAGGAGAAACTCGAGGTATCTACCCACCGCACCAAACAACTCATGCGTCGCTTCCTTTCGACTTGGAGCTGGCCAGTATCCCGGCGTCCTCTCGGCCGACGCTGCGGTCTGAGGCCACTCTGGCCGGCAGCCGACGTCTCTATGGCTCCGACCGAGGGGCGGAGCCGCTGCTCGAGCTGCTGCTGGATTGAACTCAGAGAAGCCGGGGTGGGTATGGCTGAGCCGCTGCGTGGGACTGAGGGGAGGGGGCCGGGTGGACGCCGCGGAACTGCGTCCTGAGGTGGGAGACCGGAGGTGGGGGACCACTGAGTCTGATGTCTGGAGGGTCCGGTTGCGGGTCGGAGGGCGTGCTGGAACAGCCGCCACGCGGGAGCCAGGAGCCTCCTGGGTGCGTGTGACCCACGAGCCGGCACCGTCCCGCGGCCCTGGGGTCTGCGAGGAGCCCTGGCGCCGCCCTCCGGCTTCGCGCTTTTTCTAGATCCCTAGAACCCCAGCCCTCCGCCTACGCTCCGCGCCCCTGGCCTTTTTCTGGCCCAGGGTGGGGTTCCGGGAGTCGTGCCGAAGGAGCCCATTGCCGTCCTTAACCGGTTGTAAGAGCCTTTCGTGCCCCGGAGCCTTTGAGGCTTGAATGCTGAGAGTGTGACATGGTCCTTTCCCTGCAGCCTGGCCCATTTTTTTAAATGACATTTGAAAAATTATTGCATCACACCAGACTCAGAAAAGGATGTCTGGGAACTTCTGAGGCTTGAAACATGTTGAAATACAGAATTTTGTTTTATTCGTAATGGGCATAGGAACTAAACATTTTAAGTGCAGACATCTGATGGCTATAAAAAGTTTCAGTGAAAGTAAGCAAGATTTGTGTTTCCTTTGTCAGTTAGTTGCATCAGATTTGGCATCTGCTTTTGATATTTTTCCATTAAAGAAATTAAATATATTAAGTTTACAGCAACTACAGTTCAGTGAAGAAGACTTACTGGTAAAGCATAATAAAGGCGGTTTCTGGAATTTGGACCGTGTTTTGACCTTGGGTTTTTGCATATAATGTGTAAGGTTGGTGGGGAAGAGGGAAAGTTAAAACAGATGACACTTACTTAGAGAATGTATCAGCTCTTATTTGTTTTGACAGAAATAATGTCTAAGAGATTATTAGCAAACAATACATGATAGCGTATAATTAAAGTGACCAGCTAATTATATGTTTGTGGAATTCAGGAAGGAGAAAAGTACTGTTATGTATACTCTGAAGGCCCCAAAGTTAGTGGTATTTGCTATAAGGGGGATGGGGTGTGACAAAGTTTGGCCATTGCAGAAAATGGCTTCTGCGAGTCATAGGGAGGAATTTATAATATGTCAGTTATGTCAGAGAAGCTATCCCAAACAGTATCTTTAGTTCATAGGCTGCGGATTTATTATGTGATTATCTCTTGTATTAGTAAAATGGAATATTTATTAAATACCTTGAGCACACTGGATTTTTAAACATGACAAGTTTAAAAGAGATCACTACTCTTAAGGAACCTTATCAACAAAAGTGAATATGTAAAAGGAGGTTCGGGAGTCCGTTTTATTTGTAGGGGGAGGAATAGGAAGTGGAAAAGGAAATAAAAAGTTTAAGAAGAAAAATGGGTACCCTTAGGTGTATTATTCAGAGACAATAAGTAATACAGGAAGAACACTTAGTAAATTTCTCTTTTTCTAATACTCAGACTCTGAGCCAGATGTTAAATATCTGCACCAAAAGTTGGAGTAGAATAGATGCCAGAAATGTGGGGTTCTGGAACTGCAATTATACCTTCCTTAAAAATAGAAATAGTTCTCTTCTACGTATCTATTGTGTAATAAATTACACCAAAACTTAGAGGCTTAAAACAGTAGACAGTAGGGGCCAGGCGCCGTGGCTCACGCCCGTAATCCCAGCACTTTGGGAGGCCGAGGCGGGCGGATCACGAGATCAGGAGATCGAGACCATCCTGGCTAACACGGGTGAAACCCCGTCTCTGCTAAAAATACAAGAAATTAGCCGGGCGTGGTGGCGGGCGCCTGTAGTCCCAGCTATTCGGGAGGCTGAGGCAGGAGAATGGCGTGAACCCGGGAGGGGGAGCTTGCAGTGAGCCGAGATCATGCCACTGCACTCCAGCCTGGGTGACAGAGCGAGGAACCATCTCACACAAAACACAAACAAACAAAAAACAGTAGACAATAATTTTATTCTTTCTGTGGGGTCAAGACTTAGCTGGCGGTTCTGGCCCAGGGTCTCATGAAGTTGCAGTCAGGATGTCGGCAGTGGCTGCGGACATCTGAAGGGTTGACTGGGGCTGAAGGATCTGCTTCCAAGTTCACTGTGAGCTTTTTCCTTCCTCTTTCATCAGCAAGCTGTTTTGTACTTTCCATTGGTAAAATGCATTCGCATTATACCCATTATATATAATATATGTGTTCCTATTCGTAAACCGTGATACAGTTTTTTGTAAACAGTAAATTTTGCTTGTTGAGGTCGCTTTAAATTTGGATCATCATGTAAATACTTCAAGTAATCTTTTGATTTTTCACTTTGCTCACGACACTTTATTAGCAAACTAATCCTTTTAAAATCTGAACTCATCATGTAAAATGTAGAGTTAGTAGGTTCGGTGTGGTAGTTTCTGCCTGTAGTCCCAGCACTTTGGGAGGCCAAAGTGGAAGGATCACTTGAGGCCAGGAGCTGAAGACCAGCCCGGGCAACACAATGAGACCCCATCTCTACAAAACACTTTAAAAACAAAAATCTAGCCAAGTATAGTTGTGCATTTCTGTAGTCCTAGCTACTCAGGAGGCTGAAGCAGGAGCCCATGAGTTCAAGGTTACAGTGAGCTATGATCGTGCCACTACACTTCAGCTTGGGCAACAGAGATACCTTGTCAAAAAAAAAAAAAAAAAAAAGTAAGCCGGGCGCAGTGGCTCACGCCTGTAATCCTAGCACTTTGGGAGGCCGAGGCGGGCGGATCACGAAGTCAGGAGATCGAGACCATCCTGGCTAACATGGTGAAACCCCGTCTCTAGTAAAAATACAAAAAATTAGCTGAGCGTGGTGGCGGGCACCTGTAGTCCCAGCTACTCGGGAGGCTGAGAGGCAGGAGAGTGGCATGAACCCGGGAGGCAGAGCTTGCAGTGAGCCGAGATCGCGCCACTGCACTCCAGCCTGGTCGACAGAGCAAGACTCCGTCTCAAAAAAAAAAAAAAAAAAAAAAAGTAAGATTATTAACATTTAAATATATATTGTGATTATTAAAAATTGCTTCATGAGTGAAAGAAAATATAATGCACTGGCTTTATAAGGACATCATGAAATTTGCAGTTAAGTGGATATTGGCTTTTTATTTTTGTCTTCCTTCTGGAATGAGGGTTGAAAATAAATTTGTAATTGGGTCAGGCTCAGTGGCTCACTCCTGTAATCCCAGTGCTTTGGGAGGCTGAGACAGGAGGAACACTTGAGGCCAGGAGTTTGAGACCAGCCTGGACAACATAGAGGGACCCTGTCTCTTAAAAAAAAAAGAAAAAAGAAAAAATTGCCCAAGCTTGGTGGCACTTGCCTGTAGTCCCAGCTACTCAGGAGACTGAGTCAGGAGAATTGCTTGAGCCTAGGAGTTAGAGGCTACAGTGACCTAGCACCATGCCACTGCACTCCAGCCTGGGCAACAGAACAAGACTTTGTCTCTAAAAAAAGAAAAGAAAATTTGTGATAATATATAAACAAAGATTGAGTGGCAGCAGAGCTTTTGTGTTAGGCGTCTGTGTAGTCTGTGCCCAGCCTAGGTTCTTCTCATACCTGAATGGCCTTCTTTCTCATTAGGGCTAACTTACAGGCCATACTTTATTGAAGGAGGGGAATATTGCTGCTGCCGCTGCTCTGGGTTGGCCATTAATTCAAGTTTTCAGTGTCCCTGTTTCAGTCCAGCTAAGTGGATAAGGGCATTTATTTTTAGTTGAAAGGGACATTTTATCAACTTTAAAGTTATATGCATTAAATATTTAAATATGTTGACTTCTTTATCCATTCAGGTGTTGAATGTTTGTTTTCTAAAGGAGACAATGATTCATAATTTGTGACACTGTAAATCCTGAGGTTTATAGAAAGGATTCATGACTTTGTAATGGAGGTATGTTTTGCATTTTTTGTATTTTGGTCACATCTCTTGGTTGAGAGTACCTGGAAATCATTATTTCCAGATCCTGGAAGAATCTATAGAAAATAATCCATCTTAATGCTTTAGAGAACAATTTTCATTATTGCAAATGATCAAGAATGAGCATTGTTGTAGACTCCATTATCATTTAAAAAATAGTTGTTATCTGCAAAGTAAGTACGCTTCACATAAGGAATCTGCATAAGTTATTTCTTGTGTCTATTATTACATAACTATGAACAAATTGTTATGTTATACAATAAATTTGATTTATGAGATTGGATGTAATTTTATTAATACCAATTAGTGTTATATATTTAATGTGCATATTAATATATATTTATAATGTTATACCTTTTTTATTACCTTTTTAAAATTACACTTTTAAGAGACTGACTTTAACAATCAAGTATGAGTTGTTTAATTACTCCTGGCTTTAACTTTTCAAAGTAGCTTTATTGGTTTTATGGTCATAACAGTAAGACATCGAAATTTTTCAAAAATTCAAAAAAGGAAAAAAAGTAATGATTACATTTGTAAGCCCACCGCTGAGAAACAAACCAAATAAACAGTCTTCCAGATTTTTTAATAGACCTGTATATATTTTTTAACAAAAATGTAATTTTTTACATATTATTTTATAGGTTATCTTTTAAATTTGAATACTTAATGAACATCTTTCTATTTCAGTAAATATGAGAATAAGTATTTTTTAATGGCTGCATATTTGTGGAATTTATTTCACTAGTGCCATATTTCAGACATATACATTATTTTAAAATTTTTCTTGTAAACAATGCTATGCTGAATATTCATATATAGCTGTTCATATTTATCTAATTATTTCCTTATTTTCCTGGAATTGGAAATGTAGCATCAAAAGTGTTTGCTTATTTTTTGTGGTTTTTGATAAATAGTCAAATTGACCACGAGAAAGTTTATACCAATTTACATTCTTGCCAATAATCTTTGAGAGTGATCATTATTTCCCTACTCCTACTATCACAGAGTATTAGTAATCTTTTGTCAGTCTTACATTGAAATCTCATTGTTATAATTTGAATTCAACTGATTACTAATAAGATTGAAATCTTTTCATATTTTTTGACACTTTGTATTTCTTTTCCAAATTGTCTTTTTATGTACATTGCCCACATTATTATTGGGATGCTTATTTCTGTATTAATTTTAAGAGCCCTTAATACATTAGGGCTACTAATCTTTCTCTGTCATAAATGTTCTAAATTTCCTCCATTTATTTGTCTTTAACTTTGCCATGCAGAAACTTTATTGTGTAGTCATGCCTATCAGATTTTTAAAAATAATTTTGAGCTCTTCTAGCTAAAAGCTTTACATTATTATATAGTCATTCCTATCAGATTTTTTAAAATATTTTTGGGCTCCTCTAGTTAGCTGGACTATGTAGAATTCTGTTGACAAATTCATATAAGTATCCCAAATTTGATAACCCAGTTGATCACAAAAGCTATCTAACCATGGAAGTTTTCCAGGCAGCTAGTCAACCAAATTGATTCCCTTTCTTAATTTAATCAGAGAAAGAGTCTATATTGTAAAACATGGGGTGTGACGTTTTAAAATCTAAAGTTGTTTATATAAAATTACATTATACAGACTGAAAGTTGATTATCCAAACTAGGTTTTGTCTGATGATTGATTTTCTTCAGTGGTATTTAGTAATTATAGCCTTTTCTACCTAGTGATTACCGATATGGACAGGTCATTTCCTGTTCAATGTAATATATTTGGGAGGTTCCTCTTCCAATCTATTGTGAAGGAAGATAGAACCCATGTTCATCTATACAGATGTTCCTTTACTTATGATGGTGTCCATGTCCTGATAAACCCATCGTAAGTCAAAAATTACATAAGTTGAAAATACATTAACGCCCACAAACCCACTGTAGAGTCAAAAAAATAATAAATTGAACCATCGTAGGTTGAAACCATCTGTATATACTGAAAAGGCCACATACTCTTCTGTCTTCTCCAGCCTTGCAGCTTGAGTGTGGTCATATGACCTAGACTTAGCCAATCAGACACATACTTTACCTCGCTCCGAATTTTGTATTGAGAGCAAGAAACAAATACTGCCAAGAATCTTTTATAGCAGCAGCAGACAAGGCAGCACTGGCAGCAATGCCATTGGAAATACCTGGTGACAGGAGTTTGGTCAGTGCAAGCTGGGCTTGGTGGCAGGGAGATCTTCATCGGACCAGTTGTCTGGTGTCCTTTTTTTTTTTTTTTTTTTTTTGAGACGGAGTCTCACTCTGTTGCCAGGCTGGAGTGTAGTGGCGCATTCTGCTCACTGCAACCTCCGCCTCCTGGGTTCAAGCGATTCTTCTGCCTCAGCTTCCCAAGTAGCTGGGATTACAGGCACACGCCATCATGCCCAGCTAAATTTTTTGTATTTTGTTTTTAGTAGAGATGGGGTTTCACGGTGTTGGTCAGGCTGGTCTTGAACTCCTGACCTCATGATCCGCCCACCTCGGCCTCCCAAAGTGCTGGGATTACAGGCGTGAGCCACCGCCCCCGGCCTGTGTCTGGTGTCATTTTAACTGAAGTTCTTGAGGGATAGTTTCAAAGCCTGGTTTTCAAAACCTGACAAGTCTGTGATTTCCCAATTTCCTTATTTGTTGTTGTTGTTGTTTTTCAGACAGGGTCTTACCCTGTCATTTAGGCTGGAGTGCAGTAGGGCGATCGTAGTTTTTTACTGCAGCTTCAAAATCCTAGACGCATGTGATCCTTCTACCTTAGCCTCCTGAGTAACTAGGACTACAGGTGTACACCACCACGCCTGGCTTTTTTTTTTTTTTTTTCTAGTACAGACAGTCTGTGTTGCCCAGGTTGGTTTCAAACTCCTGGCCTCAAGCAATCCTCCTGCCTTGGCCTCCCAAAGTGCTGGGATTACAGGTGGGAGCTACCACTCCTGGCCTCAAAAATTTTAATATTTTTTTTTTTTTACTTATACAAAACTGTTTTTGCCCTTCCTTGCACTTGGAACCATAGCTGATAACGAGATCTGGGTCAAATATTACATCATTCCTCTACCAATTCAGAATTATGTACACATTTCTCCCCACCATATACGTACTGGGTCTGGTTCTCGATTTTGTATTCACCTTTATGTACTCACATTATGCTACTTTTTTTTCAAAAGTTTATTAGCATGTACTCTTTCAAATGAAATTTAAAATTATTTTGTGAAGTTCCTAGAAGAAAATCCCTTTATGATTTTGATTAAAATTGCATTAAATTTATAGATTAATTTGGAGAGAATAACACCATCAGTGTTGTCTTCTTATGCAAAAAAAAAAAAAAAAAAAAAAAAAAAAAGGTCTGGCTTTTGTATCAGTTAGGATCCATCAAAGAAGCAGAACTACTTTGTGAGCTAAAGACCTATGGAATTGTGGGAGGTGGCAGAGCGGTCTGCAGACTTGCCTCTGAGTCTCTTGTTCAGCCTGAAGTTGCTGCAGATCTACTAGACTGGCAGTCAGACAGGGATACTGGATGTGGATGAGAGAAAAGACAAACTGAAACCCTTGGGAACAAAACGGAACCTGCATCAGCCTCTCACCAACCCTAGTTTTGATGCTTGAGTAACCTGCAGGAGAGGATGACACTTTCGATGTCAGAGCTGCACTTGTGGGCCCAGGATTTGGAGAAGTGGAGAGAAGGTCTGATGGGAGTTGAAGGAGCTGCAGGTCCAGCTTCTTCCCCATGCCAGCAAGGTGAGCTAACAGATCGGCAGCACATGCAAACTTCACAGTGTGCTCTCCATTGACCTTCACGGTGTAAAAAATATGACTTGCTTCATTTGTGAGTTCCATATAATGTCTCCTATAGCCAACAGTACCCAGAACTATATAAGGAAGGGAATTCTGGGAAATGTTTTTAAGTCCGAGTTAGCTGAGTTGATACAGTACAAAGCCATTAGAGCTCTAGTTAACTGATCTTTTTCATCTTTTAATAGAGTTTTGTTGTTTCATTCTTGCTATTTTAATTCTTGGCATTTTGAGTTGCTGTTGTGAATGTTCATTTTCCCATCTTATGATTATTGCTATTATATTGAAAAATTGTTTTAGTTCATACCTTGAACTAACCACATTTTTCAACTTAAATTCCAACAGTTTTCTGTTGGTTCTCTTGGGTAGGCAGTCATTTCACCTGCAAACTAATGTAATTATCTTTTCCTTCCTGATAATGTAATGATACATTTTCTTCCCTCCCTCTCCTGCCTTTATTCTTTTTCCTCATTACATTGATTAAAACCGCCAAAACGATGTTATAATAGCTATACTGTTTCTGACTTTTTTTTAAATTATACTTTAAGTTCTGGGGTACATGTGCAGAATGTGCAGGTTTGTTGCATAGGTATACACGTGCCATGGTGGTTTGCTGCACCCATCAACCTGTCATCTACATTAGGTATTTCTCCTAATGCTATCCCTCCCCTAGCCCCCCACCCACCTATAGGCCCTGGTATTCCCCTCCCTGTGTACCCTCTCTGTGTCCATGTGTTCTCATTGTTCAACTTCCACTTATGAGTGAGAACATGCGGTGTTTGGTTTTCTGTTCTGTTAGTTTGCTGAGAATGATGGTTTCCAGCTTCATCCATGTCCCTGCAAAGGACATGAGTTCATTCTTTTTTATGGTTGCATAGTATTCTGTGGTGTATATGTGCCACATTTTCTTTATCCAGTCTATCACTGATGGGCATTTCGTTCCAAGCCTTTGCTATTGTAAACAGTGCCACAATAAACATACGTGTGCATGAGTCTTTATAGTAGAATGATTTATAACCCTTTGGGTATATACCCAGGAATGGGATTGCTGGATCAAATGGTATTTCTAGTTCTAGATCCTTGAGGAATCGCCACACTGTCTTCCACATTGGTTGAACTAATTTACACTCCCACCAACAGTGTAAAAGCGTTCCTATTTCTCCACATCCTCTCCAGCATCTGTTGTTTCCTGACTTTTTAATGATCGCCATTCTAACTGGCGTGAGATGTGGTTTTGATTTGCATATCTCTAATGACCAGTGATGATGAGCCTTTTTTCATTTTTTTTTTTTTTTTTTTTGAGACAGAGTTTTGCTCTTGTTGCCCGGGCTGGAGTGCAATGGCGTGATCTTGGCTCACCACAACCTCTGCCTGCTGGATTCAAGCAATTCTCCTGCCTCATCCTCCCGAGTAGCCGGGATTACAAGCATGCACCACCACGCTTGGCTAATTTTGTATTTTTAGTAGAGATGGGATTTCTCCGTGTTGGTCAGGCTGGTCTCGAACTCCCGACCTCAGGTGATCCACCTGCCTCAGCCTCCCAAAGTGCTGGGATTACAGGCGTGAGCACCACGCCTGGCAAATGTCTTCTTTTGAGAAGTGTCTGTTCATATCCTTCACCCACTTTTTGATGGGGTTGTTTGCTTTTTTCTTGTAAATTGGTTTCTCTGTAGATTCTGGATATTAGCCCTTTTTCAGTTGGATAGATTGCAAAAAATTTTCTCCCAGTCTGTAGGTGGCCTGTTCGCTCTGATGATCGTTTCTTTTGCTGTGTAGAAGCTCTTTCGTTTAATTAGATCTCATTTGTCTATTTTGGCTTTTGTTGCCATTGCTTTTGGTAACAAAAGACGAAGTCTTTGCCCATGCCTGTGTCCTAAATTGCCTAGGTTTTCTTCTTGGGTTTTTATGGTTTTAGGTCTTACGTTTAAGTCTTTAATCCATCTTGAGTTAATTTTTGTATAAGGTGTAAGGAAGGGATCCAGTTTCAGCTTTCTGCATATGGCTAGCCAGTTTTCCCAACACCATTTATTAACTAGGAATTCCTTTCCCCATTGCTTTTTTTTGTCAGATTTGTCAAAGATCAGATGGTTGTAGATGTGTGGTGTTATTTCTCAGGCCTCTGTTCTGTTCCATTGATCTATATATCTGTTTTGGTACCAGTACCATGCTGTTTTTGTTACTGTAGCCTTGTAGTATAGATTGAAGTCAGGTCACGTGATGCCTCCACCTTTGTTCCTTTTGCTTAGGATTGTCTTGGCTATTTATGCATGCTGTTTTTTGGTTCCATGTGAAATTTAAAGTTGTTTTTTCCAATTTTGTGAAGGAAGTCAATGGTAGCTTGATGAGGATAGCATTGAATCTGTAAATTACTTTGGGCAGTATGGCCATTTTCATGATATTCATTCTTCCTATCCATGAGCATGGAATGTTTTTCCATTTGTTTGTGTCCTCTCTTATTTCCTTGATCAGTGAGTGGTTTGTAGCTCTCCTTGAAGAGGTCCTTCATATCCCTTGTAAGTTGTATTCCTAGGTATTTTATTCTCCTTGTAGCAATTGTGAATGGGAGTTCACTCATGATTTGGCTCTCTGTTTGTCTGTTATTGGTGTATAGGAATGCTTGTGATTTTTGCGCATTGATTTTGTATCCTGAGACTTTGCTGAAGTTGCTTATCAGCTTAAGGAGATTTTGGGCTGAGACGATGGGGTTTTCTAATTATACAATCATGTCATCTGCAAACAGAGACAATTTGACTTCCTCTTTCCCTAATTGAATACCCTTTATTTCTTTCTCTTGCCTGATTGCCCTGGCCAGAACTATGTTGAATGTACAATTAAGTTATTATTCACTGTAGTTACCCTGTTGTGCTATCAAGTACTAGGTCTTACTCATTCTTTCTATTTTTTTTTTTTTTTTTTTTTTGTGACACGGAGTCTCGCTCTGTAGTCCAGGCTGGAGTGCAGTGGCGTGATCTCGTCTTGCTGCAACCTCCGCCTCCTGGGTTCGAGTGATTCTCCTGCCTCAGCCTCCTGAGTAGCTGGGATTACAGGTGCACGCCACCACACCCGGCTAATTTTTGTATTTTTTGTAGAGACAGGGTTTCACTGTGGTGATCAGGCTGGTCTTGAACTCCTGACCTTGTGATCCGCCCACTTCGGCCTCCTGAAGTGCTGGGATTACAGGTGTGAGCCACCGTGCCCGGCCTTCTGTTTTTTTAGTACCCATAAACCATCCCCACCTCCCCCTGCTGACCCCCCACCACCCTTCACAGCCTCTGGTAATGATCCTTCTACTCTCTATGTCCACGAGTTCAATTGTTTTGATATTTAGATCCCACAAATAAGTGAGAATATGTGATATTTGTGTTTCTGTGTCTGGCTTATTTCACTTAGCAAAATGTTCTCCAGTTCCATCCATGTTGTTGCAAATAACTGGATCTCATTCTTTCTTATGGCTGAATAGTAGTCCATTGTGAATATGCACCATATTTTCTTTATCCATTCATATGTTGATAGACCCTTAGGTTGCTTCCACATCTTAGCTATTGTAAACAATGCTGCAACAAACATAGGAGTGTAGATATCTCTTTGATATACTGATTTCCTTTCTTTTCGGTATATACCCAGCAGTGGGATTGCTGGATCATATGGTAGTTCAATTTTTAGTTTTTTGAGGAACGTTCAAATTGTTCTCCATAGTGGCTGTACTAATTTACATTCCCACCAAGAGAGTACAAGGTTTCCCTTTTCTGCACATCCTCTTCATCATTTGTTATTGCCTGTCTTTTGGATATAAGCCATTTTAACTGGGGGAGATGATACCTCATTATAGTTTTGATTTGCATTTCTCTGATGATCAAAAATACTGAGCACCTTTACATATGCCTGTTTGCCATTTCTATGTCTTCATTTGAGAAATGTCTATTCAAATATTTTGCCCATTTTTTATTAGATTATTGTATTTTTTTTCCTATAGAGCAGTTTGAGCACTTACGTATTTTGGTTATTATTCCTTTGTCAGATGGGTAATTTGCAAATATTTTTTCCCGTTCTCTGTGTTTTTTTCTTCACTTTACTGATTGTATCCTTTGTGCAGAAGCATTTTAACCTGATGTGATCCCATTTGTCCATTTTTGTTTTGGTTACCTGTGCTTGAGGGATATTGGTCAAGAAATTTTTGCCCACATCAATGTCGTGGAGATTTTCCCCAATGTTTTCTTGTAGTAGTTTAATAGTTTGAAGTATAGATTTAAGTTTTTAATCCATTTTGATTTGATTTTTGTATATGGTGTGAGATAGGGGTCTACTTTCATTCTTCTGCATATAGATATCTAGTTTTCCCATTACCATTTGTTGAATAGACTGTCTTTTCCCCAGTGTATGTTCTTGGCACCTTTGTCAAAAATTAGTTCGCTATAGGTGTGCAGATTTGTTTCTTGGTACTCTTTTCTGTTTCATTGGCTGATGTGTCTGTTTTTATGTCAGAACCATGCTGTTTTGGTTACTATAGCTCTGTAGTATAATTTGAAATCAGGTAATGTGATTCTTCCAGTTTTGTTCTTTTTGCTTAGGATAGCTTTGGGTATTCTGGGCCTTTTGTGGGTCCATATAAATTTTAGGATTTTTTTTTTTTCTGTTTCTGTGAAGAATGTCATTAGTATTTTGATAGGGATTGCATTGAATCTATAGATTGCTTTGGGTATTATGGACATTTTAACAATATTGATTCCTCCAGTCCATGAACATGGATAATTTTTCAATTTTTTGGTGTCCTCTTCAATTTCTTTCTTCACTGTTTTATACTTTCCATTATAGAAATCTTTCACTTCTTTGGTTAATTCCTAGGTATTTAATTTTATGTGTGGCTATTATAAGTGGAATTACTTTAAAAATTTCTGTTTCACATTGTTCAATATTGTCATATTGAAATGCTAGTGACTTTTGTATGTTGCTTTTGTATCCTGCAACTTTACTGAAGTTGTTTATCTTCTCTCTTTTATCTTCCCTCTTTTTTTCTTAGTCTGGCTAAAGTTTTGCCAATTTTGTTTAACTTTTAAAAAAACCAACCTTGTGTTTCATTGATCTTTTGTATTTTTTTATTTCAATTTTATTTATTTATTCTCTGATCTTTATTATTTCTTTTCTTCTACTAATTTTGGGCTTGGTTTGCTCATGCTTTTCTAGTTTAATAGTTTTAATAGTTTTCTTGTCGCGTCTTTAGGTTTTTCCAAATATAAGATCATATCATCCGCAAACAAGGCTAATTTGACTCCATCCTTTCCAATTTGGTTGCCTTTTATATCTTTCTCTTATCTGATTGCTCTAGCTAGGATGTCTATTACTGCTGAAAAACAGTGATGACAATGGGCATCATCCTTATCTTGTTCCAGATCTTAGAGGAAAAGCTTTCAATTTTCCCCCATTTGGTGTTGTGAACATAAAATATCTGAGACAGCTCTCAATCAGTTTAGAAAGTTTATTTTGTCAAGGTTAAGGATGTGCCCGTGACACAGCCTCAAGAGGCTCTGATGACATGTGCCCAAAGTGATCAGGGTACAGCTTGCTTTTATACATTTTGGGAGTCATGAGACATCAATCAGTATGTGTAAGATGTATGTTGGGGCCAGGCATGGTGGCTCACACCTGTAGTACCAGCACTTTCGGAGGCTGAAGCAGTGGATCACTTGAGATCAGGAGTTCAAGGCCAGCCTGGCCAACATGGTGAAACCTCATCTCTACTAAAAATACAAAAATTGTTTGGGTATGGTGGTGTGTGCCTGTAATTCCAGCTACTTGGGAGGCTGAGGCACAAGAATCACTTGAACCTAGGAGGTGGAGGCTGCAATGAGCTGAGATTGCACCACTGCACTCCAGCCTTGAGGTGGCAGAGCGAGACTCCATCTGAAAACAAAACAAAACAAAAAAGATGTATGTTGATTCCTTCTGGAAAGGCGGGACAACTCAAAGGGAAGACTTCCAGGTCATAGGTAGATAAGAGAAAAAAGGTTGCATTATTTTGAGTCCTGGCCCAGCCTTTTAATGAATACACAATTTTATCTGGCTCAGTGAATCTGCATTTTTACATAAATAGGGCAAAGGAAGCAATCAGATATCCATTTGTCTCAGGTGAGCAGGGGGATGATTTACTGTCCTGCACCTGTGAAGATAAGCCATCCGTTTACATCGCCAGGGTGAAATTGGGTGGAACTGTTTCAGGGTAAAGATCTTGAGATCCGCAAGGAATTTCCTTCTGGGCAAATTGTGAGGGAGGTATGTAGCTTTTTATCTTTGTAGCTATCTTATTTGAGAATAAAATAGGAGGCAGGTTTACCTGACATAGTTCCCAAGTTTACTTTTCTCTTGATTTAGTGATTTCAGGGTCCCGAGATTTATTTTCCTTTCACAGTATGATACTAGCTATGGATCTGTCATATACAGCTTTTATTATGTTGAGGTATGTTCTTCCATACCCAGTTATTTTTAGGGTTTTTAAAACAAATAAATGTTGAATTTTACCTAGCCCTTTTTCAGCATCAATTGAAATGATCATATGGTTTGTGTCCTTCATTTTGTTGATATGATGTATCACACTGATTGATTTGCGTATGTTGAAGCATCATTGCATCCCGGGGATAAAGCCCACTTAGTCATGATGAGTGATCTTTCTAATGTATTGGTGAATTCAGTTTGCTAGTATTTTATTGAGAATTTTTGCATCAATATTCATCAGAGATATTGGCCTTTAGTTTTCTTTTTTTGTGTGTCTTTGTTTAACTTTTCCAAAAAACAACCTTATGTTTCATTAATCTTTTGTATTTTTTTATTTCAATTTCATTTATTTCTTCTCTGATCTTTATTATTTCTTTTCTTCTACTAATTTTGGGCTTGCTTTGCTCTTGCTTTTCTAGTTAAGATGCACTGTTAAATTGTTCATACGAAGTTCCTCTTTTTTGATGTAGGCATTTATAGCTGTAAACTTACCTGAGTACTGCTTTTGCCATATCCCTTAGGTTTTGATATATTATGTTTCCATTATTATTTGTTTCAAGAAATTTTTAAATTTCCTTCTTAATTTCTTCATTGACCCACTGGTCATTCAGGAGAATATTGTTTTATTTCCATGTATTTGTATAGTTTCCAAAATTCCTCTTGTTATTAATTTCTAGTTTTATTCCACTGTGGTCAGGGAAGATGCTTGATATTAATTCAATTTTTGTTAATGTTTTAAGACTTGTTTTGTATAGTCTATCCCTGAGAATATCCATGTGCTGAGGAAAAGAATGTATATTCTGCAGCTCTTAGATGAAATGTTCTGTAAATATTTATTAGATCGATTTGGTCTGCAGTGCAGATTAAGTCTTGTGAACCCCGAAAATTTGAGACAGGTTTCAGTTAATTTAGAAAGTTTATTTTGCCAAGGTTGAGGATGCATCCATAACACAGCCTCAGGAAGTCCTGATGACATGTGCCCAAGGTGGTCAGGGCACAGCTTGGTTTTTTACATTTTAGGGAGACATAAGACATCAATCTGTAATGCCCAACCTCACTTTTACTAACCCTGTTTTTAGACTCTCCCTTTTTCCTTTAATCACTTAGCCTTGTTTCCACCTGAATGGACTCTCCCTTAGCTAAGAGAACCAGACAGACTCCATCTTGGCTCTTTCACTGGCAGCCCCTTCCTCAAGGACTTAACTTGTGCAAGCTGACTCCCAGCACATCCAAGAATGCAATTAACCGATAAGATACTGTGGCAAGCTATATCCGCAGTTCCCAGGAATTCATCTGATTGATAATGCCCAAAGCCCCGCGTCTTTCACCTTGTAATAGTCTTAAAGCCCCTGCACCTGGAACTGTTTACTTTCCTGTAACCATTTATCCTTTTAACTTTTTGCCTACTTTACTTCTGTAAAATTGTTCTAACTAGACACCCGCCCCCCCACTCCCCTTCCTAAACCAAGGTATGAAAGTTAATCAAGCCCCTTCCTCAGGGCCGAGAGAATTTTGAGCATTAGCTGTCTCTTGGTCACTGGCTAATAAAGGACTCTTAATTCGTCTCAAAATGTGGCATTTTTCTAACTCGCTCAGGTACAACAAATCAATAAGAAGTACATCAGTTCCATCCAGAAAGGCAGATACAGCTCAAAGTAAGGCCCCCCCCAACTGAGGGCTTCCAGGTCACAGGTAGGTGAGAGACAGATGGTTGCATTCTTTTGAGTTTCTGATAAGTCTTTCCCAAGAAGGCAATCAGAATATGTATCTATCTCTGTGAGCAAAGGGATGACTTGAATAGAATGAGAGGCAGATTTGCCCTGAGTGGTTCCCAGCTTGAAAGGACCCAGGATGTTTTCCTTTCACAGTCTGATGTTTCTTTGTTGATTTTCTGTCTGGAAGATCTGTCCAATGCCAAAAGTGGGGTGTCAAAGTATCCAACTATTATTATATTGGGGCCTATCTCTCTCTTTAGCTCTAATAATATTTCCTTTATATATCTGGGTGCTGCAGTGTTGGTTGCACATACATTTAAAATTGTTATATCCTCTTACTGAAATTACATCTTTGTCATTATACAGTGACCTTGTCTCTTATACTTTTTGTCTTGAAATCTATTTTGTTCAGTATAGGTATAGCTATTCCTGCTCTTTTTTGGCTTCCATTAACATGGAATATCTTTTCCCATCCCTTCACTTTCAGTCTATGTGTGTCTTTATAGGTAAAGTGTGTTTCTTGTAGGTAACAGATAAATAGGTCTTGGTTTTTCATACATTCAGCCAGTCTATGGCTTTTGATTAGAGAATTTAGTCCATTTATATTTAATGTTATCATTAATAAGTAAGGACTTACTCTTTCCATTTTGTTATTTATTTTTTGGTTGTTTTATGGTCTTTTCTTCCTTCTTTTTTTTTTTTTTTTTTTTTTGACAGAGTCTCTCTCTGTTGCCCAGACTGGAGTGCAATGGCACAGTCTCAGCTCACTGCAACCCCCACTTCCCAGGTTCAAGCAATTCTCCTGCCTCAGCCTCCCAAGTAGCTGGGACTACAGATGTGCGCCACGACACACAGCTAATTTTTATATTTTTAGTAGAGACAGGATTTCATCATGTTGGCTAGGCTACTCTCAAACTCCTGACCTCAAATGATCGACTCACCTTGCTTTCCCAAAGTGCTGAAATTACAGGTATGAGCCACTGCATCTGGCCTCTTCCTTCTTTCTTTCCTTCCTGTCTTCCTTTAGTTAAAATGATTTTCTCTGGGGATGTGATTTAGTTTCTTGCTTTTTATTTTTTGTGTATTCATTGCATGTTTTTTGGTTTGAGGTTATTATGAGGTTTGTAGATACTCTTACAACCCATTATTTTGCCTGATAACAACTTAACACTGTCTGTGTAAACAAATAAACAGCAAAAAGAAAACTGATAAAAACTCTGTTTTAACTTCATCCCCCCCGCCTACTTTTTCACTTTCTATTTTTTTGTGTACTTGCTATTACCAGTGAGTTTTGTACCTTCAAATTATTTCTTATTGCTCATTAACATCCTTTCCTTTCTGACTGAAGTTCTCCCTTTAGCTTTTCTTATAGGACAGGTCTAGTGTTGATTTAATCCCTCAGTGTTTGTTTGTCTGGGAAAGTTTTTATTTCTTCTTCATGTTTGAAGGACATTTTTGCCAGATATGTTATTCTAAGATAAAAGTTTTTTTTCCTTCAGCACTTTTAAGATGTCATACCACTGTCTCCTAGCCTGAAAAGGTTTCCACTGAAAAGTCTGCTGCCAGATGTATTGAAGCTCTATAGTATGTTATTTGTTTATTTTCTCTTGCTGCTTTTAGGATTGTTACTTTATCCTTGACCTTTGGGAGTTTTATTATTAAATGCCTTAAGGTAGTCTTCTTTGGGTTAAATGTACTTGGTGTTCTACAAGCTTCTTGTACTTGGATAGCGATATCTAAGTTTGAGAAGTTCTCTGTTATCCCATTCAATAAACTTTCTACCCCTATCTCTTCCTCTGTCTCATCTTTACAGCCAATAACTATTTTTTTTAAAGTTTTAAAAAGTTTATTCCCTATATACTCCTTTCTTTTTTTTTCTTTTCTTTTTTTTAAATTTTATTATTATTATACTTTAAGTTTTAGGGTACATGTGCACAATGTGCAGGTTTGTTACATATGTATACATGTGCCATGTTGGTGTGCTGCACCCATTAACTTGTCATTTAGCATTAGGTATATGTCCTAATGCTATCCCTCCCCACTTCCCCCACCCCACAACAGGACCCAGTGTGTGATGTTCCCCTTCCTGTGTCCATGTGTTCTCATTGTTCAGTTCCCACCTATGAGTGAGAACGTGCAGTGTTTGGTTTTTTGTCCTTGTGATAGTTTGCTGACGATGGTTTCCAGTTTCATCCATGTCCCTACAAAGGATATGAACTCATCCTTTTTTATGGCTGCATAGTATTCCATGGTGTATATGTGCCACATGTTCTTAATCCAGTCTATCATTGTTGGACATTTGGGTTGGTTCCAAGTCTTTGCTATTGTGAATAGTGCCGCAATAAACATACATGTGTCTTTATAGCTGCATGATTTATAATCCTTTGGGTATATACCCAGTAATGGGATGGCTGGGTCAAATGGTATTTCTAGTTCTAGATCCCAGAGGAATCGCCACACTGACTTCCACAATGGTTGAACTAGTTTACAGTCCCACCAACAGTGTAAAAGTGTCCCTATTTCTCCACATCCACATCCTCTCCAGCACCTGTTGTTTCCTGACTTTTGAATGATTGCCATTCTAACTGGTGTGAGATGGTATCTCATTGTGGTTTTGATTTGCATTTCTCTGATGGCCAGTGATGATGAGCATTTTTTCATGTGTTTTTTGGCTGCATAAATGTCTTCTTTTGAGAAGGGTCTGTTCATATCCTTTGCCCACTTTTGGATGGGGTTGTTTGTTTTTTTCTTGTAAATTTGTTTGAGTTCATTGTAGATTCTGGATATTAGCCCTTTGTCAGATGAGTAGATTGCAAAAATTTTCTCCCATTTTGTAGGTTGCCCGTTCACTCTGATGGTAGTTTCTTTTGCTGTGCAGAAGCTCTTTAGTTTAATTAGATCCCATTTGTCAATTTTGGCTTTGGTTGCCATTGCTTTTGGTGTCTTAGACATGAAGTCCTTGCCCATGCCTGTGTCCTGAATGGTATTGACTAGGTTTTCTTCTAGGGTTTTTATGGTTTTTGGTCTAACACTTAAGTCTTTAATCCATCTTGAATTAATTTTTCTATAAGGTGTAAGGAAGGGATCCAGTTTCAGCTTTCTACATATGGCTAGCCAGTTTTCCCAGCACCATTTATTAAATAGGGAATCCTTCCCCCATTTCTTGTTTTTGTCAGGTTTGTCAAAGATCAGATGGTTGTAGATATGTGGCATTATTTCTGAGGGCTCTGTTCTGTTCCATTGATCTATATCTCTGTTTTGGTACCAGTACCATGCTGTTTTGGTTACTGTAGCCTTGTAGTATAGTTTGAAGTCAGGTAGCGTGATGCCTCTGGCTTTGTTCTTTTGGCTTAGGATTGACTTGGTAATGCGGGCTCTTTTTTGGTTCCATAGGAACTTTAAAGTAGTTTTTTCCAATTCTGTGAAGAAAGTCATTGGTAACTTGATAGGGATGGCATTGAATCTATAAATTACCTTGGGCAGTATGGCCATTTTCACGATATTGATTCTTCCTACCCATGAGCATGGAATGTTCTTCCGTTTGTTTGTATCCTCTTTTATTTCATTGAGCAGTGGTTTGTAGTTCTCCTTGAAGAGGTCCTTCACATCCCTTGTAAGTTGGATTCCTAGGTATTTTATTCTCTTTGAAGCAATTGTGAATGGGAGTTCACTCATGATTTAGCTCTCTGTTTGTCTGTTATTGGTGTATAAGAATGCTTGTGATTTTTGTACATTGATTTTGTATCCTGAGACTTTGCTGAAGTTGCTTATCAACTTAAGGAGATTTTGGGCTGAGACAATGGGGTTTTCTAGATATACAATCATGTCATCTGCAAACAGGAACAATTTGACTTCCTCTTTTCCTAATTGAATACCCTTTATTTCCTTCTCCTGCCTAATTGCTCTGGCCAGAACTTCCAACACTATGTTGAATAGGAGTGGTGAGAGAGGGCATCCCTGTCTTGTGCCAGTTTTCAAAGGGAATGCTTCCAGTTTTTGCCCATTCCGTATGATATTGGCTGTGCGTTTGTCATAGATAGCTCTGATTATTTGGAGATACATCCCATCGATACCTAATTTATTGAGAGTTTTTAGCATGAAGAGTTGTTGAATTTTGTCAAAGGCCTTTTCTGCATCTGTTGAGATAATCATGTGGTTTTTGGCTTTGCTTCTGTTTATATGCTGGATTACGTTTATTGATTTGAGTATATTGAACCAGCCTTGCATCCCAGGGATGAAGCCCACTTGATCATGGTGGGCTGGATCATGGTGGGGTGGATTTTTGATGTGCTGCTGGATTCGGTTTGCCAGTATTTTATTGAGGATTTTTGTATCAATGTTCATCAAGGATATTGGTCTAAAATTCTCTTTTTTGGTTGTGTCTCTGCCAGGCTTTGGTATCAGGATGATGCTGGCCTCATAAAATGAGTTAGGGAGGATTCCCTCTTTTTCTATTGATTGGAATAGTTTCAGAAGGAATGGTACCAGCTCCTCCTTGTACCTCTGGTAGAATTCGGCTGTGAATACATCTGGTCCTGGACCTTTTTTGGTTGGTAAGCTATTGATTATTGCCACAATTTCAGAGCCTGTTATTGGTCTATTCAGTGATTCAACTTCTTCTTGGTTTAGTCTTGGGAGGGTGTATGTGTCGAGGAATTTATCCATTTCTTCTAGATTTTCTAGTTTATTTGCATAGAGGTGTTTCTAGTATTCTCTGATGGTAGTTTGTATTTCTGTGGAATCAGTGGTGATATCCCCTTTATCATTTTTTATTGCATCTATTTGATTCTTCTCTCTTTTCTTCTTTATTAGTCTTGCTAGCGGTCTATCGATTTTGTTGGTCTTTTCAAAAAACCAGCTCCTGGATTCATTAATTTTTTGAAAAGTTTTTTGTGTCTCTATTTCCTTCAGTTCTGCTCTGATTTTAGTTATTTCTTGCCTTCTGCTAGCTTTTGAATGTGTTTGCTCTTGCTTTTCTAGTTGTTTTAATTGTGATGTTAGGGTGTCAATTTTGGGTCTTTCCTGCTTTCTGCCAATAACTATTAAATTTGCTTTTTTAAGGCTATTTTTTAGATCCTGTATGTGTGCTTCATTGTTTTTTATTCTTTTTCCTTTTGTCTCCTCTGACTGTATTTTCAAATAGCCTGGCTTCAAGCTCACTAATTCTTCTGCTTGATCAGTTTTGTTATTAAATGACTGTGGTGCATTCTTCAGTATGCCAATTGCATTTTTCAGCTCCAGAATTTCAGCTTGATTCTGTTTAATTATTTCAATCTTTTTGTTAAATTTATCTGATAGACTTCTGGATTCCTTTTCTGTGTTATCTTGAATTTCTTTGAATTTCCTCAACACAGCTATTTTAAATTCTCTGTCTGAAAAGTCACATATCTTCTTTTCCAAGATTGGTCTTTAGTGCCTTATTTAGTTCATTTGGTGAGGTCATGTTTTCCTGGATGGTGTTGATGCTAGTAGATGTTCTTCAGTGTCTGGGCATTGATGACTTAGGTATTTATTGTAGGCTTCATTGTCGGGGCTTATTTGTACCCGTCCTTCTTGGGAAGGTTTTCCAGATATTTGAAAGGACTTTGGTGTTATAATCTAAACTATATCTGCTTTAGAGGGCACTCCAAGCCCAGTAATGCTGTGGTTCTTGCAGACTCATAGAGGTACCGCCTTGATGGTCATGGACAAGATATGGGAGAATTCTCTGGATTACCAGGCTAGGACTCTTGTTCTCTTCCTTTACTTTCCCTCAAACAGTCTGTTTCTGTGTTCTGAGCCACCTAAAGCTAGGGTGAAGTAACCCAAGCACCCCTGTGGCCACAACTACCATGACTGTGCTGGGTCAGACCTGAACCCAGCATGGCACTTGGTCTCACACAATGCCTGCTATATTCACTTCCTGGCTACTGCCTATGTTTGCTGTAGGCCCTGGGACTCTACAATCAGCCAGTAGCAAAGCCAGCCAGGCCTATGTCCTTCCTTTCAGGGCAGTGAGGTCCCCCAGGCCCTGGGTGGGTCTAGAGGTACCATCTGGGAGTCAGGGACTAGAGTCAAAAACCTTAGACGTCTACCTGATGTTCTATTGCACTGCAGCTGAGCTGGCACTCAAACCACAAGATGCAGTCCTTCCCACTTTTCCCTCCCCTTTTCAAAGACAGAGGAGCCTGACTCCATAGCCACCACCACCCCAGGTCACAAAGAGTACTGCCAGAACACTGCTAATGCCCCTTAAGGCACAAGGTCTCTTAAGTCAGTTTGTGGTGGATGCTGCCTGGCCTGAGACCCACCCTTTAGGGCAGTGGGCTCCTCTGTGGCCCAGGGCAGGTCCAGAAATGCCATCCAAGAGTCATATCCTGGAATCAGGGACCCCAAGAGCTCACTTGGTGCTCTATCCTCCTATGCCTGTGCTGATACCTAAGGTGAAAGGCAAAGTCCCCTTTAGTTTTCTCTCTGCTTTTGTCAAACAGAGGGAGTTTTTTCCCATAGCCACCACAGCTGATAATGTGCTGAGTCTCACCTGAAGCCAGCAAGTCTCAGAGGCTCACGCAAGGCCCTTGATGTAGTACCTGTGTATCACTGCTGGTTGTTCAGGTCCCAAGGGCTCTTCAGTTAGCAGGTGATGAATGCTGCCAGTTTTTGAGTCCTGTCCTTCAAGGCAGGGGTTTCCCTTCTGGCTCTGAGTATGTCTAGAAATGACATCTGGGAACTAGGGCCTGGAATGGGGCCCTCATGACTCTGACCAGTGTCCTGTCTTGCTGTGGTTGAGCTGTTATTCTCCTCAAGCAAAAAGAAGGGGTCTCTTTTGGAGCCTCAAGATGTGCAGCATGGGGTTAGGTGAGGGTGATGCCAGCATACCTTTGGCTGCCCCAACTTTGGTCTCAGTATGTCATGTGCCCACGCAGTCCACTGTCTCTGGGCCTAGTTCAGCTCTAGGACTCACCTAAGGGTTGCAGTCCTTAAGGCCTACACTGCCTTTCAAGTTTACCTGGAGACAGAGGGCACTGTAGCCCTCAGTGGCGAGGTTTGCAGAAACTCAAATTCGGACCAATGGAATGGGCATTTCCCCTCTGGCTTGGGCTAATTTAAATGCTCCCTCCGTGGCTGGACATCAACTGAGTTTAGTCTGGTTTTCCTTTCTGCTCTAACAGGACAGCACTGAGTTCAGTGCCTCAAAACTGCTGTGTTCTCCCTCCCTCAGTGCCCAGAGATGCTCTCTGCCCCACTCTGCCACTTCTGGGGTGTAGGGGAGGGGTGGCCTTAGTGATTCAGGACTGTTTTTTGCTTTTCTGTGTTTTGTTTTTTTTTTAATCCCTTCTGTGCCTCTTTCAGTGGTGTGAAGTTAAAACCAGGTACTATGAGTCTCACCTGATTTTTGGTTCTTATGAAGGTATTTTTTTTCTGTGTAGATAGTTGTTAACTTGTGTTTGGGGATGATTGGTGGAGGCTTCTATTCTGCTATTTTGCTCTGCCTCCCTAATTCAAATATGTGGTTAACTTTTATGGGGGTTCCGTGAACATTTGAAAAGAATGTGTACTGTTTATAGCAGGAGTCCCCACCCCCAGGCCATGGACCAGTACAGGTTCATGGCCCATTAGGATCCAGGCCGCAAAGCAGGAGGTGAACGGCAGGCTAGCAAGTGAAGCTTCATCTGTGTTTACAGCCACTCTCCATCACTGACATTACTGCCTGAGCTCCACCTCCTTTCAGATCAGTGGCAGCGTTAGCTTCTCATTGGAGAGTGAACCTATTGTGAACTGCACATGCGAGTTCTAGGTCACGTGCTTCTTATGAGAATCTAATGCCTGATGATCTGTCACTGTCTCCCACCATCCTAAGATGGAACTCTCTAGATGCAGGAAAACAAGCTAAGGGCTCCCACTGATTCTACATTATGTTGAGTTGTGTAATTATTTAATTATATATTACAATGTAATAATAATAGAAATAAAGTACACAATAAATGTAATGCACTTGAATCATCGCAAAACCATCCCCCTCCACAGTCCATGGAAAAATTGTCTTCCACAAAACCAGTCCCTGGTGCCAAAAAGGACTGGGACCACTGCTTCATAGCATATGAAGTTGTATACCTGAGTATGAAATAAAATTTATAAATTATATTATTCAGATTATGCCTTTTATTGACCACTTAATTTTTTGCTGCTGTTGTTTGACATGTAAGCATCCTCTTACCCCATAGAACTTTACTGTGATGTGAATATTTTATCCTTTTCAGTTCTAATTAATCATTTTTACCTTGAATTCTGTGTTTGCAGTTAATATTACCATTGCTACTTAATTTTGTTTGTATTTCTTAGACATATATTTTCTCATCTCTTTATTTTCTATATTGTGAAGACTTTTTGTTTGAGGTGTTTTGTTTTGAACAATAATTTAGTGATGTTTTCTTTTGCCCCAATCTGATTATGTTTGTCTCTTTATAGAGAAATTTAACACATTCACATTTGTTGTGGTATTTGTATTTTATTTGGTCCCTATTGCTTTTTGCAGAGTGGGGGTGAGCTGGAGGGAAGTAAGGTTTTCTTTTTTTTCTTTTCTGTCTTGCTGTATTGATCAAATTTTCTTTATTTGTCTCCCTTCCTGCTAGAGATTGAGAAGTTCTACTGCTCAGTTTCCCCTACCCCCCAAAATCATACATGGGTGTATAATTTCTAAGGCAAAACTTTTAAAATTCACAGTTGCCACATAGGTGCCATAATTTAACTATGCTTAGAATGCTACAGTCTATGATCTTTTTCTCTCAGAGTTCTGTAAATGTTACCTCACAGTATTCTGACATTTAGGGTTGATGATAATCACATTCTCTTTCTTTGGAAGATAATTTTTTTTTTTTGACATAGAAACTCTAAAGGTTTTCTCTTTATTTTTGGAAATTTTTTTTCAATGCCCAACTCTTTGTCTTATATTTTCCCCTTAAGCTTTGGAAAAATTATTTGCAAATGTTCTCATTTACTAATTTTGATGTTTGAAAGATTCACGCCACTGTGCATTCCTTCAGTGCATAGTAGACTTTGCATTGAGTTTTTATTTGGGTAATCAACTTTTTCATTTCCATAGTTTCTTGTTTTCATATTTCTCCTTTTTTACAAAAGCCTGCTGTTTTATAATCAATGAAGTGTACCTTCCTAACTTTTTAACATCTTTGTTGGAGTATAATTGACATGTAATTAACTGTATATGTTTAAAATATACAGTTTGATACGTTTTGACATATGTATGAAACTGTGAACCATGGAACTATCACCACAGTCAAGATAATGAACATATGCGTCCCTTACCAAAGTTTCTTTATTCTCCTTTTTAATCATTCCTGCCTCTACTGTCTTCAGGAAACCATGGATCTGCTTTCTGTCACTATAAATTAGTTTGTATTTTGTAGACTTTTAAATAAGTAGAATTATACTATGCACTCTTTTTAAAAACATATTTCTAGGCCAGGTTCAGTGGCTCACGCCTGTAATCCCAGCACTTTGGGAGGCTGAGGTGGGAAGATTGCTTGAGGCCAGGAGCTGCAGACCAGCCTGGGCAACATGGTGAAATTCCATCTCTACAAAAAAATTTAAAAATTAGCCAGGCATGGTGGCCTGTGACTGTGATTCCAGCTACTCAGGAGGCTGAGGCAGGGGGATCTCATGAGCCCAGGACATAGAGGCTGCAGTGAGCCATATTCACACCACTGCACTCCAGCCTGGACAACAGAGCAAGACCCTGTCTCAAAAATTAAGGAAAGAAAGAATTTTTTAAATTAAATAAATAGAAATGGAAACATATAGCCAGGCATGATGGCTCATGCCTGTAGTCCCAGCTACTCAGGAGGTGAGGTGGGAGGATCACCTGAGACTAGGAAGTCAAGGTTGCAGTGAGCCAAGATCAAGCCACTGCACTCCAGTGTGGGCAACACAGTGAGACCCTGTCCTCAAAATAAATAAATTTAATAAAAACATTTCTAAATGAAAATTTCAAACATACAGAAAAATAGAGAAAAATATAATGAACTACAGTACATCTATTACTTAAATTTATAATATTTGTTGGCGGTTCATTTATTTAATTTTTTAAAATAAATTGACTTTATTTTTAAGTTTTTGTAAGTTTTTCTAATTAATAGACTTTATAAACTGATATGGTTTGGATTTGTGTCCTCACCCAAATCTCATGTCAAATTGTAATCCCCAGTGTTGGAGGAGGAGCCTGGTGGGAGGTGACTGGTTCATGGGGGCAGATATCCCCCTAGGTGTTCTCATGATAGTGAGTTCGTTCTCACGAGATCTGGCTGTTTAAAGTGTGTAGCACCTTCCACTTTAGTCTTCTACTCTGGCCATGTAAAACGTGACTCCTTCCTCTTTACCTTCCACCATGATTGTAAGTTTCCTGAGGTTTCCTCAGCCATGCTTCCTGTACAGCCTGCAGAACTGTAAGCCAATTAAGCTTCTTTTCATTGTAAATTACCCAGTTTCAGGTAGTTCCATGCAATAACAGACTAATACATAAACCTAAATAGTAGTTTTAGGTTTACAGAAAAATTGAGCCAATATTATAGAGAATTCTTATAGATGCCCTTTGCCCTGCATACATTTTCCCCATTATTAATATTTGCAATAGTGTGGTATATTTGATACAAGTAGGGAACCAATATTGATATGTTATTTTTGACTAAAGTCCATACTTTATATTAGGGTTCATCCTTTATGTCGCACAGTTCTATGGGTTTTAACTGTGTAATTTTTGTTTGTTTGACTTCTTTCACTTACTATAATCATTTCAAGATTCATTCATGTTTTTATGTGTATCACATGTTTGTTCCTTTTTATTCCACCTTTTGTTTATTCACATGTTTGTGGACATTTGAGTTGTTTCCAACTTGGAACAAATTCAGATAAAGCTGCTATGAACATTCATGTGTAAGCCTTTGTGTACACATAAGCTTTTGGGAAAATACCTAGAAGTGGAATGACTGGGTTATATGGTAAGAGTACGTTTAACTTTCTGAGAAATTGGAAAACTGTTTTTCCAAAATAGTCATACTGTTTTTTATTCCGACCAGCAGCGTATGAGTTCTGGTTGCTCCACATCTTTGTCAACATCTGGGATTGTCAGTCTTTAATTTTAGCCATTTAACAGGTGTGTGATATCTAATTTTTAAAATTTGCATTTCCCTAATAATTAATGGTGATGAACATATTTCTTATACTTATTGGCTATCTGAATATCATCAATGGTAGGTACCCATTTTCACATCTTTTGTCCATTTTTGTATTGGTTTGTTTTCCTATTACTCTGTTTTGAGAGTTCTTTATATATTCTGGATGTAAGTCCTTTATCAGATATAAGATTTAAAAATTGTTTTTTCTTTCTCTTAACATTGTCTTTCAAAGATCAGAAGCTTTTAATTTTGATAAGTTCAACTTACCAATTTTTTAATGGATCAAGCTTTTGGTATTTTATCTAATAACTCTTTGCGTGACCCAAGGACACAAAAATACTTTATGTTTTTTTCCAGAAATTTTATCTTTTTATGTTTTATTTACATTTAGGTTTGTGATTCATTTTGAGATAATTTTTGTATATGGAGTAAGATATAGATTCAGGTTTATGATTTTTGCATATGGATATCCATTTGTTCTCACACCATTTGTTGAAAAGAATATTCTTCCTCCATTGATTTATCTTTGCACCTTTATCAAAAATTAATTGACCAGGCTGGGCATGATGGCTCATGCCTGTAATCTCAGCACTTTGGGAAGCCAAGGATCACTTGAGGCCAGGAGTTCGAGACCAGCTAGGAGTTCGAGGCCTCTCTAGAGACAGGGAGACCTTGTCTCTTTGAAAAAAAAAAAAGGCATGGTGACACACATCTGTGGCTCCAGCTACTCAAGAGACTGAGGTAGGAGAACTTCTTAAACGTGGGAGGTAAAGGGTGTAGTGAGCCATAACTGTGCCACTACACTCCAGTAAAACTCTGTCTTAAATAAAAAAAAATTGGCTGGGCACGATGGCTCACGCCTATTATCCCAGCTCTTTGGGAGGCTGAGGTGGGTGGATCACTTGAGGTCAGAAGTTCGAAACCAGCCTGGCCAACATGGTGAAACCCATCTCTACTAAAAATACAAACAAAAAAATTAGCCAGGCATGGTGGCGGGCACCTGTAATCCCAGCTACTTGAGAGGCTGAGGCAGGAGAATTGCTTGAACCCAGGAGGCAGAGGTTGCAGCGAGCCAAGATCACACCACTGCACTCCAGCCTGGGTGACAGAGTGAGACTCCATCTCAAAAAATAAATACATAAATAAATAAAATTGACTAGGTATGTTTGGTTCTATTTCTGATCCCACTCTGTATTCTGTTTTGTTAGTCTGTATGTCTGTCATTATACCAATACTACACTGTTTTGATTACTGTAGCTTTTTTTTTTTTAAGACAGGGTCTCTGTGTTGCCCAGGCTGGCATGCAGTAGCACGATTACAGCCCACTGCAGCCTCAACCTCCGGGGCTTAAGCGATCCTCCCACCTCAGCCTCTCAAGTAGCTGGGACTACAGGCATGCACCACCACGCCTAGCTAATTTTTTATTATTTGTAGAGACAGTGTCTCACTATGTTGCCCAGGTTGGTCTCGAGCTCCTGTCCTCAAGCAATCCTCCTGCCTCAGCCTCCTAAAGTGTTGGGATTACAGGTGTAAGCCACTGTGCCCAGCCTACTGTAGCTTTATAATGAAACTTAAAATAAGATGGCATAAGTAGTCCTCCAACTTAGTTTCTGTTTTTCAAAATTGTTTTATTCTTCTAGGTCCTCTGCAGTTTTAGAATATATATAATGAGCTATGTATAGCTTTTATTGTGTAATAGAAGTTGAGTCATTATCAATAAATCAGTTATTCTTTAGTCTCAGGATTAAAACAAAACAATGTAAAAGAAAAAACTTCATGTGTCACACTTTAGGTAGACAAATATTTTCTAGCTAGGTAAATAATGTCAATATTCTGTGCCATGTGAGAACTCAGCATAGAATTATGATTGCATTTTTATATCAATTAAGGTTATTTGGTTCAAGGCATCAGAAATGTAAAGGGGATTTGATGGGAAAATGTTGGGGTAGCTCATTGAAGTGGAGGGGGAGCTGCAAGATCTAGGGTAGCTCTGAGAACCTTTAGACGTTGGACATAAGTACTCACTGTCATCATGATTCTATTAGCCTTTCTCCTTTGTGTCTCTCTGGGATTTTATTTTCCTAGGCTATTTCGTGTAGTGGAGCCCATGGCCTCCAAGAAGAGGAACTTTCTCTACCACAAGACAAATTTTGGAAAGGAATCTGATTGGCTCAGCCTGGACCACTTTCATTACTAGATTAGTCACCATTATTAGGGAAATGGAAAACTCTAATTGGTGAGCTCTGGAGTTTAATGTGAGAAAGTTTTCCCAAAGGAAGGGATTACTGTTGTCAGAAGTATGGAAAGTAGTTGTTGGGTACACAAACCCAACGGATATTCACCACCATGTACTACACACAGCTGGGAGATAGATCTATTTGATGACCTTAAAGCAATAGATTGCAGTTGGTGGGCTTTCTGAAATTCTCCTTGATACATACCATGTACCCTGCTCTTCCTAAAAAAAAAAAAAAAAAAAAAATCTATTCTCCTTGGGCTATGTGACATATTATATATAACATGTAAAAGTTGCCAGTATTTACATCTTGGTTTTATGTTTGTGAAATTATTGCTGATACTGTTTTGTTTAAATATTATATGGTAGTCCATAATCTTCATTCATATTTTTCTCTACTTTCTCCTTTAGGGTGCTGGAAATGTAAACAAGAATAGACTGTTCATTCCTGATGGCTTTTAGTCTATACTAACATATTGTTTGTCATGGCATCCGAGACTGAAAAGACCCATGCTTTACTGCAGACTTGTAGCACTGAATCTCTTATTTCCAGCCTTGGTCTGGGGGCATTTTGCCTCGTAGCTGACAGACTTCTTCAGTTTTCCACAATTCAGCAAAATGACTGGCTTCGTGCTCTCTCAGATAATGCAGTACATTGTGTAATTGGCATGTGGTCATGGGCGGTAGTCACTGGAATCAAGAAGAAGACTGACTTTGGAGAAATCATTTTAGCTGGATTTTTAGCCTCTGTTATTGATGTAGACCACTTTTTTCTAGCTGGATCCATGTCTTTAAAGGTAAAAAGCATAGGCTTAATTTTTCTGATCTTTAATTTCCTTAGCACTATTTTGCTGATCTTTACAGCATCATTTAGAACTAGAGAGGATTTGTCTTAAAATAGGAAAGCACATTCATGTAACCTTTTTGACCACTTAGTACTTGCCTAAAGATGCACACAGACATGTTGCTAATCAAATTATTTGCCATCACAAACTGCTATGGATTCACATAGAGCAAAGACCCACGAACTGTACCTAAAGAGTTCAGTGCTGGCTTACAGAGGATGCGTTTAGCCAGGTCTTGAAGAAAGTATTAGCAAACCGGTTTAAATTAACAGGGGTGATTCTCAAGGCTGTCCTAGTTCTTTCTGTATCAGTGTACTTTCTTCAGGAGCACACTTAACATTTCCCCCTTATTCTTTATGTTTTACAGTTAGTATGCAGCTCCTAAGTACTCCATAAAAGTTGAATAGCTTTAAGATGATTCCCAGTCCTAAGGAATGACTTGAACAGATTAATTCTCCCAGTCCCTTTTGGAGCGAAAGGCATGTATTTCAACTGGACTGGCTAGAACACAGTCCCTTGTGAAGAAATTGAGGAATTTCACTGAGGCATTCAGGAGTTCAGTTATATAGTTCACAAATGAACTAAACTTAAAATGTTGGTTCAGATAATATTTTCTAAATGTCAGAAGATTTGCCTATATTTTACGTGCTTATGATCTATAAACATTTCAGGAAAGAAATCTAAACTCATAGAGCAAGGACTTTCTGTTTCATTCACCCCTGGCCTAGAACAATGCCTGGCTTACCTAGTAGATATTCAGGAAATATTTGTGGAATGAATGAGAAATATTCACTTTTTCCTATTATGCGTCAAGTACCAGGTATTTCTCAGAAATTGATTCACTTATTTAGAAACTTAATCAGTAAAGAATCAGTAATTGCTAATTAAAGACAAACTTTTGTGCTATAAGTAGAGTTAGCATAACATTTTGTTTAAGATTGAAATGAGAAGACTTGAGTTTGAATCCTGGTTGTTTGGTGTTAGTAGAGTACTTTTCTTTTCTTCAGTTTTTTTTTTTTTTTTTATGGATTTAGGGCCACAAGCACAGTTGTATAACGTGTATGTATTGCATAGCGGTAAAGTCTGAGCTTTTAGTGTACCTGTCACTCTAATGCTGTACAAATAGTATTTTATCTCTCACCTCTTCTCACTCTCCCACCTCTTGGAGTCTCCAGTGTCTGTTATTCCACTCTGTATGTCCATGTGTACCCATTGTTTAGCTCTCGCTTACAAGTGAGAACATGTGTGTCTTTTTTACTTTCTGTTTCTGCATCATTTCACTAAGGATAATGGCCTCCAGTTCCATCCATGTTGCTGTACAAGACACGATTTTATTATTTTGTATGGGCAAGTAGTGTTCCATGGTGTGATTATATATCAATCACATTTTATCCAGTCATCCACTGAAGGACACTTAAGTTAATTCCATGACTTTGCTATTGTGTATAGTGCTGTCATAATCATACAAGTGCAGGTGTCTTTTTTATATAATGATTTCTTTTCTTTTTTCTTTCTTTTTTTTTTTTTTTTTTGAGATAGGGTCTTGCTGTGATGCCCAGGCTGGAGTGCAGTGGTGTGATCACGGCTCACTGCAGCATCAACCTCTTGGGCTCAGGCAATTCTCCCACCTCAGCCTCCTGAGTATCTGGGACCATAGTCACATGCCACCATGCCAGGCTAATTTTTAAAAAATTATTTGTAGAGGCAGGGTCTCCCTATGTTGCCCAGTCTGGTCTCAAACTCTTAGACTCAAGTGATCCTCCCGCCTCAACCTCCCAAAGTGCTGGGATTACAGGCATGAGCCACTGTGGCTGGCAATGATTAAGTTTTTTATAATAACTTATTTTCCTTTTAGAAGCTATTCAGTAGTGGGATTGCTGGATCAAAGGGTAGTTCTATTTTTAGTTCTTTGAGAAATCTCCATATTGTTTTCCATAGAGGTTATACTAATTTATATTCCCACCAACAATGTATAAGTGTTCCCTTTTCTCTGCATCCTTGCCAACATCTGTTGGTTTTTGACTTTTTAATAATAGCCATTCTGATGGTGTGTGATGGCATCTCATTGTGGTTTTAATTTGCATTTCTCTGATTATTAGTGATATGGAGCATTTTTTCATGTTTATTGGCTGCTTCTGTGTCTTCTTTTGAAAAATGTCTGTTCATGTCCTTTGCCCACTTTTTGATGGGGTTATTTGTTTTATTCTTGTTGAGTTGTTTGAGTTCCTTGTAGATTCTGGATATGAGCCCTTTTTCAAATGAACCCTACTTTCTCCCATCCTGTAGGTTGTCTGTTTACTCTATTGATTATTTCCTTTGCTGTGCAGAAGCTCTTTAGTTTAATTAAGTTCCCTTTTCTTCTTTAAGTTTTAATTTCTTCATCTGTAATATGTGGATTATAACATTACTTACCTTGTGGGGTTGTTGTGAGGATTAAATAAGCATGATAAGTGACATGTCCTGGTAAATATTAACAGTAAATGGGCCGGGTGCGGTGGCTTATGCCTGTAATCTCCCAGCACTTTGGAGGCTGAGGTGAGATCAAAAGATCAAGACCATCCTGGCCAACATGGTGAAATCCCGTCTCTACTAAAAATACAAAAAAAAATTAGCCGGGCATAGTGGCAGGCACCTGTAATCCCAGCTACTTGGGAGGTTGAGGCAAGAGAATTGCTTGAACCCGGGAGGTGGAGGTTGCAATGAGCCAAGATCACACTATTGCACTCCAGCCTGGGCAAGAAGAGCGAAACTCTGTCTCAAAAAAACAAAACAAAACAAAACAAAAAAAACAATAAATGTTAGAGATTGGGATAAGCTATGAAACATTATAAAATATGTGATTCATAAATGTGTTCATCTAGAATTTATTCTATTATAATTTTTAAAAGCATTTAGGCTGCATAACGTATTTATCCTTTAATTCACTTAGAAGCACTATTGTTAAGAATATGAACTATAGAGTTAGACCCAGGGTCAAATCCCAGCTGTGCCACTCATTAACTGCACAGTATGGGGGAAGTAACTAGCCTCACTGCCTCAGTTTCCTCTGCTGTAAAATGCTACCTACCACATAGAGTTGTTATAAGGATCAAGTGAGATAGTGCACATAAAGTACAGCATAGTTCTAGTATTAATCATTATTTTTGAATTAAGTATTAAAATATTTTACATCCACCATAAGGTGGTATGTGATTATCAGTAATAAATATCAAAACTGAATAAGTATTCATGACAGTGATCTATTTTTACTTCTATGATTCTATGATAATTCCATTTTCTTTCATTATTCATTGTTTTTCTATTAATAAAAAAATCAAAGGCCAGGCGCAGTGGCTCATGCCTGTAACCCCAACACTGTGAGGCTGAGATGGGAGGATCACTTGAGGCCAGGAGCTGAAGACCAGCTTGGGCAACAGGGCCAGACCCCATCTCTACAAAAAATAAAAAACTAGCCCGGCATGGTGGTGTATGCCTATAGTTCCACCTAATCAGGAGGCTGAGGCAAGAGGATCACTTGAGCCCAGGAGTTTGAGGTTACAGTGAGCTAAGATTGTGCCACTATACTCCAGCCTGGGCTTTGAGACAGCACAAGTCTCTGTCAAAAAAAAAACAAAAAAAAAAACGCTACATTGATATTTTAGACATCAGCCAACAACAAGAATTTCCAGTTTCTTTTTTAGCAGCTATTAATATAAATAGATGTTAATTCACAAATAAGAGTGTAAAGAATCAGTATGGCTGTAAACATATCCAGAGCATAACTCAACATCAGGTTATTGCTTTCTTGCAAGTAGTGATTACCATAGGCTCCTTAATCCCATCCTGTTGAAAATGTTGTACTTCCTATTAAAGGTGTCTCCAGTCTTTCCAATCAGTTCTATGATTTATATTTTACTAATATGGATTATAAACTAAACCTTTATTACTATAGTACATAAAAGTGCTTTTGTTGGGGGGAGAAATCCAATGCCAGTGTAATACTATTGCCTCTGCAAGTTATTTTATCTTTTGCGTGGAGGGCTTAAAAACTGTTCTTTTATCATTATTACAGTAATAGCTCTACTAAATTGTCTTGAAGCTTATCATTGAGTCAGTTTTTTCAGATGGGCTCTTTTAATAGATTTGCATTTTTATTTTTCGTTTTCTTGGATCATAGCTTTAAATACTAGTTCCATTCTATT
The DNA here is from genome assembly GCF_000001405.40 of Homo sapiens. Taxonomy (NCBI): domain Eukaryota; kingdom Metazoa; phylum Chordata; class Mammalia; order Primates; family Hominidae; genus Homo; species Homo sapiens. The sequence goes on along the minus strand of NC_000005.10, from coordinate 43,449,428 downwards.
TCTTTGTTTTTCTTCTTTAGGGACTTCAGTTACACATATGTTGTTTCTTTTTGCCTGTATTCTATTTCAGCTATTTTCTACCTGACTGTTTTTACTTTTTTCCTCATATCATTTTTATTCTCTTGGTTGGTTTCCTGCATTTTTTCTTTTCTTTCTTGAGACAGAGTCTTACTCTGTTGCCCAGTTTGGGGTGCAGTGGTGTGATCTCAGCTCACTGCAACCTCTGCCTCCTATGTTCAAGGGATTCTCATGCCTCAGCCTCCTGAGTAGCTGGAATAGCAGGCATGCACCACCATACCCAGCTAATTTTTGTATTAATTTTTTCAGTGTGCCTTATTAAACTTTCATTTGACCTATTCTCCCTTGGATACATTGCTATATAGTCATTTATTAGATTGTTTTTGTTTTTTTTCCATACTGAGTTTAATCAATTATTATCTTTTTTTAATCTATTTTTTTTCCATTTTTGAATTTCTGATTCAAGATTTTTTTATGTCCCCATGTGGTTGTTTGAGATTTAACGTACTTTGGAGTCGTGTGATATAATTTTCTTATGTTTTATGTAGTTTAAAAAAAATTTTTTTTTGTTTTGTATTTGTTACTAGGAACAGGGTTCAAGAGATAGTTTTTTTTGTGGGGGGGGGTTGTTTTTTAGACAGAGTTTCACTCTTATTGCCCAGGCTGGAGTGCAACGGTATGATCTCAGCTCACCTCAACCTCCACCTCCCAGGTTCAAGCGATTCTCCTACCTCAGCCTCCCAATTAGCTGGGATTACAGGCATGCACCACCATGCCCAGCTAATTTTGTATTTTTAGTAGAAACGGGGTTTCTTCATGTTGGTCAGGCTGGTCTCGAGCTCCTGACCTCAGGTGATCAGCCCGCCTCAGCCTCTCAAAGTGCTGGGATTAGAGGCGTGAGCCACTCCACCTGGCTTGATATTTTTATTCTGTTTCTGATTTTCCTCCTATACTAGCTTTTTATAGATTTGTTCTATTTTATCACTTCATTTCATGATATTACATGATTCTTTATTCTAACATATTCTTGGTTAAGGCAGTGTTAGCAAAAGGACCAATGATGAACTTAACATATTGTGGATATAGAATTTAAAAACAAAGGTGAAGACAAAAGTAGAATAATAATATAGAAATGGTACATGTTCTGATGAAGTAGAAGTAAAACAAAATGTGGAGGAGAAGGCAGGGAAAGAGGAGCGTAAAATAAACTCTTTGATGTTCAGACCGTAGGTGAGAGGTAAAGAATACTCGTTTGAGGAGAGGGTTTATAGGATTCCTTGTTCAAGGGTGGTCTGATTTGACAGTGGGACAAGGTAGAGTCTCTTTAATAGGTAACTTTTTTTCATGTGGTCGGAACATTGTCTGATTTTTGTTTGTGTTTTTTGGACAGGAAACTACATTTCTTCCTTTTACTACTTCTTTTCCTTTTCACCATCCAGTCTCCAAAGAGTGTCTCTCCCTTTCTTACCATCGTCTCCCCCAGAATCAATACCTTTCAGAGTCTTGAAGGTCCACTCTTAAGTCCTTTCCCTGCAGTTAGTGCTGTGACCTACTAGGACACTCTTCAGTATTTTCACACTTAAACTGAACTTCCTAGTGGTAATTTTAGATCAATCTTAGGTTTCCCCTCTTCTCTCTTCAATATAGTTTTTCCTGACTTGGATGGAAGTGTGAGAGAGAGAACCCACTGATTTGGTGTTTATGTTAATACTTATGGGTAATTTCAAATATGGGCATTCTCTGGCTTCTGTTTATGCTGAGGGTTTGAGATTTTGTGTAGTTTTATTTGTCCTTCATGTTTTATAATACTTTTAGAGGATATGTGCAGAGATTCAGATTTAGACAATCATAACTATCCTCAGCTTTATTTTTGTTTAGGGATTATCTCGCTGCAAATTAGTCTTTAAAGCAGGTGAGAACAAAACCCTACTCATGAATCATTCAGGGATTAAGCCTGAAATTTTTATTGGTTCAGATATTGAGTATACATTTTGGTAGTGGTTTAGAAATTTACTGAAGTTTGCCGGGCGTCATGGCTCACGTCTGTAATCCCAGCACCTTGGGAGGCCAAGGTGGGTGGATCATCTGAGTTCAGGAGTTCGAGACCAGCCTGGCCAACATGGTGAAACCCTGTCTCTACTAAAAATACAAAAATTAGCCGGGCATGGTGGCAGGTGCCTATGATCCCAGCTACTCGGGAGGCTGAGGCTGGAGAATTTTAACCCAAGAGGCAGAGATTGCAGTGAGCCGAGATTGCGCCACCGCACTCCAGCCTGGGCAACTGAGCAAGACTCCACCTAAAAAAAAAAAAAAGAAATTTACTGAAGTTTATTTAACTCAATTTTAGAATACGTATTTAAAATAATATAATTTTTCTAAATGTTGTAAATAAATTCCAAAAGTGTTTATAGCTAATATAAAATGGATATAACAAAAATATTTCCCTCTTTTGCCTTAACTAAAGAATATTTTATTTGGTTGTGAGATATTTTTACAGTGCTCTTAGAGGCCCTGGATAATTATATAAAACTCCAAATTACACAAACTGTACACTTAGATTATAAATTATGTTCATATTGTGAATTTTCTAAGCAAATAATGGGAAACTTAAAAAATTAATCACCATATTCCTGAGACCTTGATTTTATTTTTAATGTAAAGGATATCCTGCTCACACTTTTATATTCTTTTATATATATATAATTTTGGTATATGTATCCTGAAGTGGCATAGAACATGTTTCTTTTGCATGTCCAATAGACTCTGGAAAATATTTTAAAATATTAAGAAGCATGTATAAAATTTTGTTTTGCTAGAAAGGAAATGATACTCGCTATTACTTTGCTCCCTCAGGCTGCTTTGACTCTCCCGCGAAGACCTTTCCTTCACTGTTCTACTGTGATTCCCGTTGTGGTTCTGACCCTGAAATTTACTATGCACCTTTTCAAGCTCAAAGACTCATGGTGCTTTCTTCCCTGGATGTTATTTATATCCTGGACTTCACATCATATCCGAGATGGGATTCGTCATGGTTTGTGGATATGCCCATTTGGAAAAACTTCTCCTTTGCCATTCTGGCTTTATGTAATAATCACATCATCTTTACCTCACATCTGTTCATTCGTTATGTATTTAACAGGAACCAGACAAATGATGTCTTCAAAACATGGAGTTCGTATTGATGTCTGAGGTACACGGCAGTCTTAGAGAAGCAAATGGCTCAGATGATGATAATTAAGAGTAGCCAACATTAAAGTTAATTTTTAAAAATACAGTTAGGTGTTTATATTATTTAGTTATTATAATTCTGCAATCCTCTTGCTCAGGAAGTGTATACAACTTTTTTAAAAATTATACTTGTTATTATTCTACTTCTCTCTTCTATGACAACTCTAGTGCAATATTAGAGTTTCATTTATTCCACAATATATTTTTACTGTTTTTTTCTATTTATCTGGCTTTACTAGTAGTTCTTTTAGATTAACATCCAGTTCATTTTCTGGAAATATACCTGGAATTTAGTCCATTTCCTAATGAAAAACAGCTCAAATTTTAGGGTAACTAATTTGTAAAGAGTTAACATTATATTTGGATCCAATTTTCCTGAGATATTGAAATAGTGAAATCACCAAATAAATGATATGAATCATTTAACTATACAAATGTATAGTTAATGCTAACATGTATTTATTTTCATATATGTTGATCCTGAGTGAAATTTAATTTGCAGAATGCTTTATGAGTTATGATTACTGGCAAAACCTTCAGAGCACTTGTGACACATCATTATAATATCCAGTAGCTAACATTAGATCTAGCTTATTATTTCAGAAATTAATTTAGGAAATAATTATTAAAACATGTTGGCTACAGTAGCACTTTACTGAAGTAGTATTTTTTGGTATCTCTAGCCTAGAATCTCGTGTGTTAGTTTTAACTGTTTTGAAAATAATAAGTAACATTAACAAAATGTTGATATTTGGATCATAACCGTAACATTTGAATTTATGCAAAAAAAAGACCAGAAATGTCATTTCAAATGTAAATTCCTGAATGTACCATTAAAATTATTTTAGTTGCTATCAGTTTGTTTATATACTATTTTATATACTATTCTAAAATATTTTACTCTGCCTGATACTGAAAGACAGCATATATTTTTTTCAAAATAAAGTTTTAGGAAATTTGCTTTTTCCTTTTTCTTTCAGGTTGATCTTCTATTAAAATGATTCCTCTTTATTAGAGAAGGAAAATTTAGTTGCTATACATCTTATATTTGCACAGTTTATTAAAGTCAGTGCCCTAAAGGTACCTGCTTTTCTTTGTGGCATATATGGCATCTGCTGTCTTCAGATTTTCTTACACTTTTGTGATTTATAATGTTAGTGATTGGTGCCTTATTCTCTGAGGAAAGATGGAGGGTTCATAAAGCAATGCCTTATCCACAGCAGATTTTCTTGTATATTAAGTTAAACAGAATTCTGTAAATTATTATGAAGGTTCAAGCTCTTTAGGGGAGTTTTTTTTCTTGTTGTTAACAAATTGGTTGCAATCTATTATATTTTGCAATTGATTAGATATTACAGTCTACTTATTTTTCAAGAGTAATTATTGTATAAGTTTGGTTGGTATAATGGTAAATATTATATAGTGGGGGTAAATTTGATTAGAGTTTTTTTTTTAAGCACTGGCTTCAGAAATCCATGGAAATAAAGTCTGTATCTTGTGTAACAATTCCTGACTAAATTGCAAAACCTTTTCTACTTTTTCTTTCTTCATATTAAACAAATAAATATTATTAAAAATATAGGGCCTTATTTAAGAATGCTACATAGTGACCGGACGTGGTGGCTCACGCCTGTAATCCCAACACTTTGGGAGGCCGAGGCAGGCAGGTCACTTGAGGTCAGGAGTTCGAGACCAGCCTGGCCAACATGGTGAAACCCCGTCTCTACTAAAAATACAAAAATTAACTGGGCGTGCTGGTGTGCACCTGTAGTTTCAGCTATTCGGGAGGCTGAGGCAGACAATGGCTTGAACCTGGGAGGCAGAGGTTGTAGTGAGCTGAGATGGGGCCACTGCACTGCAGCCTGTGTGACAGAGGGAGACTGTCTTAAAAAATAAACATAAAATAAATAAATAAGAATGCTACATAGGCATTTTTTGGGTTGTCATAACTTTTCTTTATTAGAATGGGAATTCACTTTTGAACATAACTCCTTGCTTAAACAATCTGCACATTTTATGTGTGGATTCATCTTGGTTCCTACCTCTACCATCGGAAATCTTCCTTGTCCTCTAAATCAGCAGTCCCCAGCCTTTTGGCACCAGAGACTGGAGAGACTAGTTTGGTGGAAGACAATTTTTCCACAGATGGCAGGGGCGGGGTGGGGGTGGGGATGGTTTCAGGATGAAACAGTTCCATTTTAGATCATTCAGCATTAGATTCTCATAAGGAGCTTTCAACCTAGATCTCTCACATGTGCAGTTCACAATAGGTTTCCTGCTCCTATGGGTCTCTAATGCTGGAGCTGATCTAACAGGAGGTAGAGCTCAGGTGATAATGCTCGCTCACCCACCACTCACTTCCTGCTCTGTGGCCCAGTTACTAACAGGCCATGGACCAGTACCTGTCCACAGCCAAGGAGTTGGGGACCCCTTCTCTAAATGGACCACAAAAGTTGTGATTGTAATGTCTGGAAAACTAGCAACCACCTCCCCATGCCCGCACTTTGTTTTTGCTTACAATGAAAGAATTTGTGTCAATACAATGTTGTGATTGAAAGTTAGATTGTACCTTATTTGCACGTGTGCATTCTTCTCCATCCTCTAGACTAACTTCCTTCACCTAGTGTTTCTCTCTTTGCTGTTTCACTGATCCAACCTCCCAGTCTACCATTCTCTTTTCTTGAGTTGTGTTATTCATGCTGGCTTCTGGACAACTTCTGCCACTGAACTATGTTCTACTCATCCCCAAGCCCAGCTTTCTTTAATGGCAGGCTTAAGAATCCCTGTTGTGGAGAATGCCACAAAGATACTCCTTGAGAAGAGCAACTCCAAGACACATAATTGTCAGATTCACCAAAGTCAAAATGAAGGAAAAAATGTTAAGGGCAGCCAGAGAGAAAGGTCGGGTTACCCACAAAGGGAAGCCCATCAGACTAACAGCTGATCTCTCGGCAGAAACTCTATAAGCCAGAAGAGAGTCGGGGCCAATATTCAACATTCTTAAAGAAAAGAATTTTCAACCCAGAATTTCATATCCAACCAAACTAAGCTCCATAAGTGAAGGAGAAATAAAATCCTTTACAGACAAACAAATGCTGACAGGTTTTGTCACCACACAGACAAACAAATGCTGACAGGTTTTGTCACCACCAGGCCTGCCTTACAAGAGCTCCTGAAGGAAGCACTAAATATGGAAAGGAACAACTGGTACCAGCCACTGCAAAAACATGCCAAATTGTAAAGACCATCAATGCTAGGAAGAAATTGCATCAACTAACGAGCAAAATAACCAGCTAACATCGTAATGACAGGATCAAATTCACGCATAACAATATTAACCTTAAATGTAAATGGGCGAAATGCTCCAATTAAAAGACACAGACTGGCAAATTGGATAAAGAGTCAAGACCCATCAGTGTGCTGTATTCAGGAGACCCATCTCACCTGCAGAGACATAGGCTCAAAATAAAGGGATGGAGGAAGATCTGCCAAGCAAATGCAAAACAAAAAAAGGCAGGGGTTGCAATCCTAGTCTCTGATAAAACAGACTTTAAACCAACAAGATTAAAAGAGACAAAGAAGGCCATTACATAATGGTAAAGGGATCAATTCAACAAGAGCTAACTATCCTAAATATATATGCACCCAATACAGGAGCACCCAGATTCATAAAGCAAGTCCTTAGAGACCTACAAAGAGACCTAGACTCCCACACAATAATAATGGGAGATTTTAACACCCCACTGTCAACATTAGACAGATTAATGCGACAAAAAGTTAAAAAGGATACCCAGGACTTGAACTCAGCTCTGCACCAAGCTGACCTAATAGACATATACAGAACTCTCCGCCCCAAATCAACAGAATATACATTCTTCTCAGCACCACATCGCACTTATTCCAAAATTGACCACATAGTTGGAAGTAAAGCACTCCTCAGCAAATGTAAAAGAAAGAAATTATAACAAACTGTCTCTCAGACCACAGTGCAATCAAACTAGAACTCAGGATTAAGAAACTCACTCAAAACCACTCAACTACATGGAAACTGAACTACCTGCTCCTGAATGACTACTGGGTACATAACAAAATGAAGGCAGAAATAAAGATATTCTTTGACACCAATGAGAACAAAGACACAACATACCAGAATCTCTGGGACACATTTAAAGCACTGTGTAGAGGGAAATTTATAGCACTAAATGCCCACCAGAGAAAGCAGGAAAAATCTAAAATTGACACCCTAACATCACAATTAAAAGAACTAGAGAAGCAAGAGCAAACACATTCAAAAGCTAGCAGAAGGCAAGAAATAACTAAGATCAGAGCAGAACTGAAGGAGATAGAAACACAAAAAAACCCTCCAAAAAATCCATGACTCCAGGAGCTGGTTTTTTGAAAAGATCAGCAAAATTGATAGACTGCTAGGAAGACTAATAAAGAAGAAAAGAAGAATCAAATAGATGCAATAAAAAATGATAAAGGGTATATCACCACTGATCCCACAGAAATACAAACTACCATCAGAGAATACTACAAACACCTCTACACAAATAAACTAGAAAATCTAGAAGAAATGGATAAATTCCTGGACACATACACCTTCCCAAGACTAAACCAGGAAGAAGTTGAATCCTTGACTAGACCAATAACAGGCTGTGAAGTTGAGGCAATAATTAATAACTTACCAACCAAAAAAAGTCCAGATTCACAGCCAAATTCTATCAGAGGTACAAGGAGGAACTGGTACCATTCCTTCTGAAACTATTCCAACCAATAGAAAAAGAGGGAATCCTCCCTATTTTATGAGGCCAGCATCATCCTGATACCAAAGCCTGGCAGAGACACAACCAAAAAAGAGAATTTTAGACCAATATCCCTGATGAACATCAATGCAAAAATCCTCAATAAAATACTGGCAAACCGAATCCAGCAGCACATCAAAAAGCTTATCCTCCATGATCAAGTTGGCTTCATCCCTGAGATGCAAGGCTGGTTCAACATACACAAATCAATAAACACAATCCGTCACATAGACAGAACCAAAGACAAAAACCACATGATTATCTCAATAGATGCAGAAAAGGCCTTCAACAAAATTCAACAACCCTTCATGCTAAAAAATCTCAATAAACTGGGTACTGATGAAACACATCTCAAAACAATAAGAGCTATTTATGACAAACCCACAGCCAATATCATACTGAATGGGCAAAAACTGGAAGCATTCCCTTTGAAAACTGGCACAAGACAGGGATGCCCTCTCTCACCACTCCTATTCAACATAGTGTTGGAAGTTCTGGCCAGGGCAATCAGGCAGGAGAAAGAAATAAAGAGTATTCAGTTAGGAAAAGAGGAAGTCAAATTGTTCCTCTTTGCAGATGACATGATTGTATATTTAGAAAACCCCATCGTCTCAGCCCAAAATCTCCTTAATCTTATAAACAACTTCAGCAAAGTCACAGGATACAAAATCAATGTGCAAAAATCACAAGCATTCCTCTACCAATAACAGACAGAGAGCCAAATCATGAGTGAACTCCCATTCACAATTACTACAAAGAGAGTAAAATACCTAGGAATCCAACTTAAAAAGGATTTGAAGGACCTCTTCAAGGAAGAACTACAAACCACTGCTCAATGAAATAAAAGAGGACACAAACAAATGGAAGAACATTCCATGCTCATGGATAGGAAGAATCAGTATTGTGAAAATGACCATACTGCTCAAGGCAATTTACAGATTCAATGCCATCCCCATCAAGCTACCAATGACTTTCTTCACAGAATTGGAAAAAACTACTTTAAAGTTCATGTATGGAACCAAAAAAGAGCCTTCATTGCCAAGATAATCCCTAAGCAAAAAGAACAAAGCTGGAGACATCACACTACCTGACTGCAAACTATACTAAAAGGCTACAATAACCAAAACAGCATGATACTGCTACCAAAACAGAGATATAGACCAATGGAACAGAATAGAGCCCTCAGAAATAATACCACACATCTACAACCATCTGATCTTTGACAAACCTGACAAAAACAAGAAATGGGGAAAGGATTCCCTATTTAATAAATGGTGCTGGGAAAACTGGCTAGCCATATGTAGAAAGCTGAAACTGGATCCCTTCCTTACACCTTATACAAAAATTAATTCAAGATGGATTAAAGACTTAAATGTTAGACCTAAAACCATAAAAGCCCTAGACGAAAACCTAGGCAATACCATTCAGGCCATAAGCATGGGCAAGGACTTCATGACTAAAACACCAAAAACAATGGCAACAAAAGCCAAAATTGACAAATGGGATCTAATTAAACTAAAGAGCTTCTGCACAGCAAAAGAAACTACCAACAGAGTGAATAGGCAACCTACAGAATGGGAGAAAAATTTTTACAATCTACCCATCTGACAAAGGGCTAATATCCAGAATCTACAAAGAACTTAAACAAATTTACAAGAAAAAATCAAACAACCTCATTAAAAAGTGGACAAAGGATATGAACAGACACTTTCAAAAGAAGACATTTATGCAGCCAACAGACACAGGAAAAAAATGCTCATCATCACTGGCCATCAGAGAAATGCAAATCAAAACCACAATGAGATACCATCTCATACCAGTTAGAATGGCAATCATTAAAAAGTCAGGAAACAACAGGTGCTGGAGAGGATGTGAGAAATAGGAACACTTTGACACTGTTGGTGGGACTGTAAACTAGTTCAACGATTGTGGAAGACAGTGTGGTGATTCCTCAAGGATCTAGAACTAGAAATACCATTTGACCCAGCCATCCCATTACTGGGCGTATACCCAAAGGATTATAATTCATGCTGCTATAAAGACAAATGCACATGTATGTTTATTGCAGCACTATTCACAGTAGCAAAGACTTGGAACCAACCCAAATGTCCATCAATGATAGACTGGATTAAGAAAATGTGGCACATATACACCATGGAATATATGCAGCCATAAAAAGGATGAGTTCGTGTCCTTTGTAGGGACATGGATGAAGCTAGAAACCATCATTCTGAGCAAACTATTGCAAGGACAGAAAACCAAACACCGCATGTTCTCACTCATAGGTGGGAACTGAACAATGAGAACACTTGGACACAGGGTGGGAAACGTCACACACCAGGGCCTGTGGTGGAGTGGTGGGAGGGGGAGGGATAGCATTAGGAGATATACCTAATGTAAATGACAAGTTAATGGGTGCAGCACACCAACATGGCACATGTATACATATGTAACAAACCAACATGGCACATGTATACATATGTAACAAACCTGAGAGTTGTCCACATGTACCCTAGAACTTAAAGTATAATAATAAAAAATAATAATCCCTGTTGTGAATGGGTAAAAACTCCCTTTTTTATTTTATTTTATTTATTTATTTATTTATTTTGAGATGGAGTCTCGCTCTGTCGCCCAGGATGGAGTGCAGTGACATGATCTCGGCTCACTACAACCTCGGCCTCCCAGATTCAAGAGATTCTCCTGCCTCAGCCTTGGATTACAGGCACCTGCCACAACAGGCTAATTTTTTTATTTTTAGTAAAGATGGGGTTTCATCATGTTGGCCAGGCTGGTCTCGAACTCCTGACCTCAAGTGATTCGCCTGTCTCAGCCTCCCAATAGTGCTGGGATTACAGGCGTGAGCTACCGTGCCCAGTCAAAACTCTCCGTTTTATTTTCACCTCTTTAACTCGGCCCTTTCTGAGGCAGCAACCTTCCCACTCTGACCCTTAGGCAGACACCCTTGGCTCCTGTTTCTTTTGGCTGGTGGAATGATTACTTAGTTTGGCCCATTTAACCAACTGGTCTTTGCTCACCACTGTCAGAGTTCTCAGTTTTTTTCATTTGATAGCTCATTATATTGCTCACTTCAAATCCTCCTCACCTTCTAAGACTCACTTTCCCCTTCTTTGATGATATGAGCAAAAAGGATCCCCTTTTTCCTTTTATTCCAACCCTTGCTTTTATCTTTCCCAGTTACAGATAACCTGCCTAAAACCTGGACTTGTGCATTCCCCTATTCTATGCCACTACTCTCATTGCCACATCACATCAGCCACTTATCAGTACAGTGGGCCCCTGTACCTCCTTCTTAGATGATACTGGTCACCTCTGAGATCTTAAGCTTTGTTTCCTTTCTCTAGACCAGTAGTTCTCAAACTCTACCATACATCACAATCACATTCAGGGCTTGTTAAAACCTGGACTGCTTGGGACCCATCCCCAGAGTTCTGATTTGGTAGGTCCTGATCACTTACATTTCCAACACATTTCCAATTGATGTCGATGCTGCTGTTCAGGAATGATATTTTGAAGACCACTACTCCAGACCCATCCTGCTTCTTTAACTTCATTTTCCTCATCTCTCTTTTTTTAATTGAGCCAGCTGTTCTGCCTTATCGATATCTTTAATATTTCTTAAATGACCCTCATCACCAAGTCCATCAGCCCTCTGCTGGGTACAATTTAACTCTGCCAAGGCCCTACCGGTACAGTGGTATAAGTTCAGTCACCCATCAGTGCAATGTACAGTACAGTGTAAATTACTGTGCACTTCCTCGTGTATCATAAAATTAGTCAATCCAGAATAGTCTATGTAGAGGGCTTTTCCCAGTTCTACTTTAGGCCATATGTCTTTGAAGTAGTTACGGAAGCATGCTGACTTGGCTTACTACAACTCATGCAATCTAACTTCAGCCAGGTACTTGATAATGTGTTACTCACTACTGAACATTGTAGTGTAATATTGTAACACGGAATGTCTGCTACACCACAGCTTTTTGATAGTGGCATAGACTTGGGTGGGTGCTTAAGCATAACTGATCATACTGACCTCATGACCCCACTCTATTCTCTTCCCTCCCCCACACTGACATACCACAAGAGGGTGCCCTTGACCCTTGACCCAAGTGTTGCCAACTGACAGCAGGTTAGAGTCTTTGGAGATGGCCTGATAAAGAAGATTTGACCAATTCCTTAGAGAAGAGAAAGCACCTTAGAACCTTAGAGAAGAGAAAGCAGACAGCACAAGCCACAAAGTATGCAGAACTGGTAAAGGTTTACATTTTCCTTTTTTTTTTTTTTTTTTTTGAGACAGAGTCTTGCAGTGTCGCCCAGGCTGGAGTGCAGTAGCCCGATCTCGGCTCACTGCAAGCTCCACCTCCTGGGTTTACACCATTCTTCTGCCTCAGCCTCCCAAGTAGCTGATCACAGGCGCCCACCACCATGCCCGGCTAATTTTTTTGTATGTTTAGTAGAGACGGGGTTTCACCATGTTAGCCAGGATGGTCTCGATCTCCTGACCTCGTGATCCACCCGCCTTGGCCTCCCAAAGTGCTGGGATTACGAGCATAAGCCACCGTTCCCGGTCTTTTTTTTTTCCTTTTCTTTTTTCTTTTTTTTTTTTTAAGACAAGGCCTTGCTCTGTCACCCAGGCTGGAGTGCAGTGGCATGACTGCAGCTCACTGCAACCTTGACCTCCCAAATTCAAGCACTCCTTCCACCTCAGCCTCTCGAGTAACTGGGACTACAGGTGCAATATCATGCCCAGCTAATTTTTTAATGTTGTTTTTTTTGTTTGTTTGTTTGTTTGTTTTTTTTTTTTTTTTTTTAATAGATTCAGGATCTCACTATGTTGCCCAGGCTGGTCTCAAATTCCTGGCCTCAAATGATCCTTTTGCCTTGGCCTCCCAAAGTGTTGGTGTGAGCCATTGCACCTGGCTTATGTTTTCAACTTATATGAAAGCCAGGGGTATTTTTCAATCCATCCTATGGACTTTTATTGAAGGGTATACTTTTTTACTAAGAGTTTCAGTTGACAGACTCTGTTTCCCAGAGCTACAGAATGATGAGTGAGGTCATTCAGTCCTGTGCTCTGCCTTCAAACTGGATGAGCCCAGTGACTGTCAAGCCTACTTTTACAGCTTTCAAGAGAATTTCAAATTCTTTCTGCTTTTTATGTCTTGCTCCAAAGAAAACACAAGGGTTTTCTTTTTTTCCACATTATCTGTATGCATAGTCTGCACATACAGTCTGATTTGTGGTATAACAGAACTATAAGGCTCATTGGCACCTTGCACAATTTTATGGCAACAACACAAAACATCAGGATGATGGAGTAGGTGACATGCTCAAATCTCTGAGTGTGGACTTCTGTAGAATGTTTCACATATAACTGTGCCATATTTTAAGTGCCATGGCCTCCTGAGCATGGATAATGATGCATATTGTGTTGCATTTTAAATTCTCCCTGAAAAGCAAACTTAGCCACCTAGCAATCTATTTCATATACCAGATTATGAAGCAGTAAAATGCAAATATGATGAGTCTAAATGTCTACCCCACAAATTAGAAACCAGTAAAGTCTTCTGATTTATGGGGCATAGAAGTGACTCTCACTCCTTGATGGCTGGTGTGGGTGCCATGCTGAGGAGTTTAGCTACCATGCGCAAGCACTTTTGAAAATTGTGCTGGTTTCTTCCTCGCCATATATGGTTGGATCTCAATGGAAATGTACGGGACTGAAAGCAATTATGCATCATTTGGCAAGCAGTGTTCACTATTTTATATATTTTGTGCCCTCTTCTGAATGTTGTCACACATGCATGTGGGGGAGACAAAGAGGAATTTAATGGGATTTTACTAGTGTGCCAGAGTATCCTGCCAAATGTCTATCATGTTAGATGGTCTGTGATGCACTAACTACAAAATATAATACATATATGGCCAAACAATAATGTGTCTGGGCCAGGCACGGTGGCTCATGCCTGTAATCCCAGCACTTCGGGAGGCCGAGGTGGGCAGATGAGGTCAGGAGTTCGAGACCAGCCCCTGGCCAACATGGTGAAACCCATCTCTACTGAAAAGACAAAAATTAGCCAGACATGGTGGTGGGTGTCTAATAATCCCAGCTACTTGGGAGGCTGAGGCACGAGAATCACTTAAACCCAGGAGGCAAAGGTTGCAGTGAGCCGAAATCATGCCATTGCACTCCAGCCTGGGCGACAAGAGCCAGACTCCATCTCAAATAATAATAATAATAATAATAATAATAATAATAATAATAATAATGTGTCGGTCAAAAGTTTTCTATTTGTTTTCCTATGGTTTTTCCTCTGGGCCCAAATCATGACCTTAAAAAAAGAAAATGTTGATCTAAATTTTATTCACAAAGTTCTAAAGCTAGAGCCCTTAAGGAATATCTTAATTTGTAATTTCTTCTATGTGACTTATTATGTCTGTTTCACGTGATGAAAAGACATACTGAACTTAATTCTAATGGAATCTGCAGATGTGGTAACAGGTTGATTTTCACCTAGTTTTGTTATGAATTTATAGATATTTTGTGATTGGAGTACTTTTAACTTCTCAGTTACATCAAGAAATGCTTATTTCTGGCCAACCGCAGTGGCTCACACCTGTAATCCCAGCATTTTGGGAGGCGGAGGCAGGTGGATTACCTGAGGTCAGGAGTTCGAGACCAGCCTGATCAACATGGTGAAACCCATCTCTACTAAAAATACAAAAAAAAAAAAACAACAAAAAAAAACCTAGCCAGGCGTGGTGGCGGGCACCTGTAATCCCAGATAATCGGGAGGGTGAGGCAGGAAAATCACCTGAACCCGGCAGGCAGACATTGCAGTGAGCCAAGACTGCACCATTGCACGCCAGCCTGGGCAAAAAGATCAAAACTCCATCTCAAAAAAGAAAAAAAAGAAAGAAAGAAATTTTTATTTCTGATTATTGCAAATTATTACAAGCATTGTAATTGTTATGTTATAGAAACAATCTATTAAAATGTAAATCCCAAGATATTTAATGTAACTAAAATGCAAAATAAAACATCAACAAGGGTTTTTTAAAATTCTCAGTTTGGTACATTTTAAAAAGATTGATAATAGTATTGGCAAGAGGTGTAAGGAAATGGGCACTGTTGGTGAAACAATAAAGTCACACTTTCTTGCTAGAGATAAATTTGGTAACATGTTTTAAAAGTACAAGCCATTTCACTCAGAAATTCTATTTTAGGAATTTATTCTAAGAAACAAACAAGTAAGTATACAAAGGAGAGGGATTTATATTGGTTGCTTCAGATGGCAAAAATAAAATGAGACAAAACTGGAAATCACCTGAAAGTCTAACTAGAGGATTAGTAGCCTAAGCTACTGTGCAAACAATGGAATACTAATGGCTAAATCATTTAAATGGATGAAGTAGATATATGTAATGATATGCAAAAATGTCTGTATGAAATATTTTAAAAATAAAGGCCAGTAATAAAACAAGATGATTCCATTTTTGTAAAATAGGCATATACATGTGTGTAGTGTAGAAAACAATTCTGAAACCTAGCTACCAGGCAATTTACAGTGGTCACCTCAGGAGTTCGGGGAGTGGGCCATAAGGAACTTCTGCTTTTACTTTATATATTGTATCATGTTTTACAATAAGCATGTATACTTTTATATGACATAGAGGTATCTCAATTTGCTATCACAAATGCAATTCTCAGTCTACAGAGCAGCTCTGGCCTGACACCAGCACCTGACTCTCCCTGTAACACACCTCAGACTGGTGCTGATTGTTCTCGTGGGTCAGTGAGCCGAGCTACTGATAAGCTACTCTGTTTCCACATTGGATTCAGCACCTCAGTTAAGCCCACATAGCTGTCCTTATTATTTAATTTGTTATTTCATCAGACTCTAGCTACGTACCAAGATCTATTCCAAGCCAGAAACTTCACAGCCATTTCATTGATCTGAGAAACTCATGTTAATAATCAGTCTCCACAATTACTTTGCACGTTGCATAAATCAAAGGTTCTGCCACCTGCATCTCCTTGGCAGTTCTTTACTTGCCAGAAATAACAATAATAATGAAAGGGTGTATGAAGCATTTTACCATTTCTTCTGACTTTGCAAGGAGTCAGTTTGACTTACATATCCAGTATCGCAATTAATATTGTTGCTTCAAGGTCTGGGCAGCATTCCAATTCCATCAACCCCACAAATGCCTGAACAGGAGGGGAATATCAGTTTAGAGGTCTAGCACATATCGTGATCTTCCTAAGACCTCTGTGTGAGCCTTCAAAGAAGGTGGTCATCTGAATTCACACCTCCTTACTCATTTGGTATTAATTGGTCTTATATTGAGCACTGCCCAAGTTTCCAGGTCAGTGATATTGACAGCATGCACATAAAGTGGAAGGCAGAGAGAAAATTTCCCCTAAATATCTGGGTGATACTAAATAAAGTCTAAAATGTGAGACAGTGGTTACATAACAGGCACATATAACATATCTTAATGACAGTAGTAAAGTATTCCTGAGAGTACTATTAGGAACACATTGTATGCTGCAGAGGCCCTGTTTCTCTTGGAAAGTCATGTGTAAATACCACAGTTCCCTCTTCCTGGAGGTCCACAGCTGATTGCTCAATGTCTGACAATAGTCTCTCAGTGGTAGGCCTGGTTCCCTGGCCAGCAGAGACTCTGATGTTTCTCTAGATTCTAAAATGATTGGCATAGGTTGCTCTTGTGCAATCTGGCCTCCAGAGAAGTTGGCTTGGGCCCCAGGCCAATCCTGGAAAGGGCTCTCCCATTCCCAGGGTGTGACATCTAAGACAAACCACTCTGCAAGCCCTCTGCTTCCTTCTCCACATACCAATCCAGGTGAGATCAGATGAAAATCAACTTCAAGGTATCTTTGAAAACTACAAAAGGGTGGAAAGGAAGTAAGGAAGTGGGGAATTCTGCCTACTTGGACTGCTTAGGGGTTATAGGGTATGAGTTTCTGTCTGTGTATCCAGTATTACTTTTCTTTTGCTGCTGTAATAAATGACCACAAACTTAGTGCTTTAAAACAAGATACATTTATTATCCTGTAGTTCTGTATGTCAGAAATCCAACACAGGTCTCACTGAACTAAAATGAAGGCATCAGCAGGAAAGTGTCCATCTGGAGGCTCTAGGGAAGCATCTGCTCCCTTGTCTTTTTCAGCTTCTAGATACCACCTGTGCTATAGACTCAGTGTATCCCCCCCAAAATGCATACAATCCCCCTGTGATGGCATTTGTAGGTGGGGCCGTTGGTAGGGCAGAGCCCTCATGAATGGGATTAGTACCTTTATAAAAGAGACTCCAGAGAGTTCTCTTGCCTCTTTTACCCTGGGAGGTTATAGTGAGAATTCAGTGCGTGCAACTCAGAAGAGAACATTCATCAGAAACTCAACCTTGAGAACTATAAGAAATAAATTTTTATTGTTTATAAGCCACCTAGTCTATGGTTTTAGTTTTTTTGTTTGTTTGTTTGAGACGGAGTTTTGCTCTTGTTGCCCAGGCTGGAGTGCAATGGTGCAATCTCGGCTCAATGCAACCTCCGCCTCCTGGGTTCAAGCAATTCTACTGCCTCAGTCTCCCAAGTAGCTGGAATTACAGGCATATGCCACCATGCCTGTCTAATTTTTTGTATTTAGTAGAGACGGGGGTTTCACCATGTGGGTCAGGCTGGTCTCGAACTCCTGACTTCAGGTTATCCACCCGCCTTGGCCTCCCAAAGTGCTGGGATTACAGGTGTGAGCCACCACGCCTGGCTAGTCTATGGTACTTTGTTATGGCAGCCCAAACTGACTCAGACAACCTGCAGGCCTTCGCTTGTGGCCCTTTATTCAGTCTTAAAAGCCAGCAATGGCAGGTCAATCCCTTTTCATATCACGTCTGCCTGATCCTCCTTCCATAGTCACACCCTCCTCTGACCACAGCCAGGAAAGGTTCTCTGATTTAAGAACCCATGTGATTAGACTGGGCCCACCTGGATAATCCATGATCATCTCCTCAGCTGAAGGTTCTAATCAAGTCTACAAAGCCTCTTTTGCCAGGTTCCAGGGACTGGGATGAATCTTTGGAGGCCATTACTATATTCTACCTGCTATGATTGCTTCAGTATTTTCAGTTGTTGTAGTTTGTTAGTGGTTTTGTTTGTTTAATACAAGCTGGTGGGCCACCTCCCGTACTCCTGAAACCACTTTCTAAAGTCACTATGACCTGGACATCGCTGTGTTCCTGGTGTCTTTGGAGAAGTCACTCATCTGTTCTGAGCCAACGAGGGATAGGCCAGATGCTTCCCAAGATTCCTTCCTGCTCTATTTTTTTATACTCTCCAGCTCTTTGTCCAAGTAATGCTGGGGCTCCTCAAATTCTGGGGAAATGGCCTGCAACTTGCCTTGTCAGTTAAGTTCATTCTTGGGATATGTTTTTCTCCCTCAATATCAACACTTTTGGTTGTATTTTTCCTTTATTTTCTCCATGTAGAACTACTGCATCTTTAGAAAAACCCTTTCTCTATTCTCCATGAAAAAAATTTTAATTCATAAAAGTCTTATCAGGGCCAGGCGTGGTGGCTCACACCATAATCCCAGCACTTTGGGAGGCTGAGGTGGGCGGATTACCTGAGGTCAGAAGCTCAAGACCAGCCTCGCCAACATGGTGAAACTCCATCTCTACTAAAAATACAAAAATTAGCCAGTGTGGTGGCACATGCCTGTAATCCCAGCTACTCAGGAGGCTGAGGCAGGAGAATCACTTGAACCTGGGAGGCAGAGGTTGCAGTGAGCCAAGATCATGCCGCTGCACTCCAGCCTGGGTGACAGAGTGAGACTCCGTTGCCAAAAAAAAAAAAAAAGTCTTATCAGTTGAACGTTCATAGCCCTTTTGATGAAAATGAATACAATATTTGCCCTCACAGAATACTGGTTCAGTTAGCAATTGAACAAATGTTTAATGTGTTCCTATAATGTAGCAGGCCTTGTATTAAAAACTAATATTCTAATGGTGGAAAAAACCAGGCCCCATCTTAAAATATCTCCTAGGCTAGTTGGAAGATGGACAGGGAGACAGGACATTTCAGTATAGGGTGGTAAGTGCTGCAGTCAGGTCAAGCACAGGGGCTTGGAGGTCCCCCTAGGGCAGACAGGGAAGCTCCCTGAGAACCAATAGCTGAGCAAGAGGTCTTCAGGTGAAAGTGAATAAGGTGATGGAGAACTGCTGAGAAGCTCCCTGAAGGCAGAGGGAATAGCATTTACAAAAGCCTTGAGTGGCAGCTGGTCAGTGGGGTTGTAGGAAACGCAGGAGCAGAGTGTTTGAGGTGGGAGAGTGACAACAGTTGAAGTCGGTAAGCTAACCAGAACTGGGTCCTGGAGAACCCTGTATACCTTTTAAGGACTTAGGAACTTACCTTGAGGCAATGCAGAAGCATTGCAAGGTTTAAGCCTGAGAATGGCATGATCAGGCTTGCCTTTCTTTCTAGAGGTGATAATTGGGAGCTGAATCCAAAAGCTCCCAGATTTTAATTGGTGTCTTTTAGCTATGTACACTTCCCATCAAGAACTTCAGAGGCTAGAGGCATAGCAGCTAAGAAGCCTCTATACAGACTCAGTATAATGTGAGCTGCCTCTTAATATGGGCTATTTACAATCTAAAAATAAAGCACTGAAGGCTGGGTGCACTGGTTCATGCCTGTAATCCCAGCACTTTGGAAGGCCAAGGCGGGCTGATCACTTGAGGTCAGTTCAAGACCAGCCTGGCCAATGTGGTAAAACCCCATCTCTACTAAGAATACAA
This sequence comes from Homo sapiens, assembly GCF_000001405.40. Taxonomy (NCBI): domain Eukaryota; kingdom Metazoa; phylum Chordata; class Mammalia; order Primates; family Hominidae; genus Homo; species Homo sapiens. Next base: position 43,429,543 of record NC_000005.10, on the reverse strand, counting down.
AAATTAGCGGGGCATAAAACTACAAAAATACAGGTGGTGGGCCCCTGTAGTCCCAGCTACTAGGGAGGCTGAGGAAGGAAAATCACTTGAACCTGGGAGGCAGAGGTTGCAGTGAGCCGAGACTGGGCCACTGCACTCCAGCCTGGGCGACAGAGAGAGATTGTCTCAAAAAAACAAACAAACAAAAAAACCAAAACAGCAACAACAACAACAAAAAACCCACTAAAAATAATATGTAAACAAAAGTCACCCCTACCTTAAGCAAACCAGACACATTCCCTGCCCCCTGGATTGTAGCCTTTTTGGATCAAGTCCAGCTTCTGCGCAGAGCGCTGGACTGTTTGCAGTGCCTAGAACTGAACATGGTCTGGCTCCCTATGCACATGCTGTTCTCCGAGAAGCTCTTCCTCCACCACTTAAATATCTGGGTAGCCGTTACTTAAGAGAGAGTTCCTCAAGTGTGTCCTGTTCTGTAGAATATCTTAGACCTTCTCAATCTGACTCCAAGACGGAGCTACGGCTCCCACTTGAGTACATTCTTCTGCATCCTTCTGTTGTGTGGTTATCACATTAATGTGGTGGCAAGAGCTAAATGCTTTTCCTGTCCTTTTCTTATTCAGCTACTTCATCCCCCCACCCCTGCCCCCGCCCCACACCACCACCACAAAGGCCAGGAAAGAAGCCTTGTAATTAGAACATGTGTGGACATGCACCACTTATTATCAGTTAGTGTAGTATGCTCAGTCAAGGCAAACGCCATCTTAGTATAGTAGCCCTAGGATATTAGTTAATAAGAAATCAGTTCGAAGATACGTTAGTGAAAGGGATAGGACTTTCTCACCTCACTGGGAGTTCAAAAGAAAATTAATTTGGGGATGCTGAACCAACCATAGCCCAGAAGGGAAGAACTTCACAGTGTTTCCCTCACCCTTACCTTTTGCTGAGTAACAATAACTTGGCAGAGAGGAAGGGACCAGGATGCAAATTCTGCATATCCCCAGATGACACTGATAAGGATTAACACTTGATTATTTCCACAGAGGGATGCCAGAGCCTGGGGTGAAGGAACACTGAAGCCAGGTCAGCTATGGGGAGGAGGCTGCAGGGAGGTAGTAGCAGTGGGGAGAGATTGGAAATGATGTCCACATGGAGAGGCCCTCTGATGGCCCAGGCAGCAGGCCCTGCAGGAGGCCCAGGCAGGTGAAGATGTTCTCCCAAAGAAAGAATGACTCAAACAGTACATGTTCACTTAGAAAAAAAACAAGGAAATATCAGGAAAATTGATGGATGAGGCATACTAGAGGTTCCCACACTTTCTTGGCTCACAGTTGATGCCCTTAATGTCTCAGTAATTTTTTTTAACTGCACCACTAGTCCGAAAGAAATAACAGTTTCTGTTTTTGTTTGTTTTTTGAGACAGAGTCTCGCTCTGTCACCCAGGCTGGAATGCAATGGCGCAATCTCGGCTCACTGCAACTTCCACCTCCCAGATTCAAGCCATTCTCCTGCCTCAGCCTCCCGAGTAGCTGGGATTACAGGTGACTGCCACTATGCTTGGCTAATTTTTGTATTTTTAGTAGAGACGGGGTTTCACCATGTTGGTCAGGCTGGTCTCAAACTCCTGACCTCAGGTGATCCGCCCGTCTCAGCCTGCCACAGTGCTGGGATTACAGATGTGAGTCAGCACGCCTGGCCAGTTTCTGTTATTTAGTTAGATTTGAACAACCTAATGGTATTAGTTGTGCCATGTCCAACAGATGTCTCTGTTTCTCTGAAAATTTTAAAATATCTTACAGCACCACTGAGTTTGTTTCAGCATTCTAGGTTGCCTCAGCACATAGTTTGGGAACTGCATTGTTAATTTTAATAATTAATATTGAATGCTTACATTAGTTTTGAGAACTCCAGCAGTCAACTGGACTGCTGAGAGGGACTAATTGGTCCCTTTCACTAACGTATCTTTGAACTGGTTTTGTATTAACTAATAATATCCTGGGGCTACTATACTAAGATGGTGTTTGCCTTGACTGAGCCTACTACACTAACTGATAATAAGTGGTGCATGTCCACACGTGTTCTAATTACAAGGCTTGTCTAGTCAATCCTAGACAAGACGAAGACCCAGCTGAAGACCTGTAAGAGTGGTTGTGTTTGACTTTCCCCATGAAAGAAAATCACCTTGAGAGCAGACACATTGTCTCCATCTCTAGGATACAGACGTTGTCTCCATCTCTAGAATGGATACATTCCCTAGGGCTGTGCTCAGCACAAGGTGGGGACTCAACACATTTTTGTTAAATGAATGAATGACTGAATGGCTGTATCTATTTCATCCTTCCTCCCTTTTTTTTTTTTTAAGAAGATGAGCTGAGGTGTCCTAGACATTTCTAACTCAGAATTCTTCCCTGAAGAGCCTTATAGTGTCAGCCCAAAGAAGGAAAACAATCATCAAAGTCAGTGACCAATACCTAAGCTTAAAATTTCACTTGTTCTTCACTCTAAAGCAGGGGTCCCCAACTCTAAGGCCATGGACCAGTACCATTCCATGGCCTGTTAGGAACCTGGTTGCACAGCAAGAGGTGAGTGGCAGACAAGTAAGTATTATAGCCTGAGCTCTGCCTCCCGTCAGATCAGCGGCAGCATTAGGTTCTCATAGGAGCTTGAACTCTATTGTGAACTGCACATGCTAGGGATCTAGGCTGCACCCTCCTTATGAGAATCTAATGCCTGATGATCTGAGGTGGAATAGTTTCATCCTGGAACCATCCCGTCCATGGAAAAAATTGTCTTCTATGAAATCGGTCCTTGGTGCCAAAAAGGTTGGGGACCACTGCCCTAAAGGAAGCAGAAGGGGAAAAGTGCTTTAGGAATACTAAAACAAGAAAAAGAAAAATGGACAATACTTTGATGTTTTATTACTTAAGGTTGTGGCATCTTTTTCTTGATGCTTTTAAAGAAAAGGATAGATAAATTATTGGAATGGTTTGGTTACAGGCTAGCTGTGAGAGAGGGGAATAAATTAATCAACCTTTTTGTGGAAGGTTGACAGCAATATTTCAGGCCCTCATGCTCTTACAGAACCTTGACACTCTACGTCAAGAGGTGAAGTCTATTTTCCCTCTCCTTAAACTTGGATAGGATTTTGTGACTGCTCTGACTAATCAAATGCAACAGAAGTGAACTTAATTTCCAAGACAGAACCTAAAAGGCAACATAGCTTCCATCTGGCTCTCTCTCTCACTCATGGGATACTTAACTTTGGAACCCAGTCACCGTGCTGTGAGGTAGTCAAGCTAGCCACATGGAGGGGCCCATGTGGACAGGAATTAAGGTTCCTGGTCGACAGCCAGCATCAACTGCCAGATATGGGAATGAGGTGAGTCCTCCAGATGATTCCAGCTCCCAGCCTCCAAACCCTCCAACTGGTGCTGACTGGGGCAGACATGAGTCATCCCTGCCAAGCCTTACCCTGTTTAAAGAACAGATTCATGAGCAAAATAAATGCTGTGGTTGTTTAAGCCACAAGTTTGACATATTTGTTATAGAACTTTAGTAACTGAAAAACTTAAAAAAAATTTTTTTTTGAGACAGAGTGTGTCTCTGTCACCCAGGTTGGAGTGTAGTGGCCCAAACAAGGCTCACTGCAGCCTCAACCTCCTGGGATCAAGTGATCTTCCCACCTCAGCCTCCCATGTAGCTGGGACCACAGGTGTGTGTCACCACACCCTGCTAATTTTTTTGATTTTTTTGTAGAGCCGGGTCTCACTTTGTTGCCCAGGCTGGAAAGCAAGTTTTTTTTTTTTAAACATTGTATTTGAAAAATGTATACATAATATAATGAGGAACACAGAACTCTGGACATAGACTGCCTGGGTTCTAGTGCTAGCTTCAGCACTTATAAGCTCTTTGACCTTGGGCAAGTTAAACTCATCCCTGGAATGAAGGTAATAAGAATACCTACTTCATAGGATTGTTCTGATCATTAAGTGACTTAATACATGCAAAATGTTTGAAACAGTGCCCACTACAAAATAAGCTCTATGTAAGTATTCCATATGTTGTGGTGGTTTGGGTGATGGTTATTATGGGTAATACTAATGTGGTAGGCAGAATTCTAAGAAGGCCCTTGTGACTCCTGCTCCCTGCTGTCCACGCCATTGTATTATTCCCTCACTTTGAATCCAGATGGAAGCAGTGATTCGCTTCTAGTTGATAGAATATGGCAAAAGTGAGGGAATTTTGCAGATATAAAGTCCCTAAAGTTGATTTTAAGTGAATTCAAAAGGATGTTATTCTGAGTGGAGCTAACCTAATGAAGTGAGCTCTTTAAAAGAGGATCTAGAGATCAGAGACTCTGACCTGCTGGTGTTGAAGAAGCAAGCGGCTGTAAGCTCAACAGCTGTGAAGAAGTGAACGAGGCCAACTACCACCTGAGCTTGGAAGGGACCCCAAACCTAAGATGAAACTGCAGTCCAGGCCGACACTTTAATTGCAGCCTCGTGAGACCCTGGGCAGAGGACCCATTGAGCCATACCTGACTCCTGGTCCATGCAAACTATGGTATAATAAATGGGTGTTGTTTTAAGCCACTAAGTTTCTGCTAATTGGTTATGCAACAATACGCAACTAATGCAAGTAGTAAAAATTCAAACCATAATAAAGTATATACAATGAAAAGGAGATATTTTTCTACCATTCCAGACCTTCACCCTCCTCAGAAACAACCACTAATAAGAACTTGTGCTTTTGGCCGGGCACGGTGGCTCATGCCTGTAATCCCAGCACTTTGGGAGGCCAAGGCAGGTGGATCACCTGAGGTTAGCCTGGCCAACATGGTGAAATCCCGTCTCTACTAAAAATACAAAAATTAGCTGGTCATGGTGGTGCACACCTGTAATCCCAGCTACTCAGGAGGCTGAGGCACAAGAATCACTTGAACGTGGGAGGTGGAGGTTGCAGTGAGCCAAGATTGCGCCACTGCACTCCAGCCTGGAAGACAGAGTGAGACTCCATCTAAAAAAAAGAACTTGTGCTTTATCATTCCACAATCATCTATGCATGTGTAAGCATTTATATCCATCTATGTGTTGTCCATACGAATTTCCTATATGTACACACATAGTAGAGAGATAGACAGATAGATATTTTCCACTGTTTTGCATCTTGTTTTCTTCACTTAAAGACCAGAGGTCTTTTTTTTTTTTTTTTTGAGACAGAGTTTCACTCCTGTTGCCCAGGCTGGAGTGCAATGGCACGATCTTGGCTCACTGCAACCTCCACCTCCCGGGTTCAAGCAATTCTCTTGCCCCAGCCTACCAAGTAGCTGGGATTACAGGCACCCACCACCATGCCCAGCTAATTTTTTGTATTTTTTAGTAGAGACGGGGTTTCACTATGTTGGTCAGGCTGGTCTTGAACCCCTGACCTCAGGTGATCCACCTGCCTTAGCCTCCCAAAGTGCTGGGATTACAGGTGAGCCACCACACCCAGGCCAGAGATCTTTCCTTATGTTACTTTTTATTGTTGCACTACAGTTCATTGTGTGGATGTGCCATCATTTTTCCTAGTTCACTACTGATAGATATGCAGGTTGTTTTAATATTTTGCTATTAAGATAATGCTATAATAAGATTCTTATGCTTACATTTTGCATGCATTTTTCTGCATTTGTAGCATAAATTTCAGTAGTGAAACTCTTAAGTCAAAGTATATATTTTAAATTAATAGGTATTGACAAATACATCCTAAAAATTTGCACCAATTTATACTCCTACTAACCATGTATGATGGAATACTTGTTAACACCGGGTAATATGAATCACTTTGATCTTTGCCAGTTAGGCAGGTGAAAATGTATCTCACTCTCATTTGTTTTTATTTGTGTTTAAGTAATTTTGAATAATGTTGAGCATTTAAAAAAAGTTTATAAGCCCTTTTTATTTTTGTGAACTGCCCATCCATATCCACAGCCTATTTTTCTTTTATTATTATTATTATATATATATATATTTTTTGAGATGGAGTCTCCCTCTGTCACCCAGGCTGGAGTGCAGTGGTGCAATCTTGGCTCACTGCAACCTCTGCCTCCTGGGTTCAAGTGATTTCCTGCCACAGCCTCCTGAGTAGCTGGGACTACAGGCACCCGCCACCATGCCTGGCTAACTTTTGTGTTTTTAGTAGACGGGGTTTCACCAGGTTGACCAGGCTGGCCTCGAACTCCTGACCTCAGGTGATCCACCCACCTCGGCCTCCAAAAGTGCTGGGATTACAGGCATGAGCAACCACACCCGGCCATCCATAGCCTGTTTTTCTATTGAGCCAGTGGCTTCTTCCTTATTGATATACAAGACCTCTTAATACAAGAGCCTTTTGTCTTCTGCCTTACAAATATAATCCCCTGGTATACTTTTTTCACCGTTTGTCTTTTATTGAATTTTATTTATCCATGATGAAATTTCACTTTTTTATAAGGTCAAGTTTTTTTTGTTAATGGTTCTGAGTCTTGTCTTATGCCTAGAAAGACCTTCTCTGCTGTAAAACTTAAAAAAAAAAAAACCTCTTCCATATTTTCTTTGGGTGGTTTTACATTTTAATTCTTCACTTTATATATTTAATATACGTGGAATTTAAAGGTTTAACTTTATCTTTTTTCTACACAGTTAACCAGTTGTTTCAAAACCATTCATTGAATAATCCATGGTTTTCCATGATGTAAAATACTAACTTTGCAATATATTAAATTGGCACGAGCCTTTTGTCTTCTGGATTTATGCATCAGTGATACACTAACTTAATTACAGTAAATTTATAATATATTTTAACATCTAGAAACATTAATCATCCCTCACTGCTCTCCTTTTTCTGATCTCCCTGAGGGTGTTTTTATTCCTATTAGCACGAGGTGCCATTCTGCTCTATGGTTCCCAAATTATTGACTGACCTTAGGCAAGTCACCTAACTTCTATGCTTTAGCATATAATAAAGCTGATGATGGTGATATGGGAATGAATTTGTATTCATATATCTGGAAAGCATAAAGCTAAAAAAAAAAGAAAAAGTTATAAATTTAAGCCAGAAAGGAAACTATAGCGTTAACCAGGAATAAGAAAGTCAGTGCAAGGGAAATTCCCTCCGTTGGCCCCAGGTTCAAACTTTGTTCCTAATGACTAGTCCTGCATTCTTTCCTCTCTGTTTACTTTGGCATACCTCATCACACATTTAATTACAGAGTGAAAGCTATGAAACCACAGCACTGAAAGGAATCAAACCTGGCTGTCCTAAAAGCTATCTCAGCTGGAAAATGTTCCATCTTGTTTCTAAATACAGATTTCTGAAATTCTCTCTCTCTCTCTCTCACTGCCCTTGGTCCTTGTTTCAAAACTATAAATCTTCTGGTGATATATTTTTACAACTAATTATCCTCCCAGAGTAATTTATTATTTTCACTGTGGTATATAAAACAATCTCTTCTGAGAAATGAAAATTTAAAATATTATTGCCAATTAGGCTATAGATATTCAGAAAAGGCCAAGAGTACCAATTGTAGACTTCTGTGACCACACTGGCAAGGTTTTGCTTATGTAATGAAGGCCTTCTCATTTAAGTTATCCAACTCATTATTCATTCAGTGAACACTAGTCATCTACCATTTGCCAAGCACTGAGCGAGGCACTGGAGATCCTGCCTTCACTGAGCCCACACTATTGGAGGAGAGAGGCGTGTACAGAGATATTTTCCATACTGTGAGATAATTTGGCACTATATATGAAAAAGTGATTTAAATGGGCGTACCCTTTGACAATTTTCACTTCTAAGAATTTATTTTATTTTTTTCAAGGCAGAGTCTCACTCTGTCACCCAAGCTGGGTGTAATGTCGCAATTTCTGCTCACTGCAGCCTCAACCTCCTGGACTCAAGCAATCCTCCCACCTTAGCCTCCCGAGTAGCTGGGACTACAGGCACACGCTACCATGCCAAGCTATTTATTTTTATTTTTTGTAGAGACAGTGTTTCCCCATGTTGCCCAGGCTGGTGGTAAACTCCTGGGCTCAAGTGATCTGCCCACCTCGCTTTCCAAAGTGCTGGGAATACAGGCAAGACCCACCATGCCTGGCCCTAAGAATTTATTTAAGAACAGCTAGGTGCAGCGGCTCACGCCTGTAATCCCAGCACTTTGGGAGGCCAAGAAGGGCGGACCACAAGGTCAGGAGTTCAAGACCAGCCTGACCAACATGGTAAAACCCTGTCTCTACTAAAAATACAAAAATTAGCTGGGCGTGGTGGCACACACCTGTAATCCCAGCTACTCGGGAGGCTGAGGCAAGAGAATCACTTGAACCTGGGAGGCAGAGGTTGCAGTGAGCCGAGATTGTAGCACTGCACTCCAGCCTGGGCAATAGAGCAAGACTCTGTCTCGGAAAAATAAATAAATAAGTAAATTTATTTATTTAAGAAAATATTGAAATGGATGAACAAAAGGTATATGAACGAGTATCATAGCATTTCCACAATAATGATAATCGTCAGGAAAGAGACAAAATCAAACTACCTAAATATCCAGCAACTGGGAGAATCAAGTAAATAAACTATGACAAAACCATGTGATTGAATACTGTCAAACCACTGAAAGAAAAAAACTATACAAATATATAGATATAGCTATGGGTGATGATTCCTGATTTATTAACTGAAAAAAGTCACAAAACAGGAAGTGTTACCTGACTCTATTTTTGTAAAAATAAAATACACTTACAAACAAATTTTTAAAATATGAAACGATGTACATCCTAATGTTAAAAAAGAGTTATTTAACATTTGATTGGATTGTTGGTTATAAATTATTATATGTAAATGATTATATGATGGTTTATAATATGAATTGGGTATCTGGTTATAGACGATTTTTGTATTTTCAAAAAATAATATAGTGTAAAACCTAATTATATATTCATATATATATTTTACAAAGAACATGTATATTTTTAGTCAGAACAAAAGTTTCTAAACCTAAGGCGTAATACAGTAACAGTGAGTCAACAGGCATTCCTTTCAGTAACGGGAATATAGCACCTTCTGTGTGTTGGGCCTGAGCCGCACTAGAGGAGCCAAAGCTAATGGGAGGGGTTTCCTGCTCTCAAGGCCCAGCCTAGAAGGTTGTGAGAGCAGAGGGTCACCCACCGGAGCATGGGGAAACATGGATGGGCAGCAGAGAGATGCACAGAGTGTCACTGGAGCTGTGCCTTAAAGAATGAGGAAGAGTTTCCTAGATAGTATGGGAAAGGCTGTGAAGGTTGTCCAGGCAAAGGCAACAAGATCAGAGTCTCAAGAAAAAACAGAAAGGTCAGGGCTGCAGTTGGTTGTGCAGTTTGCACTGCAGAAAGCTACCTGCTGAGGAAGGAGGAGTGGGGCGGATATGCAGGATGGGCTTTGCTTGCCAAGTTATACGTCCCATTTGCAACCACCCAAAGAAGTATCCACTCCCCATCTTTTTTTTTTTTTTGATAGAGGAAAGGGGACTTTTGTTTCTGCAAGCACCTTCTGCTTGTGAAGCTGTGGGTCTGGAGGCTTTGTCCACCCAGAGAGGGATACCTTTTCCTATTTACAGAAGGTGCACTGAGGGCTTTGAAACCTCTGTCCAAAAAAGTCCTTAAATCCTGACTTGGGAAAAACCATACCTGACAATGTCTTCCTGAGGATGAAAGAGCCCTGTCATATGCTCTCCAGAGCCATTGTAATGCATGTGATAGGCTTTATATAATAAGAGCCATCATTGCAAGATGCTGGGAAGATGTGGAAAGTGTTGCCGAGAAAAAATTAAAATTGGGTAAATGTTTCAGCTTAACAGCATGAATGTGTATCAAAAGCCTTTCAAATAAGGATTCCTTTTTACTTTGCAATTCTGCTTTTCAAAAAATTTTTTTTAATGCATTCTAAAGAATAAGTATAAAGGTTTGAATGTGATTCATTGCAGAAGTTATTTATAATAGTCGAAAAAATTCACAATCTTGGTTGGATGCCCTGGCTCACACCTTTAATCCCAACATTTTGGGAGGCTGAGGCAGGTGGATTATTTGAGCCCAGGAGTTTGAGACCAGCCTGGGCAACATGGCAAAAACCCATCTATATAAAAAAATACAAACATTAGCCAGGTGTGGTGGCATGCACCCACAGTCCCCACTACTCGGGAAGCTGAGGTGGGAGGATCACCTGAGCCCAGGAGGTCAAGGCTGCAGTAAACCAAGATTGTGCCACTGCACTCCAGACTGGGTGACAGAGCAAGACCCTGTCTCAAAAAACAAACCACAGTCTTAATGTTCAGCATTAAGAACAGTTGGTTGGTTCAATAAAGTACAATACCTCTGTATTAGGAAATACTAAACTAGGCAGCAGTTAAAAATCATGTTTTAGGCCAGGCATGGTAGCTCACGTCTGTAATACCAGCACTTTGGGAGGCCAAGGTGGCGGATCACCTGAGGTCAAGAGATCAAGACCAGCTTGGCCAACATGGTGAAACTTCATCTCTACTAAAAGTACAAAAATTAGCTGGGCATGGTGGCACTTGCCTGGGAGCTACTCGGGAGGCTGAGGCAGGAGAATCGCTGGAACCCAGGAGGCAGAGGTTGCAGTGAGCCAAGATTGTGCCACTGCACTCCAGCCTGGCTGACAGAGCGAGACTCCATCTAAAAAAATAAAAAATCATGTTTTAGAGCTGATTAATTCCCAGACTAGGTGAAGTGCCTCTGCAACAACACCCTAAGCACTGTGCTTCTCCTGTGTTTGCACTAGGCAGACTTTATTGCTGTGGCTTACTGAATTGTGTGTCCTCCCTGCAGACAGAGACCATGTCCCTTTTGTTCACCATTTGTCCTCAATGTCTAGCACAGTGTCTCACATATAGTAAGCAGTTCCTTTATCAAGGTTTAGTCAATGAATGAATTACTAGATACATACAAAAAGAAGACTGGAAGAATATATGCCAATAGATTAAGAAAGCTATTTTTTTATATTTAAAATGTTTACTCCTTTATACTTTTTTACATGTTCCAAATTTTCTACAATGGCCCTAGTATAATTTTGTAATCAAAAGAGAACATACTATTTTTAAAATTTGTAACTCAGCAGCCTGTCATAAAGTATCTGGAGCCCAATTTTTAATATGAGACTTCTGTTTGGCTCTGCCCTACTTTAGCAGATCTATTAACTACAAATCAGAACTCAAGTATTATGCAAGTTAAAAGGTGATTATTCTCAATGCCAAAGGATTTATCAAAAGGTCCATTACATTATAAATTATCCTAGGATATTTAAATGTTGATATGATTTTCAAAATATTCCATCCAGACCGGGCACGGTGGCTCGTGCCTGTAATCCCAGCACTCTGGGAGACCAAGGCGGGTGGATCGCTTGAGGTCAGGAGTTCAAGACCAGCCTGGCCAACATGGTGACACCCTGTCTCTCCTTCAAATACAAAAATTAGCAGGGTGTGGTGGCACATGCCTGTAGTCCTAGCTCCTTGGGAGGCTGAGGCTGGAGAATCTCTTGAACCTGGGAGGCAGAAGCTGCAGTGAGCCAAGATCGTGCCACTGCACTCCAGCCTGGGTGACAAGAGTGAAATTCCATCTCAAAAAAAATTTTTATATATATAGATACACACATATATATATATATTCCATCCATATACTAATTTTCCAAGACAAATATTCAAGAAAGCTTCAGTGGCTTAATTTTATTTTGCGAAAGTTACTGTTTGGAAATCATCCTTCTAATCCAAGCAGGTCATTTTGCCCAGTGCAGAGATGGCAGCAGGTATTTTTATGATCATTTGAGATTTACAATTTACTTCTTTTTAAAGTAAAAACTATGTGGTTCTTCCTGGTAATTTTTTTTGTTTTTTTCCTGGAAGGTTACATCTAGATATTCTTAGCCAGGACCATTTCATAAATGGAAAACACAAAACCAGACATAGTTTTAGGTCCTCAACTGTTTCATTCTATGGCTCAACTATCCTCTGGGCCCTAACGGCACACATTTCTGTCTCCTCATTTTCTTTTGCAGAGTCCCTGTGCACAGAGAAAAATACTTAGGTAATCAAAGTTATTCATCTGAATCCACCCCTTTGGGGCTCCTTCCTAGTTTATCGGTGGTCCATTTCTGCCTAGTTAGCATCCCTCTCAAACACAGACACACATGCCCCATAATCATAAACTGTCCTGTGTTCTCTGCAGACAAAAATCCCATGGTTCAGTTTTTCTCTCACTCCAAACAAAACTGATGTGCCCAGCGTTCCTCTTATTCATGTCTTAGTACAAAAACTTAGTAAAAAAAAATGACATGGCATAGGGTTTTTAGTGGTTTACAGGTTCCTGTTGGCAGATGTCAGGCTTGCTTTTTAGCACCAGGGTAACATAATACCCTCCCATAAGGCTGTAATTCCAGTGGTGGTAATTTCATGAGTGCTTCAATAGTTTTGGTTCTACATGTTATAGCAGCTGTCTTCTAGTAACCACTACCCAACCCACGAACCTGTTCCAGTGCCCCCAGGAAAGTGTGGATGAAAGGGAGAGTGCTAACAACCCAAGGAGGAGTCCCTTTGTTTTCCAAGTCCCTGGATTCTGTCCCTATGTCTTCCTGCTGGCAGGGGCAAGGTGACATTTCCTAGCAGAAGAAATATGCACACAGTGAAAGAGAAGCTGTCTTGTCAAATACAAAAGCAAATAAAAGTACACGAGTGAATACAGGGGGCCTAATTGCAGGCTCATTCAAATTCAGTCCAGCCTTTCTTGTCAGTGCCCTAATAACTGTGTTATACAGTGGCATGATCATAGCTCACTATAGCCTCAACCTCCTGTGCTCAAGAGATCCTCCCACCTCAGCCTCTCAAGTAACTGAGACTACAGGCGCATGCCAGTGCCTGGCTAATTTTTAAAAAAATTTTTAGTATAGCTGAGGTGTTGCTATGTTGGTCAAGCTGGTCTCAAACTCCTGGGCTCAAGCAATCCTTCCACCTTGGTCTCCCATAGTGTTGGGATTACAGATATGAGTCACCACACCCAGCCTCCTGACTCTTATCTTCAGAGCACACGGCTTTGGTCCAGAGGGGCTCCTGTGGTTATGGCTGGTGTGTGTAATTTCACAGGTCTTTGTCACCTCCACAGGTTGGTTCTCTGTCCTCCTTTATCAAGACCTGTGGTAAGGTCCCTTTGCTTAGTGGAAAGGCTGGAATGCTGCTGTGGGTCTTCTCATTCAAGAGGTCACTATCTTTGCAAGTCTGTTGCTCTCCAAAGCTCCCATTCCTTATTATAACTCTGGTTCTTGATAGTGAATTGGAGCTTGGTTAAATGTAACTTGATAGCTGGGGTAAATTTGGACACCTGCTCTTGATCTTCAAAAGCAGCAACACCCAATGCAAATATGTGATCTACCCATGTGATTTGAAATATTCTGGGTTTCAATTACATATGTAATTGTTTTAGTCTGTTTTATGCTGCTATAACAGAATATCTCTGTTTGAGGAAAAAAACTCTCGAACTGTTTTTCCTCTGCTCTCATACCACAAAAATCATCAACACAGAAGACTTCTATAACCAAATATGTAGGGGGTAAATTGGTGCATACACCAAGCAGCGGACACCAGCTAGGTGTCCTCCAATTCAGTTCTGACACTATCTACCAAGAGATAGTGCCAGAACCAGAGGTTGAGGGCTCAGTCCCATGAGATCACCCCCTACTTCCCACCAGTCACAAGTCCAGACCTCCAGAACTTCTGAACAGCTGGCTCCAAGTTGGGGTTCCCACAACCTCTCTATGGGTTTGATTAATTGGCTGGAGTATGGGGGAAATTCAGCCAGATATCGGGCGAAATTCACCCCCAATATTTCACGTAGGTTCTTTTCTATATTCCCTAAGTGTTGGCCAGTCTGAGAAATAAAGGGACAGAGTACAAAAGAGAGAAATTTTGAAGCTGGGTGTCCAGGGGAGACATCACATGTTGGCAGGTTCTGTGATGCCCCCTGAGCCGTAAAACCAGCAAGTTTTTATTGGTGATTTTCAAAAGGGGAGGGAGTGTATGAATAGGGTGTTGGTCACAGAGATCACGTGCTTCATAAGGTAATAGAATATCACAAGACAAATGGAGGCAGGGCAAGATCACAGGATCACAGGACCGGGGCAAAATTAAAATTGCTAATGAAGTTTTGGGCATGCATTGTCATTGATAGCATCTTATCAGGAGACAGGGTTTGAGAGCAGACAACCAGTCTGACCAAAATTTATTAGGCAGGAATTTCCTCATCCTAATAAGCCTGGGAGCACTATGGGAGACTGGGGCTTATTTCATCCCTACAGCTTCGACCATAAAAGATGGCCACCCCCTGAAGTGGCCATTTCAGAGGCCTACCCTCACTGACACATTCTCTTTCTCAGGGATGTTCCTTGCTGAGAAAAATAATTCAGCGATATTTCTCCCATTTGCTTTTGAAAGAAGAGAAATATGGCTCTGTTCCGCCCGGCTCACCGGCAGTCAGAGTTTAAGGTTATCTCTCTTGTTCCCTGAACATTGCTGTTATCCTGTTCTTTTTTCCAGGTGCCCAGATTTCATATCGTTCAAACACACATACTCTACAAACAATTTGTGCAGTTAACGCAATCATCACAGGGTCCTGAGGTGACATATATCCTCCTCAGCTTATGAAGATGATGGGATTAAGAGATTAAAGACAGGCATAGGAAATCACAAGGATATTGATTGGGGAAGTGATAAGGGTCCATGAAATCTTCACAATTTATGTTCAGAGATTGCAGTAAAGACAGGCGTAAGAAATTATAAAAGTATTAATTTGGGGAACTAATAAATGTCCATGAAATCTTCACAATTTATGTTCTTCTGCCATGGCTTCAGCCGGTTGGTCCCTCCATTCGGGGTTCCTGACTTCCTGCAACACTGGAGTGGCTCACAGAACTCAGGGAAATACTTACATTTAACGGTTTATTATAAGAGACAGTACAGAAGATACAGATGAAGGCCAGACATAGTGGCTCATGCCCGTAATCCCAGCACTTTGGGAGGCCAAGGCAGGAGGATCGCTTGAGGCCAAGGTATGGGGGAAGGGATGCAGAGCTTCCATGCCTTCCCTGGGCACGCCACCCTCTAAGAACCTCCACATGTTCAGCTATCCAGAAGCTCTCCAAACTCTGCCCTTTTGGGGTTTTACAAAGGCTTCATTACATAGGCATGATTAACAACCATGTAGAAATGTGATTAGACAAAAAGCACATAATCTAAACCCAGCAAGTCCTGCCTGTTCAGGCTTTTCTTGGCCTGTGTAGCATTCCTTCCTCTAGAGTATGGGACAGAACCCTTTCTGGAATGAGGATCTTATGACCCACAATCAGATTAGAGTCCTGCCTTGGGCAGGTGAAAGAAAAACAGAAGGTCAGAGAGAGATTCCGTTTCCTGAGGCCTGTTCCTGAAGCCTAAAGTGCCCCAACATTATAATATAAAAAAAAGACTGGGCTGGGCACAGTGGCTCATGTCTGTAATCCCAGCACTTTGGGAGGCCAAGGCGGGTGGATCACAAGGTCAGGAGTTCAAGACCAGCATCTTGCCAAGATGGTGAAACTCACTCCAGCCTGGGCAACAAAGCGAGACTCTGTCTCAAAAAAAAAACAAACAAACAAACAACAAAAAAAAACTGTAACAAGGGTTATGGGAGTTATAAGCCAGGAACCATGGATAAAAGCCAATATATATATCATAACACCACAACCCGAGACTGAGCAATTTATAAATAACAGAAATGTATTCTCTTACAATTATGGAGGCTGGGAAGTCCAAGATCAAGGCTCCAGTGATTTCAGTTTCTATTTCCAAGATGATGCCACTTTGCTGCATCTTTTGGAGAGAAGGAGCATTGTGTACTCACCTGGCAGAAGAGCAGAAGGTACCAACCCATTCCCACAAGCCCTTTTTATAGTAGCATTCATCCATTCATGAGGGTGGAGCCATCATAACCTAAACATTGTCCATTAGGCCCTATCTCCCAGCACTATTAGGGATTAATTTTCAACATGAGCTTTGGAGAAGAAAAAAATATTCAAACCACAGCAGTAATTTGAAAACATAAAAAGAAATGGGTGAAATTAATTTTAATAATATATTTTATTTAACCCAAAAAGTCCAAAATACTATCATGTAATCAATAAACAGTATAAACATTATTAACAAGATATTTTATATTTTTTTCTGTACCCAGTCTTTGAAATCCAGTGTGAATTTTATACCCATAGTACATCTGAGTTTGGACTACTCATATTTCAAGTGCTCAAGAGCCACATGTGGGCTAGCGGCTACCACATAGGACAACACAGTTCTAGAGGAAGCATGGCATGACTTTGGAGGTCATCTAGTCTGACTTGTTATTTACAGCAAAGTTAAGTACGTTGCCTGAGGTTATACAACTTATTAGTAGATGAGGAACAATTAGAATCCAATTATCTTCATGCTACCCCATGCTTTTATTCACAAAGCTGATTGGCAGCAAAGCTGCACTAGCGCTCATGCCTCTTCACACCTGCTCTTGGGCTCTTTTCTACAAGGCATTGCCCCCCTTCCTGTCTTTCTCCTAAATAAGCTATTGTAAAAAGCTTCACTGGAAACAATTTGGCTGTGAACCAAGACTAAAGTGGGGTTTAATACTTCCATATCTTTCCACAAAGATACATTTTTTATGACTTGTCACCCTTGTCCCCAGAAACTCATGGTTTCCATAAGCTACTTAAAAACTGATTATGCAATGGGTCTCAACATAAGTGTCCATCAGAATCACCTATAGAGCTTTTACAAAATTCAAATGACTGGTCTCCTACCTGGGAGTTCTGGTTTACAAATCAGGGAAAGGGGAGAGTCATTTAGATTGATTTTTTTTAATGTTCCCCAAATGATTCTGATGCACACCCCACCTCACAGTGACCCTGCCAGCTGCCAGATCTCCATTGACATCCCCTGACCCCCAGGCAGGATGAACACAAGTTAGGAGCTTAATAAGTCGAGGAGGAGCCTGGTCTTAAGGAAAGAAACATGAGAAATAGATACCCTGAACACCTCCCAGGGCGGGGCCACCTGGCTTACTTTTCCTCTGCACTTTCTCTGTGCCCAAGGACACCTTTAGCCTCATTTCCTGATCGAACAGCCTCACTTGTGTTGCTGTCAGTGCCAGTAGGGCAGGCAGGAATGCAGCAGAGAGGACTCGCCATCGTGGCCTTGGCTGTCTGTGCGGCCCTACATGCCTCAGAAGGTGAGTGGGGGCACTGGACACTTAGGCCTTCACTGGAAAGGGGGGTATCTCCCAAATCTGTGCTGGAAGGATTGAGGTGGGGCAAGAATATCTATCTCTTCAAGCAGGAATTTCCAATTGATTTCTGATTACCTACAAGAGAATGACATAGCTTTAAATTCTAGATCTCCCAGAAGTTTCAGGAAGGAACCTCATTCTAACAGGCATACTACAAATTTTTGCCACCTGGAGGATGAGGTCCTTCCATGTAGGTACAACTTCGAGCTATGTTTCCTTTTCTGAAGACAGTATCTTAGAAAATCCCCAGCTAGAGGCTGGAGTAAAGCCCCTACTATTCATCTGTCTTCCTCCACACCCCAACCTGCTAAACGGTCTGAACACAACTGTGCACATTCCTGGAGGGAAATACAGACTTGGCCAGCTGCGTTCAAATTAGGTAAGTTGTAAATTTCCTGAGCAAAGTCAGCTCTATGGATACAGAAAACTGAAACTTCAGTCTGACCTTTAAAAAGGGAGGGCAGAGCTGAGCACAGTGGTGCATGCCTGTATTCCCACCTACTTGGGAGGCTACGGCTGGAGGATAGCTTCAGGCCAGGAATTCAAGATTGCAGTGAGCTATGATCACACTGTGAATTGCCACTGCACTCTGAATTGCCACTGCACTCCAGCTTGGGCAACATAGTAAAACCCCATCTGTTAAAAACAAAAAGAGGGGAGGGGAGGGGAAAGAGAAGGAAAGGAAGAAAGGAAAGGAAAGAAAGAAAAAGAAGAAAAGCAGGATGAGGGAGATTGAACCATACAAATTATGTCAAAGAGAATTTAAATCGTGAGTTGCTAGCATGTATTTGGAGATTGTAACTGCATTTGAACTAGAGGGAATCTCTTCTAAAGTAGCACTCACTACTATATTCAGGAAACCCTAAGTGTCAGTACTTAATACTTGACCAATGACTCTTTTCCATTGTCATCTTTTCTTTAAGCTTTATCCTGAACAGATTCTCTAAGTCTAGAGCAGAGGTGGAATATAAGTCTTTGGTCTGCTTTTTAAAAATCTGAGCCAACATTTTAAAACTGAAAGCTTTCTCATGTACATACTCATACATACACACATACAAATTGGATTTTAAAGCTTCTCTTGAGAAATCAGATGTGGCAACAATGATTCCACCATACCATGGCAAGAACTGGCTAAAGCAGATGAGCCTCTGAAGTTTGCTGTATTAACTGCCTGGTCCCTGCAGGCATTTGCTTAGGGACTCCCAATATAGTCCGTCAATGTACTGGGCTTATACAAATAAGCAACAGAAAAAACCTGGACAATCTCTTCTCAATTTCTACTAATCTATCTATCTTATCAATATAAAGACAAAAATTTGTCACTTTATGTTTCTGTAACATTTCTCAGAAAAATTCACCATTGAGATTTGGGGACTCATTTTCACTATTTCTGAAAGGCCTACCTGCTAAGGCTTCACTCCTAGTTCTGGTAATTCCACCAACTCAAATTTTTTACATAAAACTTTGAAATGTGTACCTCCATCCAGCTTCCTGACCTACTCCCACCTGTCCCCACAGCGGCAGCTCTCCTACAGGAAAGGAGGGAGGGAACAGCAGGTCGAGGAGGCAGAGGGTAATGAGGAAGGCTCTGCCATACCCAGGACCCACCTTCACATGGGACTGAGTCCTGGTAGAGACGGTGGGGTGGAACGGCAAAATGCAGAGGTGTGTGAAAAGGTACGGCTGCTGGTGATAATAAGGAAGGGAGCCGAGAGACCCAGCAATAGCCTTTTGGGTTAGTCTCGATGCTTTACCTAAGGCAGTTTAGGCCACAGGAAAATCACATTGCCTGAGAAGCTCCAAACTTCTGTCATTTAAAAATAAGTGATACTGGGTAAAAATACACAAGTAGGCCTGAGAACAGTCGTGGAATAGAGGGGCAACGCCACAGCTATTCTTAACAAACTTCCACTCAAGTGTCCATGTAAGCCAGGTGCCCTGTGGGAGGCACTTAAGTGATTCTGGCTCCAGGGAGGGGGTGGAAAACCAAGTGGGGAGGGAGGAAGGTAGAGAACACTCAACAACTCAACAGTGCAGAGAAGAGGACAGGTGGCCTTGGCAAGGGGAATAGGAAAAAGGCCTGTGCCAGTTTGGAACTTTGGGAAATATATTTTGTTTCCTTGAGGCAGAAAGCTGTTCCCTTATCTTAATGGTGTCTTAAATGGCTATCTTGTTGTGATGGCTCAATAACTGGCATTCCCTAAGTGTTTTGCATAAATCAGGAAGCAGGTGACTTTATCTATAATTAAAAGCCTTGGATTCTGCCCAAAGGTAGGGCACACTCCACCTCTGCTGACGTGGCTGCTGGCTCCCAGAACTCAATACTGAATCCATAAACATGTCTATCATCCTGTTTCGGTGGCCCTGAGCCTGATTATTTAAACCCACAATCTAGGACTTTGTGGGCCTGGCTGTTTTATTGTACATTAAGATTAAGGCTCACTTGTGCCCAGCAGATTCAAGTTAGGAGGTTTTGCTGCAGTGAGTCCCAAATTGCCTTCCCACTGACAACCTTCTTTCTCAGAGTACAATGGCTACTGAATCACACCAATACTTGCTAGAGATTTGCTGCTTGCATCCTAAAACGTTTACCTTTTGTTTTAATCATAAGACTCTGGCTAGGGAAGGTTACCACGAATATACATTTGTGACTCAATGTTGTTCTGCACAATTGGGACTCCAATTGTGGTCCCTAAGAGGTCTGACATAGGTGGGACTACAGGTGCATGCCACCACACCTAGCTAATTTTTTGTTTGTTTGTTTTTGGAGATGGAGTTTGTTGCTCTTGTCGCCCAGGCTGGAGTGCAATGGTGCAATCTCGGCTCACTGCAACCTCCGCCTCCTGGGTTCAAGCAATTCTCCTGCCTCAGCCTCCTGAGTAGCTGGGATTAGAAGCGTGCACCACCACACCCAGCTAATTTTTGTATTTTTAGTAGAGACGGGGTTTCACCATGTTGGCCAGGCTGGTCTCAAACTCCTGACCTCAGGTGATACACCCACCTCGGCCTCACAAAGTGCTGAGATTACAGGTGTGAGCCACCATGCCCAGGCACACCTGGCTAATTAAAAAAATTTTTCTTGTAGAGATAGAGTCTCACTATGTTGCCCAGACTGGTCTTGAACTCCTGGCCTCAAGCAAGTCTCCTGCCTTGGCCTCGCTGCCTGTAATCCCAGCAATTGGGAGAATGAGGCAGAAAGATTGCTTGAGCCCAGGAGTTCGAGGCTGCAGTGAGCCATGATCGCACCACTGCACTTCAGCCTGGGTGAAAGAGTGAGACTCTCATTTCAAAAAAAAAAAAAAGTAAAAAATTACCAAAAAAATAAAATTACCAAAAATGTCACAAAAATTAAAGAATTTATCCTAATATTATGAAAGTTACAAATACTTAGTGTATTTTCAAATATAAAAATTTAAAGAATTAAAAAAAGGAAAGTCCCTCTTCATCATTCCTTTAATCCCTCTCCCCTCTCCAGAGGGTTCTGCATATCCTTCCAGAATTTCCTCTATGCATTTAGCAATGTGAACCCACACATACATCCACACCAATTTTTTTTTATTATACTTAAAGGTCTAGGGTACATGTGCACAATGTGCAGGTTTGTTACATATGTATACATGTGCCATGTAGGTGTGCTGCACCCATTAACTCATCATTTACAATAAGTATATCTCCTAACGCTATCCCTCCCCGCTCCCCCCACCTTACGACAGGCCCTGGTGTGTGATGTTCCCCACCCTGGGTCCAAGTGTTCTCACTGTTCAATTCCCACCTATGAATGAGAACATGCGGTGTTTGGTTTTCTGTCCTTGCAATAGTTTGCTCAGAATGATGGTTTCCAGCATCATCCATGTCCCTACAAAGGACATGAACTCATCCTTTTTTATGGCTGCCTAGTATTCCATGGTGTATATGTGCCACATTTTCTTAATCCAGTCTATCATTGATGGACATGTGGGTTGGTTCCAAGTCTTTGCTATTGTGAATAGTGCTGCAATAAACATACATGTGCATGTGTCTTTATAGCAGCATGATTTATAATCCTTTGGGTAAATGCCCAGTAATGGGATGGCTGGTCAAATAGTATTTCTAGTTCTAGATCCTTGAGAAATCACCACACTGTCTTCCACAATTGTTGAACTAGTTTAGAGTCCCACTAACAGTGTAAAAGTGTTCCTATTTCTCCACATCCTCTCCAGCACCTGTTGTTTCCTGACTTTTGAATGATTGCCATTCTAACTGGTGTGAGATGGTATCTCATTGTGGTTTTGATTTGCATTTCTCTGATGGCCAGTGATGATGAGCATTTTTTCATGGTCTGTTGGCTGCATAAATGTCTTCTTTTCAGAAATGTCTGTTCATATCCTTCACCCACTTTTTGATGGGGTTGATTTTTTCTTGTAAATTTGTTTAAGTTCTTTGTAGATTCTGGATATTAGCCCTTTGTCAGATGGATAGATTGTAAAAATTTTTCTCCCATTCTGTAGGTTGCCTGTTCACTCTGATGGTATTTTCTTTTGCTGTGCACAAGTTCTTTGGTTTAATTAGATCCCATTTGTCAATTTTGGCTATTGTTGCCATTGCTTTTGGTGTTTTAGTCATGAAGTCCTTGCCCATGCCTATGGCATGTATGGTATTGCATAGGCTTTCTTCTAGGGTTTTCATGGTTTTTGGTCTAACACTTAAGTCTTTAATCCATCTTGAATTAATTTTTGTATAAGGTGTAAGGAAGGGATCCAGTTTCAGCTTTCTACATATGGCTAGCCAGTTTTCCCAGCACCATTTATTAAATAGGGAATCCTTTCCCCATTTCTTATTTTTGTCAGGTTTGTCAAAGATCAGATGGTTGTAGATGTGTGGTATTATTTCCGAGGACTCTGTTCTGTTCCATTGGCCTATATCTCTGTTTTGGTACTAGTACCATGCTGTTTTGGCTACTGTAGCCTTGTAGTATAGTTTGAAGTCAGGTAGTGTGATGCCTCCAGCTTTGTTCTGTTTTGCTTAGGATTGTCTTGGCAACGTGGGCTCCTTTTTGGTTCCATATGAAGTTTAAAGTAGATTTTTCCAATTCTGTGAAGAAAGTCACTGGTAGCTTCATGGGGATGGCACTGAATCTATAAATTACCTTGGGCAGTATGGCCATTTTCATGATATTGATTCTTCATATCCATGAGCATGGAATGTTCTTCCATTTCTTTGTATCCTCTTTTATTTCATTGAGCAGTGGTTTGTAGTTCTCTTTGAAGAGGTCCTTCACATCCCTTGTAAGTTGGATTTCAAGGTATTTTGTTCTCTTTGAGGCAATTGTGAATGGGAGTTCACTCATGATTTGGCTCTCTGTTTGTCTGTTATTGGTGTATAGGAATGCTTGTGATTTTTGCACATTGATTTTGTATCCTGAGACTGCTGAAGTTGCTTATCAGCTTAAGGAGATTTGGGGCTGAGACAATGGGGTTTTCTAAATATACAATCATGTCGTCTGCAGACAGGGACATTTTGACTTCCTCTTTTCCTAATTGAATATCCTTTCTTTCTCCTGCCTAATTGCCCTGGCCAGAACTTCCAACACTATGATGAATAGGAAGGTGAGAGAGGGCATCCCTGTCTTGTGCCAGTTTTCAAAGGGAATGCTTCCAGTTTTTGCCCATTCCGTATGATATTGGCTGTGGGTTTGTCATAAATAGCTCTGATTATTTGGAGATACGTCCCATCAATACCTAATTTATTGAGAGTTTTTAGCATGAAGAGTTGTTGAATTTTGTCAAAGGCCTTTTCTGCATCTATTGAGATAATCATGTGGTTTTTGTCATTGGTTCTGTTTATATGCTAGATTACGTTTATTGATTTGTGTATGTTGAACCAGCCTTGCATCCCAGGGATGAAGCCCACTTGATCATGGTGGATAAGCTTTTTGATGTACTGCTGGATTTGGTTTGTGAGTGTTTTATTGAGGATTTTTGCATCGATGTTCATCAAGGATATTGGTCTAAAATTCTCTTTTTTTGTTGTGTCTCTGTCAGGCTTTGGTATCAGGATGATGCTGGCCTCATAAAATGAGTTAGGGAGGATTCCCTCTTTTTCTATTGATTGGAATAGTTTTAGAAGGAATGGTACCAGCTCCTTCTTGTACCTCTGGTAGAATTCAGCTGTGAATCCATCTGGTCCTGGACTTTTTTTGGTTGGTAGGCTATTAATTATTGCCTCAATTTCAGAGCCTGTTATTGGTCTATTCAGGGATTCAGCTTCTTCCTGGTTTAGTCTTGGGAGGGTGTATGTGTCCAGGAATTTATCCATTTCTTCTAGATTTTCTAGCTTATTTGCATAGAGGTGTTTATAGTATTCTCTGATGGTAGTTTGTATTTCTGTGGGATTGGTGGTGATATTCTCCTTATCATTTTTTATTGCGTCTATTTGATTCTTGTCTCTTTTCTTATTTATTAGTCTTGCTAGTGGTCTATCAATTTTGTTGATCTTTTCAAAAAACCAGCTCCTGGATTCATTGATTTTTTGAATGGTTTTTTGTTTGTCTATCTCCTCCAGTTCTGCTCTGATCTTAGTTATTTCTAGACTCCTGTAGGCTTTTGAATGTGTTTGCTCTTGCTTCTCTAGTTCTTTTAATTGTGATGTTAGGGTGTCAATTTTAGATCTTTCCTGCTTTCTCTTGTTCACATGTAGTGCTATAAATTTCCCCCTACACACTGCTTAAAATGTGTCCCAGAGATTCTGGTATGTTATGTCTTTGTTCTCATTGGTTTCAAAGAACATCTTTATTTCTGCCTTCATTTTGTTATGTACCCAGTAGTCATTCATGAGCAGGTTGTTCAGTTTCCATGTAGTTAAGCAGTTTTGAGTGAGTTTCTTAATCCTGAGTTCTAGTTTGATTGCATGTGGTCTGAGAGACAGTTTGTTATAATTTCTGTTCTTTTACATTTGCAGAGCAGTGCTTTACTTCCAACTATTTTGGAATAAGTGCAATGTGATGCTAAGAAGAACGTATATTCTGTTGATTTGGGGTGGAGAGTTCTGTAGATGTCTATTAGGTCTGCTTGGTGCACATCTGTGTTCAATTCCTGGATATCTTTGTTAACTTTCTGTCTTGTTGATTTGTCTAATGTTGACAGTGGGGTGTTAAAGTCTCCCATTATTGTGTGGGAGTCTAAGTCTCTTTGTAGGTCTCTAAGAGCTTGCTTTATGAATCTGGGTGCTCCTGTATTGGGTGCATATGTATTTAGGATAGTTAGCTCTTCTTGTTGAATTGATACCTTTACCGTTATGTAATGGCCTTCTTTGTCTCTTTTGATCTTTGTTGGTTTAAAGTCTGTCTTATCAGAGACTAGGATTGCAACCCTGTTTTTTTTGTTTTCCATTTGCTTGGTAGATCTTCCTTCATCCCTTTATTTTGAGCCTGTGTGTGTCCCTGCACTTGAGATGGGTCTCCTGAATGCAGCGCACACTGATGGGTCTTGACTCTTTATCCAGTTTGCCAGTCTGTGTCTTTTAATTGGAGCATTTAGCCCAATTACATTTAAGGTTAATATTGTTATGTGTGATTTTCATCCTGTCATTATGATGCTAGCTGGTTATTTTGCCCGTTAGTTGATGCAGTTTCTTCCTAGCATCGATGGTCTTTACAATTTGGCATGTTTTTGCAGTGGCTGGTACTGGTTCTTTCTTTCCATGTTTAGTGCTCCCTTCAGGAGCTCTTGTAAGACAGGCCTGGTGGTGACAAAATCTCTCAGCATTTGCTTGTCTGTAAAGGGGTTTATTTCTCCTTCACTTATGAAGCTTAGTTTGGGTGGATATGAGATTCTGAGTTGAAAATTCTTTTCTTTAAGAATGTTGAATATTGGCCCCTACTCTCTTCTGGCTTGTAGAGTTTCTGCTGAGGGATCAGCTGTTAGTCTGATGGGCTTCCCTTTGTGGGTAACCCGACCTTTCTCTCTGGCTGCCCTTAACATTTTTTCCTTCATTTCAACTTTGGTGAATCTGACAATTATGTGTCTCAGAGTTGCTCTTCTTGAGGAGTATTTTGTGGCATTCTCTGTATTTCCTGAATTTGAATGTTGGCCTGCCTTGCTAGGTTGGGGAAGTTCTCCTGGATGATATCCTGAAGAGTGTTTTCCAACTTGGTTCCATTCTCCCCGTCACTTTCAGATACACCAATCAGACGTAGATTTGGTCTTTTCACATAGTCCCATATTTCTTGGAGGCTTTGTTCATTTCTTTTTATTCTTTTTTCTCTAAACTTCTCTTCTCACTTCATTTCATTCATTTCATCTTCCATCACCATACCCTTCCTTCCAGTTGGTCGAATCGGCTACTGAGGCTTCTGCATTCGTCACGTAGTTCTCGTGCTGTGGTTTTCAGCTCCATCAGGTCCTTTAAGGACTTCTCTGCATTGGTTATTATAGTTAGCCATTCATCTAATCTTTTTTCAAGGTTTTTAACTTCTTTGCCATGGGTTCGAACTTCCTCCTTTAGCTCGGAGTAGTTTGATCATCTGAAGCCTTCTTCTCTCAACTTGTCAAAGTCATTTTCCATCCAGCTTTGTTCCATTGCTGGTGAGGAGCTGCGTTCCTTTGGAGGAGGAAAGGCACTCTGATTTTTAGATTTGTCAGTTTTTCTGCTCTGTTTTTTCTCCATTTTTGTGGTTTTGTCTACCTTTGGTCTTTGATGATGGTGACGTACAGATGGGGTTTTGGTGTGGATGTCCTTTCTGTTTGTTAGTTTTCCTTCTGACAGTCAGGACCCTCAGCTGCAGGTCTGTTGGAGTTTGCTGGAGGTCCACTCCAGACCCTGTTTGCCTGGATATCACCAGCGGAGGCTGCAGAACAGCAAATATTGCAGAATGGCAAATGTTGCTGCCTGATCCTTCCTCTGCAAGCTTCATCTCAGAGGGTCACCCGGCTGTATGAGGTGTCAGTCGGCCCCTACTGGGAGGAGTCTCCCAGTTAGGCTACTCAGGGGTCAGGGACCCACTTGAGGATGCAATCTGTCCATTCTCAGATCTCAAACTCCATGCTGGTAGAACCACTACTCTCTTCAAAGCTGCCAGATAGGGACGTTTAAGTCTGCAGAAGTTTCTGCTGCCTTTTGTTCAACTATGCCCTGTTCCCAGAGGTGGAGTCTACAGAGGCAGGCAGGCCTCCTTGAGCTGCAGTGGGCTCCACCCAGTTCGAGCTTCCTGGCCATTTTGTTTACCTATTCAAGCCTCAGCAATGGCAGACGCCCTTCCCCCAGCCTCACTGCCGCCTTGCTGTTCAATCTCAGACCGCTGTGCTAGCAGTGAGCGAGGCTCTGTGGGTGTGGGACCCTCCAAGCCAGGCATGGGATATAATCTTCTGGTGTGCCGTTTGCTAAGACCATTGGAAAAGCGCAGTATTAGGGTGGGAGTGTCCCGATTTTCCAGGTACTGTCTGTCACGGCTTCCCTTGGCTAGGAAAGGGAATTCCCCGACCCCTTGCACTTCCTGGGTGAGACAACGCCCTGCCCTGCTTCAGCTCACGCTCCATGGACTGCACCCACTGTCTGACAAGCCACAGTGAGATGGTCCCAGTACCTCAGTTGGAAATGCAGAAATCACCCGTTTTCTGTGTTGCTCACGCTGGGAGCTGTAGACTGGAGCTGTTCCTATTCGGCCATCTTGGAACCGGCACACACCAATTTTTTAGAACAGAAACAGGATCACAATCTACATATTGTCTTAACACATATTTTAATCATAGATAACAGTATATCTATTCAACACAAAAAGTTAATTCTGAAAATCTGCATCTTCATCTTACATAAAACATTTAAACTTCCCAGAACAATTGGGAATGTTAATGTTTCATTTATTCATTTATTATTAATATTAATCAAGGTCCTATTAGGAGACAGAAACCAGATAATTTGAAAGTTTAATATGAACAAATTATTAACTATAACAAGAGATAGGCTAGAAAGAAAGAGAATTTTAAGGAATGTAGGAAAAGCAGATATTCCAAGGGCTAAAACAAATCACTCAAGGAAGAATTCCTGCACCCTTACCCTCCCCAGCTGAGATCCAGCCATGGCTCAACAAATGGCAGAAAAGTCACCTGTCTGTACTGGCAGAACATGCTGGATATCCACCTTCTAGTTTGCAGGGGAAAGTCCTTCACAGGGAAGCATCTCACTGGACATGCTGGGCTACAAACCTGCCTGTAGGGGTGCTGCTAGTTGCCATGCACTGAAGCTAAAGCACTGCAGAAGCTGGGTCTACAGGAACCTGATGAGAGAACCCTGGAGCCAGGAAGGAAAACCCCCTCTTCCTGCAATGTCCCTTCAATATCTTCTGTAGATAAAGTTTAACAACGTTCCAGCTAGCCAAGGAAAAATATTTAAGGGCCCATCTCAATTTCATAGAACAGGAAATTAAGGGTGAGTTTGAAACTGAGGGAAAATAAATAAACAAGTGGCACATTCCACAAACATTTAATGGGCACCTGTATACTTACTATGAGCCAGGGACTGTACTGCATATTGGCCCACATATGTCCTTTTTGTTTCCATTTATTGAGTGTTGTTTGTCACTCCTGTTCTAAGCACTTAAATGTACAAACTCATGCAATCTTCACAATAACCCTGAGGTAGATGCTAGGACCACCCCCATATTACAGAAAAAAGGATTGAGATACAGAGAGTTAACTCACCCAAGGTCAGCTAGTAACTAGCAGAAGGATAATTTAAACCTGGTAGTCTCCACATGCTTAAGTACCATGCTACAAAGCCTCTCAGGATGTTTTTATGGCACACAATTATCCAAACCCCTTCAAGACTATCCCCTGACCACTCTAGTGTCTGTATCATGTTAAAGCAAAGAAAAATCCCCATCCACTCTCCATGCCCCCAAACATTATCCCAGGGTTCCAAAAAGTACCTGGCAGGACTTTATTTGGGAATAGCAGTTCCATATATCATGGATTAGTGAGTCCTACCTGCCCACTTAGTGACAGCAGTGGTCATCTGTTGGCACCCACTGCATGATCTGGCTACATTAAGGTGTGAGGTCCACAAGAATGGAGAGATGTGTTCTAACCACATTCTGAACATTATGTGTTGCCTTTTTTTTCTTTTTCTTTTTTTTTTTTTTGAGACGGAGTCTTGCTCTGTTGCCCACACTGGAGTGCAGTGGCGTGGTCTCTGCTCACTGCAACCTCTGCCTCCCAGGTTCAAGTGATTCTCCTGTCTCAGCCTCCTGAGTAGCTGGGATTACAAGCACCTGCCACCACGCCCGGTTAATTTTTTGTATTTTTAGTAGAGACGGGGTTTCACCATGTTAGTCAGGCTGTCTCGAACTCCTGACACCATGATCTGCCCACCTCGGCCTCCCAAAGTGCTGGGATTACAGGCGTGAGCCACCACACCCAGCCTGCCCTTCTTAAATTGCACTCAGTCTTGAGACACTGCTAGCAGCTAAGTGAATCTTTTATATCATTTTTATCTTTAGTCTGCAAATCCTTTCTCCAATAATTGCATGTGCCTTTCTTTACTCTGTTTCTATTTTGCTGTGTTCTATATATAGTACCAGTGCCTTTCAAATTGCATTTCTAATCAGCTCCCAGGTGATGCCATTGTTGTGGCTCTGGGAGCCACACTTTGAGTAGTGAGATCCTATACAACACATCCAAGTAAGAGGAAGCTGTTCACGTCTCTACAATAGCAAGATCCTTTCCTGAAAACCCAAAATCTGCCAGGCGCAGTGGATCACGCCTGTAATCCAGCACTTGGGGAGACAAAGGTGGGAGGATAGCCTGAGTCCAGGAGTTCGAGACCTGCCTGAGCAATAGAGTGAGACCCCACTCTCCAACAATAACAAAACCCAGAATCTAACTTTTGTATCACAAATTTGATGTGTAGTGCCAACAGTTCTTGAGCACTAAGAGATCTTTACAGCCCTCTAGTGACTAAAACTGTATCATAGACAGAACCAAAACAGGGACTCACATTCCTGGAAAATCATCCATACACTTAATACTGGGAATAATAATGACAATAATCCAAAACTAATAGAAATAACACCAGAATAAGGCCAGGTGCAGTGGCTCATGCCTATAATCCTAGCACTTTGGGAGGCTGAGGTGGGAGGATTGCTTGAGGCTAGGAGTTTGAGACCAGCCTGGGTAACATACAACACCCTGTTTCTGCAAAAAATTTTAAAAATTAGCCAGGCATAGTGGGGTGCACCTGTAGTCCGAGCTACTTGGGCAGCTAAGGCAGGAGGATCACTTGAGCCTGGGCATTCAAGGCTGCGGTGAGCCGTGATCACACCATTGCGCTCCAGCCTGGGCAACAGAACAAGACGGTCTCCCAAAAAAAAAAAAAAGAAAAGAAATAACACCATAATAAGACAAATAGGAATGCTTTTGATCAGATACTAAAAACATCTTTACAATATTACATATAGTGAACAAATGATTTATCATATTGACTGACCCCTTATTACTTCAATGTGCAGGGATGGTACCTATGAAAAGCACTGTGTAATTGTAGATAATTTGGGACATAAGAGCTTGACCAAAAACTGAAAATACTATTCCTAGAAAAAAAGCAAAAATATTTTGGACATTAAAAGCCTTAAAACAAGATAAAAATGAAACACTGATAAGATCGGAGCTTAGTTCAGTCCAAGAAACTTTTTTAGCACTAATACCAGACAATGTGCTATGTGGTGGGGGGTTACAAAGATGCCCTGTGGGAGCTTACAGTCAAAAGACAGTCATATAGACTCTTAATGTCATACATGGTAAAGACTAAGATATAGGAAAGCACAAGGTACTGTGGGACCTCAGATTCAAATGGGGAAATGACAAAATTGGAAGAAAGTAGACAACTGAGAGGTTCAGCAGTCCAGAAGTCAATTAATAAGGTCCTGAACTAAGAGTGGTAACAAGGAGAAAGAGGAGACAGATCTGAAAAGTGTTAAGGAAAATACAATCTACAGGAGTTTGACTGGCCATGGGAGTGCAGAAGATGGAATTACACTTGGATAACAGTACAAAGTGATTAAACGAGATGAGAAAAGGAAAACAGTAGATTTAAAGTGGCAGGAGATGATGTCTTCAGTTGCGGCTCTGTTGAGTTTGGGGTGCCTGTGGGATATCCAAGTGCATATTCAATGGCAGGTGGATACACATCAGAATATTTGGGTAGAGCTAAAAAAACACATTTTGAAGTTACTGACATAGTAAAAATTTTAAACATGAGATGTGGAAAGAAAAGAGCAGTAGGTTAGGGATGGCACTTTCAGAATGCTAACTATTGAGGAGAGGGCAAAGGAGGACGCATTCAAGAGGCAGAGAAAGTAATTTCTCTTCTTTTTTTTTGAGATGGAGTCCCTCTCTGTCGCCCAGGCTGGAGTGCAGTGGCACAATCTCGGCTCACTGCAACCTCCACCTCCCGGGTTCAAGCAATTCTCTGTCTCAGCCTCCTGAGTAACTGGAATTACTGGCGTCTGCCACCATGCCCGGCTAATTTTTTTGTATTTTTAGTAGAGATGGGGTTTCACCATCTTGGCCAGGCTGGTCTTGAACTTCTGACCTCGTGATCCTCCTGCCTTGGCCTCCCAAAGTGCTGGGATTACAGGCATGAGCCACTGTGCCCAGCTGTAATTTCTCATTATTCAGAATATTAGAAGAGACTAGTAACTAGGAATATGGAAATTTTCAAGGAAGGAATGGGTAAGTGTTAAATACAGCAGAGAGGTCCAATGAGACAATGTTAGAAAAATGTCTGCTCTGCCTGGGCACAAAGTGAGGTCCCATCTCTACAAAAAAATAAAGAAATTAGGTAGGCATGGTGGTGTGCACCGGTGGTCCCAGCAACACGGGAGGCTGAGGCAAGAGGATCACTTGACGCCAGGAGGTGAAGGCTGCAGTTAGCTGTGTTTGTACTACTGCACTCCAGCACTCCAGCTTGGGTGACAGAGCAAGATCTTATCTAAGGAAAAAAAGAAAAAAAAGTCTGCTAATTGCTAATTGTAGGCGCCCTGAGGGCAGGTACTATGACTTATTAATTCTTATATACTCGGTGTCTGTTACAAAGACTGATACAATGCAGGCAGCACCCTATAAATGCTTCTAGAATTTTACTGATGTGACAATCACTTGAATTAGTAAAATAACACACTTCTACGATTCAAAAAGAAACATGTCGGTACTAGATATTGTAGACATTTTTCCCAAGGGAGCTTTTTCTTGACCCAACTCTGCCTAAATTTTTAGTAGAAAAATATTAATAAAGGAAATACAGAAAATACCTTTCCAACAGAAAGAATAAAAAGCAAAGAAAAAGGATTTAAAAACGCAAAAAAAAGAGAGAATAAATGAATACAAACCAAAAGATTAGTGTAGCAATGTCAATAACAGAAAAATATGATTTAAGCAAAAAGTTATAGTAGAAATAGAGGAATCTTAACCGAAAGATAAAAAAGTTCACTTCACAGAAAAGCTATCTCTAGGGCCCAGACTCCTGTGAGGCAAGAGAGATGATCGAGGCGTGAAAATGCAGTCAGATTTTGTTTTTATTTAAAATTGCAGCATTTTACTAATCATAGACTTTTTTGCATTAATTTTTATTTTTAAAAATATTGCATCCAAATATTGCTTATCTTCATTACGGAGTTCTTTTGGCGGTCCCTTAAATTCTGCACCTGAGGCTCGTGCCTCATTTTAATTCTGGCTGTGGACCAGGAGGGTACTTGGGCGTCTGAAAACATAACCCCAAGTGTTGTATCACATAAGTAGACAGAAATGCAAGAAAAAAAAAAACTGGCATAATCCCAATAACAGTGGGAGATTTTAACATACCCGCATCAAAAGCTGGCCGATCAATTAAAAAAAAAAAAACTAGTAAGGGTTAGGGAATGCGTGCACAATACAACGTTTTCTCCTGCAGCTCTGTGAAGGGCAGCCCGCGGTAGGCTAGGCCTGGTCCTGGGCGCCCCAGCCGGCTCCCCCGGGTCCAGGCGTGCGCCTGCGGGCGACGTGCGCGTCTGGGCATCCGGCCGTCACGCGCTGCCTGGGACTCCACCCTACCTACCCTTCGCGTAGTACTTGTTATACTTTGGCAGCTTCTTCACGTCGGTCCTCTCCGCGCGCGGGTAGGAACCGTCCACGGCCTTAAAGAAGCCTCCTCACCAGGTCAGTGGCGCCAAGCAGGTTGCGTACGCGCAGAGGCGGGAAGGGCGGCTGGACGTCGCCCAGGTAAACGACGTCCCGCGCCACCCCTTTCTTGTTGCTGTCGCTCTGCACTTCCCGCGCTCTTCCTTGCTCTCTGCTTCGGCTACCGCCCGCTGTTTTCCACTTCAGTCTCTCCTGGTCCACGGCAGCCACGACTACAGATACCAGTAGCGCGACAGCCTCAAAGCGCCATAACGTCGTGCTTTTCTTTTTTCGTTCTTTCTTTCTTTCTTTCTTTTTTTCTCGTGCTTTGTTTCCTCTGATTTTCCTTTTCCGGGTTTTTAGTTGAACACACGTTTTTTTCGTGTATGTGTTTTAAATAAATGCATTTAGGGCTAAATTTAACTGTACCCCACCCATTATAATAAATAGTACTTTTACGATTTTCCAGAATAAGATTTTGTGGTTTCCTCTTTAACCCATGAGTTGAATGCTTTGTTTCTAAGCTTAGAGCCAAACATTTATTTATTATTAGAGACAAGGTCTCTGTCGCCCAGGCTGCAATGCAATTGTCAGAGGCGAGTGAACCAGAGCAACTCCCATCTTAAAATAGGAGCTAGGTAAAATGAGGCTGAAACCTACTAAGCTGCATTCCCATCTAAGTCACAGGATGACATAGGTCAGCACAAAATACAGGTCATAAAAGACCTTGCTAATAAAACAGGTTGCAGTGAAGAAGCCGGCTAAATCCTACCAAAACCAAAATGGCCACAAGGGTAACCTCTGGTCGCCCTCACTACTACACTCCCATCAGCGCCATGACAGTTTACAAATGCCATGGCAACGTCAGAAAGTTACCCGATTTGGTCTCAAAAGGGGAGGCATGGGCTGGACGCAGTGGTTCACGCCTGTAATCCCAGCACTTTGGGAGGCAGAGGCGGGCGGATCACGAGGTCAGGAGATCGAGACCATCCTGGCTAACACGGTGAAACCCCGTCTCTACTAAAAATACAAAAATTAGCCGGGTGTGGTGGCGGGCGTCTGTAGTACCAGCTACTGGGGAGGCTGAGGCAGGAGAATGGCGTGAACCTGGGAGGCGGAGCTTGCAGTGAGCAGAGATCTCGCCACTGCACTCCAGTCTGGGCAACAGAGCGATACAGAGCGATACTCCGTCTCAAAAAAAAAAAAAAAAAAAAAAAAGGCGGGGGGTAAGGCATGAATAGTCCACTCCTTGTTTAGCATATCATCAAGAAATAACCATAAAAATGGGCAACCAGCCACCCTCAGGGCTGCTCTATGAAGTAGCCATTCTTTTATTCCTTTGCTTTCTTAATAAACTTGCTTTCACTTTGCACTGCGGACTGGCCCTAAATTCTTTCTTGCACGAGATCCAAGAACTCTCTCTTGGCGTCTGGATGGGGACCCCTTTCCTGTAACGCAATGGCAGGATCAAAGCCTCCAACTCCTGGGTTCAAGTGATCCCCCTGCCTTAGCCTCCCAAGTAGGTGGGCCACAACGCCTGGCTAATCTTTTAAATTTTTTGTAGAGACAGGGTCTCACTATGTTGCCCAGGCTGGTCCTGAACTCCTGGCCTCAAGCAATCCTCCCACCTCAGTCTCCCAAAGTACTGGGATTATAGGTATGAGCCACCACACCTGGCTCAAACTTTTAAACTATTACTTTGCACAGGAACCTTCACTTCAAACACTAAGAATTTAAAAAAGGAGCCATGACTGCAAATACAGTGAGATAAAGCTATGACACTTTGTGAGAATAAAGTAGAAATTGTGGATAAAATGAACAATTTCTTGGAAAAATAATAAATATATAAATATATATGTAAATATATATATATTATATATACAAGTAAGCCAATAACAAATCCAACTTAAACATCTTTCCTCAGACACCAGGCCTAGATAGTTTTTTAAGTTTTACCAAAAATTGGAGGAACAGAAAATCTTTATCTTATACAAACTCTTTCAAAGGATGGAAGAACAGAGAAAACTACCTAATGCATTGTTGAGATTAACATACCCTTAATACCCAAAACATGGAAGGATGGTAACAGGGTATAAAAGTATAGATTAATTTATGAACAGAGGTGCAAAAATCTTAATAAATAGCATATCTTATACAATATATAAAAATTAATATATTATGAATAAGTATGGTTTATCCCAGGAGGGCAAGGAAGAAAATAGATTAATCCACCGCAGCAATTTAAAACTTTCAATGGGCTAGGTACTGTTCTAGGCATTTAGCAAAGTAACAGATTTTAAAAGAGAAAAATCCTTTATTTCCTACACAGGAATTGAGAAGAAAGAGATGAAAATGACGATTTACCTGTAAAACTGGAGTATCTACTCCAAACTATTAAAAATAAAAAAATTCAGCAAGGTTGCTGGATACAAGAGCAACATTAAATAATCAATAGAATTCTTATACATAAAAATTAACTAATTAGAAAAAAGTATTTTTAAAGAGTTCATTCACAATACAACAAAATATATAAGGTACCTAAATATAGATCTAAGATATACGACATTATCTTATCATTTTCTTCATAAAGATCTTGGAGGACCAAGAAAATCTGAATAGATAGAGAGATAATTCCATATTTATGAATGGGAAGACAATATATTTCAGATCTTAGTTGTAAACTTAGTGCAATTCCAACCACAATTCCTGAAATTCTTAAAGAACTAAGCAAACTGATTCTAAAATTTATCTAAAAGGTAAAGGATCAAGAACAGCCAAGACAATTT
This sequence comes from Homo sapiens, assembly GCF_000001405.40. Classification (NCBI taxonomy): domain Eukaryota; kingdom Metazoa; phylum Chordata; class Mammalia; order Primates; family Hominidae; genus Homo; species Homo sapiens. Next base: position 43,394,287 of record NC_000005.10, on the reverse strand, counting down.
TGAAGAATAAATTGAGTGGGAAGACTTATTGTATCAAGTTTTGAGATTTATTAAAAAGTGTCTTAGTTGAAACATGTGGAATTGATGCAGAGATCAATAAGTAGAGCATGAGACAGAAGAAAAAGCCCAGAAGCAGACCTATGTGTATGTGTAAACTTGAAGATTTAAGGAGTGTCTGCATATCAGTGAGATGGGGTGGTTCTGTTATGGAAAGAACAATCCTGCCAATGAAAGATTCCTCTGTACCAATACAGAAGAGAAAAAAAAGTATTACTGAGTAAGCATTAACACATTTACAAGCATGTACGGCAGCACAAAAGTGACTATGAAATTGGAACAGAATTTTATATAGCATAGCAGAAGAAAGAATAACTTCTCACCTCCTCAAAAGATAAAAGGGTCACACCTTGTGACAGTTTCTACACGTCTTGTGAGAGACCCTGAGCTAAATCCAGAGGTGTTTTTAAAAATACATCTGGAGGTTATTTGGCCCTTGGCCTTGGATATATATAGCTATTATTACAAAAACTGAAGAGTGGGCTTAATCCTTGTAGAGATTTATCTCAATCCAAAAGTAAAGATTAAGATACACTATGTCTTTAAAGAACCTCATCTTAAGAATGGAGGAAAGGAGGCCGGGCGCGGTGGCTCACGCCTGTAATCCCAGCACTTTGGGAGGCTGAGGTGGGTGGATCATTTGAGGTCAGAAGTTCAAGACCAACCTGGCCAACATGGTGAAACCTCACCTCTACTAAAAATACAAAAATTAGCTGGGCATGGTGGCTGGCACCTGTGGTCCCAGCTACTTGGGAGGCTGAGGCAGGAGAATCGCTTGAACCCAGGAGGTGGAGGTTGCAGTGAGCCGAGATTGTGCCACTGCCCTCCAGCCTGGGCAACAGAGTGATACTCTGCCTCAGAAAAAAAGAAAAGAAAAAAAAAAACGGAAGAAAGGGATGGGTGTGGTGGTAGCTCATGCCTGTAATCCCAACATTTGGGGAGGCCAAGGTGGGCGGATCCCTTGAGTCCAGGACTTGGAGACCAGCCTGGGCAACATGGCAGGACCCCCATCTTTTGAAAAGACTTTTTAAGTAAAAAATACATACATTTTAAAAAGTATGGAATAAAGGGGGAAGTGGTTTCTTTGCCCTTTGTAAATGGAGAAAAAAATTTCATTTACCACTATAGTTCTGAGACAATAGGTATTCTCATGCAAAAACTTTTTTTCTGACTCACAATCTATAAAAAATAAATTACAGGGGTAAAAAAGCTTTGCTTTTTAAAACAAAATTATTATTATGTTATTTTTATGATATCTGACTATGGGAGGATTTGCTAAATAAGACATAAATGGCAAACTGTAAGGAAATACTTCAAAGTTAAAAGATACACTTACCAAGGGGGAGAAAATATTTTCTAATTACTGAGAAGAGATAAGTATCCCAAATATTTTATGAGTTCTTATAAATAATTTTTTAAAAATCAAGGTAAAAAAATAGCTGGCAAAAATAAGATTTGGCAATTCAAAGAGAAAATGTGAATGATTAATAACTTACCAGTAGGGGAACACAAATGAAGCCACATTAAGGTACAATTTCAACCCCATCAGATTGGCAACATTTTAAAACGACATTATGAAAAGTTGTTGAGGATGTGCAGAAATGGAACTCTCATCAACTGCAGGTATGAGTGTAAATTGGTATAATCACTTTGTAGAGCAATTTGCTGGTATGAAATATAGTTAAAGATGCATATATCCTACAACCTAGCAATTCCATGTGTAAATCTGTTTTTCAAGAACGGTGGTTCTCCAAATGTGTTCCAGGACTAGCAGTATCAACATCACCAGGGAAGTTATTAGATATGCAAATATTGGCCCAGCATGGTGGCTCACACCTGTAATCTCAGCACTTTGGAAGGGCGAGGCAGGCAGATCACTTGAGGTCAGGAGTTCAAGACCAGCCTGGTCAACATGGTGAAACCCCGTCTCTACTAAAAATACAAAAATTAAACAGGCGTGTTGGCACACACCTTTAATTCCAGCTACATGGGCAGCTGAGGCAGGAGAATCTCTTGAACCCCGGAGACGGAGGTTGCAATGAGCCGAGATCGCGCCACTGCACTCCAGCCTTGGTGACAGAGTAAGATTCCATCTGAAAAATAAATAAATAAATAAATAAATAATAAGATATGCAAATGTTCAAGCCTCCCCTCAGATTTACTGAATCAGAAACCTGAGGTAAGAGAGGTATTTGATTTTGATACACATTAAAGTTTGAGAACCACTGCTGTAGAGAAATTCTCACACAAGCCCCAAGGAGACATCTAGAAAAGCAAATAAAGTATAACCAAAAGGCCTAAAAAGTGCCAGAATGTATGTATTCAAATTCCAGCCCCACTATTTATTTCTTGGCCCTTTGATCTCGGGGAAGTTATGTAGTTTTTCTGCATATTATTACCCATTTATAAAATGGTGATTAATATACTTTCTTCTGCATATAGTTGCTGTGTAGATTATTTAAATTAATTCACACATGGCAGTTACACTAGTGCCTGGCACACAGTAAGAACTCAAACAATGTCTGTTATCATTAGGATGTTTGTTGTAGCCTTGCTTGTAACAGTAAAGTACTGGAAACAGTTACTTAAAAATAAGACTGAAGGCAAATATGGAAAAGACTTAACATTAATAACATTTGGGTGATGAGTATATAGGTGTTTTTATTATTCTTGGTAGTTCCTCTGTGTTGAAATGTTTCACAAGGAAAGGGGAATAGTAGTTAAGTCATCATTTATTTATTCACATCTACATTTCCACAGAAGTATTAGTTTAGGTGAATTGTCATGTCTTGATTTTTAAAGTTTCCATAGAAAGAGGTTACTGAACTCGTGTTATTGGTATAAAATATAAAGCTGTCTGGCCTCAAAATACTTTTCATGTCATCCTCCTACAACTTACATTCATAAATTCTATATTCCAACCAAATTTGCATGAATCTGCCTTTTTCCACATTTGTATCTTTACACCCACTGTCTCCTCTATATTTACTGCCCTATTCATATTCTATCCATTTTTCACATTTTCAGCTCAAATGCCACCACCTTGATAAAGATGGACCCAAGTCTCTATAATTTATCGCTTCTGCCTTTCAGTGTTCCAGATACCATTCTGTTTATCACATAGCCCTTGCCACATTTTCTCTTATGTTAGAAATGTTTTCCCCCTACTTTCTTTCACACACACTCTACAGAAGCACACCATTATTTTTAATGGAGCAAAAGTTGATACAATCTCAAAAATGCCAGAGCAAACTGATTCAAATATGATTTAAATACTGATTTCAATTCACTGCATAGACACATCAGATGCTACCCATGGAACTCCTATACTCTGGGCTTCACTGGTTGGTGAGTAGAAATTGTGATGTTCTGGGTCCCCACTTTCTTGCCTGGCAGTAATTACAAAGTTGCTGCAGGATTTCTCAATCCAAATATTCTTGACAATTCTCAAATAGTGGGTCCTGGAGAAGGGTACTTTCCCTCTAAGAGTCTGGGGGAAGTTGACCTGATAGTGTAGGAGGGATGATCCCTTGCATAATCAGAACCCTTACTCCCAGTTTTGTGGTTCCTCTGTTGGGCAGCTGCTCTGGATCCATTTGAAACCCACTGGTGGTTGCCCACTTCTCCAGAGAGCTGACCTCAGTGCCTGCTTCTCAGGCCAGCTGGGAAACGCATCTGCTGATCTCACAAATCACTTTTCAGAGAAATTCCCAGATGGATCTGTTGGGCTTTGCCCTTCCCAAAGCAAAGGGAGCACCTCTAGGAGGGGTTAGGGAGGCAGTTGGGGGTGGATCAGGCAAAGTCTTGCATTATACCTCAGATCCTTGCTCATTCATACCTCTGGACTCCGCTGCTTTATTAAGCCCACTCTGCAAGACTTCTCTTATTTTCAGTAATAGTCACATATTTCTCTTCAGGGGAACCCCTTCTCCATCATACAGGTTTGTGTTTGTGTGAACTCCAATTCTGGAACATAAGCTGGTTATTTTCCATTATATACCTGACCAAGGTGGTCTTTGCAAACAGGTTTTGGCCTCCCCGACCTCTTATCAGCTTGCCTCCCCAACAACCTCTCCAACAACCATTGTTCAGTATCATCTGAACAAAACTATGTAAATGCTGAAGAAATGTCACATAATCATCTTTTTCAGCCTAATTGACACACCAAAATCTCTCCTATATAGAAATTCTGGAGTCATAATTGAAATAAAGGGAAGTAGCTGATGGCTTTTTAAAAATGGAACTATTCTGACAGGAGGCTGCAGGAGGGAACCTCTAGGGGGCGATGTTATCTAACAGAATTTTACAGTTGCCCTATTCGGAACTACCCAGTTTACATTCTCCATTGCCTAACTTCCCATGTTCTCTCCAAAGTTGTTTCCTGGCCTCTTATATTTTCTGCTTCCTCTGGAGGGCACTAGTTGCACCTACTAACATGTAATAAATGCTGGCCTGCTTCTTGCCTTTTTATAGTTAATGTGACTTAGATCAAGTGATCTCCAGCTGAGCCCATCCTACGTTTATATTAATATTTGAGAAATGCAATCCAGTTTACTAAGTATATATAGGCCCCCGGTACTCTTCTGGCTTAAGACTGTTTGAATTGATATCAGCACTCAGATAACTCAAATTCCTAAACACACAGATTTTCTTGTGATTCTTAATTGCTACCATGCTTCTGAAAGTATGTTTCCTATTAGAGTTGCTTGGGCCACAGCTAATCTTTGAGGCTAGTAACGCTTCATCTTTCTACCTTCAGGGTCTAGCGTAGTGATTCACGTATAGTGAGATGGGTGGATGAATGGGTGGATACGTGATAAATCCAATACCTTGTTCAGGATATTAAGAGTTTGACTTAGGCAGCACAGCATAGCTAAAGAAAGAAACAGTTTTAGGAAATAAATGCATTAATAAATGTAGGAACAACCAGTATTCACAAACCATAAAATTCTCCATTTTAAAGTATAAAATTCAGTGGTCTTCAATATATTCACAGAATTGTGTGATCACCAATATCTAATTCCAGCACATTTTCATCACTCCAAAAAGAGATCTTGTACCTGTTCACAGTCACTCCGTGTCCCCTCCTTTCACTCGTCCCTCTCCATCCCTTAGCCCCCCAGCCCCTGGCAACCACTAATCTACTTTCTGTCTTTATGGATTTGCCCATTCTGGATCTTTCATATAAAGGGAATCATACAGTATGGCCTTTCGAATCTGGCTTCTTTCATGTATAATCCCATAACCCTTTGAACATAACTCTTTAACACTTATTTTGCTGTGTTGGGATTATTATGGCCTGCCTCCCACTGGACTATTAAGCATCACAAGGACAGATTATGCCTTATTTCAACTTTGAATGCAGAGCTCAGGGCCTGTCACAGAATGGGCAATCAATAAATGTTTGCTGAACGAATGATGCTTTTCCAGTTCCAAAATGCATGAAACACCGTGTTGACCTCACTCCTTTCATCTTTGATCAGTCTGCAGTACCACCAGAATCCTTGTCTGTAACTCTTTTCATCTCTTTCACTTGTTTTGTGTCTTTGCCTAAATTTACATTTTCTCTTTCACAAATATAGCTTAAATTCCAGAAAGTGGGAACATGTCCTGCCCCAAGTCTGTATTCACAAAGCCATGTTTGCCCCTTGTTTGTGTGGATTAACATTGTTTCTCTGAAATCTTTAAAATGAGAACCATGCCAGTGTTCTATAAACCGTAAAATTTAACATTTTCTTTCTTTTCTTCTTTTAGCCATACTTCCCATTGCCTCCAGCTGTTGCACGGAGGTTTCACATCATATTTCCAGAAGGCTCCTGGAAAGAGTGAATATGTGTCGCATCCAGAGAGCTGATGGGGATTGTGACTTGGCTGCTGTCATGTGAGTGCTCATCAGCCGGGAGGTCTAAACCTGCACAGTGATTATTTCCCTGCCCAACGAATAATAGGTTGGAAAGGCTTTGCTTGATTACAACATACAAACAATCATCCAAACAAGGGAGGGAAGAGTAAATATTCTGTCCATTAGGCCCCAGGCTCCCTGGAGTAAATTCATAGTCTCTCTGTCCAAAGATGTCCTGAGCCCCATACCAGCACACCATCTACTTCCACCCTGTAGTGCTGTGGTTAGGACTAAATTCCCCCAGTCACCAAAAAGTGTTCATGACTTTCCCAAGCAAAACAAAACCCCAAACAAAAGATAACTCTGTTATATTTCATGGCTTTTAACCTTTTTTAGTATATGGGTTGCTGTCATTTCTACTTTATGAATTCATCAGGAGCATATTATAAAGTTCAAAAAGTTAGGCTGGGTGTGGTGGTTTATGCCTGTAATCCCAGCACTTTGGGAGGCCAAGGCAGGGGTATCGCTTGAGCCCAGGTGTTCAAGACCAGCCTGGGCAACATGGTGAGACCCCATCTCTACAAAAAACTTTAAAACTAGCCAGGCATGGTGGCATGCACCTGTAGTCCCAGCTACTTGGGAGGCTGTGATGGGAGGATCGTTGAGCCCAGTTCGAGGCTGCAGTGAGCCGTGCTCATGCCAGTGCACTCCAACCTGGGTGACAGAGTTAAATCCCGTCTCAAAAAACCACCACCACCACAACAACAAAAAGGCAAAGAAAAACAAAAGAAAAGGTTCAAAAAGAAGCGTGGAAATATCTATACCTGTCACAGTGCTATATGCAATCCAATCAGAAATGCCAATCCAATCTCTGCTTTTGATTCTGTGGTGTTGGTTCACAGTGAAGCCTCCCACCCCTGCCCCTGGCTCAGTTATTAAAAGCTTTGTTTGTATATGTACTTAACATTTCTATGGAGGCTCTAACATCTGAACTGCATTGGTATTTAGTAAATCTGGATTCTGACAACAATGCTGTGAGGAAAGCATAAATGATCTCCCAATCATACACAGGAGAAAGCTGTGACTCAGGTTACACGGTTCACTTGTGTACAGCTCGTGAATTGCAGAAACAGGATGTGAACCCAGGTCTCTTAGTTCAGAACACTTGTACACCTCCAATGTCATTCTAAAGCAGTGGTGGGACTAACCATAAAATACCCTCTCCAAACTCTACTGCATCCGAGTATCAGGCATCTCCCTGGCATGCTGGTTTTAACACCATTTGTGGCTCCAGGTGATGCTAGTGAGTCATTTGGTGCTCCTTTCTTTGGGCTATAAATAAACCCATTGCTTATGCCTGAGCTCCTGAGTCACTCAGAAACCTTATTCTTTCAGTGAATTCAACAAATATTTATGAATTAACAATTATGCACCAAGCACTGTTCTATATGCTGGGGATGCAGTGGTGACAAAATGGGTTCTGTCTGCCTAGAGTCTCAAGGGGACTCTTTATCCAGCTGGGTTCTGCAGATCATCTTAATGATTTGAGATGATCTCTGGAATTTGAAATATATTTTCCCCCCTTTCAGAGGGATTTATCCATTATTCAATTTTGAGGAAAAACTGCTCCAAGATAAGCGTTCTTAAAAGTTCAGAGGAAGAGTTTGTAAGATGTCTGTTGATAGACTTTCATCAGGTTAGGGGCTGTGAACTTCCTGAAATTTTTGTGTATGAACCTGTGAGCATTTTTAGAGGGTCCATAGGTTTTATAAGATTCTCAAAGTTTCTGAGATCAAATAAAGTTTAAAGGTCACACTCAGGGTCAGATGTAGGGGAGGAAACAATTCTTGATTCAAACTTGTATTAAGCATGAGTGTCTTTGTGGGAGAAGGGAGAAGCCTGAGAATTTTCTCAGCATCTCCTCAGTTCAAGCCACCACGTGGCTCCATTGGCTCAGGTGGTTTAGTCATTGGGAACCAGCATCATCTGTGGCACTCCAGGGGCTACATACCAATGAGGATTCTGAGGGGTGCTCCAAGTTCCCAACTTCTTTGAAAAATTCCTTGGTACATGTCTGGCCAAGATTCTACCAGTCTTTTATTTAATCTTAAAGAATATTGTTGGTAATAGTTGGAAAGTAAAAAATTCATAGACAATGCGTGGATAGACAATGCTCTAGGTAGTTAGAAACAGCTGGATATTTGTGTCAAGTGGACACAGCTGCACTAAATCTGTCTGAACCTGCTCCAGTTGCTCTGAGAAACTCCAAATTTTCAACTCCTCTCAATTCCTTCCACCTTATTGGCACATATCACCTCAGACTTGAAGCTTGAAGCTTGTAAGGGCTCCAATAGGACTCCCAGAAAGGCTTGGAGAAAAAAAACAGAGGAAGTTTCTGTGGGTGTATAAGAGATTCTGGAGGTTATCCAGGGAAGGTATTGGTAACAGGATTTTCAGGGATGTTTCTTTGGGATAAGCAGGTGTCAGAGATCTGAAAGGCATAGGAACAGAAATGATGTTTTGCTGTGATAAGGGAAAATATAATCAGAAACATAAGTCTTCATTTTAAAAAGGACTCAATTTTAATTAAAGAGGAACTAGGAAGCCAATCAGTTGGATCTAAAAATATTTACTTTATTCAAGCACAATTTGTAAATTGACCTCTCTGTGCTAAGAAAGCTGAAAAATACAGAGTTGTTATGACCTAATCTCAAATAAAATTAAATTTAATTCTGTAGTATTTTTTTAACCATAAATTACAGATCCTGTCTGTTGTGTTTCCTGATGTTCAACAAGAATAGATAAAGATTCTCTTGTTTTCAGATTAGTTTAGTATGGAGCATGTCTTTACTTATCTAAAATGTAGTCCCTTATCCCTGACTGGGTATAAAGACTTTAAGATTTGAGAAAGTGTTTAAGATGCAGAAAGCATTGCTAACACTGGAAATGTAATTCCCAAGTAGCATGTATTACTAATAACAATTAATTAATATAAGTCAACGTACGGTAAACTTACTAGGCTTCTTTCTTTTCTGCCTAGAAATAGGTCCTATGTTTTATACCTTATAAATGGTCATTGTAGTTTTTGATGCCTGAGACAGCAGTTTTCTTGTTCAAACTCCTCTACAGTGACTTCATTAATGAGCTTCTGAATGTTTCTGAACATAAATACAATAACAGGTTGTTTATCATGGCCGGGCGCGGTGGCTCACGCCTGTAATCCCAGCACTTTGGGAGGCCGAGGCAGGCGGATCACGAGGTCAGAAGATCGAGACCATCCTGGCTAACACGGTGAAACCTTGTCTCTACTAAAAATACAAAAAAATTAGCCGGGCATGGTGGCAGGCACCTGTAGTCCCAGCTACTCGGGAGGCTGAGGCAGGAGAATGGCGTGAACCCGGGAGGCGGAGCCTGCAGTGAGCCAAGGTCGCGCCACTGCACTCCAGCCTGGGTGACTCCGTCTCAAAAAAAAAAAAAAAAGTTGTTTATGTTGGGCAGAGGCCTGAGGATTCTTGAATCAAACAGACATTTTTTGTTGTGAGAAAATTTGAGGTTTTTAAATAGAATTATCTGGAAGGCTTGAGTAGTTTTTCAGATGTGGTTGTGAGGCGTTGTTGTGTTTAGAGGAATGGGTAAAGAAATAAAGTTTAAGGGATATTAAAGGTATAATCTCTATGGCAGGGCCACCCCTTTACGTCCATCAGACTATCTCCAGCTATCCTCCTGAGGGTTAAGAAAAAAAAAAAGGGGGATTGGCCTCAGGATTTCTTACAGTCAAAACTCTCCACCTACAAACTCACCGTTGGGAAGGTGGGGATTGGTGCCCATCAGAATACTATGGAATTGCGAGTAGGGGAAGGAATGTGGAATAGGCCAGCCCCGTTTCCAACATTACTTCATCTCTTTCTATCCTGGTGGAAAATACATGGGATCCAAGTAGAGATTTAAGAAGTTTTTAAACTTTAGGATTCTAAAACATCATGGGATCTCAGATTTGGGAGCTGTATTCTGGTAGCTGATTTTTTTCCCCAGTTGAATTACATTGAGAGGTTGCCTCACCAGCAAGTCTTTGAAAAAGCCCACATGCTAGTTGTTGCCTGTTTTCCTATGGTCCTCCACCTTTCTGAATCCTCTGTCTATATCTCTTCCATCTGGTTCTCTCCTTCAGCCCCGGTGCCAATGCCCCTCCCTGAATCCCATCTCTCTTATTTTTATAATGGACTTGAATCGTAGGTCTTTCCTGTGTAACTTATGGGCTTATCTGCATGTCACAGAAATCTTCTCTTTTTTTTCTTTTTGAGACGGAGTTTCCCTCTTGTTGTCCAGGCTGGAGTGCAGTGACATGATCTCAGCTCACTACAACCTCCACCTACCTGGTTCAAACGATTCTCCTACCTCAGCCTTCCAAGTAGCTGGGATTACAGGTGCGTGCCACCATGCCCAGCTAATTTTTGTATTTTTAGTAGTAGAGACAGGGGTTCACCACGTTGGCCAGGCTGGTCTCGATCACCCGACCTCAGGTGATCTTCCTGCCTCGGCCTCCTAAAGTGTTGGGATTATAGGCGTGAGCTACCGTGCCCAGCCTGCATGTCACTAAAATCTTTATCTGCTCAGTTTCTTTCTGACATCACAGGGAGAGGCAAGAGTTTTAGTCCTCTGGAAAGGGTAGGAGCTTCAGTGCCAGATTTTTGTTTGTTTGTTTGTTTGTTTGTTTTTGTTTCCTACGCAACAGTGCTACAGCCACGTTTTCTCCTATGATAGCAAACCAACTGACCATAGTGAGAATTAGGCTGTTTGTTTTTTTTTAAGACTCTCTATCTAATACACATAGGGAATATATTATTCTCTTATTAAGATGCTCCACTTCTTTCAAATTAATATTCCCCATATGCTGGCTTTATTATGTTAAAGCTCATTTGTAACTTTCCCCCGATTCTCCCCACTTTTCTCCCATTTCAGTAGTCCCTACATTAGCTGAAAAAGATTCAACTTGCGTCATCTAGAAAAATAGCAGCTTATTCTCTACCCCACCTCTGTTTTTTCCCTGAATAACAGGGTCAGAAGTTTCAATTTATCTGGATACGGAAATACTATATATGTAGAGCCAGCAGGATTTGTGACATTTGGTAAGAGCTGATGACCCCTCATGAGGAAATTAGAAGTCACCAATATCTTTTTCAACAAAAAAAATTATTCTAGTTACCAGAAACTGTGCATGCTGTAGCATTCTCCCAGCCCACTGTGAAAACTTCATATAGAAAAATGAAAATGAGCCAGGTGCAGTGGCTCATGTCTGTAATTCCAGCACTTCGGGGGCTGAGGCGAGTGGATCACCTGAGTTCAGTAGTTCAAGACCAGCCTGGCCAACATGGTAAAACCCCATCTCTACTAATAATACAAAAATTAGCCAGGTGTGGTGGTGCACACCTGTAATCCCAGCTACTCGGGAGGCTGAGGCAGAAGAATCACTTGAACCCGGGAGACGGAAGTTGCAGTGAGCCGAGATCATGCCATTGCACTCCAGCCTGGGTGACAAGAGCAAAACTCCATCTCACCAAAAACAAAAAAAAAGAAAAGAAAAATGAAAATGAAAGCACATTCTGAACTGTGGCATAGATCTATATCATATTAAAATGTTAACAAATGCCTAGAATATCTTAGTTTTGTTTTGTTAATTTAAGTTTTAAATTAAGTTTAAGTTTTAAATTAGTTTCAGTTTTGAATAAGGCGTTTTCAAGACACTTCTAGACTATTCCTCCTTCAAGGAGCATAACTCCAGTAGGAAAGATGAGACAAGTACTCAGATAAAAGACAGAATAAAGTAAGTGCCAGAAAAGAGATAACTCTCACCGTGGAGAATCAGAGGGGAAAAAAGACGGCATCTAGCTGAGAGAATCTACAAATCCTTACGGATCAGAAAAATCTCAAACAAACCTTAAGGATGTGTTTGAGATGGGCTGTGAGGATGAATTGGTTTTGTTGGGTTCACTTGGTTTTTATTATTGTCTCTTTTCCTCCTTTTCTTCTTCCTCTTTTTTCTCCCTCCTTTTCTCCTTCTTCTCTTCCTCATCCAATTCCTTCTTCTCCTTCTCTTTCTTTTAATACTCTCTGATGATATCTGAGGACCCACAGGCAGCAGTGTTTGTAAAGTCAAAATTGAACCTTGTGGTGCTCAGCTTTAGAATTCACTTCATTTCTACACTTAATTCAGAAATTTAGTCTGAATTTAGTCTCTAGGAATACAGTGTCCCAAAGTGGGAGCTGCATGTAAGTCACTAAGTGATTATTTATATATGTTTTATATCAGTGACTTTCTTTTGCTTCCTTTTCTAACAGCCTTCATGTCAAGCGCAGAAGAATCTGTGTCAGCCCGCACAACCATACTGTTAAGCAGTGGATGAAAGTGCAAGCTGCCAAGAAAAATGGTAAAGGAAATGTTTGCCACAGGAAGAAACACCATGGCAAGAGGAACAGTAACAGGGCACATCAGGGGAAACACGAAACATACGGCCATAAAACTCCTTATTAGAGAGTCTACAGATAAATCTACAGAGACAATTCCTCAAGTGGACTTGGCCATGATTGGTTGTAAGTTTATCATCTGAATTCTCCTTATTGTAGACAACAGAACAAAACAAAATATTGGTTTTTAAAAAATGAACAATTGTGCGGTATGCAAATGTAGCCAATAATATACTCAACTGGAAAATGAAATGAAAAGATAATACTGGCTGGGTATGGTGGTTCACACCTTTTATCCCAGCACTTCGGGAGGCTGAGGCAGGAGGATCACTTGAGACCAGGAGTTTGAGACCAGCCTGGGCAACATAGCAAGACCTCATTTCTACAAACAAAAAAAAAATTGGCCCGGCATGGTAGTACTTGCCTATAATCCCAGCCACATGGGAGGCTGAGGTGGGAGGATCACTTGAGTCTGGGAGAGTTTGAGGTTGCAGTGAGCAGCCTGGGTGACAGAATGAGACCCTGTCTCTAAAAATAATAATAATAATGATAGTGTATATCTTCATATAATATTTTAAGAGGAGCATATAGATATAACTTCTCCCAACTTTTTAATTATAGTTTTCCAAACTTACAGAGAAGTTAAAAGAATGGTACAATGAACATCTATATATCTTTCACCACAATATTAATCATTGTTAATATTGTGTCACATTTGCTTTCTCTCTCCTCTCTTTGTATGTGTTTCTATATAAAATATTATAACTTTTAAAATATATCTTGTTTTGCTAAACCATTTGAAAATAAGTTGCAAAAATCATGACACTTCACCCCTAGTTTCTTTTTGGTGTTATAACTTGACATACCCTAAAATAAAGACATTTTTCTACATAATCACCTTATCAGTTTTATACCTAAAAAATTAATAATTTCATCTAATATATTCCATATTCAAATTTTCCCAACTATTTAGAGAGCATTTTATGTAGTTTTTTTTTCACTCCAGTAATCAATCAAGGTTGACATACATATTGCAAATAATTGTTATTTTTCTTTAATATCTTTCAATCTAAGAAAGTTCCTCTGTCTTTTTTTTTTAATTTTTAAAATTATTTTGTTGAGGGAGGGTCTTGCTGTGTCTTCCAGGCTGGAGTGCAGTGGCACAATTTTGATTTTGGCTCACTGAAGCCTCAACTTCTAGGGCTCAAGCAATCCTCCCACCTCAGCCTCCCGAGTATCTGGGATCAAGGTGCATACCCACCACACCTGGCTAATTTTGTTTATTTTTTGTAGAGACAGGGTCTCACTATGTTGCCCAGGTTGATCTCAAACTCCTGGGCTCAAGCGATCCTCCCACCTTAGCCTCCCAAAGTACTGGGATTATAGGTGTGAGCCACAGTGCCTGGCCTAATTATTTTCTTGTGATCAAATTCAGGTTTAATGTTTTTGGTTAAGAATTTCCTACGTGAATTCGTGTACTTATTTTGTCATTTAGAGTTCATAAATATTAGGGTTTATTTTCTAAATAGAATAGTTTAAACTAAATATAACTTCAAAACGTCTAGTTTGAGTAGCTACCGTTGTTTGGATTGAAATTTTCTGATACTGAAAAGAACAAAAAGCCTGCCTTTCTGCCCAGAACCTTTTGCCTCCCCCAGTCAGTTCTTGGAGCAGCACTAGTTAGGGGCCCAGAGTTCGGCCTTCTGTGTGGTGATTTTACGCTCTGCCTAAACAAGGAGCCTACATCTTTTAGCTCCTATTCCACCCTTCTCACACGTTTTTGTTGTTGTTTGGTTGTTTTTTTTTGAGACAGAGTCTCACTCTGTTGCCCAGGCTGGAGTGCAGTGGCACAATCTCGGCTCATTGCAACCTCCGCCTCCCGCGTTCAAGTGATTCTCTTGCCTCAGCCTCCCAAGTAACTGATATTACAGGCGCCCAGCCACCACACCCCGCTGATTTTTGTATTTTTAGTAGAGACGGGGTTTTCCCACGTTGGCCGGGCTGGTCTCAAACTCTTGACCTCAAGTGAACCACCCGCCTGTGCCTCCCAAAGTGCTGGAATTACCAGCGTGAGCCACCATGCCGGGCTCACACGTTTGAGTTGATACCATTGTGCCATTCCTCTTTTGGCCTCTTTTTTGTCCATAGAGGCTTCAAGATAGATAGGTAAGAGCCCAGTAGTGTTCATAAGAAGCCAATAGAGAGCAGGAGCCACTTTATCAGGTGGCAGGTGTCCTGGGCCTCCCTGCTGGCTAGTCCCAAGCGGTGGTGTTGCCAGGATGTCTTGGAGGTGATAATGGGACACACAGAGGCACTGAGTCTCCATAGGTTAAAATGCCACCAAAACTGGCCTTTGCCTAATATCCCTCATTGACTATTTAGCATTTAATTTATTTATTTTCCTGACATTTCTGCAAGCTTTGTATTTATATTTCCACTTTATAGATGAGGAAATTTGAGGCTCTTAGAGGTAAAATGACTTGCCCAGGTCACACAGGAAGTGGCAGAGACAAGCTTTTTAAATAAGAAAAAATTAATAAAATATAATATGAGAGTAACTTAAAATATTAATAAACCACAATTTTAAATTAATTAACCGTGATAACCAACATTAATAAAAGTTAAGATACCAAAACACTGGTGTCTAATTCTTTCAACTAACAACTTGAATTATTTTCCATTTTAAATTAATTAACCGTGATAACCAACATTAATAAAAGTTAAGATACCAAAACACTGGTGTCTAATTCTTTCAACTAACAACTTGAATTATTTTCCATTTTATTTCTTCTTACTAGATCGATCTGCAATTCTACACAATTGTTGGGCAGCTATGAATGACAGTAGGTTTACATGATATATTTTAAAAACTGATTTTTCTGCCACGCAAATAATTGAACTTTGTCTGAAGATAGTGTGCCTGGGAAACCAGATTTTTTTTATTTTTATTTTTATTTTTATTTTTTTGAGATGGAGTCTTGCTCTGTCACCAGGCTGGAGTGCAGTGGTGCAATCTCGGCTCACTGCAATCTCTGCCTCCTGGGTTCAAGCAATTCCCTTGCCTCAGCCTCCCAAGTAGCTGGGACTACAGGTGCGAACCACCACATCTGGCTATTTTTTTGTATTTTAGTAGAGACAGGGTTTCACCATGTTGGCCAGGATGGTCTCAATCTCCTGACCTTGTGATCCACCCACCTCGGCCTCCCAAAGTACTGGGATAACAGGCGTGAGCCACCGCGCCCGGCCAAAACCAGATTCTTAAAGAAATTACATTTTACAGGTTATTGCATGTGCTTAGTAAAACATTATTGTATCACTGTTACTGTACTATGTACTATTATTGTACTAAGAGTAAATACTGTTACTATATCATGAGTTACTGTATTATGAGTAAATCACCTCGTTAATCCTTTAAGTTTTCTTTTTGAAAAGTTACATTTTTATTGAAGTAATATAGGTGTGCGATTTAAAAAATCAAAAGTACAGCAGAATTTATAATAAAAATAACATCCTCCCACCCTATCCTCCCTACTCCTAGACCTATCCTTGAGGCAACATCTTGTAATCCTTTTTTTTGAGACAGGGTCTTGCTCTGTTGCCCAGGCTGGAGTGCAGTGGAGCAATCTGGGCTTATTGCAATCTTGACCTCTTGAGCTCAAGCAATCCTTTTACCTCAGCCTCCCTAGTAACTGGGACTACAGGCATGTGCCACCATGTCTGGCTATTTTTAAAAAATTATTATTTTCTGTAGAGACAGGGTCTCACTATGTTGCCCAGGCTGGTCTTGAACTCCTGGGCTTAAGCGATCCTCCCATCTCACCCTCCCAAAGTGCTAGGATTACAGGCATGAGCCACTGCACCTAGCTTTCTTAATCCTTTAAAAAGTTTAAGTTCTGGCCGGGCGCGGTGGCTCACGCCTGTAATCCCAGCACTTTGGGAGGCCGAGGCGGGCGGATCACGAGGTCAGGAGATCGAGACCATCCCGGCTAAAACGGTGAAACCCCGTCTCTACTAAAAATACAAAAAATTAGCCGGGCGTAGTGGCGGGCGCCTGTAGTCCCAGCTACTTGGGAGGCTGAGGCAGGAGAATGGCGTGAACCCGGGAGGCGGAGCTTGCAGTGAGCCGAGATTGCGCCACTGCACTCCAGCCTGGGCGACAGAGCGAGACTCCGTCTCAAAAAAAAAAAAAAAAAAAAAAAAAAAAAAAAAGTTTAAGTTCTAGTGGTTACTTCTGTGATTTCAAATGAAACGCTTAAAGTATCATTTCTTTGCTTATCTCTTCCCTTCTTTCTCCTCATCCCAGTGCTTGATGTTTCATTACAATTATTTTTCTTTATCTCTGTAACTTTCAATAATATACTTGTCTTCCATTTATTAGTCTTTTTAAAATAACTTTTTCTTTTTTCTTTCTTTCTTTCTTTTTTTTTTTTTTTTTGATACAGAGTCTCACTCTATCACACAGGCTGGAGGGCAGTGGCAGGATCTCAGTTCACCCCAACCTTTGCCTCACGGGTTCAAGGGATTCTCGTGCCTCAGCCTTCCAAGTAGCTGGGATTACAGGTGTGCGCCAGTACGCCTGGCTAGTTTTAGTATTTTTTGTTACAGACGGGGTTTCACCATGTTGGCTGGGCTGGTCTCAAACTTCTGATCTCAAGTGATCCATCTGCCTTGGCCTCCCAAAGTGCTGGGATTACAGGCATGAGCCACTGCACCTGGCCTACGTATTAGGCTTTATGTAAGATGTACATAGTACTCCATACTCCTTTCCTTTTCCTCCTATTGAAACTGTTCCTATAAACTTTATAAAATTAATCAGAGAAGAAGAGAGGGTGAGAAACATAAATAATCCAAGCTTGCACCACATTCAGCATTAATCACTAGGTCACTTTGCTTGCTGACCCCTTCCTCATAGTTGTTTGGCTATTGCTTCAGAATTATGTGGAGTCTGTTACAAGATTATAGTTCCCCTTAACTGCTCTATAGATAACAGCTTGAACATTATGAAATGCTAAGTTTTCCCTTCGAGACATTCTTTCAGGTCCTGCATACTGATGAAACTACTGATGTCAGCTGGTCTGAAGGACCCTACCAGAAGCTAAATCATCAAAGAATGCAATTTCCATATCCTAATGATTCAATCTCCCTTACCCTGACCAATCAGTGGCCCAAATTTTCCAGCCCCTTGCCTCCCAGAACCCCAGCCCAGAACTCTTCAGAGATTTAAGAATCTCCTCCTACCTCCTGACTCAGCACCATGTAATCATTAAACTCTCTGCTGCAAACTCTGCTGTCTCAATGTATCAGTCTGTTACTGCACAGTGGGTGTATGAACCTGTTGGTCTTATGACACTATCCTCCTATGTTATGTCACATCAGCTATACTTTTACATTTACATATCTGATGTTGATAATTCTAACTCTGCACTATAGTAATAATTGTCTTTCCTGTTTTGCTTAGGGCAGGGTTTCACAATCCTGGCACTACTGACATCTTGGGCTGATAATTCTTTGTTGTGGGGGGCTCTCCCATGTACTCTAGGTGGGTTAGTAGTATCTCTGGCCTCTACCCACCAGATGACATCCAAAAATGTCTGAAGATATTGCCAAATGTCCCCTGGGGAGGGGTATAAAAATCTCCTCTAACCCCAGTTGAAAACAACTGGTCTAGAATCTAAGGTAGATTTCAAAATTGAAAACCAATGTAGTCGGAAAAATTCTGAGATGACCCCTAAATTTTCTGCCCTGGTATAGACATACCTCCCAAGCACCAATCTAGGTGCTGCAGTGAAGTTATTTTGCAAATGTAATTAAGGTCACAAATCAGTTGACCTTAAGATAGGGAAATTATCCATGTGATAGTGACTTAATCATAGGAGCCCTTTCAATTTTTTGAGACAGAGTTTCGCTCTTGTTGCCCAGGCTGGAGTGCAATGGCACAATCTCAGCTCACCACAACCTCTGCTTCCCAGGCTCAAGCGATTCTCCTGCCTCAGCCTCCCGAGTAGTTGGCATTACAGGCACACACCACCACACCCGGCTAATTTTTTATATTTTTGGTAGAGACGGGGTCCGCCCGCCTCAGCCTCCCGAGTAGTTGGCATTACAGGCACACACCACCACACCCGGCTAATTTTTTATATTTTTGATAGAGACGGGGTCCGCCCGCCTCAGCCTCCCAAAGTGCTGGGATTACAGGCATGAGCCACCATCCCCGGCCCCAAGTTCTTTATATAGCCTACTATTCTTGCCTTTATCAGTCACTTGAAATCTTGAGATGACCACTTGTGCATATGAAGCTCTTTATAGTTCTAAGATTTTTAAGTAACAGCATTCACGTCAACTGCATTGCTGGGGAGGGCTGTGCCCTTCAAAATGAGTTCAAAATGTCTGCCTCCAGATCCCTAAAAGTGGGCAATGACTTTTCTATCAGTTGGCAATGGCTTTTTTTTTTTTTTTTTTTTTTTTTTTAGCTTTCTGTCTGTTTCTGATGGGTGCTTCTGTTTCTGGCTACCCTGGATTGGTAGATGAGTTTTTACTCCTTTTTTTTTTTTTTTTTTTTTTTTTTGAGACAGAGTCTCGCTCTGTCCCCCAGGCTGGAGTGCAGTGGCATTTTTACTCCTTTTAATAGGAAGACTATTGGTTGGGCGCAGTGGCTCACGCCTGTAATCCCAGCACTTTGGGAGACCGTGGTGGGTGGATCACGAGGTCAGGAGTTTGAGACCAGCCTGGACAACATGGTGAAACACCTTCTGTACTAAAAATACAAAAAATTAGCTGAGCATGGTGGCAGGCACCTGTAATCCCAGCTACTCGGGAGGCTGAGGCAGGAGAATTGCTTGAACCTGGGAGGTGGAGGTTGCAGTGAGCTGAGACCGCAGTATTGCACTCCAGCCTGGGCAATAGAGTGAAAGTCCATCTCAAAAAAAAGAAAAGAAAAAGATCTTTCATTTTGTAGAAAATGGATTTTCTGGGTAATGCCATTAAACTTCACTATTTCAATCTAAATTGGGATGGCTAGCAGACAATCTAAAATGCTTCACTCATTCTTTGAAGCTTAACTAGAGAATGAGAGGAGGACAAAGATGACCTAAATGTAGTATTAGTACGCATCCCTGTGAGATCTGAATTTTTTTTTTTTTTTTTTTTGAGACAGAGTCTCACTCTGTCGCCCAAGCTGGATTGCAGTGGCTCGATCTCGGCTCACTGCAACCTTCACCTCCTAGGTTCAAGCGATTCTCCTGCCTCAGCTTCCTGAGTAGCTGGGATTACAGGCGTGCACCATCACACTCAGCTAATTTTTGTATTTTTAGTAGAGATGGGGTTTCACCATGTTGGTCAGGCTGGTCTTGAACTTCTGACCTCGTGATCCGCCCGCCTTGGCCTCCCAAAGTGCTGGGATTACAGGCGTGAGCCACTGCACCCAGCCTTGAATTTTTATACTATCACAGAATAAATAGAACTATGGTATATGTTTCACAATTACATAGCTAATTCGATGTTCTTTTGACAATTCTAGCACACTGTTTTTACAATGATAAAATCATTGTTTCCCTCTGGTAAATGTGGGTGACTCCAAGCTCATTCCATCCTAATGCCATGCTTATGCTCTTCCTCACTATTCCTGACAGATAACTGATTAACTGGCATATTGCAGCCTCTATACTTGCCATTCTACCTCCATATAAACTTATCAAAACAGTACAGCATCTCCTTTCTTCATCCAGTGTTTAGCACATGGTAGGCACTCAGTAAATATTTATTGATAAATATATGTAGGCAAGTGACATCTTATTTGCTCAATTACAATGAAAACAAAACACCACAGAGCAGTCATGCACTCTTGAGATGACCAACTTCTACTGAAAAATGAGAAGGCTACTGAGGGTTAAATTCTGCCAAGACCTGGCCTAGGAAACTATGTTAAATTAAGCCAGTGTGACTGGGCTCCAGTGTTTCCAAGCTTTTCCTAATATCAGACTTTTCATGCCCTCAGCCTGTCTATAAGATAGACATATCTCTATTTCTGCTCATTTTTCTTCCAGGCCATAATTATATGCATCAGTGTGTTAAAAAACCTTCTTTGCACAGTAGGTAGGACAGGAGAAACGGCTTCTGGAAGACCAACTTTGCTAAACGCAGGCCACAGTGAAGACAAATGGCACAATCTGTGAGAAAAGTCAGTTTTGGAAAGAATGTGGGAACATAGTGGCCTTGGAGATTATAAAAGATGAAGAAAGGAGATGATGCCCTGTTGATTCTTTACTTGGAGAGTTACCCTGGACCAATCAGAAGGGCTAAAATTTAAAAGATAAAAATATCAAGTGTTAGTCCGGGTGTGGTGGCTCACACCTGTTATCTCAGCACTCTGGGAGGCCGAGGCAGGTGGATCATCTGAGGTTGGGAGTTCAAGACCAGCCTGACTAACATGGAGAAACCCCGTCTCTACTAAAAATACAAAATTAGCCGGGCGTGGTGGCACATGCCTGTAATCCCAGCTACTCGGGAGGCTGAGGCAGGAGAATCACTTGAACCAGGGAGGCGGAGGTTGCAGTGAGCCGAGATCACGCCACTGCACTCCAGCCTGGGCAAAAGAGTGAGACGTCATCTCACACACACACACACAAAAATCAAGCGTTAGTAAGGATGTGGAGCAACTGGAACTTTTATGTGTGTGAGAGGAGGTGCAAATTAATAAAATCATTTTGGAGAACTGTCTTCACTATCTAGTCATATACCTATGCTATGACCCAGAAATTCCACATGTGGGTATTAATAATATCTAGTTAAGTGAATATGTTCGCCAAAACACACGTATAAGAATGTTCAGGCTGGGCATGGTAGCTCACGCCTGTAATCTCAGCACTTTGGGAGGCCGAGGTGGGTGGATCACCTGAGGTCAGGAGTTTAAGACCAGCCTAGCCAACATGGCGAAACCCCATCTTTGCTAAAAATACAAAAATTAGCCGGGCGTGGTGGTGAGTGCAACTGTAATCCCAGGTTCTCGGGAGGCTGAGGCAGGAGAATCACTTGTACCTGGGAGGCAGAGTTTGCAGTGAGGAAAGATCATACCACTGCACTCCAGCCTGGGCAACAAAGCAAGACTCTGTCTCAAAAAATAAAATAAAGTCAGATAACAGCTCTAAAAAAAAAAAAAAAGAATGTTCATAGCAGCCCCCAAACTGGAAACTACCTAAGTGTCCATCAACAGTAGAATGGATAAATTCAAAATATTATATGCATATAGTGAATATAACATTTGGCTGGGCATGGTGGCTCGCCCTTGTAATCCTAGCATTTTGGGAGCCCAAGGTGGGTGAATCAGTTGAGGTCAGGAGTTTGAGACCAGCCTGACCAACATGGAGAAACCCCATCTCTACTAAAAATACAAAAATTAGCTGGGCATGGTGGCACACACCTGTAATCCCAACTAATCAGGAGGCTGAAGCAGAAGAATCCCTTGAACCTGGGAGGCGGAGGTTGCAGTGAGCTGAGATTGCCCCACTGCACTCCAGCCTGGGTGTCAAAGCAAGATTCTGTCTCAAGCAAACAAACAAACAAAACAAAAAGAATATAATTGTGTTAATGAGAAAGGATGTCTAAAGGACACGAGTCCTCTTCAACGACTCATGAAATAATACAGATGTATCTCACAAGCATAATGCTGATAGAACAAGACCAGATACAAATGAGCCAGTATTAGTTATTGCTACAGTTAGCTATGTTTGCCCCCCAAAACTCATATTGAAATTAGATCCCCAATATTGGAGGAGGAGCCCAATGGGAGGTGTTTGGGTCATTAGGGCAGATCCTTCATGAATGGCTTGGTGCCATCCTTGTGGTACTGAATAAGTTCCCATGCTGTTACTAATCTGGAAAGCAGGTTGTTAAAAAAAGAGCCTGGCACCTCCCCCACTCTCTTGCTTCCTCTCTTACCATGTGATCCACACTGGCTCCCCTTTGCCCTCCACCATTAGTGGAAGCAGCCTGAAATCCTCAAAAGCAGCAGATGCTTGTGCTCTTGTACAGCCTGCAAAATGGTGAGCCAACTAAACCTCTTTTCTTTATAAATTACTCAGCCTCAGCTATTCCTTTATAACATAAACAGACTGAGATAGTTATCCATTAATGTATAATAAGTTACCCCAAAACTTAGCGACTTAAAACAACACATATTTATTATCTCATAGTGTCTGTGGATAAGGAATTTGGGAGTGGCTCAGCTGGATGGTTTTGGCTCAGGCTCTCTCATGAAGTTGCAGTTAGAATGTCTGCAGGGGCAGCAGGCATCTGAAGGCTTGACTGGGGCTGAAGGATTCCCCTCTCAGATGGCTCACTCACATGTTGTTAGAAGGAGGCCTCATGTGGGTCTCTCCATGAGCTGTCTGAGTATTCTCACAACATAGCATCTGAATCCCTCAGAGAAAGTGATCCAAGAGACAGCAAAAGGAGAAAGCCTCAGAATTTTTATGACCTAGCATTAGAAGTGACTTATCCTGTCTCTGTAGGTTATACAGACCAAATCTGATACCATGTGGGTGGGGACTACACAATGGCATGAACACCAGAAGTCGAGGATCACTGGGGACAATTTTGGAGGCTGGAATCATCCATTCCACACGTTTCTATAAATATAAAGTACAAAAACCGGTGAAACTAAGCTATGCTGTTGGTTAAGATAATGGTTACTCTGGGGAGAAGGTAGTGACTAGAAGGAGGGAAGAGATGGGCATTTGGGGATGCTAGTAATGTTCTGTTGCTTGATATAGGTGTAGTTATACAACTAAATTAATCAGGCTGTAACTTATATGTTCCTCCATATATATTAAACTTTGACAACTTAAGCAGATTAAGAAAAAAGAAGAAGGAGAAAAGAAAGAGAGAAAGAAGCCAGGCATGGCGGCTCACTCCTGTAATCCCAGCACTTTGGGAGGCCAAAGGGGGTGGATCACTTGAGGTCAGGAGTTTGAGACCAGCCTGGCCAATGTGGTGAAACCCCATCTCTACTAAAAATACAAAAATTAGCTGGTCATGGTGGTGGGTGCCTGTAATCCCAGCTACTCAGAAGGCTGAGGCAAGGGAATAGCTTGAACCCAGGAGTCAGAGGTTGCAGTGAGCCGAGGTCACGCCACTGCACTCCACCATGCACAACAAAGCAAGACTCTGTCTCAAAAAAAAAAAAAAAGAGAGAGAAAGAGAGATAAAGGAAGAAAAAGAACTCTGGAATACATCCAGAGGACATGGGATTCATATTCTGTGAATGGAAAATCAGACCTTCTCAAGAAGGTGCTTAGCCCAGTGGCCCAGTGACCCAGTGACCCAGTGCAACATAACTCAGAAGGAGAAGGGAGATCCTGATCCATTTGAGTGATCTAGGACACAATACATTGGCAGCTGTCTTATTATTAACCCAGGTGCCATAAATTCCTGAGTATGTAAACAGGTAAAGATATTAGAAGAAGCAGGAGTAATAAAATTTAGATGTCTGCAATATTGCTCCATTCCTGGGTGTATCATGCCAACCACCAAGAGACAACAGATTGTCTGTGCATTGATATGCGTAGTCATGACCTCATAAGACTGTTGAGAGATTAAGCGATATGATGTGTGAGAAAGTAGGAGCATAGCATGGAGGAGGCACTGAACACATGTTTATGTATTCGTTAACTGGTATTTGAATTATATATTGCCGTCTAACTCACCATCTTAAAATTTAGTGCTTTAAAACAACAGTAATTTATTATTTCTCAAAATTTTCTGGGTTAGCTGGGGCTCAGTTGGACAGTTCTTATACTGGTCTCACTTGAAGTCTTTTATGTGGGTACAGTCAGATGGTTGGGACTGGAAAGTCCAAGATGGCTGCACTCCCATATCTAGCACTTTGTGGGGATGACAGGAAAGTTGAGCCCCACAGGGTGCTGGGATCACAGGATCTAGTCTTTCTCCATATCTCAGAGTCTTTTCCTCTCCATGTGGTCTCTTCCCATACTATCTCTAGTAGAGTAGCCAAACTTTTTTCATGGTGACTCAGGGTTCCCAAAAGTACAAACATGGAAGCTGCCAGGTCTTGTGCCACATTCAGTTAATTAAAACAAGTTGGCAGATTCCATTTGGGAAGGGACTGTATACCAGGAGGTAAGATTCATTGGAGGTCATCTTTGGAGTCTAGCTGCCACATGTGGACACTTAAAATATATATCAAGGCCAGGCACAGTGGTGGGCCTGTAATCCCAGCAGGAGGATGTTGGGAAGCCAAGGTGGGTGGATCACTTGAGGTCAGGAGTTCGAGACCAGCCTGGCCAACATGGTGAAACCCCGTCTACTGAAAATACAAAAATTAGCCAGGGTGTGGTGGCACACACCTGTAATCCCAGCTACTTGGGAGGCTGAGGTAGGAGAATCGCTTTAACCTGGGAGGCGGAGGTTGCAGTGAGCCAAGATCCCACCACTGCACTCCCACCTGGGCAGCAGAGAGAGAATCCATCTCAAAAACAGAAAAGAAAAGAAATAAAATTTAAAAAATAAAATAACATACATATCAGGAAACATCAATTTTGTTTATTTCAAGAATGTACTTTCTCAATTTGTTTCTACTTTTTGTCTCAATTTTTTAAGATCAGCTTTAGGTATACTAGAAATTAACCAACTAATGAGCCTGGTGGGGAATCTTCTAAAATGGTTCCCAATCATCCCTGCCTTCTAGTGTTCAGGCCCTTAAGCAATCCCCTTCCCTTGAGTGTGGGCTGAACCTAGTGATTTGCTTCTAACAAATAAAATACAGCAAAAGTGAGAGGATGTCAGTTTTTTAATGAATTATAAAAGATTGTGACTTTGTCTTACTGGTTCTCTCTCTCTCTCTCTCTCTCTCTCTCTCTCTCTCTCTCTCTCTCTCTTTCTCTCTTTCTCTCTCCCCCTGCCCCCCACCCCACCTCTCAAAGACACTCTCCTGTCTTCTTGGCTTACTTGCTGTATGAGTTTGCTAGGGTTGCCATAACAAAGTACCACAAACTAGGTGGCTTAACAACAGAAATTTATTGTCTCACGGTTTCAGAGTCTAGAAGTCTGAAGGTATCAACCGGGTTGGTTCCTTCTAAGGGCTGTGAAGGAGGGTTCTGTCCCACACCTCTCTCCTTGGCTTGTGGATGGCTGATGGCCAGCTTCTCCCAGTGTCCCTTCACATCATCTTCTTTCAACATGTGTCCATTTCTGTGTCCAAAATTCCCCTTTATATGAAGACCTCAGTCATACTGGATTAGGGCCCACCCTAATGACCTTATTTTAGCATAGCTAATTAAATCTGTAACAACTCTATTTCCAAATAAAGTCATACCCTGAGGTAGTAGGGGTTAGGACTTTAACAATTCAACCCATAACAGGGAAGATGAGTGCTATGGGAATGGGAAAGGAAATGTTGTTTTCTTTAAAGTACATGACTCAGAGGTTGCATATAGCACCTCCCCTCATATTCCATTGGCCAGCAGTTAGCCGCATGGCCACATGACCATCCAACCTCAAGAGAAAAAGGAAATATAGTTCTTAGCTGGTGGCCACCTGCCAGCCAAAACTGTTGTTGTTTTATTATTAGAGAAAGATGGGGAAAAAGGATATTGCGGGCAACTAGCAGCTTCAGATACATTATAGTTTGCAAAAATTTTGTGAAGGAGAGAACTACCTCCTCCAAACTGCAATAATAATTGCTCTTTTGTTGCAACTACCAGCCTACCATACCAGAAATATTATGATTAGTCCTCACAATAACCCTGAGAGTCATTTTTCCTCCCACGTATTACAAAAGGAAGAATCAAGGTTCAGAGAGATTAAGCAATTTGGTCAGAGCCAAACCCTTTAAGTGGTGGAGCCTGGAATCCAGCAGAGGATTCTGTCTGGTGTTAAAGCCTGACCATTTCACTGCACCCCATCACATACCCTAGCAAGCAGCACTCCAGCAGGCCTACCTTATTTGTATTGCTTAACTTCATGGCAGTTCTGGGTAGTGACTTGAAGATTTGTATGGGAAATATCAGAAATGCCCATTTCTAGACTTTATGGGCTAACAAAGTGAGAGACAATCAGAATTCCTATATAAAACATACATTGGTAGTTGCGGGCAAGATAGCCAAATAGGAACAGCTAGGGCCTGCAGCTCCCAGCAAGATCAATGCAGAAGGCAGGTGATTTCTGCATTTCCAACTGAGGTACATGGCTCACCTCACTGGGATTGGTTAGATAGTGGGTGCAGCCTACAGAGGGTGAGTCAAAGCAGGGTGGGGCCTGCATCTCCCAGCAAGATCAATGCAGAAGGCAGGTGATTTCTGCATTTCCAACTGAGGTACACGGCTCACCTCACTGGGACTGGTTAGATAGTGGGTGCAGCCTAAAGAGGGTGAGCCAAAGCAGGGTGGGGCATCCCCTCACCCAGGAAGCACAAGGGGTTGGGGAACTCCCTTCCCTAGCCAAGGGAAGCCGTGAGGGACTGTGGCATTAGAAACAGTGCACTCCGGCCCAGATACTACGCTTTTCCCACAGTCTTCACAACCCGCAGACCAAGAGATTCCCTTGGGTGCTTATGTCACCAGGGCCCTGGGTTTCAAGCACAAAACTGGGCGGCCATTTGGGCAAACACCAAGCTAGCTGCAGGAGATTTTTTTTCATACCCCATTGGCACCTGGAATACCAGTGAGAGAGAACTGTTCACTACCCTGGAAAGGGGGCTGAGGCCAGGGAGCCAAGTGGTCTAGCTCAGCAGATCCACCCCCACAGAGCCCAGCAAGCTAATATCCACTGGCTTGAAATTCTTGCTGCCAGCACAGCAGTCTGAAGTCCACCTGGGGTGCTCAAGCTTGGTGGGAGGAGGGGTGTCCACCATTACTGAGGCCTGAGTGGGCATGCAAACAAAGTGTAAACACAAACACGGTGTAAACACAAACACAGTGTAAACAAAGTGTAAACACAAATGCAGTGTAAACAAAGCATAAACACAAACACAGTTTAAACAAAGCCACTGGGAAGTTCGAACTGGGTGGAACCCACAGCAGCTCAGCAAAGCCGCTGTAGCCAGACTGCCTCTCTAGACTCCTCCTCTCTGGCAGGGCATCTCTGAAAGAAAGGCAGCAGCCGGTAGTCAGGGGCTTATAAATAAAACTCCCATCTCCCTGGGACAGAGCACCTGGGGGAAGGGGCTGCTGTGGGTGCAGCTTCAGCAGACTTAGACATTCCAGCCTGCTGGCTTTGAAGAGAGCAGCAGATCTCCCAGCATAGCACTTGAGCTCTGCTAAGGGACAGACTGCCTTCTCAAGTGGGTCCCTGACCCCCATGCCTCATGACTGAGAGACACCTCCCAGCAGGGGCTGACAGACACTTCATACAGGAGAACTCCAGCTGGCATCTGGCAGGTGCCCTTCTGGGATGAAGCTTCCAGAGGAAGAAACTGCAGCCTCCACTGGTGATACCTAGGCAAACAGGGTCTGAAGTGGACCTCCGGCAAACTCCAGCAGACCTACAGAAGAGGAGCCTGACTGTTAGAAGGAAAACTAACAAACAGAAAGGAATAGCATCAACATCAACAAAAAGGACGTCCACACAGAAACCCCATCAAAGGTCACCAACATCAAAGACCAAAGGTAGATAAATCCATGAAGATGAGGAAAAACCAGCTCAAAAAGGCTGAAAATTCCAAAAACCAAAATGCCTCTTCTCCTCCAAAGGATCACAATTCCTCATCAGCAAGGCAACAAAACTGGAGGGAGAATGAGTTTGATGAATTGACAGAAGTAGACTTCAGAAGGTGGGTAATAACAAACTCCTCTGAGCTAAAGAAGCATGTTCTAACCCAATGCAAGGTAGCTAAGACCCTTGAAAAAAGGTTAGAGGAATTGCTGATGAGAATAACCAGTTTAGAGAAGAACATAAATGACCTGAAGGAGCTGAAAAACACAGCACAAGAACTTCATGAAATATACACAAGTATCAATAGCCAAATCAATCAAGTGGAAGGAAGAAAGGGTATCAGAGATTGAAGATCAACTCAATGAAATAAAGCGTGAAGACAAGATTAGAGAAAAAAGAATGAAAAGGAATGAACAAAGCCTCCAAGAAATATGGGACTACATGAAAAGGCCAAACCTATGTTTGATTGGTGTACCTGAAAGTGATGGGGAGAATAGAACCAAGTTGGAAAACACTCTTCAGGATATTATCCAGGAGAACTAGCCCAACCTAGCAAGACAGGACAACATTCAAGTTCAGGGAATACAGAGAACACCAGAAAGATACTCTTCAAGAAGAGCAATCCCAAGATATATAATCGTCAGATTCACCAAGGTTGAAATGAAGGAAAAAATGCTGAGAGATTTTTGTCACCACCAAGCCTGCCTTGCAAGAGCTCCTGAAGGAAGCATTAAATATGGGGGGGAGAAAAAAACAACAATACCAGCCACTGCAAAAACATACCAAATTATAAAGACCATCGACATTATGAAGAAACTGCATCAACTAACAGGCAAAATAACTAGCTAGCATCATAATGACAGGATCAAATTCACACATAACAATATTAACCTTAAATGTAAATGGGCTAAATGCCCCAATTAAAAGACACAGACTGGCAAATTGGATAAAGAGTGAAGACCACTGGGCACAGTGGCTCATGCCTGTAAACCCAGAACTTTGGGAAGCTGAGGTGGGTGGATCACAAGGTCAGGAGATCGAGACCATCCTGGCTAACATGATGAAACCACATCTCTACTAAAAATACAAAAATTAGCTGGATATGGTGGCACATGTCTGTAATCCCAGTTACTTGGGAGGCTGAGGCAGGAGAATCACTTGAACCAGGGAGTCAGAGGTTGCAGTAAGCCAAGATCACGCCACTGTACTCCAGCCTGGTGACAGACCAAGACGCCATCTCAAAAAAAAAAAAAAAAAAAGAGTCAAGACCCATCAGTGTGGTGTATGCAGGAGACGCATCTCACATGCAGAGACACACATAGGCTCAAAATAAAGGGATGGGGGAATATTTACCAAGCAAATTGAAAACAACAAAAAAAGCAGGGGTTGCAATCCTAGTCTCTGTTAAAACAGACTTTAAACCAACAAAGATAAAAAAATACAAAGAAAGGCATTACATAATGGTAAAGGGATCAATGCAACAAGAAGAGCTAACTATCCTAAATATATATGCACCCAATACAGGAGCATCCAGATTCATAAAGCAAGTTCTTAGAGACCTACAAAGAGACTTAGACTCCCGCACAATAATAATGGGAGACTTTAACACCCCACTGTCAATATTAGATCAATGAGACAATAAATTAACATTTTTTTTAGAACTGAAATAATTACATTCTATGATAAAATTATTTTGAGATTAATATACCATAAGGCTGCCAGAAATCTATTATCTTTGTACAAATTGATATTTTTAAAAAATTCTTTATTTTTATCAACACATTGTAATTATATATATTTATGGGGTACAATTTGATGTTTTGATATATATATGTTGTATAATGATCAAATCAGGGTACTTAGCATACTCAAAAAAATACAGTGGCATAAACATATAAAACACTCTACACAATACACATACATACACACACATGTACATGTACATACACACACACACATATATAGTTTTGCTTTTGTGGAAAATTACTGTCCTTTCCTTTTTTCCTCCAAGAGCATCACTTTGCTCTGTGTTGCTCTGGTTTTAAAAAAAAATCACAATGTTTATCAGAAAATAAGGTTTGTAGTCTGCTTTGCCTATGGAGTAGCCATTCTTTATTCCTTTACTTTGCTAGTAAACTTGCTTTCACTTTTTAAAAAGCAGAAAAAGAAAAGAAGATATATAAATAAGATTTTGCTGAAGTTGAGCAGTGAGTTTTATCCCTGTCCCTCTCCCAAATCTGATGGCAGGTTATTGTTTCAATTATCTTAGCCACTTTTTCTTTTTCTCTAGGCAGATGCAGGGAGTCAATTGGGGATGATGATTCACTAGTCTCAATTGCTCTGTGAAGGCTTTCCTCAGTGGCTTCTATTTCGTTGTGTAAACCCAAAGGTTGCCATAAGATGATCCTCTCCTCTCCCCCTTTATGGGTTAGCAGCAGTTTCTTCCACTAATCTATGAAAATTCTGGAAAAGAGGTATGTAGGTAACATCAGAGAGCAAGAGCTTTTTGGGAAAGAGGTACCAACACTCTAATCTGAGCTACTGAAATTGGAGATAGGGAAACCTGTCAGGGTAAACCCCTGAAGTCAGCTGGCAGGCAAGGCACCAATTGCCACAAAGGGAAACTCACCTGAAGGGCAAGTGCATTCTCAGTTGGTCACTCGGGCTTGACACCAGGGACTCAGTGCTTGGGCAAGGAGGTGGATTCTTTCTACTTCAGTGAGTGATTAAGAGCCAAAATGCTCAAGACCTTACCACTCAGGGTATGGAATCTGAGCCTATGTGCTTCCCAGGACAGCTGCAACTGTGGAGCCCAATTCTGGAGTAAATGAAGTTGGTTGTGTGTCTGGTCCAGTAAGGATATCATCATCTACTGAACTGTGGTATTAGAAAAGCCCCGTGAGGGCAGAGCCATGTCTAGTGTGTTTCCTGTTGTATTCCTGGTGCCTAGCCCACTATCTTGTATGTGGAAGGTGCTCAGTGAATAGTTCATCATAAAAGATGCTAAAGAATTCAGGATCTAGAATTCAGTAACATAACACTGTGGTAGCAACCACAGCAACCATAGCAACCATGCTGGTAGACTCAAATCTCTCTACCTCATATCTGGAAAACAAAAGTGCCCTGCTTTGGACTGAATTCTTGGACTATCAGGTGGAGGACATAAAGAGACCTTGAAAAGGAAATACTCTAGTTCTTGTAAATAAAGGTAAACTGATTTGCAATGAATTGACTGGAAAAATAAATGTTAGTGTATGTGCACCCCAAGTAAGTAGAACAAATCATACTGGTTGCATAAGATATTATTTCAGGTATCTGAATCATGTAGATCACGGGTGACAACTGCAAGGTTCTGATTCCCTGAAAGGACATGCCTGAACAAATCTTATTTTAGTTGGATGAACCACTTGGTATGTATATATATCAATCTTTTACATCAGAAATAGCTCCTCACTCCAAAATGGGCTCAAGTTACTTTTCAGGTGTAAAAGGAGAAACTCAGCATTTCTAGTTCTCCAAATCGAATGTTAAAATCAGGCCAATTTCTCCATATTGCTGTATAAGAAATCAGAGGTAACGAAGACACAGCAGATATTATTTATTTCCAGAGCAAACATATTCACAATGACTGCTATGTAAATAATTCAAGTAAAATATTAGTTTTAACAATCTTGCATGCATTTTCATGGAGTTAGCAATTATTACTTAAAACACACACACAACTTAGTAACTATAAGTGAATCCATGTTTTATAAACTATATATACCTGAAAACTATGGGGTAAATAATATTTGTATAAATATAATTAAATTGTAAATGAGGTAGAAAAGTTTTGCAGATGACATGATTCTATATCTAGAAAACCCCATAGTCTTGGCCCAAAAGCTTCTTATGCTGATAAACAACTTCAGCAGTTTCAGGACACAAAACCAACATACAAAAATCACTAGCATTCCTATACACCAAAAACAGCCAAGCTGTGAGGCAAATCAGGAATGTAATCCCATTCATAACTGCCACAAAAATAATAAAATACCTGGGAATACAAGGGAGGTGAAAGATCTCTACAATGAGTATTACAAAACACAGCTCAAAGAAATCAGAGATGACACAAACAAGCGGAAAACATTCCAAATTTATGGTTAGAAAGAACAAATATCATTAAAATGGTCATACTGCCCAAAGCAATTTACAGATTCAATGCTATTTCTATCAAACTACCAATGACATTCTTCACAGAACTAAAAAAAACTATTTTAAAATTCATATGGAACCGAAAAAGAGCCTGAATAGCCAAGGCAATCCTAAGCAAAAAAACAAAGCTGGAGGCATCACTTTACTGGACTTTGAACTATACTACACGGCTACAATAACTGAAACAGCATAGTACTGGTACAAAAAAAAAAAAGACACATAGATCAATGGAACAGAATAGAGAGCCCAGAAATAAGGCCACACACCTACAACTATCTGATCAGCTTCAACAAAGCTGACAAAAATAAGCAATGAGGAAGGGACTCCCTATTCAATAAATAGTGCTGGGATAACTGGCTAGCCATATACAGAACATTGAAACTAGACCCCTTCTTTACACCATATATAAAAATCAACTCAAGATGGATTAAGACTTAAATGTAAAACCCAAAACTATAAAAACCATGGAAGACAACCTAGGCAGTGCCATTCTGGACATAAAACCTGGCAAAGATTTGATGATGAAGATGCCAAAAGCACTTGCAACAAAAGCAAAAATTGATAAATAGGGTCTAATTAAACTAAAGAGCTTCTGCACAGGAAAAGAAACTATCAACAGAGTAAATAGACAACCTACAGAATGGGAGAAAATATTTGCAAACTATGCATCCAACAAAGGTCTCATATTGAAATGCAAATCAAAACCACAATGAAAGACCATCTCACTCCAGAAAGAATGGCTATCAAAGGAATATAAGTCATTCTATTATAAAGATACATACATGTGCATGTTCATTGTAGCCCTGTTCACAATAGCAAAGACATGGCATCAACCTAAATGCCCATCAGTGATAGACTGGATAAAGAAAATGTGGTACATATACACCATGAAATATTATGCAGCCATAAAAAGGAATGAGATCATATCCTTTGCAGGGACATGGATGGAGTTGGAGGCTATTATTCTCAGCAAACTAACACAGGACTAGAAAACCAAACACTGCATGTTCTTACTTGTAAGTGGGAGCTGAATGATGAGAACACATGGGGAGGAACAACACACACTGGGTCCTGTCAGGAGGTGCCAGGGGAGGGAGAGCATGAGGAAAAATAGCTAATGGATGCTGGGCTTAATACCTAGGTGATGGGATGATCTGTGCATCAAACCACCATGGCATGTGTTTACTTATGTAACAAACCTGCACATCCTGCACATGTACCCCTGAACTTCAAAGTTGAAGAAAAAAAGGTCTCATATCCAGAATCTATAAGAAACAAACAAATTTACAAGAAAAAAACCATTAGAAAGTGGGCAAAGGATGTGAACAGACACTTTTCAAAAGAAGACATACATGTGGCCAATAGGCATATGAAAAAAAGCTTAATATCACTAATCATTAGAAAAATGCAAATCATTTTGCATTTAGTACATATACACCATGAAATACTATGCAGCCATAAAAAAAGGAGATCATGTCCTTTGCATGGACATGGATGAAGCTGGAGGCCATTATCCTTAGCAACCTAATGCAGGAACAGAAAACCAAATACCACATGTTCTCACGTATAAGTGGGAGCTAAATGCTGTAAACACATAGACACAAAGAGGGAAACAACAGACATGGGGCCTACCTGAGGGTGGAGGGTGGGTAGAAGGAAAGGAGCAGATAAAATAACTATTGGGTACGAGGCTTAGTACCTGGCTGACAAAATAATCTGTACAACAAATGAGTTTACTTATATAACAAACCTGCACTTGAACCTAAAATTAAAAAAAAGTCCCCAAAAAATCATGTGATAAAAATGAATATTAATATTATTTCATTTTTTTTACGTGGGTCTGGGGACCAAGGGAGAATATTATTTCTTAAAGCCAATGTTGACATTTGAGTTTTCATTTGTGCAGGATTACCCGGTAGTGTAATTGCCCAAAGGGTTCTTCCTATCTGCTGCATGGATAAACCAGTTCACTGAGACAGCATTATTGCAGTAAAGAGTTTAGTTTACACAAGGCCAGCCAGGTGGGAGGACAGGAGTTCATTATTACTCAAATCAGCCTCCCTGAGAACCCTGAATCCTGAGTTTTTATGGATAATTTGGTGGGCAGGGGACTAGGGAATGGGTGCTGCTGATTAGTTGGGGATGAAATCATAGAGATGTGGAAAATGGTCCTCATGCATTGAATCTGCCTCTAGGTGGGGGCCATGGGACTGATTTTGAGTCATGAGTCACAGGCCTGGGGGGTGTCATTCAGTTGCCAGAATGCAAAAGTCTGAAAAAAATCTCAAAAGACCAGTCTTAGGTCTTACAATACTGATGTTATGTATAGGAGCAATTGAGGAAGTTACAAATCTTGTGATCTCTGGCCACATGACTCCTGAGCAGTAAAGTATTATAGAAAAACAATCTAGGGGAACAATGGCTGCTTATTGTTGGGAACAGGCCCCCAAATCTGGCCATAAACTGGCCCCAAAACTGGCCATAAACAAAATCTCTGCAGCACTGTGACATGTTCATGATGGCTATGACACCCACACTGAAGGTTGTGGGTTTACCAGAATGAGGGCAAGGAACACCTGCCCGACCCAGGGCAGAAAACCACTTAAAGGTGTTACTAAGCCACAAACAATAGCACGAGAGATCTGTGCCTTAAGGATATGTTCCTGCTACAGATAACTAGCCAGAGCCCATCCTTTCATTTCGACCCATCTCTTTGTTTCCCATAAAGAGTACTTTTATTTAATCTATAATCTATAGAAACAATACTTATCCCTGGCTTGCTGTTAATAAATATGTGGGTAAATCTCTGTTCAGGGTTCTCAGCTCTGAAGGCTATGAGTCCCCTGATTCTGACTCTGTACTATATTTCTGTGTCTTTCTCTTAATTCTTCTAGCACCGCTGGGTTAGGGTCTCCACAACCGAGCTTGTCTCAGGAGCTTATCATTTAGCTATACCTACATTTTATTAGAATTCAGGCCCCTTTCATAATCCTAATCTTGTGGCCTTTCATTAGTCTTACAAACATGGTTTCAGTCCCTGAACAAGGAGGGGATCAGTTTTAGGAAGGGATTATTATTATTCTGGCTTTATAACTAAACTGTAAACTAAATTCCTCTCATAGTTAGCTTGGCTTTTGCCCAGGAGTGAGTGAGGACAGTCAGCCTGTGAAGCTAGAAGCAAGACAGAGTCAGTCATGCTAGACCTCTCTTGCTGTCATAATCTTTGCAAAAATGATTTTAGTAGAAAAAGTATGGGACTATTTTGGTCAGACAGACCTTGATTAAAATCCTTGTAATTAACATTGGTTTGTTTATCTGTAAATATATATTTTTTAAATTTGCTTAAAAGATTGTGAGGATTTAATATAAAGCACAGTGCTTGACATAAGAGTTGCTCAGTAACTATTACCTCCGTTTTGGTGAAGACCTAATTCCCAGCAGTTGCTGGATAAAATTTATTGAAGACCAATGGTTTGGACTGGTCTTCTGCACTAGGTCCAACAGATCAAACCAAAATGAAGTTACTTTTGCTGAAGTTCCACTCCACCAAACGGAAACTAAGTTGTTTATCTGACCTTCCAACAAACGAGAAGAGAGAAAGATAGCCAAATCTTCAAACAGGCCAGTTTTGGCTGACATAAGCAAGTCCCCTCTGCTTTAACCTTTATAAGGAAAGCAATTTTGAAATGACCAATCTGCTTTTTGTTCTCTGTTTTTGCTTTTTTATGACCTTTTCTGTCTATAAAGCCAATTTCCTCTGTTCAGCTCATGGCAACACTCATTCTACTTTGTACAATGAGGTGTTGCCTGATTCTAGAATTCCAAACAAAAGCCAATTAAGATATTTCAACTAAATTTTTTGTAATTTGTCTTTTGACACACTTGAGCACTTATTAAATATTACAGCTTTGCCTCAGCCACGCTGTGGAAGTTGGGGAAGGGCCTGTATTGTGCTTCAGAACGAATTGCTAAGAGGAGAGCTGTATCTTCACAAGGCGTGAGTGGTGACATTAGGGGCTGTCACTAATAGAACAGAAGACATCTGTGCCTCTAAAAGCAGCAAGTTAATGTGGGTCATTAATAGCTGAGGTAGTGACAGGGCAGCAGAAACAAGGCCTGTCCCTGAGCACAGCTGGGACAATACCCTTGGGCCCTGGGTGGAGGTGGGAGTGTCACACTGAAGAAAGGAAATTTTTGACAGTTAGTTTGGTGGAATTACAAGATATCTTAATTGAGCATTAAAATAACATGCCCCTGTCTTGCAGTCACATCAGTTATTTTTTTCACAGCATGAAATTGGCTTCTGTTTCATTGATTTAGATTGGATTTGGGAGTAGTTTGAGAAAATGTTGTAGCCTACACTCCCCTTCCCTTTTTTTTCCCCCCCTTTCTTTCAGGAACATCAGAGACCTGGGTGGGAGAGAGTAAGAGAAAGAACACAGAGTAAAAAATAAAGTAT
Source organism: Homo sapiens (assembly GCF_000001405.40). Classification (NCBI taxonomy): domain Eukaryota; kingdom Metazoa; phylum Chordata; class Mammalia; order Primates; family Hominidae; genus Homo; species Homo sapiens. Next base: position 43,357,610 of record NC_000005.10, on the reverse strand, counting down.
AACCACAACTTTTGGAAATAAGGAGAAGAATTTGGGAGCTTGATCATGTTTTTGCTTTTGTTGTTTTCCCATTCTGCTTCACCTTCCACCAAGCCTACTTCCCCAATGCCATGGCAGAAGATCAATGACAACAACTCTTAATCTTTTCTGACTGGCTTCACTATCCTGAATGGTGTCAAAGAACTGGTTCTTCCCTGCACTGAAATTGGAATCTATTACGATGGTCTGCTGTATACTGAATCATTGGCCCCAATTTTTTGTCCTTCCCTGTATGCACACCCTTTGCCAAGTGACTTTGCAGTTCCTCCCACAAAAACAGAGTGTATTTCTTCTCGCCTTGACTTTGGACTTGACCACATGACTAACTTTGGCATGTTAGCAGATGTGATGCAAAGGAGGGCTTGGAGAGTATTTGTGCAGTGGTGCTTGCCCTCTTGCACTCTGCCACTGCCATAAGAATCCTCCACTCTGGGTAGCAACTCCTTCCATTCTGGGTCCTAGAATGAAAACACCCCAGCACAGATCTAAACTGGCCAGACCCATATTTTGAACAGAGCCATTCAGTTGAACCCACTCTGGATCAGCTGACCCCTAGCTAACCTGCAGAGGTGAGCAAATAAATGTTGCTGTTTTAAATCATTGAGCTTTGGGGTGGTTTGTTTTACAGTAGTAGCTGACTAATGCCATATTTCTATAGAAGGGAGGTAGAGAGAAATGTATGCTTTTTTCATAGGAATTCATCTGTCACAGGGGAAATCCTGCTACATCAGGGAATGGAAGAGAGGAGGAGAGGTGATAGGCCAGAGTGACAATGAGGTTGTGAGAAAAACAAGATAAATCTGGGGGATATTACAAAATAAAGTCAGCTTGGCATGGTGGCTCATACCTGTAATCCCAGCCTGGGCAACATAGTGAGATCCATCTCTAAAAAGAAAAAATAGGCCAGGCACAGTGGCTCATGCCTATAATCCCAGCACTTGGCAGGTAGTGGGGTGGGGGGCCGATGCGGGTGGAACACCTGAGGTCAGGAGTTCAAGACCAGCCTGACTAACATGGTGAAATCCCATCTCTACTAAAAATACAAAAAATTCACCAGGCGTGGTGGCAGATGCCTGTAATCCCAGATACTTGGGAGGCAGAGGCAGGAGAATCACTTGAACCCAGGAGGCAGAGGTTGCAGTGAGCCAAGATCGTGCCACTGCACTCCAGCCTGGGCAACAAAGACTGTCTCAAAAAAAAAAAAAAAAAAACCTGGGTTTGATGGCATGTACCTGTAGTCCCAGCTACATGGGGTAGGGGCAGGGAGGGTAGGGCTGAGGCAGGAGGATCACTGGAGCCTAGGAGTTCAAGGCTTCAGTGAGCCTTGATCATACCGCTGTACTGCACCCTGGGTGACAGATCAAGACCCCTGTCTGTAAATAAATAAATATGTCAGAGGTATACTGCCCTTAAAGTGTGGGCTGAGCATAGTGATTCCCTTTTAAAGAGCACAGTATAGAAAGTGGGAAAAGAGTAACTTTATAGTGGAAAACCCTGGTAAACATTGCCTTAGTCAGATGATCAAGGTTAACATCAACCGCAATAAGTCATGTTGATAGTATGTACCCTTGGTATGATTTAATGAGAATAGCACTTTAACCTCGGTGGTCTTCCTCCAGAAAATCTATAACCCCAGTCTTGCCATGAGAAAAACATTGGACAAACCCCAGTTGGGGAACGTTCTACAAAATAGTTGACTAGCATTTCTCAAAACTGCCAAGGTCGTCAAATACAAGGAAAGCCTGAGAAATCGCCACAGCCTAAGATGATATAATAATGTGGTGTTATGTGGTATCCTGGATGGGGTCCTGAACAGAAAGAAAAGACTGGGTAAAAACAGAGGAAATCTGAATAAAAGCATAGAATTTAGTTAATGATAATGTGTCAGTATTTGTTCATTAGTTATGACAAATGTACCATATGTAAGATATTAACAACTGGGGAAACGGGGTGTGGAGTGTATGGGAACCCCGTATAACATTCATAATTTTGCTGTAAACCTAGAACTACTCTAAAATTAAAAGTGTATTTTTAAAAAATCAAAGAATACTTTAATCCAATTCTCACATCCCCTTAGAAGTCTTTTTTGTTTTGATTTCACTCATTGATACATTCTCCCTCTCTTTCTTCAAGGCCTAGAAATGCCAGTTCACCAATTCTTTTCAAGACAGTACCTTCAATTCTTTTTTTTTTTGAGACAGGGTCTGGCTCTGTCAGCCAGGCTGGAGTGCAATGGCATAATCATGGCTCACTGCAACCTCTGGCTCCTGGGCTCAGGTGATCCTTCCACCTCAGCCTCCCGAGTAGTGAGGACCATAGCATATGCCACAATGCCTGGCTGATTTTTGTATTTTTATTTTCAATTTTTATACATTTTTAAATTTTTGTATTTTAGTAGAGACAGGGTTCCACCATGTTGCCCAGGCTGGTCTCGGACTGCTGGACTTAGGCAATCAACTTGCCTTGGCCTCCCAAAGTGCTGGTATTACAAGCATAAGCCACCATGCTCGGTCCCTTTAATTCTTTTCTTTCCCTTCATTTGTTCACATGTCACCTGTAATCATTCTTGTAGGCAAGCTGCCCCAGGCAAAGCAAGACAGGGCAGGACAGGTAGGGCAGTCGTACCAGTCCCACCTACTTACTATCACCTCAGCAATTCAAACAGTTGGATAAAATACCATGTCTCTCCTCAGAGTAAAATTACTTTGGAACTGTGAAAACAAGGAGTATTCTTATTTTAGATATTGAAAAATCATAGAACTTAAGAATGTGGCAAGTAATTGGAAAATCTCTCATTTTAAAGATGAAGAGGACAAGAGCTGGAAAATGTAAGGTTGAAAAGGGCAGGCTCAAAGCCATGTTTCCTGCTTTAGAGATTATATGTGCAGTTTATCACACATAATTTTTAGGGAAATAATTACCCAGATCAACTACATTTATTTCAGAAAATATTTAAGCATCTACTTTGGGCAAGGCATTGTGCTAGATGCTGAAGACAATAGAAACATGAGCAAGAATAGTACCTGTCCCCAAGGAGCTTCCAATGTAGGGATGAGAGAGAAATAACACCAATATGTGGAATAACTATAATGTAAGCAAGAGTAGTATATGTGCCATAAGAGGTATAAGGTGGTGAGAAAGGTGACATGACATCCAGTCAAAGATATCAAGAAAGGATTCATGGGCAGGGTATCATTTGCAGTGGGTTTTGAAGGATGGGTGAGACTTTGGTGGGTAGAGATGGGGTGGCAAGGCATTCTAGACAGAAGAGCAAAAGTCAAGTCAGAAATGTGGGAATATATAGATTGAAGTTGAGGAAGAGCAAATAATTTGGTTTGGTAAGAAAATTCTGCAAGAATAGGCCAGGATACTATGGACAAAGGACTTTGGATGGCTGTAGCTTTGGTATTTAATTCCCTAAGAAATGAGGAATGCCTGGTTTGTGCCACTAGCAGAGAAGATGTGGGACTTTAACTGGCTTGCTGTTCTCCAGTTCAGAATGGTGAGAAGGTAGAGCCACCCTATACCCACAATGTAGAGGGAGCACATAAGCTAGATTGGAGGAAGGCATGTCACTTGAATGAGGTGGGAACACACTGGGAAATCCAAAGCGGTCTATGAGAATGTGAGGCTGAAGCAGTACAACATAAGCATAGCCAAAAGAATGGTTAAATGTGAGCCAAGAGGTATGAGACATGCATAGGGGTTAGGCCATAACTGCAGAACTTTGTTCTTAAAAGAACAAAGAAGGCCAGGAAATGTCCTGAGCAGTGAGTTATGGAGCAAGAGGAAGGTGAGCTAGGAACTTCAGGAAACTCTACAAACAGGAGGCCCATTAGTCTGGAATACTCTCTTATCCTGATCATCAAGATGCTACATATGGAAATTAACCTAGTGTGGTAAGTATAAAGTTCCAAAGTGAGTGTCAGGATGAGATGCAGATTTTCTTTCTTTTTTTTTTAAGAGGCAAATAAAAGTAATCTTTAAATCATTTGAAAAACATGGTGTTTATTTGTCCAATACAGCTTCAAACTTAAATGCTATGGTTATAATTTCCAAACTTCTGCAAAATTAACATTTATATATACATATGGGTTTTGTGTATAGAACCATATTTTGCAATCAACAAGTTTTAGAGAACAATATATCTGGTTACAGTCCCACATATCTGTAGTAAAGACAAAGCCACATAATATTCATGATGTTAAATCTGGCTCTAAATAACCTAAGGTACAAAATTTTGACCAAATATCAAAATTATAATAATCTGATCTTAAAAATTCAACCCATATGAAACTACTTTTTAGAGAGTAAATGTGCTGTTCAGTAATTCTTTCAATAACCCTTTCTTTTTATGAGTATCTGCAAACTGATCCTTTTCTTTAATCTTCGTGACTCACCAATATTTCAAAGTGACCTCTTTGCTTCCGTGTTACCATGTCAGTACCCAGGGATTGCTGAGGCAGCATAAATTTGACTTCATAAAAAGAGTAGATGCTTTAACAGTGACAGTTTTTAAATCTGTAAACTCAATAATCACATTAGTGATTCAGCAACTATAAAAACATTGAGATTGTGGCACTGAAAGCCAGAATCTCTTTGTGCTTTTAAAATTAAGCTGCTTTTGCATCTTTTTGGTATTTTATCAGCCATCTGTATTTCCCTTATAATAATAAAAGAATATATTTAAAATAAATTTTAAGGTTAAATGTCCTGGGGGGCTTATCAATACTTTTTTTTTAAAACACAGTATAAATCAATTATCTTTTTTCCTTCAGTATTTGGAAGAGCAAAAGTTATTTCTGGTCCCTCCTTAGATCAATCCACACCACTTTTCATGACATATAACACTGAAATTTACAGACATCCCTGAAATGTTTTTAAGTAAACGAGTGAATCACAGTGGAGTCTCCATCAGTTAAACAGTGTAGATCCATTTTTTTAAAAAAACTGAATTTTAAAAGAAAATCTTCAAGCTAAAAACAAAAACAAAACCCTCCTAAGAACTAAAAGCCGAGTGTGTGTTGTCAATGATTCGGTACTTTTATCCCCTGACTGATTTAGACTCTTCCTCCTCATGTTGTAAGACATGTTTGCTGAAATCTTCTCGCCAAGCTTTTGGGATGCCTGGGTGAAGAGGCTATGCTACTGTAGCATCTAACGGAATAGTGACACCATTTCTTCCCTAATAGACTTCATATCCAAAGATGAGCAATGAGTCTCACTCCCCTGCATTTACCAGCATCTTATCAGGAGATAATACTTGCTGTGCAAATTGATAAGAGTTGATCCTCCCACCCCACCCCCACCCCACCCCACCCCACCCCCTACTGTCAATATGAGGTTATCATCAGTTTGTCATTATATGCACTGGCCTTTCACTCTTTCAATCAGAAAAGCTGTGGCTTACTTTAAAAAGGTCGGGGAGGGACAGGGAGAAATGAAAAACCAAGAGTCTAAAGGCATAAGATCGCATAGCTGCTCTAGTTGGAGTTTGTAAACAGAGAGTAGGTTGAATTCAGGTAATCCCAATCTATGAGAGTAAAAAGGCATTCGCAGCAGGCTTTTATCCAGCCAGCTTCTTTGAGACCCTTCATGGGTTTTGAGGTCTACAAAGTATGCACTGAAATACCCATACTTCAAAAAGCAATAAGGCAAATAGTATAATCATTATTCCAAACGTTACAGTGGTAGTGTAGGCATACATAGTATAATTTAGTTACAATGTGTGGTACTGTTTCTATTATATAACCATATTAACTGTTTATTTCCTACATAATTATAAATTCAGCTGGGTTTCAGTTGAACAAAAAACATCCTTGTATCACCATTGATAGTTGGCAATAGCTCTTTGATAGCAGTTTTTATTCTGCTGTAGAAATTATCCTTGAACTGAAAAAAGTTCACAATCCAATGTCCAGTCATTAAACACTATCATATTTGTGAAGAGCTTCTTCCAACTTCTGGGTCACTTTTTGGAAAAATATTATTTGTTGTAAGAAATGCTGGAGATGCAAATTTTCAAAGGAAATGCTCAAGCATTGGTTTGGATTCACAATTCTAAAAACACTCAACTCATAATAAGGGTGTGATGGTCAGTTTTATGGGTCGACTTGGCTAGGCTACTCTACAATTCCCAGTTATTCAATCAAACACTAATCTAGGTGTTGCTGAGAAGGAATTTGGTAGACATAAAGTTCATAGCAGTTGCCATTAGGGACATTATCTAGATAATCTGGATGGGCTGGATTCAACCAGTTGAAAAGATTTGAAAAGCAAAGCTGAGACTTCCCTGAAGAAAAAGCAATTCCACATGTGGAGTGCAGCTGCAGCTGTTGCCTGAAGCTCCAGCCTGCTGTTCCTGATGGCTTGCTTTCAGGATCTGCCTAGCCAGTCCCCACAACTGTGTAAGTCAATTACTTGCAGTAAATCTTTGACTATATATCTCCTGTTGGTTCGGTTTCTCTGGTTGAACCCTGAGTGAGTTGAAAGAGGAGTGCTCAAGAGACAAGTTAGGTGAGGAAGTTTTCTTTGGAGAGAGGTATGCTTTGATTTCCTTCCCTCAAATGGAATGGGGCTTCCATGGGACTCCTAAGAATGTGACATGTGCTCTATGAAGTTGGGGGCAGCATGGACTGATAACAGTTTCTCAGGATAAGAGCAGGTGGGCTACCTCCTTTAGCAGACGAGCCACCTAAAACCAGGACAGAGACTTCCAAGTAAAAATATGAATTGAATATACATTGACATTTACTCCCTTGTGAAAACTGACTGAAATGATAGTACATGGACTTTGTAAAAAATCATAAGAATAGGAAGCCTAAGAGAGGAAACAACAGGAGCAAGATTTTCTTGGGAAGGAAATAAAAGAGTGATTGAAAAATCTAGCAGAACCTATCAGTATCGTCTGAGTACATAAGCAGCTATTGGAAAAGAAAAAAAATCTCAATATTCCTTATGGGAACAACAGAAAATACAAAAATTCAACTCCAGATTCCCGGAAGAGGCCTTTGGGTAAGCACGGACATTCACTACTTCAGTGCTGGATTACTCTGAATTTTCAAAAGTGGATATTAGTGTCAGAAGATACAATTAACTTAATACCACCATAAAATAAAGCCAAATCAATATCTAGGGGTATTGGTTATGGGTTTGTGTCATCTCAGCTTCAAATTCACTCTGTTAATTTCCCTGTACTGTGAAAACAATTCTGGGATCTTCAAAGGATTTTCCTTTGCCAGCTGGCACAATGTTAAGCTTTGTCAGTGGAGGGGTTCTAGAAAGACATTGCAAGAGGGAAAAAGGGGTTTTGCTTTCTGATTCCCTGTGCTTCTCTCAGCAGGCTCCTGCAAGAGTTTAGTGTGTGGGGTGTGGGACGAGGCAGTAGCCCCCAGAGGCCAGCAGCACTCCCCTTCTCAACACCAGCCCCCGGTCTTGAGCAGCTTTGTAGCCCAACGCCTCTGGTGAGCCCCAACAATTTTCCCCAGCACCCTGGAGGATAAATTTCCACAAATTCCAGAGGACATGCCACCATAGTGACTTCTGTGCCTTTCCGTGAGCCACAGCCAAGTTCTCTCCAACAAAGTCTGGCTCTCAGCCCAGTGTGGGGGCTTTTCCTTGGATGCTCCATCTCACCTAAGAGACCTGGGGATAGTGGCTGCTCTTTATATCTGCTATTCCTGTATTCTTTAGAATTCTCTCTTGACTACTCAATGTAGGTACACCAATCTCATCATTTAGTGCCTAATTCTTTATATTAAACATTTCCTGTTTAAATTACTATGTGTTTCCTCTTTCCTGATTGGATTCAGACGGAGAGAAGAAGAAAAAAGTAGCAAACTTGATACACATTAAATTTTTAGAATTTTACTTTATTTTTTGTTTTGTTTTGTTTTGTTTTTGAGATGGAGTCTCCCCCTGTCACCTAGGCTGGAGTGCAATGGCGCAATCTTAGCTCACTGCAAACTCCACCTCCTGGGTTCAAGTGATTCTCCTGCCTCAGCCTCCCGAGTAGCTGGGACTACAGGTGCATGCCACCATGGCTGGCTAATTTTTGTATTTTTAGTAGAGACAAGGTTTCACCGTGTTGGCCAGGCTGCTGTTAAACTCCTGGCCTCAAGCGATCCACCCGCCCTGGGCCTCCCAAAGTGCTGGGATTACACGGTAAGCCACCACGCCCAGCCTAGAATTTTACTTTGAAAGTACAAATGGAATAATTTGTATAAATCTGTTTGAGTCTGCCAGTGCTACATTTAAAAACTGTCCTCTTCTCCTGTCAAGTTCTTAAACGATTGCTGAGTAAGACTAAAGTATTGCCTATATTCCTGCTAAGAGTCAAGGTAAAGGACATGATCTAGGTGTGTACAGTATAGTGAGCTTCCTAATGCTGAACCTCTGAACTGCAGACTCACCCTCTCAGGCACAGGCAAGGGTGCACCAGGACAAGCTCAGAAGGGCAGGGCTGGTACTCCAAGCTTACTACATGGTAAGGTCAACACAGCTCATGCAGTCTGGTGGTGGCTCCCAAGATGGAAGGGAATGGGCTGGGGCCACAGCTTCCTGGTTTCTTCTTCCAACCCTTAAATTAGGTAAATCAGTCTTTCCTCTAGGAGAAGGAGAGAGTAAGTGGGTATGGAGATGCCAGGAGTATTTTACAGTGATGCTCTCTATGTGCCACTCCCTTCAACAAGGTCCATGCCATTTTCATATTACTTTTCTGGATTTCACAAGGATGTATAAAAAAAGACATAGGCATAGTTGGATTATAACACGTATCAGTTAAAATCCCGTGTTCATAGTCTCCTAGTGCCTATATGGGTCACGAAATAACATTACAGGTTGTGTTTTTTTTTTTTTTAAGAGTTTGGTTTTTTATTGAACATGTTACAAAAGAGATTTTGTCAAAAAAGACCAAAGCCCATGCATCATCAGACTCCTCGGATTCTTCTTTCTTTGATTCCACTTCCCTCTCTTCAGCTTGGGCTGCAGTGGTGGAGGGAGCAGGACCTCCCACTGGTGCAGCACCAGGTGCTGGAGCAGGTCCACTGGCCTCTCCAGCGCATATGAGGCTCCTGATGTTGACATTGTCCAGGGCCTCTGCAAACAAGCCAGGCCAGAAAGGTTCAACATTTCCACCAGCTACTTTAATGGTGGCATTTATCTTATCTTCCATGATAAGATAAGACCCTCAACATGCAGAATGGGGCCTGAGTAGATGCAGGTGAGCTCAGAGACAGAGTCCATGGTGCAGGTGAGTACGGGGCTGATGCTGCTGGGAGTGGTGCTCATTGTCAGATCAAGTGACGGCCTCACTCCAAGTCAGCTTTAGCTTCCTCGGAAGAACTCAGCACCTTGGCAGCAGATGACAAAAGGATTTTTGTTCATTCATTTGTATGGTTTTTTTTAACATAAATTAGGTACGGAAATTTCAAAAGGTGCAACCATAGACATAGTTAGACATAGTTAGACAGCCATTGTATCAGACACCAATTCCGACTGGTTTAAGCAGAAAAAGGATTTATTAAAATGATACTGGGCATCTCAGAATTTCTAAGAAGGCTGAACAACCAGGTCTAGAAAATGGGCAGAAAGGAAGGGTTGCTAGTCATTCAGCACAGCAGCCATAATCATGCCAGTCAGGAAAGACCTATTCCCTCTGCAGGATGCTGGTGCTGTGGCTTGTACCACTGGTCCTGAATACTCTCTTGCCCTTTGCCCCTAGATAACAGACAGGGCAGCTATGGCAGCCATTGTCAGAAAGAACTGTCCACTTGGCTTGCTTCTTTCCAACACTAGCTTCAGATTCAAAGTCCCACTTAGATGCATCTGACTGGCTGAACCCAGGTCATGTGCTTTCTTTCCAACTGTTAGGTGATCTGGGAAAGTGATTATCTGTTGCTCCCATCTTCTTATTGTGGAAGGAAGACAGCAAGAAATGTTCATAGGGAATTCTCTAAATATAGAAAAGAGATCCACATACTAAGAAGTCAAGAGAAAAAAGGGCAAATATGCACTACAACTATTTGTTGCTTTAGTGCAAGTAGCCACATGTTTGCACGGATTAAAACAGGTCATGCCGGCCCGGTGCGGTGGCTCAGCCTGTAATCCCAGCACTTTGGGAGGCCAAGGGGGGCAGATCACTTGAGATCAGGAGTTTGAGACCAGCCTGGCCAACATGGGGAAACCCCATCTCTACTAAAAATACAAAAATTAGCCAGGTGTGATGGCGGGCACCTGTAATACCAGCTACTTGAGAGAATCTCTTGAACCCGAGAGGCAGAGGTTGCCGTGAGCTGAGATCGTGCTACTGCACTCCAGTCTGACTGACAAAGTGAGACTCCATCTGAAAAAAACAAACAAAACAGGTCATGCCTAAACCCACGATTTTGTATCCTGTAGCACCTTCATATTCAGCAGAGAGATGAAACACAAAGTTCTACTTTTAAAGAATTAAAGTCCACAAAACAAAAAGGTTAATACAACAATAAATGTTTTTCTTCATTTAAACTAGAAGAACCAAGAAAGAAATATCTAAATCAAGAAATATTAAAGTTTTCATATTTACTATATCATACATTTTACCTTTTATTATTTTTTATTATACTTTAAGTTTTAGGGTACATGTGCACAACATGCAGGTTTGTTACATATATATACATGTGCCATGTTGGTGTGATGCATCCATTAACTGGTCATTTAACATTAGGTATACCTCCTAATGCTATCCCTCCCCCCTCCCCTGACCCCACAACAGGCCCCGGTGTGTGATGTTCCTCTTCTTGTGTCCATGTGTTCTCATTGTTCAATTCCCACCTATGAGTGAGAATATGCGGTGTTTGGTTTTTTGTCCTTGCGATAGTTTGCTGAGAATGATGGTTTCCAGCTTCATCCATGTCCCTACAAAGGACATGAACTCATCATGTTTTATGGCTGCATAGTATTCCATGGTGTATATGTGCCACATGTTCTTAATCCAGTCTATCATTGTTGGACATTTGGGTTGGTTCCAAGTCTTTGCTACTGTGAATAGTGCAGCAATAAACATACGTGTGTATGTGTCTTTATAGCAGCATGATTTATAGTCCTTTGGGTATATAACCAGTAATGGGATGGCTGGGTCAAATAGTATTTCTAGTTCTAGATCCCTGAGGAATCGCCACACTGACTTCCACAATGGTTGAACTAGTTTACAGTCCCACCAACAGTGCAAAAGTGTTCCTATTTCTCCACATCCTCTCCAGCACCTGTTGTTTCCTGACTTTTTAATGATTGCCATTCTAACTGGTGTGAGATGGTATCTCATTGTGGTTTTGATTTGCGTTTCTCTGATGACCAGTGATGATGAGCATTTTTTCTTGTGTCTGTTGGCTGCATAAATGTCTTCTTTTGAGAAGTGTCTGTTCATATCCTTCGCCCACTTTTTGATGGGATTGTTTGTTTTTTTCTTATAAATTTGTTGGAGTTCATTGTAGATTATGGATATTAACCCTTTGTCAGATGAGTACATTGCAAAAATTTTCTCCCATTCTGTAGGTTGTCTGTTCACTCTGATGGTAGTTTCTTTTGCTGTGCAGAAGCTCTTTAGCTTTTTTTTTTTTTATATACTTTAAGTTTTAGGGTACATGTGCACAATGTGCAGGTTAGTTACATAAGTATACCTGTGCCATGAGATCCCTGAGGAATCACTACACTGACTTCCACAATGGCTGAACTAATTTACAGTCTCACCAACAGTGTAAAAGTGTTCCTATTTCTCCACATCCTCTCCAGCACCTGTTGTTTCCTGACTTTTTAATGATCGCCATTCTAACTGGTGTGAGATGGTATCTCATTGTGGTTTTGATTTGCATTTCTCTGATGGCCAGTGATTATGAGCATTTTTTCCTGTGTCTTTTGGCTACATAAATGTCTTCTTTTGAGAAGTGTTTGTTCATATGCTTTGCCCAATTTTGATGGGGTTGTTTGTTTTTTCCTTGTAAATTTGTTGGAGTTCATTGTAGATTCTGGATATTAGCCCTTTGTCAGATGAGTAGATTGCAAAAATTTTCTCCCATTCTGTAGGTTGTCTGTTCACTCTGATGGTAGTTTCTTTTGCTCTGCAGAAGCTCTTTAGTTTAATTAGATCCCATTTGTCAGTTTTGGCTTTTGTTGCCATTGCTTTTGGTGTTTTAGACATGAAGTCCTTGCCCATGCCTATGGCTGAATGGTATTGCCTAGGTTTTCTTCTAGGCTTTTTATGGTTTTAGGTCTAACATTTATATCTTTAATCCATATTGAATTAATTTTTGTATAAGGTGTAAGGAAGGGATCCAGTTTCAGCTTTCTACTTATGGCTAGCCAGTTTTCCCAGCACCATTTATTAAATAGGGAATTCTTTCCCCATTTCTTATTTTTGTCAGGTTTGTCAAAGATCAGATGGTTGTAGATGTGTGGTATTATTTCTGAGGACTCTGTTCTGTTCCATTGGTCTATATCTCTGTTTTGGTACCAGTACCATGCTGTTTTGGTTACTGTAGCCTTGTAGTATAGTTTGAAGTCAGGTAGCATGATGCCACCAGCTTTGTTCTGTTTTGCTTAGGATTGTCTTGGCAACGTGGTCTCCTTTTTGGTTCCATATGAAGTTTAAAGTAGATTTTTCCAATTCTGTGAAGAAAGTCATTGGTAGCTTCATGGGGATGGCACTGAAGCTATAAATTACCTTGGGCAGTATGGCCATTTTCATGATATTGATTCATCCTATCCATGAGCATGGAATGTTCTTCCATTTGTTTGTATCCTCTTTTATTTCATTGAGCAGTGGTTTGTAGTTCTCTTTGAAGAGGTCCTTCACATCCCTTGTAAGTTGGATTCCTAGGTATTTTGTTCTCTTTGAAGCAATTGTGAATGGGAGTTCACTCATGATTTGGCTCTCTATTTGTCTGTTATTGGTGTATAGGAATGCCTGTGATTTTTGCACATTGATTTTGTATCCTGAGACTTTGCTGAAGTTGCTTATCAGCTTAAGGAGATTTGGGGCTGAGACAATGGGGTTTTCTAAATATACAATCATGTCGTCTGCAGACAGGGACAATTTGACTTCCTCTTTTCCTAATTGAATACTCTTTATTTCTTTCTCCTGCCTAATTGCCCTGGCCAGAACTTCCAACACTATGATGAATAGGAGGGTGAGAGAGGGCATCCCTGTCTTATGCCAGTTTTCAAAGGGAATGCTTCTAGTTTCAGAAGGAATGGTATCAGCTCCTCTTTGTACCTCTGGTAGAATTCGACTGTGAATCTGTCTGGTCTTGGACTTTTTTTGGTTGGTAAGCTATTAATTATTGCCTCAATTTCAGAGCCTGTTTTTGGTCTATTCAGAGATTCAACTTTTACCTGGTTTAGTCTTGGGAGGGTGTATGTGTCCAGGAATTTATCCATTTCTTCCAGATTTTCTACTTTATTTGCATAGAGGTGTTTATAGTATTCTCTGATGGTAGTTTGTATTTCTGTGGGATCGGTGGTGATATCCCCTTTATCATTTTTTATTGCATCTATTTGATTCTTCTCTCTCTTCTTATTAGTCTTGCTAGCGGTTTTTCAATTTTGTTGATCTTTTCAAAAAACCAGCTCCTGGATTCATTGATTTTTTGAAGGGTTTTTTGTGTCTCTATTTCCTTCAGTTCTGCTCTGATCGTAGTTATTTCTTGCCTTCTGCTAGATTTTGAATGTATTTGCTCTTGCTTCTCTAGTTCTTTTAATTGTGATGTTAGGGTGTCAATTTTAGATCTTTTCTGCTTTCTCTTGTGGGCATTTAGTGCTATAAATTTCCCTCTACACACTGCTGTACATGTGTCCCAGATATTCTGGTATGTTGTGTCTATGGTCTCATTGGTTTCAAAGAACATCTTTATTTCTGCCTTCATTTCGTTATGTACCCAGTAGTCATTCAGGAGCAGGTTGTTCAGTTTCCATGTAGTTGAGAGGTTTTGAGTGAGTTTCTTAATCCTGAGTTCTAGTTTGATTGCACTGTTGTCTGAGAGACAGTTTGTTATAATTTCTGTTCTTTTACATTTTCTAGGGAGTGTTTTACTTCCAACTATGTGGTCAATTTTGGAATAGGTGTGGTGTGGTGCTGAAAAGAATGTATATTCTGTTGATTTGGGGTGGAGAGTTCTGTAGATGTCTATTAGGTCTGCTTGGTGCAGAGCTGAGTTCAATTCCTGGATATCCTTGTTAACTTTCTGTCTCATTGATCTGTCTAATATTGACAGTGGGGTGTTAAAGTCTCCCGTTATTATTGTGTGGGAGTCTAAGTCTCTTTGTAGGTCTCTAAGGACTTGCTTTATGAATCTGGGTGCTCCTGTATTGGGTGCATATATATTTAGGATAGTTAGCTCTTCTTGTTGCATTGATCCCTTTACCATTATGTAATGGCCTTCTTTGTCTCTTTTGATCTTTGTTGTTTTAAAGTCTGTTTTATCAGAGACTAGGATTGCAACAACTGCCTTTTTTTGTTTTCCATTTGCTTGGTAGATCTTCCTCCATCCCTTTATTTTGAGCCTATGTGTGTCTCTGCATATGAGATGGGTTTCCTGAATACAGCACACTGATGGGTCTTGACTCTTTATCCAATTTGCCAGTCTGAGTCTTTTAATTGGAACAGTTAGCCCATTTACATTTAAGGTTAATATTGTTATGTGTGAATTTGATCCTGTCATTATGATGTTAGCTGGTTATTTTGCTCGTTAGTTGATGCAGTTTCTTTCTAGCCTCGATGGTCTTTACAATTTGGCATGTTTTTGCAGTGGCTGGTACCATTTGTTCCTTTCCATGTTTAGTACTTCCTTCAGGAGCTCTTTTAGGGCAGGCCTGGTGGTGACAAAATCTCTCAGCATTTGCTTGTCTGTAAAGGATTTTATTTCTCCTTCACTTATGAAGCTTAGTTTGGCTGGATATGAAATTCTGCATTGAAAATTCTTTTCTTTTCTTTAGGAATGTTGAATATTGGCCCCCACTCTCTTCTGGCTTGTGGAGTTTCTGCTGAGACATCTGCTTTTAGTCTGATGGGCTTCCCTTTGTGGGTAACCCGACCTTTCTCTCTGGCTGCCTTTAACATTTTTTCTTTCATTTCAACTTTGGTGAATCTGACAATTATGTGTCTTGGAGTTGCTCTTCTCAAGGAGTATCTTTGTGGTGTTCTCCGTATTTCCTGAATTTCAACGTTGGCCTGCCTTGCTAGATTGGGGAAGTTCTCCTGGATAATATCCTGCAGAGTGTTTTCAAACTTGGTTCCATTCTCCCCATCACTTTCAGGTACACCAATCAGACGTAGATTTGGTCTTTTCACATAGTCCCATATTTCTTGGAGGCTTTGTTCATTTCTTTTTATTCTTTTTTCTCTAAACTTCTCTTCTCACTTCATTTCATTCATTTCATCTTCCATCACTGATACCCTTCCTTCCAGTTGATCGGATCTGCTACTGAGGCTTATGCATTCGTCACATAGTTCTTGTGCTGTGGTTTTCAGCTCTGTTAGGTCCTTTACGGATTTCTCTGCATTGGTTATTCTAGTTAGCCATTCATCTAATCTTTTTTCAAGGTTTTTAACTTCTTTGCCATGGGTTCGAACTTCCTCCTTTAGCTCGGAGTAGTTTGATCGTCTGAAGCCTTCTTCTCTCAACTCGTCAAAGTCATTCTCCATCCAGCTCTGTTCCATTGCTGGTGAGGAGCTGCGTTCCTTTGGAGGAGAGGCACTCTGATTTTTAGATTTGTCAGTTTTTCTGCTCTGTTTTCTCCCCATTTTCGTGGTTTTGTCTACCTTTGGTCTTTGATGATGGTGACGTACAGATGGGGTTTTGGTGTGGATGTCCTTTCTGTTTGTTAGTTTTTCTTCTAACAGTCAGGACCCTTAGCTGCAGGTCTGTTGGAGTTTGCCAGAGGTCCACTCCAGACCCTGTTTGCCTGGGTATCAGCAGCGGAGGCTGCAGAACAGCGGGTATTGGTGAACAGCAAATGTTGCTGCCTGATTGTTCCTCTGTAAGTTTTGTCTCAGAGGAGTAACCGGCCATGTGAAGTGTCAGGCTGCCCCTACTAGGGGGTGCCTCCCAGTTAGGCTACTTGGGGGTCAGGGACCCACTTGAGGAGGCAGTCTGTCCATTCTCAGATCTCAAGCTGCGTGCTGGGAGAACCACTACTCTCTTCAAAGCTGTCGGACAGAGACATTTAAGTCTGCAGAGGTTTCTGCTGCCTTTTGTTTAGCTATGCCCTGCCCCCAGAGGTGGAGTCTACAGAGGCAGGCAGGCCTCCTTGAGCTGCAGTGTGCTCCACCCAGTTTGAGCTTCCTGGTTGCTTTGTTTACCTACTCAACCTTCGGCAATGGCGGGCTCCCCCCCGCCAGCCTCACTGCTGCCTTGCAGTCTGATCTCAGACTGCTGTGCTAGCAATGAGCGAGTCTCCGGGGGCATAGGCCCCTCTGAGCCAGGCACAGGATATAATCTCCTGGTGTGCCATTTGCTAAGGCCATCAGAAAAGCACAGTATTAGGGTGGGAGTGACCCAATTTACCAGGTGTCATCCATCACCCCTTTCCTTGGCTAGAAAAAGGAATTCCCTGACCCCTTGCACTTCCCGGGTGCGGCAGTGCCTCGCCCTGCTTTGGCTCAGGCTCAGTGCACTGCACCCACTATCCTGTACCCACTGTCCAATAATCCCCAGTGAGATGCAACCAGTACCTCAGTTGGAAATGCAGAAATCATTCGTCTTCTGCGTCGCTGACACTGGGAGCTGTAGACTGGAGCTGTTCCTATTCGGCCATCTTGGCTCCACCCCTCAACAAATGATTCATTTTACCTTTTAAAACTAGAAGTATTCAATATGTGGGTGCGGGGATTTAGAATCCTTTTCTCAGCTCAGAAACTGTGGCTCAAGCCAATATTCAAAATGGCAACCAAACTTTCCATTTCCTACCCCCCACTTTTTCTTTAGTATTCAGCTTTGGTAACAATGTTGATAGTTCTTGGCATGTTGCCCCTTAGTTATTATTTATCTTAATATTTGCTACAATTTGTGACTCATTTTGAAAGCGAGGTTAGGTTAGAATATAAAAAAAATTAATATTATAAAAAGACTTTTGCATAGTAGCATTTAGTTTGCTAGGCTAGAAGCCACCAGAGTTAGAACTCCTGCACTTTTTTCCACATACAGGAACACATTATTAATCTTAGAACATAACTGCATGTGTCAAGAATATCTTTAAAAAGTGCTTTTTTTTTTTGAGACAGAGTTTCGCTCTTGTTACCCAGGCTGGAATGCAATGGCACACTCTCAGCTCACTGCAACCTCCGCCTCCTGGGTTCAAGCAATTCTCATGCCTCAGCCTCCCAAGTAGCTGGGATTACAGGCGCCTGCCACCACACTTGGCTAATTTTTGTATTTTTTTAGTAGAGACGGAGTTTCACCATGTTGGCCGGATGGTCTCGAACTCCTGACCTCAGATGATCTGCCGCCTTGACCTCCCAAAATGCTGAGATTACAGGTGTGAGCCACCATGCCTGGCCCTAAAAAGTGCTTTTTAAAACCTGCTTGTAAATCGACATTCTACATTCTTGATTACATATTTTATTTGTCTATACTTTTCCAGGAAATCATATTTGATTTCTGATCCAATCATAATAAGCATCATAAGCTTGGTTGATATGAGTTTGTTTCTGAGCCCACAAAGCCAAGCACTAAATCATTGAGCATATTCACTTCCTCAAGGAAATGAGTTCTGTCCTCTGAGGCCTCTCAGGTGAAGCTACCCATCTTTCCTTTCTAATCTCTGGACATAATTGTGTTTTTTATGGTACATAGAATAGTGGAAAGAGCATGAATTTTGGCACAGACCTGGGTTTAAAACCCAGCTTTGCCATTTACTGTGGGCAAATTACTTAAGCTCTTTGAGGCTTGGTTCTTCAACTGTAAATTGGGAATGATATCTACTTGGAGGATGGTGGGTAGGATAATATTCCTAAGACACCTAGAAAATAGTAGGTGCTCAATAAAATGGTAGCTATTATTCAAATATTTACAAGTTAGCAGGTAACTAAGAAACTTAGGATCCTAGTGAGGGAAGAACACTCCATTGAACTCATTCCTTTACTTCCCAATGGTACAGAAAAAAACATTGCAACCTACTCTAGGACAAGGGAGATTGCACTGTTACAACAGCTTCAACTTTATTACTCTTTTTTTTTTTCCCAAGAAATGGGGTCTCACATGCCAGGCTGGCCTCAAACTCCTGGCCTCCAGTGAAAATGATCCTCCCACCTCAGCCTCCCAAACTGCTGGGATTACAAGCATGAGCCATTGTGCCTGGCCACTTTATTATTCTTGAATAAAGTTTCAGTTCCCACTTTGTGCAGTTTATGGATCCCCTTCTCTAAAATGACTTCCCGTCCCTGTCCTCTTCTTCCTGTCCCTTGGTCCACAACCCAGATAACTCCTGTTAGTCATTCAAAATTCAGCTCAGACACATGGATCTTTATTTCCTGTTCTTCAAATAGGCCAAGCCTGTTCCTGTCTCAGGGACTTTACCCATGCTGTTCCCTTCTCTTGCATCATTCTGCCCACAGAGCTTCATAGACTGGCTGCTTCTCATCCTTCAAGTCTCAGCTTAAGTGTCACTATTTCAGAGAGATCTTTCCTAACCACCTCATGCACATATTTACCCCACAGTCATCTGCTATCTCATTAGTTGCATTATTTTATTCATAGGATCATCACTACCTGAAGAGCTCATTTATTATTTTTCTTACATAATGTTCTGCCTTCCACCACTAAGCTACACTGGATCAGAAATTGTATCTTTCTTTTTCACCACATATAATCTCTGAACCTAGAACAGTGCCTGGTACACTGTAGTGTTCAATAAAGATTTATGAATCTGCTCAGGGAAGCTTTTCTTTACCCCTAGGCTGAATTAGATACATCTTTGAATTCCATTATCCTTTGGGCATGTTTCTTTGTATAGCACCTGAACTATATTGTAATTGCTAATTGTGCTATTTTAAAAATACTTTTTATGCATCCTTCCATGGTAGTAAAGCTTTTAGGGGTGAAATGGGAAAGAAGAAGGAAAAGAGGTAAAACCCAAGAAGATAGCAGGTTGGAAACAATACTGGGTTGTCAGTAAGAATGCTAAATCAATGGAGTTTTCAATCCATTTCTCATTAAAAACTTTCCAGGGACCTGGAGAGAGGAGAATATCTTCTTGGGAACTACAAGCCTGTCTTGGAGCATAGCAGTGGAGTAGAACTAGTGTCCTTGTGCAGTCAGGAATCCACAGGGCCCTGAGCCTCCCTCAGCCCCTGAGTGGCATGGAAGGACTACGTAAGCTCTTCATGTCAGACAGAGGAAAGGAGACAGATGAAATTCTGGTTGGCAGGATTTAGGAATTTTGCTGCAAAGGGGGCTCAGTAAGCCAGTAGCTGAGGGCTGTTATAGGGCAGATGAGGGCATCAAATGAAAGCTCTGGTGAGCCTTAGGATTGTGCAGCACAGAGAAAGCCAAAACAGGGGCCTGGTCCACAGAGGGCCAGTACAAAAACCCACATGTAGGGCCGAGCCCCCTCTTCTGATATAACATCAACCCAGTAAGTTCCATAAAACCCAGATGTCAGCAGGGCATGGTGGCTGGCTCCTGTAATCCCAGCACTTTGGGAGGCTGAAGCAGGTGGATCACAAAGTCAGGAGTTCGAGACCAGCCTGACCAACATGGAGAAACCCCATCTCTACTAAAAATTAGCTGGGCATGGTGGCGTGCGCCTGTAATCCCAGCTACTCAGGAGGCTGAGGCAGGGGAATTGCCTGAACCCAGGAGGTGGAGGTTGCAGTGTGCCAAGATCATGTCACTGCACTCCAGCCTGAGCGACAGAGCAAGGCTCCATCTCAAAAAAAAAAAAAAAAAAAAAAAAAACCCAGATGTCATCCTGCCACATAGAAGGCTGGAGGAGAAACAGCCCTGACAGGGAGTTAAATTTTGAATTGACTGAATATTTAGGCAAAATAAGGCTGTCTAAACCAGAAAGATGGAAATACCTTTAATTAGCAAATTTGAGGATCTTCCCACACCACCCCCTTCTTCCCATTATTTAGTGAGATAGAGGCTGTGAAGTGTAGACTCCTTACAAAAAAATAAAGATTGGTGCCTTTTTACTTTTTGCTTTTGAGTTGTAGTATGAAACCCAGCCCCTTGCTGTTATTTTTTTCCTCTCCTTCCCTCTCTTCCACTCTTTAGACTATGCACTCTTTGAGGACAGTCTATATCTTCCAATTATGCAATCCTATTTTCTAGCACAGAAAGGAGCCATAAATGTGAGCTACATGTATAATTTCACATTTTCTAATAGCCACATTTAAAACCTCTTAAGAAACAGATAAATTTAATTTTAACAAAATATTTAACCCAGTATAGCTAAAATATTATCATTATAATGTAATCAATATAAAAATTATTAATGACATAATTTTTTTTATCAAGTCTTTAAAATCTGGTGTATATTTTACATTGACAACACATCTCACTTTGGGCTAGCCACCTTTCCAGTGCTCAATAGCTACGTGTAGCTAGTTCTTAACCTTATTGGACAGCAGAGGTCACACACAAGCACCTCCATAGAGGTATAGCATCTATAACGCTTAACCAATAATATATTTGGCATTAAATTTAGAAACAATACATAAAAAATATCTTTTAACATGTCTTAAAATGCAGATTCAGGTATGACATTGGCTTTACTGTGCTTGTGTGAAATCATGGCTCAAAAAACTAGCAGTCCCTTGTATAGTAAATATATGTATACTTTGCCCTAAATTGCATGGGCCATAGCTGACATTTGTGTAGCCTGTTATAATCTACTATTATATATTAATATTTCATAGAATCCAGAGACTGCTTTTTTTAATTCAACTGAGATTGTTAAATATGAATTCTAAATTTCTCTTCAAAGAATTAATATGTCTGTATGTTCAATTCTTTGCCTTCTACTTTTAAACGTAACTTCCTCGTAAAGCAACCTTTTCTGCTTACCTACAGCAACCTGACTCATTCTCCACCTTGACTCATTCTGATTACCTACTCCACCCTGACTCATTCTCCACCCTGACTCATTCTGATTCATTCTCCATCCTGTCTCATTTCATCATCATTTTTCCCCCCAAACCACTCACCCCATCACTCTCTTTAACTTAGTCAATCAGAATTAGTTTAGCCTGTGTGGTCTAACCCTAGCCAATAGGGGAACCACACAGGAGTAGGGACCACATGCGTCAGGAATAAGAACCCCTTTCCCTCCCTTGTTGAGTATGCACTCACCATTGCTCCATCTGTAAGGGCACACCTTTCTGTAGAAGTACTTTGCCTTGCTGAGAATTAAAAAGAAAATTTTATATTTGAGTATTATTTCTTTTGCGGCACTGAACCTTTATTTATAACAATTTGGGGGCTCATCTGGGATTACATTCCCCTCTGGGGATGGTCTCTGGTTCTCTTTCATGAGGAGGTGTGCACCCTGCCCCTTGTGGCAGCCTCAGGGGTGAGAAATCAGAACCTACCCAGTGCAAGGAATAACCCAAGCTCTCAGCAACGTGAAAAAAAATGAACTGGCCAGCAACCTAGTTTAAAGGATCCTCACATACTGCAGCAATGACTCTGTGCACAGACCAAGGAAGGAGAAGTCGTGGGAGCCGGTAAAGTATTTCCTTGGTGGTTGGGACCAAGAAAACCGCAGCAGGGATGGTGAAGTACTCCTTGGTCAGGGTGGCTTAGAGGTTAAAAAGAGGTGAGACATCCCTACTGGGGGGGATTGAACCTCACACAAACCTCCAGTAGTAGAATAGGCAAGAGATTTACAGTGGGGGAAATTGAGCCTCACCCCAAAAAGGCAAGAAATTTCCAGTGGGGGAAATTGAGCTTCACCCCAAAAGGCAAGAAATTTACAGCTGGAGAAATTAAGCCTCACCCCAAAAGGTGAGAAAATTCCAGTAAGGCAAATTGAACCTTGAACGTTACCCCAAAACCATCAAGATGGGATATACCCTCAAGCAAGACAGGGAGCAAGGGGGACAAAGATGGTAACAAAGATATTCCCCCGGATAGCCCCCTAGGTCTCATGCGAAAACACTGGAAAGATAATGAAAGGTCTAAACATAGGAAAAAGCAACAAATGATAAAATATTACTGTTTTATTTGGACTCAGGGGCCCATCCTCAAACCCTCAATCTTCTTGCCAAAGTTTGGGTCGAATGAGGATGTAATGTGTCAGCTTCTAATCTGATATGTTAATGATAAAAGTCCAGTATCTCAAGAAGAACTAGGCTATGCCCTTTGTTGGAGGCAAGGACCTGCCCTCCTTTCTCCCTTAAAAACAAATAAGGAAGAACCCAATCTGGCACCTCAAAATGAAAAGTCAGAGGAGCCAGCTCTCATGCATAAAGACTCCAGCACATGGGATCCCCTAGACTACCTTCCCCTGTTCAGTGTCCCCAATCTTTCCCCTCAGACAGCCACTGCTGCCTCAGATCCTGTTCCAAATTCCCCCTCTACTCATGTTATCCCTCCTCCTTATAACCCTGACTCTTGGTAATTACCATCCCACCAGCCTGTTCCCTCCCAATCTAAATACCCCTCTCTAAAAGGACTCCAGCATGAGGTAGAACAATATAAAAAAGATATTCAGAATTTCCCATTTCCCTCTGTACCTAAGAGGTCAGCCCCGACCTTCTTCCCTTTGAAAGAGGTACCACAAGGAGGGGGGGCCGTTGGCTTTGTAAATGCTCCCTTAACCAGTTCAGAAGTCTGGAATTTTTAAAAGGAGCTTAAACCACTACTAGATAACCCTTATGGAGTGGCAGACCAAATTGACCAATTCTTAGGACCTCAGTTATATACCTGGGTCGAGTTAATGTTCATCTTGGGCATCCTCTTTTCAGGGGAAGAAAGGAGTATAATTCTTAGGGCTGCTATGGTAGTTTGGGAATGTGAGGACCCTCCCAGTGAAAATGTTCCTACCACGGACGAGAAATTCCCTGCCCGAGACCCCTGGTGGGACAATAACAATGCAGATCACCAGGAAAATATGCAGGACCTAAGGGAGATGATAATAAAAGGAATTTGGGAATCAGTACCCCAAACCCAAAATCTTTCTAAAGCACTTGATATATAACAGGAAAAGGATGAAGTGCCTGTGAGATGCCTAGACAGACTGAGGGAGTAAATGAGGCAATCTGCAGGCCTCAGTTTGGATGATCCCCTTGGGCAAGGAATGTCAAAACTCCAATTTGTCACTAAAAGTTGGCCAGACATTTCAAAAAAGTTACGAAAGATAGACAATTGGGAAGACTGCCCCCTAAATGAGTTTCTCAGGGAAGCTCAGAAAGTATACATGAAAAAGGATGAAGAAAAACAGAAAGAAAAGACAAAACTTAGGTTTTCACCTTCCAACAGATGGCTCCAAACCCAGGTACTTCTAGACAGAGCTTCCAGGGAGCCAGAAACTATAAAGGGTCCGAACCTCTTTTAAAGGATCCCAGCCTCCATCTGGAGGATAAAGGTCCTTGTCTACCAGCCCCCCTAAAGAGTATGGGGGAGCAAGGTTAAAGAATCCCAGAATTAAGGGGAGGAAGCACAAGATAGGTGCTATAGATGTGGAAGAACAGGCCACTTCAAGAGATGTCCTGAACTAAGAAAGGAGAAAGAAGCCCTTCCACTCATGACTTTCAAGGAAGAATAGGGGGCTCAGGGGCTCTGTCTCTTTTATCTTGAGTCCCACCAGGAGCCCTTGATAAATTTGGAGGTGGGACCTAAACATGAGCTTATCATCTTTTTAGTTGATTCAGGGGCTGCTCGCTCCTCTATTTGTTTCCTCCCATCTAATGTTGTCTCCTCCTCAGAGGAACTTTTAGTCTCTGGGGTTAAAGGGGAAGGATGTAGAGCAAAAATATTATAAAGCACAGAAGTTAGATACCAGGATCACTCAACTTATATTCAGTTCTTGTTAATCCCTGAAGCAGGAATTAATTTACTGGGGAAGGATTTAATGCTAAAGTTGGGCATAGGTCTACAAGTCAGCCCAAGAGGATTCCTCACCTCATTAAACTTACTCACTGTCAGGCTTCTGAGCCAAAGTTCAGCCATTGTAATCCCGGTAACCTGCACATATACATCCAGGTGGCCTGCAGGAGCCAAGAAGTCTGGGGCAACCCAAAACTACAAAAGAAGTGAAACAGCCAGCTCCTGTCTTAACTGATTGACCAACCTTACGACATTCCATTATGACTTGTTCCTGCCCTGTCCCAACTGATCGATCGACCTCATGACATTCTTCTTCTGGAAAATGATTCTCATGATCTCCCCACCATGCAGCTTGTGACCCCCTCCTCTGCTGACAATAGATAACCACCTTTAACTGTAACTTTCCACTGCTTACCCCAGTCCTATAAAACTACCCCACCCCATCTCCCTTTGCTGATGCTCTTTCTGGACTCAGTCCACTTGCCCCCAAGTGAAATACAGCCTTGTTGCTCACACAAAGCCTGTTGGTGGACTCTCTTCACACAGACATGCTTGACATTTAGTGCCATGACTCAGATTGGGGTACCTCCCTTGGGAGATCAATCCCCTGTCTTCCTGCTCTTTGCTCCGTGAGAACATCCACCTATGACCTCAGGTCTTCAGACTGGCCCAAGAAACACCTCACCAACTTTAAGTCAGGTAAGCGGCCTCTTTTTACTCTCTTCTCCAACCTCTCTCACTATCCCTCAACCTCTTTCTCCTTTCATTTTTAGCACCACCCTTCAATCTCTCCCTTCCCTTAATTTCAGTTCCTTTCCTTTTCTGGTAGAGATAGAGGAGACACATTTTATCTGTGAACCCAAAACTCTGGTTCTAGTCATGGACTCAGGAAGACAGTCTTCCCTTGGTGTCTAATCACTGTGGGGATGCCTGCCTGATTATTCACCATCATTCCAGAGGTGTTCGATCACCACAGGGATGCCTGCCTTGATCCTCCACTTTGGTGGCAAGGACTACCTCCTCTGGGTGACAAGTACCATCCCCCTCTCTCCATGTCTCTACTCCCCTTTTCCCTAAACTTAACTTTTTACTATAGGCAACCTTCTGCCCTCCATTCCTCCTTCTTCCCCCTTAGCCTGTGTTCTTAAAAACTTGAAACCTCTTCAACTCTCACCTGATCTAAAACCTAAGCATCTTCTTTTCTTCTGCAACACCGTTTGGCCCCAATACAAACTTGATAATGGCTCTAAATGGCCAGAAAACAGCACTTTTGATTTCTTCATCCTACAAGATCTAGATAATTTTGTCAAAAAATGGGTAAATGATCTGAGGTGCCTGATGTCCAGACATTTCTTTTACACCTTGGTCCCTCCCTAGTCTCTGCTCCCAATGCAACTCATCCCAAATCTTTCTTCTTTCTCTCCTGTCTGTTCCTTCAGTCTCCACCCCAAGCTCTGAGTCCTTTAAATCCTCCTTTTCTACGGACCCATCCGACCTCTCCCCTCCTTCCCGGGCTGCTCCTTGCCAGGCCAAGCCAGGTCCCAATTCTTCCTCAACCTCCGCTCCCCCACCCTATAATCCTTCTATCACCTCCCCTCCTCACACCCGGTCTGGCTTACAGTTTCGTTCCATGACTAGCCATCCCCCACCTGCCCAACAATTTCCTCTTAGAGAGGTGGCTGGAGCTGAAGGCATAGTCAAAGTTAATGCTCCTTTTTCTTCATCTGACCTCTCCCAAATCAGTTAGAATTTAGGCTCTATTTCATAAAATATAAAAACCCAGCCCAGTTCATGGCCCATTTGGCAACAACCCCTTAGATGCTTTACTGTCCTAGACCCAGAGAGGCCAGAAGGCTGTCTTATTCTCAATATGCATTTTATTATTCAATCTGCTCCTGACATTAGAAAAAGCTCCAAAAATTGGATTCTGGCCCTCAAACTCCACAACAGGACTTCATTAACCTCACCTTCAATGTATACAATAATAAAAAAAAAAGGCAGCCAAACGGTAACATATTTCTGAGTTGCAATTATGTGCCTCTGCTGTGAGAGAAATCCCAGCTACATCTCCAGCACACAAGAACTTCAAAACACCTAAACTGCAGTGGTCAGGCATTCCTCAAGGATCTCCTCCTCAAGGATCTTGCTTCAAGTGCCAAAAATCTGGCCACTGGGCCAAGGAATGCCCGCAGCCCAGGATTCCTCCTAAGCCAAGTCCCATCTTTGTGGGACCCCATTGGAAATTGGACTGTCCAACTCACCCAGCAGCCACTCCCAGAGTCCCTGGAACTCTAGCTCAAGGCTCTCTGACTGACTCTTTCTCAGATCTTCTCGGCTTAGCGGCTGAAGATTACTACTGCCTGATCGCCTCAGAAGCCTTCTGGATCATCACAGACACTTTGGGTAACTCTTACAGTGGAGGGTAAGTCCGTCATCTCCTTCTTAATCAATACGGAGGCTACCCACTCCACATTACCTTCTTTTCAAGAGCCTGTTTCCCTTGCCTCCACAACTGTTCTGGGTATTGACGGCCAGGCTTCTAAACCTCTTAAAACTCCCCAACTTTGGTGCCAACTTGGACAACATTCTTTTATGCACTCCTTTTTAGTTATCCTCACGTGCCCAGTTCCCTTATTAGGTGGAAATGTTTTAACAAAATTATCCACTACCCTGATTATTCCTGGACTACAGCCACATCTCATTGCTGCCCTTCTTCCCAACCCAAAGCCTCCTTCACATCTTCCTCTTGTATCCCCCAACCTTAACCCACAGGTATGGGACACCTTTACTCCCTCCCTGGCAACTGATCACATGCCCATTACTATCCCGTTAAAACCTAATT
Organism: Homo sapiens; assembly: GCF_000001405.40. Taxonomy (NCBI): domain Eukaryota; kingdom Metazoa; phylum Chordata; class Mammalia; order Primates; family Hominidae; genus Homo; species Homo sapiens. The sequence goes on along the minus strand of NC_000005.10, from coordinate 43,330,706 downwards.
ACCCTTACCCGACTCAATGCCAGTATCCCATCCCACAGCATGCTTTAAGGGGGTTAAAGCCTGTTATCACTCGCCTACTACAGCATGGGCTTCTAAAGCCTACAAAATCTCCTTACAATTCCCCCATTTTACTGTCCAAAACCCAGACAAGTCTTATAGGTTTGTTCAGGATCTGCACCTTATCAACCAAATTGTTTTGCCTATCCACCCTGTGGTGCCCAACCCGTACACTATTCTGTCCTCAATACCTCCATCCACAACTCACTATTCCATTCTTGATCTTAATATGCTTTTTCACTATTCCCCTGCACCCCTGATCTCAGCCTCTCTTTGCTTTCACCTGGATTGACCCTGATACCCATCAGTCCCAGAAGCTTACCTCGGCTGTACTGCCACAAGGCTTCCAGGACAGCCCTCATTACTTCAGCCAAGCTTTTTCTCATGATTTACTTTCTTTCCACCCCTCTGCTTCTCACCTTATTCAATATATTGATGACCTTCTACTCTGTAGTATCTCCTTTGAGTCTTCTCAACAACATACCCTCCTGCTCCTTCAACATTTATTCTCCAAAGGATATTGCATATCTCCCTCCAAAGCCCAAATTTCTTCCTCATCCATTACATATCTCAGCATAATTCTTCATAAAAACACATGTGCTCTCCCTGCTGATCATGTCCAGCTAATCTCCCAAACCGCAACCCCTTCTACAAAGCAACAACTCCTTTCTTCCCTAGGCATGGTTAGGTACTTTCGCCTTTGGATAGCTGGTTTTGCCATCCTGACTAAACCATTACATAATTTCACAAAATAAAACCTAGCTGACCACATAGATCCTAAATCCTTTCCCCACTCCTCTTTCCATTCCTTAAAAACAGCCCTAGAAGCTGCTCCCACACTAGCTCTCCCTAACTCATCCCAACCCTTTTTCATTACACACAGTCGAAGTGCAGGGCTGTGCGGTCGGAATTCTTACACAAGAGCTGGGACCATGCCCTGTAGCCTTTCTATCCAAACAACTTGACCTTACTGTTTTAGGCTGGCCCCCACATTATTCCTGATACCACACCTGACCCCCATGACTGTATCTCTCTGATCCACCTGACATTCACTCCATTTCCCCATATTTCTTTATTTCCTGTTCCTCACCCCGATCACACTTGGTTTATTGATGGCAGTTCCACCAGGCCTAATCGCCACTCACCAGCAAAGGCAGGCTATGCTGTAGTATCTTCCACATCTATCATTGAGGCTACCACTCTGCCCCCCTCCACTACCTCTCAGCAAGCCAAACTCATTGCCCTAACTTGGGCCTTCACTCCTGCAAAGGGACTATGCATCAATATTTATACTGATGCAAAAGCCATCAAAGGGCCTCAGACCCCATTGCTCAAGGCAACAATTATGCTGATAAGACAGCTAAAGGAGCAACCAGTATTCCTACTTCTGTCCCTCATGGCCAGCTTTTCTCCTTCTCATCAGTCACATCTACTTACTCTTCCACAGAAGTTTCCACCTATCAATCCCTCCCCACTCAAGGCAAATGGTTCTTAGACCAAGGAAAATATCTCCTTCCAGCTTCACAGAATCATTCCATTCTATCGTCCTTTCATAACCTCTTCCATGTAAGTTACAGCCACTAGCCCATCTCTTAAAACTTCTCATTTCCTTTAAGACATTACCCTGCATTAAGGTCCTTTCCAAGATGGCTGAATAGAAACAGCTCCAGTCTGCAGCTCCCATCGTGATTGATACAGAAGATGGTATGATTTCTGCATTTCCAACTGAGGTACCTTGTTCATCTCACTGGGACTGGTTGGACAGTGGGTGCAGCCCACGGAGGGTGAGCCAAAGCAGGGCGGGGCATTTCCTCACCCGGGAAGCACGAGGGGTTGGGGGATTTCCATTTCTTAGCGAAGGGAGGCCGTGACAGACTGTACCTGGAAAATCGGGACATTGCCACCCAAATACTGCGCTTTTCCAAAGGTCTTAGAAAAGGGCACACCAGGAGATTATATTCCGCACCTGGCACAGCGGGTCCCATGCTCACAGAGCCTTGGTCACTGCTAGCGCAGCAGTCCGAAATTGAACTGCGAGGCGGTAGCCTGGCTGGGGGAGGATTATCCGCAATTGCTGAGTCTTGAGTAGGTAAACAAAGCAGCCAGGAAGCTCAAACTGGGTGGAGCCCACTGCAGTTCAAGGAGGCCTGCCTGCCTCTGTAGACTCCACCTCCGGGGGCAGGGCATAGCTGAACAAAAGGCAGCAGAAACTTCTACAGACTTAAACATCCCTGTCTGACAGCTCTGAAGAGAGCAGTGGTTCTCCCAGCATGGTGTTTGAGCTCTGAGAACGGACAGACTACCTCCTCAAGTGGGTCCTTGACCCCCGAGTAGCCTAACTGGGAGACACCTCCCAGTAGGGGCTGACTGACACCTCATATAGCCAGGTGCCCCTCTGAGATGAAGCTTCCAGAGGAAGGATCAGGCAGCAATATTTGCTGTTCTGCAGCCTCCGCTGGTGATACCCAGGCAAACAGGGTCTGGAGTGGACCTCCAGCAAACTCCAACAGACCTGCAGGTGAGGGACCTGACTGTTAGAAGGAAAACTAACAAACAGAAAGGAATAGCATCAACAGCAACAAAAAGGACATCCACACCAAAACCCCATCTGTAGGTAACCATCATCACAGACCAAAGGTAGATAAAACCACAAAGATGGGGAGAAACGAGAGCAGAAAAACTGATAATTGTAAAAACCAGAGGACCCTTCTCCTCCAAAGGATCACAGCTCATCTTCAGCAATGGAACAAAGCTGCACAGAGAATGACTTTGATGAGTTGACAGAAGTAGGCTTCAGAAGGTCAGTAATAACAAACTTCTCTGAGCTAAAGGAGGGTGTTTGAACCCATCGCAAGGAAGCTAAAAACCTTGAAAAAAGATTAGACTAATGGCTAACTAGAAGAAACAGTGTAGAGAAGACCTTAAATGACCTGATGGAGCTGAAAACCATGGCATGAGAACTATGTGACACATGCACAAGCTTCAGTAACTGATTCGATCAAGTGGAAGAAAGGGTATCAGTGATTGAAGATCAAATTAATGAAATGAAGCAAGAAGAGAAGTTTAGAGAAAAAAGAATAAAAAGATACAAACAAAGCCTCCAAGAAATATGGGACTATGTGAAAAGACCAAATCTATGTCTGATTGGTGTACCTGAAAGTGACAGAGAGAATGGAACCAAGTTGGAAAACACTCTGCAGGATATTATCCAGGAGAACTTCCCCAACCTAGCAAGGCAGGCCAACATTCAAATTCAGGAAATGCAGAGAACACCACAAAGATACTCCTTAAGAAGAGCAACCACAAGATGCATAATTGTCAGATTCACCAAAGTTGAAATGAAGGAAAAAATGTTAAGGGCAGCCAGAGAGAAAGGTCAGGTTACCCATACAGGGAAGCCCGTCAGACTAACAGCTGATCTCTTGGCAGAAACTCTATAAGCCAGAAGAGAGTGGGGGCCAATATTCAACATTCTTAAAGAAAAGAATTTTCAACCCAGTATTTCATATCCAGCCAAACTAAGCTTCATAAGTGAAGGAGAAATAAAATCTTTTACAGACAAACAAATGCTGAGATTTTGTCACCACCAGGCCTGCCTTACAAGAGCTCTTGAAGGAAGCACTAAACATGGAAAGGAACAACTGGAAACAGCCACTGCAAAACCATGCCAAATTGTAAAGACCATCAAGGCTAGGAAGAAACTGCATCGACTAACGGGCAAAACAACCAGCTAATATTATAATGACAGGATCAAATTCACACATAATATTAACCTTAAATGTAAATGGGCTAAATGCCCCAATTAAAAGAAACAACACTGGCAAATTGGATAAAGAGTCAAGACCCATCAGTGTGCTGTATTCAGGAGACCCATCTCACGTGCAGAGACACACATAGGCTCAAAATAAAGGCACAGAGGAAGATCTACCAAGCAAACGGAAAGCAAAAAAAAGCAGGGGTTGCAATCCTAGTCTCTGATAAAACAGACTTTAAACCAACAAAGATCAAAAGAGACAAGGAAGGCCATTACATAACAAGAAGAGCTAACTATCCTAAATATATGTGCACCCAATACAGGAGCACCCAGATTCATAAAGCAAGTCCTTAGAGACCTACAAAGAGACTTAGACTCCCACACAATAATAATAGGAGACTTTAACACCCCACTGTCAATATTAGACACATCAACAAGACAGAAGGTTAACAAGGATATCCAAGACTTGAACTCAGCTCTGCACCAAGCTGACCTAATAGACATCTACAGAACTCTCCACCCCAAGTCAACAGAATAGACATTCTTCTCAGCACCACATTGCACTTATTCCAAAATTGACCACACAGTTGGAAGTAAAGCACTCCTCAGCAAATGTAAAAGAACAGAAATCAAAACAAACTGTCTCTCAGACCACAGTGCAATCAAACTAGAACTCAGGATTAAGACACTCACTCAAAACTGTTCAACTACATGGAAACTGAACAACCTGCTCCTGAATGACTACTGGGTACATAACGAAATGAAGGCAGAAATAAAGATGTTCTTTGAAACCAATGAGACCATAGACACAACATACCAGAATCTCTGGGACACATGTAAAGCAGTGTGTAGAGGGAAATTTATAGCACTAAATGCCCACAAGAGAAAGCAGGAAAGATCTAAAATTGACACCCTAACATTACAATTAAAAGAACTAGAGAAGCAACAGCAAACACATTCAAAAGCTAGCAGAAGGCAAGAAATAACTAAGATCAGAGCAGAACTGAAGGAAATACAGACACAAAAAACCCTTCAAAAAATCAATGAATCCAGGAGTTGGTTTTTTGAAAAGATCAGCAAAATTGATAGACTGCTGGCAAGACTAATAAAGAAGAAAAGAGAGAAGAATCAAATAGATGCAATAAAAAATGATAAAGGGGATATCACCACTGATCCCTCAGAAATACAAACTACCATCAGAGAATACTATAAACACCTCTATGCAAATAAAGTAGAAAATCTAGAAGAAATGGAGAAATTTCTGCACACATACACCCTCCCTAGACTAAACCAGGAAGAAGCTGAGTCCCTGAATAGACCAATAACAGACTCTGAAATTGAGGCAATAATTAATACCCTACCAACCAAAAAAAAGTCCAGGACCAGATGGATTCACAGCGGAATTCTACCAGAGGTACAAAGAGGAGCTGATACCATTCCTTCTGAAACTATTCCAATCAATAGAAAAAGAGGGAATCCTCCCTAACTCATTTTATGAGGCCAGCATTATCCTGATACCAAAGCCTGGCAGAGACACAACAAAAAAAGAGAATTTTAGACCAACATCCCTGATGAACATCAATGCAAAAATCCTCAATAAAATACTGGCAAACTGAATCCAGCAGCACATCAAAAAGCTTATCCACCACCATCAAGTTGGCTTCATCCTTGGGATACAAGGCTGGTTCAACATACACAAATCAATAAACGTAATCCGTGACATAAACAGAACCAAAGGCAAAATCCATATGATTATCTCAATAGATGCAGACAAGGCTTTCGACAAAATTCAACAGCCCTTCATGCTAAAAACTCTCAATAAACTAGGTAGTGATGGAACGTATCTCAAAATACTAAGAGCTATTTATGACAGACCCATAGCCAATATCATACTGAATGGGCAAAAACTGGAAGCATTCCCTTTGAAAACTGCCACAAGACAGAGATGCCCTCTCTCACCACTCATATTCAACATAGTGTTGGAAGTTCTGGCCAGGGCAGTCAGGCAAGAGAAAGAAATAAAGGGTATTCAATTAGGAAATGAGTAAGTAAAATTGTCTCTGTTTGCAGATGACATGATTATATATTTAGAAAACCCCATCGTCTCAGCCGAAAATCTCCTTAACTTGATAAGCAACTTCAGCAAAGTCTCAGGATACAAAATCAATGTACAAAAATCACAAGCATTTCCATACACCAATAACAGACAGAGAGCCAAATCATGAGTGAACTCCCATTCACAATTGCTACAATGTGAATAAAATACCTAGGAATCCAACTTACAAGGGATGTGAAGGACTTCTTCAAGGAGAACTACAAACCACTGCTCAATGAAATAAAAGAGGACAGAAACAAATGGAAGATCATTCCATGCTCATGGATAGGAAGAATCAATATCGTGAAAATGGCCATACTGCCCAAGGTAATTTATAGATTCAAGGCCATCCCCATCAGGCTATCAATGACTTTCTTCACAAAATTGGAAAAAACTACTTTAAAGTTCATATGGAACCAAAAAAGAGCCCGCATTGCCAAGACAAGTGTAAACAAAAAGAACAAAGCTGGAGGCATTATGCTACCTGACTTCAAACTATACTACACAGCTACAGTAACCAAAGCAGCACGGTACAGGTATCGAAACAGAGAGATAGACCAATGGAACAGAACAGAGGCCTCAGAAATAACACTACACATCTACAACCATCTGATCTTTGACAAACCTGACAAAAACAAGAAATGGGATAAGGATTCCCTATTTAATAAATGGTGCTGGAAAAACTGGCTAGCCATATGTAGAAAGCTGAAACTGGATACCTTCCTTACACCTTATATGAAAATTAATTCAAGATGGATTAAAGACTTAAATGTCACACCTAAAACCATAAAAACCCTAGAAGAAAATCTAGGCAATACCATTCAGGACATAAGCATGGGCAAGGACTTCATGACTAAAACACCAAAAGCAATGGCAACAAAAGCCAAAATTGACAAATGGGATCTAATTAAACTAAAGAGCTTCTGCATGGCAAAAGAAACTACCATCAGAGTGAACAGGCAACCTACAGAATGGGAGAAAATTTTTGCAATCTACCCATCTGACAAAGGGCTAATATCCAGAACCTACAAAGAACTTAAACAAATTTACAAGAAAAAAAAACCCCCATCAAAAAGTGGGCAAAAGATATGAACAGACACTTCTCAAAAGAAGACATTTATGCAGCCAACAGACACAAGAAAAAATGCTCATCGTCACTGGCCATCAGAGAAACACATATCAAAACCACAATGAGATACCATCTCACACCAGTTAGAATGACGATCATTAAAAAGTCAGGAAACAACAGATGCTGGAGAGGATGTGGAGAAATAGGGACGCTTTTACACTGTTGGTGGGAGTGTAAATTGGTTCAACAATTGTGGTAGATAGTGTGGCAATTCCTCAAGGATCTAGAACTAGAAATACCGTTTGACCCAGCCATCCCATTACTGGGTATATACCCAAAGGGTTATAAGTCATGCTACTATAAAGACACATGCACATGTATGTTTATTGCGGCACTATTCACAATAGCAAAGACTTGGAACCAACCCAAATGTCCATCAATGATAGACTGGATTAAGAAAATGTGTCACATATACACCATGGAATACTATGCAGCCATAAAACATGATGAGTTCATGTCCTTTGTAGGGACATGGATGAAGCTGGAAACCATCATTCTCAGCAAACTATCGCAAGGACAGAAAACCAAGTACCGCATATTCTCACTCATATGTGGGAAGTGAACAATGAGAACACTTGGACACAGGGTGGGGAACATCACATACCGGGGCCTGACTTGGGGTGGGGGGATGGGGGAGGGATAGCATTAGGAGAAATACCTAATGTAAATGACGAGTTAATGGGTGCAGCAAACAAACATGGCACATGTATACATATGTAACAAACCTGCACGTTGTGCACATGTACCCTAGAACTTAAAGTATAATAATTAAAATATATGTATATATATTTTAAAGAAAAGAAAAATAAATACAGATCTAACCTAGATTAATGAAAAAAAAAAAAAGACATTTACTGTGCATTTCACTCCATCCTTGGCTACCTTTCCCTTGTTCTTCAGACTATCCTCCCAGGCCCTCTTCTTATTTACTTATATCCAGCCCCGTAAATAACAGTGAAAGTTTGCTCGTAGACACTCGACTTTCTCATACATCATGAGAATCGAATCTCCCCGTCTACACAGTTACCCCATCAGTCCCCATTACAACCTCTGACGGCTGCCGCCCTAGCTGGAGCCTTAGGAGTCTGGGTACAAGACACCTCTTTTACTACTCCTTCTCATCTTTTCACTTTGCATTTCCAATTTTGCCTTGCAGAAGTCCTCTTCTTCTTCTGTGTCTCCTCCATCTACATGTGTCTACCTGCTAATTGGACAGGTAAATGTACACTAGTTTTTCTTATTCCCAACATTCAATTTGCAAATGGGACCGAACAACTTCCTGTCCCCCTCATGACACCAACCAGACAGAGAAGAGTTATTCCTCTAACCCCTCTACTTGTACGGTTAGGACTTTCTGCTTCTACTATTGCCCTTGGAGCCGGAATAGCAGGCATTTCAACTTCTGTCACAACCTTCCGTAGCCTTTCTAATTACTTTTCTACTTTTCTACTAGCATTACAATATCACAAACTTTATCAGTCCTTCAGGCCCAGGTTGACTCCTTAGCCGCAGTTGTCCTCCAAAATCGCTGAGGCCTTGACCTACTCACTGCTGAAAATGGAGGACTGTATATTTTTAAATGAAGAATGTTGTTTTTATCTAAACCAATCCGGCCTGGCATATGACAACATGAAAAACTTAAAGATAACTCGCCAGCCAGGAAAATAATTATGCTGGACCCACCTGCAGACTTTCTAACTGGGTGTCTTGGCTCCTGCCTATTCTTAGTCCCCTGGTACCTGTTTTTCTCCTTCTCTTATTCGGTCCTTGCATCTTCCATTTGGTTTCTCAATTCATACAAAACCACATCCAGACCATCACCAATAATTCTATATGACAAATGCCACTTTTAACAACCCCATGGTACCATCCTCTGCCCCAAGATCTCCGCACAGCCTAAATTTCTATTCCTTGTAACTCATTGTAAAATTTTCTTTTTTTTTCCTTTTTAAATTTTATTATTATTATACTTTAAGTTTTAGGGTACATGTGCACAACGTGCAGGTTAGTTACATATGTATACATGTGCCATGTTGATGTGCTGCACCCATTAACTCGTCATTTAACATTAGATATATCTCCTAATGCTATCCCTCCCCCCTCCCCCCACCCCACAACAGGCCCCGGTGTGTGATATTCCCCTTCCTGTGTCCGTGTGTTCTCATTGTTCAATTCCCACCTATGAGTGAGAACATGCGGTGTTTGGTTTTTTGTCCTTGCGATAGTTTGCTGAAAAATTTTCTTTAAGGTGTCCGTGCAGTCCCTGGTCACGTTAAAGCAGTCCCAAGAAACATCACTCCAACCCCAATAATCCCCAATAAAACTTATATTTTCTTTATCTTTTCTTATAACTTTATATTTTATAAATAAAAAGACAGGAATGTCAGGTCTCTGAGCCGAAGCTCAGCCATTGTAACCCCTGTGATCTGCACATATACGTCCAGGTGGCCTGCAGGAGCCAAGAAGTCTAGGGCAACCCAAAACTACAGAAGAAGTGAAACAGCCAGCTCCTGTCTTAACTGATTGACCAACCTTACAATATTCCATTATGACTTGTTCCTGCCCTGCCCCAACAGATCAATCAATCTCGTGACATTCTTCTTCGGGACAATGAGTCTTATGATCTCCCCACCATGCACCTTGTGACCCCCTCTTCTGCTGACAATAGATAACCACCTTTAACTGTAACTTTCCACTGTTTAACCCAGTCCTATAAAACTGCCCCATGCCTATCTCCCTTTGCTGACTCTCTTTTCGGACTCAGCCCACTTGCCCCCAAGTGACAAAGACAGCCTTGTTGCTCACACAAAGCCTGTTGGTGGACTCTCTTCACACGGACGCACTTGACACTCACCACTGCAGATGAAAAATATATTAATCCTAATGTCTCGTCCAAAGAAGGAAACCAAGGGAAACTCCAAGTCCCTCTGATCCACATCAAGCTAAAAACCCTGGGAGAAGTAGTAAGAAGGAAGCAGTACCCTATTCCCCTAGAAGGTGGGATAGGGTTGAAACCTATAATCGAAGGCCTTATTAAGGATGGGCTTCTTGAGCCCTGTATGTCCCCTTATAACCCCCCAATACTGCCAGTAAAGAAATGAGACGGGTCATATCAGCTAGCACAGGACCTTGGAGCTATCAACCAAATAGTCCAGACTACCCACCCTGTTGTCCCCAGTCCTTATACCATTCTTAGCAAGATTCCATATATCATCAATGGTTTACTGTAATAGATTTGAAAGATGCTTTTTTGGGTATGGTCCCTGACTGAAGATAGCTGAGATATATTTGCTTTTGAGTGAGAGGATCCCCACTCAGGGCAGAAACAACAATATCGATGGACAGTCTTGCTCCAAGGGTTCACAGACTCCCCTAATCTTTTTGGCCAAATTTTAGAACAAGTACTAGAAAAAGTTGTCATCCCAGAACAAATATGCCTTCTCCAGTAAGTGGACATCATTCTTATATCTGGTGAAGATAGCGAGAAAGTAACTGACTTCTCTACACATATGCTTAACCATCTGCAGTTTGAGGGGCTACAAGTACCAAAAAGAAAGCTTCAGCATGTACAGCCGAAAGTTAAATATTTAGGCCACTTAATAAGTGCAGGCAAGCCAAGAATAGGGCCTAAACGAATCGAGGGAATTGTGTCCCTACCCTTGCCTCAAACAAACAAGAACTCAGGAAAATTTTAGGGTTAGTCAGATACTGCCACTTATTAAGCACTGCACAGTAAACTGTTATATCAAAAACTTGCCCAGGAGAAGCCTAACCGTCTCCTGTGGACTTCTGAGGAAGTTGATCAAGTCGAGAAGCTGAAGGAAAGAAAGGCTCATAACTGCCTGTTTTAGCCTTACCCTCCCTAGAAAAGCCATTCCACCTTTTTGTTAATGTGTACAGTGGGGTAGCTTTAGGAGTGCTGACTCAAGAACACAGATGCCACCGGCAGCCCGTAGCCTTCCTATCAAAGGTCTTAGACCCAGTCACTCGTGGATGGCCTCAATGCATCCAGTCCATCGTGGCTATGGCAATACTAGTCGGGGAAAGCAGAAAGTTAACCTTTGGAGGAAAATTGACAGTAAGCACGCCTCACCGAGTTAGAACTACCAGAGAGCAGGGAGATGGCCTACTGAATAAAGAATCTTAAAGCATGAGGCCATTCTGTTAGAAAAGGATGATTTAACATTGACTACTGATAATTCACTCAACCCAGCAGGTTTCTTAACAAGGAATCCACATCTAAGGGGGGAACACACATGTTTAGATTTAATTGATTACCATACAAAGGTTCAACCAGACCTAGAAGAAACCCCCTTCTGGACTGGATGGCACTTATTCATAGATGGTTCTTCCGGGGTGATTGAGGGAAAAAGACACAGTAGGTATTCAGTGATTGATGGAGAAACTCTCATAGAAATAGAATCAGGAAAATTGCCCAACAGTTCGTCTGCTCAAACGTGTGAGCTGCTTGCACTCAGCCAAGCCTTAAAGTACTTACAGAACCAGGAAGGAACCATCTATACAGATTCCAGGTATGCCTTTGGAGTGACCCATATGTTTTGGAAAATTTGGACTGAACTAGGTCTCATCAATAGTAAAGGTCAAGACCTTGTTCACAAGGAGCTGATCACCCAAGTATTGAATAATTTTCGGTTGCCAGAAGAAATAGCTATTGTCCATGTTCCCAGACACCAGAAAATTCTTTCTTTTGAAAGTCGAGGAAATAACCTAGCAGATCAGGTAGACAAGCAGGCTGCTGTGTCTTTTGAATGTGTATTTTTCACTTAACTCCCTACCTCCCTCCTCCTACCATAATCCCCATTTTCTCTTCCACCAAAAAAGAGAAAGTAATAAAAATAGGTGCTAAAGAGAATTCAGAAGGAAAGTGGATACTGCCAGACCAGAGAGAAACGTTATCTAAACCCCTTATGAGGGAAGTCTTATCCCAACTACATCAGGGGACCCACTGGGGGCCCCAGGCCACATGTGATGCCATTCTCAGAGTTTATGGTTGTATAGGAATTTATACCCTGGCCAAACAGGTTACAGATAGTTGCTTAGTATGTAAGAAAACTAATAGACATACTACAAAAATATTACCACTCGGGGGAAGGAATCCAGGCTTAAAGCCATTCGAAAGTATCCAAGTTGATTACAAAGAAATGCCTCCAACAGGTCGTCTGAAATATTTACTAGTGATAGTAGACCACCTCACTCACCAGGTCGAAGTTATTCCCTTTTCAAATGCAACAGCCAATAATGCAGTTAAGGCCCTAATTGAAAATATAGTACCCAGGTTTGGACTAATAGAAAATATTGACTCAGACAATGGAACTCATTTCACCACACACATTATTAAAAAGCTATCCCAAACATTAGATATTAGATGGGAATACCATACTCCCTGACACCCATCCTCATTAGGGAGAGTAGAAAGAATGAATCAGACTCTAAAGAACCACTTAACCAAATTAGTCTTAGAGACTCGATTGCCATGGACCAAGTGTCTTCCTATTGCCCTGCTGAGAATTTGAACTGCACCACGGAAAGACATTGGTCTTTCTCCTTATGAGATGTTCTATGGATTACCTTATTTGCACTCTACTGCTGATATTCCTACCTTTGAAACAAAAGATCAATTCCTTAAAAATTATATGCTTGGTCTAGCTTCTACTTTCTCTTCTCTTAAAACTAAAGGTCTATTAGCACAGGTGCCGCCCTTGGAGTTCCCGGTGCATCAACATCAGCCTGGGGATCACGTCCTCATCAAGAGCTGGAAAGAGGAGATGCTTGAGCCAGTCTGGGAAGGTCCTTACTTAGTGCTCCTAACTACTGAAACTGCAGTCCGCACAGCAGAGAGAGGATGGACTTACCACACCCGGGTCAAGAAAGTGCCACCCCCTCCAGAGTAGTGGCCATAGTCCCAGGGGAAAACCCTACCAAACTAAAGCTAAGAAGAATTTAACTCTCTTTCATCTATTCTATTAACTTTCTTCTTTCCTCGTTCTATCGCTGATCATCTAGTTATTAACATAACCAAGTCAATTTCGCCTCAAACTATTGCATTTGATGCTTGCCTTGTTATACTGTGTGGGGATTTGTAAAGTCAAAGGCAGCTCTCTACTTCAGAAAAGTACCTCTGTCCCTCCTGGCTCTCCTCATACTGGGCATTAGTGAATTGGGACCATTTAATTCGGGGAGATTTTGATAAAGACCCCAGTGGCAACCAGGAGTCTTGCCCCCACCGACACAGAGCTTTTATGCTGTAGTTGGTCCAACGTTCTGTGGACCACCAAAGAGCAAGGATGGACTGCCCTGACCAGTTTTTGTAATTTCCTAAAACCACACATTCATTTTACTAAACGGACAGCCCCCAATAACTGTCAGCTAAACCAGTGCAATCCTATATAGGTTATTATCTTGAGCCCCCAAAGTTCTTCCCCTTTTCTAAGCCAGTTCCCTTCTTTAAGCCGATTTTATGGCATGTGGGCTAGATGTCAGGGACAGACCCTATTGGATCCTTGAAATGCATTTCTTTGATCCCCTGCCACCTGCACCTGCCTTTAAGCCTTTTTCCAAAACCTCTCACAACGGAACCATTGTTCCTCCTCCATCTACCGACAAGGCCAAGATAGCGATGGTAGAAGTTAAAGACTTAAAACAAACTTTGGCAACTGAGACAGGATACCAAGATATAAATGCCTGGGTGGAATGTATCAAATATTCCATCCACACATTAAACAAAAGCAATTGTTATGCTTGTGCACATAGCAGGCCAGAGGCCCAGATTGTCCCCTTTCCACTAAGGTGGTCCTCCAGTCGACTCGGCATGGGCTGCATGGTAGCTGTTTTCCAGGATTCTACAGCCTGGGGTAACAAGTCGTGCCAAGCTCTCTCTCTACTATATCCCGAAGTCTGACACCCTGTGGGTCGCCCCCAAGGGCCATTCAGCTTCCATCTCCCAACACCAAGTTCACTTCGTGTGTCTCACAACAGGAAGGAAACTTAGCATTCCTTGGAGACCTGGAGGGATGAAGTAAGCTTAAGAATTTTTAAGAGCTTACCAGTCAGCCCTTGTTCATCCCTGAGTGGATGTGTGGTGGTATTGTGGTGGACCTTTACTAGACACTCTGCTGAATAACTGGAGTGACACTTGTGCTTTAGTCCAGTTGGCTATCCCTTTCACCTTGGCATTTTATCAACCAGAGGAAGGAAAAATAAGACATCATAAAGCGAGAGAAGCCCCTTATGGGTCTTTCGACTCTCACGTCTATTTAGATGCAGTTGGAGTCCCACAGGGAATACGAGATCAATTTAAAGCCCGAAATCAAATAGCTGCAGGATTTGAGTCAATATTTTGGTGGGTGACAATTAATAAAAATGCAGATTGGTTAAACGACATCTATTACAACCAACAGTGATGTATTAACTACACTAGAGATGCTGTTAAAGGAATAGCTGAGCAATTAGGGGCTATTAGCCAGATGGCTTGGGAAAATAGGATAGCCTTAGACATGATATTAGCAGAAAGAAGATGAGTTTGCGTTATGATTAAAACTCAATGTTGCACCTTCATCCCAAACAACGCCACCCCTAATGGAAGTATAACAAAGGCATTGTGAGGTCTGACTGCTCTATCCAATGAGTTAGCCAGCAACTCACGGGTAAATGATCCCTTTACAGGATGGCTAGAAAAGTGGTTCGGTAAATGGAAAGGAATAATAGCCCCAATTCTTACCTCCCTCATAGTCATAATAGGTGTACTTATTCTTGTCAGGTGCTGTGTCATACCATGCATCTGTGGGTTGGTGCAGAGGCTCATAGAAACGGTACTTACTAAAACCTCCCTTAACTATCCTCCACCTCATCCAGAAAAGCTTCTTCTTTTGGAAAATCAAGCAGAACAACTAAATCAAGACATGTTAAATAAGTTTGAAGAGAAAGCTGTAAGAAAAATGCAAGAGGAGGAAGTTGTTAAATATGAATTCTAAATTTCTCTTCAAAGAATTAATATGTCAGTATGTTCCATTCTTTGCCTTCTACTTTTAAACGTAGCTTCCTAGTAAAGCAACCTTTTCTGATTACCTACTCCAACCTGACTCATTCTCCACCTTGACTCATTCTGATTACGTACTCCACCTTGACTCATTCCAATTCATTCTTCACCCTGACTCATTTCATAACCATTTTTCCCGCCATCACTGTCTTTAAATTAGTCCATCGGAATTAGTTTAGCCTGTGCAGTCTAACCCTAGCCAATAAGGGAACGACACAGCAGTGGGGACCACGTGCGTCAGGAATAAGAACCCCTTTCCCTCCCTCGTCCAAGTGTGCACTCACCATTGCTCCATCTGTAAGGGTGCACCCTTCTATAGAAGTACCTTGCCTTGCTGAGAATTAAAAAGAAAATTTTATATTCGACTGCTATTTCTTTTGCAGCATGGAAACTTTATTTATAACAAGATCTTCTGTATCTAATTACTAACCCTTTTTGTTCTCCATTGCTTGGCTTCCCAGTAATCAATAATCATGCTCACTTTGCTTAATTGAAGATTAACGTGATCAAAAAGACGGTCTGTTCCTTGTAGAAATTTCCGGTTGTGTAAGATGGTCATTCTCATGACCGTCTGGCTAATCATTTCCCATTATGTACTCCTGGAGTTGGAATTATTTGCGATTCCTAACGACAAAACTGTATCTTCTTTCTTGTGTTTGTCCTTACTGCCTTTCAGCATATTCCAATATGCCAAGAATTTTAATCTCCTACCCCACCCCAAATTGCTGTTGATCATAATCAGGCAATGTCTCTCTCTCTGTTTACTATCTAGTTACTTTACATACATATGAAGTGAGTCATGGGCAATACTGTGGAATGGAAATCATTACTGAGTGGTCCTCTTCCCCCAAGTCATTTATGCCACCACTTCACAGTGGTTCCATTTCCAATATATTTTGCCACTTTGCTGCTGAGAATGTGTCTTACTAGGTTAGCATCTATAGTGGTTAAAAGAATCTCCCATAACAATAATTGTGTGAATCACAGAATTACCAATGACCCCTTATCAATAGCATTCCTGTTAATTAAATTGAGATGGGGAGAGATACAAACAACTCCGAACCTCACTCATGGTCCCCCACCAAAGCTAAGTATTATGGCTTCTCTCTCTGACCAGATAGAGGCAGAGTTTATTGCAAAGCCACAAGTGTCCTCCTTTGGATTCCCCCAAATAGTGTTTCAGTGAATTCCTCTAGCTTGAATTGCTCCTCTCTATTTGCTGGGGGAGTTAGGCAGTCCGTATCCGATGGATTTACTATGCCGACAATTACGTGGCCTTTCCACAGCCTTTTACTTGGCAGGTACCACATATGAAGCTTAGAAGATACAGTGGGCAACAGGCCAAATGGAGTCCCTTTCCTCAGAGTGCATGGCCTGGCAAAAATCCTTGAATTCAGTATCAACTTCCCTTCACAGGCAAGGCTCTGCACCCTCCCCACGGATGCCTAATCCTGAAACCATTTTGTTTTAGGTTTAGTTAGAAAGCTTTGTCTCAAGAGCACTTTTGTTTGTTCTGTTTTCTTTAAGTCAAGGTAGTTTTGAATAAAGGAGACAATATTTGAGTATTTACAAATCGGGTATTTAGACTATTTACACATATACAAGTTCTGGGTGAAGTATTCTGCTCCAATTTGCAATCTACGCACACTTTGCTAGAAAACGTTAAGACTGAATTCAAATCAAGTACAGTATTTCAGAAATCTTTCAGGTGAAGCCTAGTTCTGGTTGCTAGGCAACCTGACAGACTCCCAAGCTGGGACCACCTCGCCTCCCACATTTGACCATCTCTCCAGCGGTGGGACGCGGAGTACCCATTGGCCCGCATCTCCTCTCACTTAGTCCCAATTGGTCGGAGAACCTCTCACTCCGCTCCCGTTGGCTCTCGCCGTATCTCGCAGCTCCGTCATTGGCAACTGGGCTCTCGTGCCACCTCACGTCAGTCTCTCACACCACTTCCTCGGCCCTGAGACTTTGTCCCCGCCTCTTCTCCCCGCCCTTCCAGCCACGAGGGAAAATCCTAGCGAGTCATCGCCTCTAGTTTCCTTTTGATTGGTAGAAGCCGGACTGGGGGGCGGGCGCTGCCGGGCAACTCTACCGGCCGCGATTGGCTGTGGGAGCCACCGTCCCGCCTCCCAGCGACTCTCGGCGGTGCCGGAGTCGGGTGGGTTGGCGGCTATAAAGCTGGTGGCGAAGGGGAGGCGCCGCGGACTGTCCTTTCGTGGCTCACTCCCTTTCCTCTGCTGCCGCTCGGTCACGCTTGGTGAGTGTCCCGCGCTGGGGAGTAGAACTGGGCTGCGGAGGTGCCGCGGGCGGGGTGTGGGCCAGACAGAGGCGGTGTCCTTGACTAGGCCCGAAGGAGCTGGGGCTCTGGGTCAGGACGTAGGCGTGGACTTTGCCCGGGAGGATGGGGCACCGTGAGCGGGGCCGGGCGGGGGTTCCCTCGTGAGGGACCTGAGGCCGACCGTAGCGGATCTGAGAAGATCCGAGAACACAGGCGAGTCGCGGAGGGGAGAACGCGAGAGGGCGTTGAGGTCTAGGTATTCTAACGACAGAGGAGTTGGAGGTGCCAGAGAGGCAGCTGTGACCGCCTAGAGGTGAGTGGGGGGTGTCAGGAGGGGGAGAGAAGACAGTTGGGCTACCAAGGCGTTTCCAGAGCGTTGGTTAAGGGTGGACGCCAAAGGATGGGCAAGATCCTCTTTAGACGGAGGCTGGTAGGTTCGCAGGGGGTGTGTCCTGCTGCCACATATAGAGTTGATGGAAAGAAGGGAAGTGGGTAGCATTACTTTTCTTCCTCAGCTCAGGTGCAAGAAAGCGTTCACAACCGTGATTTAGACCTGGCTAAGTACTGGGGCTCAGTCTGTACTTGCTTCAAATCTCATAGATCACTGCCTCCCGCCTTCCTGCCTCCATATTTTTTTTTGTCTACGTTTTAAAAAATAGGCTTCCTTGGTGTTCTGAAATCCCACATCTCTCTCCTACTAATACCTTCGGGACCAGCTTTAGGTGATACAGTGTAATGGGCAGGCACTCACAGAGTCCTCCCACAAATAGGTTTTGGATTAAGCTAAGGATATTTCAAAGCAAGTATATGGAGTCTTTGAAAACCCACGTCTGGCCTTGACCAGTGGTAGAGAAACGATTATTCTGATCCACTCTGGAGGAGGGATTTGGGGAACAAATAATGTGAGGTTGTGCCTGTTTGTCATGCTTGTCCCTATGGCCTTAGCCTTAAGGCATCAGTAGCTGCTTTCACTGCTCACCTCTGCTGCAGCTCCCCACCTTCCCGAGGATGCTCTTGCCACCTGCTGCAGTAGGATGATGTGTTCTGGTTGCTGCTAACTAACATTTGCTCTGTTTTAGGCATGAATATGAAAAACAATGACAAGATAAACAACAAAATTAAGACAAATGGAAGTGCTCCTAGAGTTAACAGATTTTTCCTTCTGAGATGTGTTTTGGACTTTATTGCACAGATACTATTAGATGAGAGGCAGTTGAAAGTCGTTAACATTATCCGTGTCAGTAGTTCTTTGCACTTGAGACACCTAAGCAGCTTGTGTTCTTTAAACTTTATTTTAAAATTGCAGTTATTTTTGTGTGAAGAAGGGGGCAGGGATAGCATACCTTATGGGAAGAGAGAAAGGCTTTCTTTGTGTCTACCTTTGTAGATATTTCTCACCTAAGTTTGTAAGTTTGCCCTTTATTCGGTTCTACTTTAGTTCAGCTCAATTCTAGTATAATCATCAGTAACCCCAGCACTCAGAAGGTCTGACTTACGCTGTGGGGAGGGAGTGTAAAAGGATATTTTATGTTTGGAGCCATAGGCCACATCATTTGGGCCTTGTTTTAATT
The DNA here is from genome assembly GCF_000001405.40 of Homo sapiens. Lineage (NCBI taxonomy): Eukaryota > Metazoa > Chordata > Mammalia > Primates > Hominidae > Homo > Homo sapiens. Next base: position 43,311,763 of record NC_000005.10, on the reverse strand, counting down.
TTGTTTTTCATCTTAAATATCCCTCCAGATTGCTTTTACATCTTGTTTCTTTTAACTGTGGATTGATTTTGAGATTTTGACTTAGATTTTAGATAGCTTTTCTCAGAAGAAATAAACGCAAAAACCCGATATTGTTGTAACATCAGTTTCCTGTGTCCTCTAGAATCATTTAAAACCTGGTTGGATCTTCCATAATCCAGTGGAATTGGATATGAGATGTAGCTGGAGAAGTTTGTTTTGCTACATATCAGAATCTCCAATTAGTTTCATTTAGAAAGGAATATAGCCTTATAATTTTATGCTGGGTTACTGTGGAACCAAATATCATAGAAGGATGTGTGATATTTTTATGTTTTTCAAGAAGGTAGTATAGATTTAAAAGGTGGGATACATATTACCTGTCCTAATGATAGGACTAGATTTTTTTTTTTTTTTTTTTTTGGGGAGACAGAATCTCGCTCTGTCGCCCAAGCTGGAGTGCAGCAGCGTGATCTCGGCTCACTGCAACTTATGCCTCCCAGTGATTCTCCTGCCTCAGCCTCCCAAGTAGCTGGGACTACCGGCATGTGCCACCACACCCAGCTAATTTTTTTGTATTTTTAGAAGAGATGGGGTGTCACCATGTTGGTCAGACTGGTCTTGAACTCCTGACCTCAAATGATCCGTCCGCCTTGGCCTCCCAAAGTGCTGAGATTACAGGCGTGAGCCACCATGCCTGGCTAGAACTAGACTCTTAATCTCTTCATCCTAATGCATGGCGTGTGTTGATGTTCACTTAATGTCTGTCAACTGGGTGTAGTTACACCAGTAGCGGAGAGGCTAATCTTTGAAAGCCTGAAGTGTTGTCTTCATCTTTGCAGGGTTTTTAGTTGTGGGTGCATATGGGAATGATTGTAAGACCAACAAATGTTTTCTGATTCCATATGGGCTTCTTACATTTTTCACCTTGGAATCTGGGAACAATTGAAACCTACCATATGCCTTGAACAGTAGCAGTAAAGAGCCAGTTTCTTTAAACTAGACATTATGGTGCTGCAGCTCATCTCAAAACTGATAGCAGGCTACTCTGGACACACTACATATAGAGTAGCCCTGCTCTGCAAGGAGCAGTAATAAATTAAAAAAAAAATTAAAAAGTGATAGCAGAAAGCACTTACTACTGAGGGCTGCTACAAGTATTAAATCTAAAAGATTTGTCCTCTAGTAGTTATAACTCCAAATTCAGCCACTGAAAAATGTGACATTTGAGTACCCTTTACTTCAAGGTCTCAAAGGGATTTCAAAAAATCAAAATATATAGCCCCTCTCCCAAAAGAAGTGTAGGAATCCTGTATGGATAAGAAGACTGCCCATAACTAGTTTTCCATAGAGAGTAGGCTATGTAGACTTGGGTATGAATGACCTACCTCTGTAGAAGTGCAGGTCCCTGATTAGAAAACTTATTTTCTGTGTGATTTATCGAGGAAAGCTTCCAGGAAGAGGTGACTTAGAACAGGGCCTTGAAGATGAGTAGAATCTCTGATACGCAGACCAGTAACTCTGGGAGGAGGCAGGGATGTCCATGCTTTTTACTTGGAGAACTATACCAGAGTGTACAGGTTTGAGCAAGTCTTTCTTAACATTAGTTTTTACTTGCTTGCTCCTAAGGAGGAAAGGTTGCCAACTTGTTCTTAATTTCCTAGATTTATCTCCTGTAACAATGAGAAAGATCAATAGGTAACTGTTTATATTTTATAGTTTACATACCAAAATGTGTAGGCAATGAACTTCTCCAACCACTTCTTTGAATCAAGGCTAAGGAGGGAGCCAGAAGGAAGTATTCAGAACACTGAGTAAACTCCAGAAGAAACTACCATTGCATAAATCTGGTTGGCCCTAGGCAGTCTTATCATTCTTGTGTTTTAGTCTTTGCCAGACTCAAAGTGCCTATATTTCATCCCATGAGTCTGCAAACCTGCTTTGTGGTAACCTGCCTGGCTACTTGCCATTCATTAACTGCTTCTTGACCCATGTTGATTCCCTCTGTCACTTACTCTGAAAAGACCTGTTAGAAATAAGCTTGTGATCTGCTTGAGACTTTGGCAATACTGGTTTAGCCAGAATAGAGAAATCCTTAAGTAGCACAGCAATCCTTTCTGAATCTTCTATTTGTTTCTTCTTTGTTCTCTGTGTCTCTCCCACCTAACATCCCTCTCCAATTTAAGTAATCAAAATAGAAAGAGGGGCCCAGGCAAGGTGGCCCACGCCTATAATCCCAGCACTTTGGGAGGCCAAAGTGGGTGGATTGGTTTAGCCCAGGAGTTGGAGAACAGCCTGGGAAAGATGGCAAAACCCCATCTCTACAAAAAATACAAAAATCAGCTGTGTATTGTGGCATGTGCCTGTAGTCCCAGCTACTTGCGGGGTCTGAGACAGGAGGATCACTTGAGCCTGGGAGGTCGAGGTTACAGTGAGCAGTGACTGGAATGCTACTGCATTCCAGTCTGGGTGACAGAGGGAGACCCTGTCTCAAAAAAAAAAAAAAATTTGAGGGAATATAGGCAGTGCAAGGAAAGGCAGAATATAGGCAGTTCAAGGAAAATTTCCTTGATACAAGTAGTGTCAAATGCATATACATACATGAACATCAAGAAGAAATATTATTATTTAAGTAGTCTTAACATGGAGAAGGAATCTTGTTTTTCAAGAACTGGTCTCTGTGGTCTGCTTAATTTGCAGAAGACAAAGGCATAATTTGAGATAATAAAGAACAAAGATAGGTTATTTTCTCAAAGTATGTATAATTACAGTTAATTAGAGACATTTTTGGAATATTGTAGTATTCTTTGCCTACAAAACTCAAGATCTATTTCTTTTTATGGGGCAGGGGGGCGTAGGTGGGTAGTAAACTTAGTTAATGAAGTAAAAGGCGCTACGACTGAAGAGCTCTTAAATTATGTAATTATGTAAAAAAAGTAAAGCTTTATTAAATATTAATAACATCCGAATGTAGTTACCAGTGAATCCATTAAGGGCAGATGCTAAATTTGCCAGTAATTAAATAGAGAGCAGAGGAAATGGTGTATGCTGTGTTAAACATAGAAGTTGCCATCTCAAGTAACAATCAGTCTTTCAAAACAGATGGACTGAAGAATATGTTCCAGTCACCTTCGCAAATTATTTCTACTTAATTTACATAATAATGTTTAATGCTCCTTTGTCTAAATGCTTAATTTTTTAACATAAGCAGTAAGAGGGAAAATCACTTTATAAAAGGTTGGGAGGGTGAAGGTGGCAGTGTTGAAAATGATTAGGTCTTGCTAGAAAAAATACCTTTATTTTCTTTGAAAAACACTTATAAGAACTATAAGAACTAAGGTAATAGTCAGTGTATTGGTGCTTTGTGTTACAAAGTGTCTTCACATATTTTATCATCTCAGCAATCCTTCACAATGATCTGGGGAGGGCAACTGTATTAGCTTCATTTTATAGATGAGGAAACTGAGGTCCAGAATTGCTGCCAAAGCCACAATCTGTTACATGCAGTGCAGGCTCTTGACTGCATATATCTCTTTACTCTAGAAATTTGCTAACTCATTACAACTTGTTTATATTCCTTTCCCCCAATTCTTGAAAACCTTGGTTTAAAGCCTCAATTGGTGACATGGGCTTCTTATTTCCTTGAGGTTTTTTTGTTTATTCCTTCCTGCAATAGTAGGCTTCTTATATCCGTTTATTACCAGGACTGAACCTTTCACTATAAGGGCTATGAAAATAAGGGGGAAAATGTTCTATAAGCTTTAAGTATGATTTTTTCTAAGCAAATGTCAAATTCTATTCTGCATAATGTAATTGGATAAGGAATTGCTTATTTTAACTCACTTTGAATTGGATTCATTAGTATTTGAATTTGGGTAGTGATTTATAACTTTAAAAGCAGTTCTTGTTTGAAATTCCTAGTGCCCGAAGGAGGAAACAGTGACAGACCTGGAGACTGCAGTTCTCTATCCTTCACACAGGTATGACATCCTGTCATGCTGCTTAAGGAAAGTATTCCTCTCTAATGGAAGGAGGAAACTTGGTATCCTAGAGAAAATAACGATTTGTTTGTGCCATATGTTCTTAAAACCCCTTTTAGGGTTCTACCTCATCTTTAAAATTCTGTTAATGCTTTAATGCTTCAGGAAACTAATTTTATGTTTATTAGACTAATGTTTAAAATCTAGAAACAAATTTTAAAAATTAGTGTTCACTCATAAGAGAAAAAGTACTTATAATAAAATGTAATTACATGGACTACTTAATCAGAAACAATCAGAGGTAAACATGACTGCCATTAGTGCTTTTTAAATTATGGCCTCAAAAGATATGTATCTGGGCTGTGGATGAATGTTTAAAATTATGTAAGAATGGGCCAGGCACAGTGGCTCACGTCTGTAATCCCACCACTTTGGGAGGCTGTGGCGGGTGGATCACCTGAGGTCAGGAATTTGAGACCAGCCTGGCCAACATGGTAAAACCCAGTCTCTACTAAAAATACAAAAAAATTAGCCAGGCTTGGTGGCAGGTGCCTGTAAGTCAAGCAGCTCAGGAGGCTGAGGCAAGAGAATCGCTTGAACCCAGAAGTCGGAGGTTGCAGTGAGCTGAGATTGCGCCACTGCACTCCAGCCTGGGCAACAGAGTGGGACTCTGTCTCAAAAAAAAAAAAAAAAAAAAATTATGTGAGAATGGACAGTAATTTCAAATGTGTTTCAACTGGTAATCTAATTATTTGCAGCCATTGCTTTCTCATATTGTCAGGGAGTGCTTCTCTTACAATTCTGCTTTTTTTGTATTTCAAGATTATGATTTCCTATGGGTGTTAATGACTTTAGATTAGAAGTCTAGTACCATTTCATTTATTCAACATTAGCATCTACCATATGCCAAACAGTGGGTTGGGTACCGGGGACACAAAAATGAACAAAGCACGGTTCCTGCTCTCCAAAAGCTCCTTGTTTAATGCAGAGAGGCTAAGCCTAAATAATAGAGGAGAAACTTGGCAGTTTGAAATATAAATTGAATTTTCCTTATCTGAACAATGCTTGGGACCAGCAATGTTAAAGATTTTGGATTTTTCTGGGTCTTGGAATATTTGAGAAAACATACCATTTGAGCAGCCCTAATCTGGAAATCCAAAATCCAAAATGTTCCAATGAGCATTTCCTTTGAGCATCATGTTGGTGCTCAGAGAGTTTCAGATTTTGGAGCATTTCAGATTTTAGCATTTTTGTATTAGGAATGCTCAACCTGCAGCATCTTGACAATGGTTAGACATGCAGTTTGGAAAAAACTGTTGGCCTATGACAGAGAAGAGAGCAGAGGCAGAGCTCACTTAGGAGAGACTGATGCTGAAGTCCTTCCCCAACACAGCCATTGAGGAGCTAGGTTAGGACTTCCCTTGCACCAGTATCATCAGCTAGTTTCCCTCCCCCTTTTTTCCCCTTTCCAGTTCTCTTTCATTTCCAGATTTATTCTCAGAATAACTATATAGGTCTTTTATGTATTCTAGGCAGGAAGCATTCAGAAAACATTAACAAGGCTTCCTTATCTTGCTTTACTGATTCTGGAAATAGCATATGGAGTTTCTTTTGTCCACCAGAGGGAGTGAGCCTTCACTTTAATGAGACTTATTTAAGACTTTAGTCCTCTGTTGGTACTACTTTGTTGGAAGACTTGAAAGGTTTACAAAGTTCTCTGAAAGTTGCCTTTTCTCGCCTTTTTTAAGGATAGAATTTAAAAAGAAAATGTGTGTATTTTATTATAAATACAGAGTCCTCATTATTCTCTTTAGACTTATTTTATGGTGAATATAGTACTCTGAAAATAATAAAATGCATTATCTGTAAAAAATTAAAAACGTAATTTTTTTAACCATCAGATTTTTAAAATTATGTTCTACTTGAAAGTTTTTGTGATTTATCTCTTTTTTTAAATTTTTTAAATTTTTTTTTTTTTTTTTTTGAGACGGAGTCTCACTCTGTGACCCAGGCTGGAGTGCAGTGGCACGATCTTGGCTCAGATCTTGGCTCACTGCAACCTCCGTCTCCCAGGTTCAAGTGATTCTCCTGCCTCAGCCTTCCAAGTAGCTGGGATTACTGTTGCCCGCCACCAAAACCAGCTAATTTTTGTATTTTTAGTAGAGAGGGGGTTTCACCATTTTGGCCAGGCTGGTCTTGAACTCCTGACCTTAAGTGATCCGCCCACCTCGGCCTCCCAAAGTGCTGGGATTACAGGTGTGAGCCATCACACCCGGCCTCTTTATTCTTAAATAGTGAATTAACCAGAATATTCTATTCTCTGGTAGGGTAAAGAGTGAATACCATAATGTGAGCACCTCAGACCTGTAGCTAGTCTTTTTTTCCCTAATTTATATCTAACTATATCTAGCCTATTTCAGAGAGCATTTGAAAGGACAATGTAAGAGCACATGCTCAATAGGATAGTTAAAAGTAACATTTGCTGGGCACGGTGGCTCACGCCTGTAATCCCAGCACTTCGGGAGGCCGAGGCGGGTGGATCACTTGAGGTCAGGAGTTTGAGACCAGCCTGACCAACATGGTCAAACCCCATCTCTATTAAAAATACAAAATCAGCTGGGTGTGGTGGCACCCGCCTGTAATCCCAGCTACTTGAGAGGCTGAGGCAGTAGAATCGCTTGAACCTGGGAGGCGGAGGTTGCAGTGAGCCGAGATCACACCATTGCACTCCAGCCTGGGCAACAAGAGCGAAACTCCGTCTCAAAAAAAAAAGTAACATTTGAGACCAGAAACTATTAACTTTCTGTTCTTCTAAATGTCATGAAAGCAATTATTTCTCTGTATTAATTTTCCTGTCAACTTAATCACTCTCTTTCTGAATTTGAACCAAAGGCTAAATATTTCAGATTAGATGGCTTTTTACCAAGAACATAATGGAAAACACATTGGCTGTCAGAAACCCTCAGAGAATGAGTAATATTGACTGACTTGGACAATGTAAAAATGTTTTTTTCCATCAAAGTCAGAATTGTGTTTCACTTTCCATTTGATGTATGTGGGTTATTTTAGTTAACCTACGTTTTTTGTTTGTTTTCAAATGAAACATGTCATGTATTTAATGTAGGACATTTAGGAGTCATAGAGTTGTATCTTATTTTAGGAGTACTATAATACAAAGAATTGATCAGAGCTGGTCAGACTGTGACAAATACAGATTAATTCTGAAATGGAAGCCTTGCATTATAACTTTTTATAGAGAATTGTACAAGCATTATAAGGATAATTAAATATATTGCCAGTGTTGCTACATGATGCTCTTAAAAGACTAAAGTGAATTTATTAGTGAGTACAAGTATATTGCAAACTGGTTTATACCTTCAAAAAGATATATTCCCTGTTCACTTTATTTCCAATAGTGTTAAAAACCACTGAGCCAGGCAAGGAAGACCATACTGTCTTCAGCATATTTAAAGCAGTTTGAAGAGTTGAAAAGAATCTAAAGGGTAGCCTTGTGGGAAAGGCTGGAAAGGTGGTTACTCCTACTTTGGTGACTTAAGAGATCATATGTAGGAGCTTATAAGCCTATGGACTAGTCTTTTTCTGATAACAGTAGTTGTAGGGCTCTTTCTTGTGGACTATCCAGTATCTTATTTTACTATAAACTTAGAATCCATGCCTAGTGGCATATTAGGCAGCCCTTTTATATTTTCATTTCAAATTCAGCAAAGTGGGCACCAACTTTATCAAAAAATTGATGGGGAGAGTTTGTTGAAGCTCAGAGTGAGGATGGATGTAGAACATTTCAAGTGCTTCATATCCAGAAAATCAGTAGTCCTCCATCTGAGTTGTAGACACAGGAAAGGAGTTGAAGATGAATGGAGTAGGAATGTAAAAGCCTTATCTTTACCCTCCTCAGCTTTAGGTCTTAACAAGAATGAGCCTCCCTTAGTCTTTCTTTATGCCCCTGTCCCTGAATGTTGGTGATGACATTGTTTTTCCTGTATTGAATACAAAAATATGGCCAGTAATTTAGGAATCAAGAGGATATAATTCGGAAGTAGACTGTTGTGTTTAGGAGTTTTTCTTTCCATTGTGGAATTGAGTAGCAGCGGTATATATGCTATGTCTGGTAAAATGGGCCATACAGTAGTCTAAGACATGAGGAGACCTTAAGGAGCTTGGACTTAGTTGAGGTGACCAGACTATTTAATCTGCTTAGGTGCCACAGCAAAATACCATAGAGTAGGTGGTTTAAACAGCAGACATTTATGATCTCATAGGTTTGCAGTCTGGAAGTCAGGGTGCCAGCGTGGTTGGTTCCCGATCAGGGCTCTCCTCCTGGATTGCCCGTGTCCTCACATGGCATAGAGAGAGTATGACAGCATGAGCAAGCTCTCGTTTTATCTTCTTATAAGAGCACTGATCCCATCATGAGGGCCCCATTCTCATGACCTCATCTAAACCTGATTATTTTCCAAAGGCCCCATCTCCAAATGCCATCACATTGAGAGTTAAGGCTTCAACATATGAATTTGGTGGGGAAACCCAGACATTTCAATCCATAATTCAGGCAGATATTTGGGAAGTAACACAGTTGAAGCACTGAATGCTATATTTCGTACTATCTAAAGAATCTAGGATGTAATAAATTTAAGATGCTTCATTGCCAATTAAATTAAGATACAATGCTTTTTTGATTACTTAGAATTTTTTAAAGAGCTCTTTTAGAGTTAGACATAGATTTTTGTCATATGTCACTTGCACATTCAATAAGATGGAAAACACAAGTGAAAAAACACATAAGGAATTGCTAAATTTCACATATTTAGAGTCTGCCTTCTGAATTGTTTTTGGAGTCAGAGTTGTTAATACCTGTAATTTTCCGTTAAACATCCTCTGTGCCGCCAAGAGAATTGGTGATGTAGCATTCCTTTCAAGATCCCAAAAAAGAATGCGAAGGTTTTGGTGCTGGCCTTCAGCTTTGCAATTATGCAAAGCCAGCCTACTTTGACTGCTGCTTAGGGATTCCCCATCTTCTACTTCCTTCCCAGTCCATTTGGTTCCTAGAGGGTGAAATGAATGCTCCAGTATCATTTCTGGGAATTTCTTTCAGGCTGTTGACTGTCATATGCAAATGTCATGCTGGCAGTTTTGTTATTTTCCCATGTGTAAGCAATGACAACATCATAATTGGCTTCTGTCTGATAGCAATTGTAAGAGGAATCCCAATTTCTGAAATGTTACCCAAAAAAGTGACTTTAATTGACGAAGTATGATGATGTAGAAGGATAGGCAAGAAATGCAAAAGGTAATTTAGAAAGGTTTCATGGGTAAAATGTGACCTATGTGATCTAGGGCTATAAAGGATTTCAATAAGCAGAAGCACGAGGTGGGTTGTTGAAGAAAGCACTAAATGTTTTTGGATAAAGAATATAATAATTTGAGAGTAAAGGGTAGAGGGAGGGTTATGTAGGTAAGTAGTTGTAAGATGGGGAAAGATTGGGTAGTATTTAGCATTTATCCTTAATGTTGACTTCAGTGTAGTTCTCTTTGTGTGTTTTCTAGTATAAACTGCATACATGAAAGTTAAGAATCTTGTGTTAAGTCCCATATAGGAAGGAAGTAGATAGGAAAACCAAACTGGAAAAATGTATGGAGATGTTGGTGAAATGACAGGAACGAAAGCAGCTTGTCTGAGCTTGATCTCTTCACTTCCTCAGTGGTGGTTCTGAGCGCTGGTTTGGCTGAACTCCACTTACCAGGGAAAAGGGCATAAAGTAAACAGGGTTTGTGTGGAAGAAGTGGAGTAGAACAAAGTGGAGAGGATCTCTGTTCATTTAGTGTATCTGACAGTGTGCTTGTCAAGTCATAAAACACTTGAGGATGGAAATCTGGAAGTCATTGTATACATTTTCTTCTTTCCCTAACATCTAGTCAGTTACAGTTTCTGCCAGTTCTTTTGCTTTTTCCATGTTTTTGGAGGCTGTTCCTCTTCGCTCCACATGTAGTAAATGCTCTAGTTCATGACCCATGTCTTATCTGGACTGCCATGTCAGCTTCCTAACTCATCCATTCACAGCACCAGTGACTGTAAAACAGCATTAGTGAGGATAAAACAGTGGCTGTCAAACTTTTTTGACTGTGGCCCCCAGTAAAAATACACTTTGTATTGCAACTTATGTATACTTTATATATGTATGAATAATTAAAACAAAAGGTTGATTCAAGAAAAATCTTTACATTTACCCTGTGCCATGCAATCTTATATCTTGTATTCTTTTCTGTTTCATTTTTTTAAATGTGTGCTTGCCATCCACTAAATTGATTCCGGAGTTGGAAAAACACTGACCTGACAACTAATATCACCATGTTATTCCTTAAACTCTCCGATGGCTTCTTACTATCTTCATGATAAATTTGAAGCCCTCAACATCAGCATACCAGAACCTTCATGACCTAACCCTTACCTAGTTATTCTAATCTATTATTTACCTGATCCACTCAGCTCACATTTCATTCCAATAGACAAGTAAAGTTTTTTGTAATTCCTTGTAGCTTGCCTTTCTTCATGGTGTCCACTCTGTTGAAAATCTACTACCCTCCATTTCTTCAGTGCTTTACTGCTTACTCCTACCCATTCCTGGGGCTCAAGTCAGGCCCCTATAACCAGGATGCTTTTCCTAACACTCCTTGCCCTACCACCAGGCTGGGTTAGGTAGTTCTCCATTATATAATGTGGTTCTCAATGTTGTTACCTGTTTATTATTATGTGTTTTTCTCTTATTGTCCCATAAAATAGTGAATATTCGAGAGGATAAGGAAGTCTCCCATTAAGCATCCCTAATGTTTAGTATGTAACATGTTGGCATTGGTTGGATGAATGAGAAAAAAAAAAGATTCTTCTGTTTGGAAGGAAGATACAACTGGTATCCCTTAAGTCTTTTCTTTTTTTTTTTTTTTTTTCCTTTCTCTATAGACAAGGTCTCACCATCACCCAGGCTGGAGTGCAGTGGTGCAATCACAGCTCACTACACCCTTGTACTCCTGGGCTCAAGTGATCCTGCTACCTCAGCCTCCCTAGTAGCTGGGACTGCAGGCATGCACCACCATGCTCAGCTCATTTTAAAAAAATTTTTTTTGTTGAGACAGAGTCTTGCTATGTTGCCTAGGCTGGTCTTGAACTCCTGGGCTCAAGTGATCCTCCTGCCTCAGCCTCCCAGAGTGCTAGGATTATAGGCATGATCCACTGCACCTGGCCCCTTAAGACCTTTAATTGCAGAGCAGCAGAGGACAAATGACATAAATACAGGATTTGACTTTCATTTTTAAGTATCAAATTAGTGATGGGTTGACAAACAAGTCATACAGAATGTTCATGAATCAGTTCGGCCCAGGTAACTCATAACCCAAGACCTTTGGGTCAATGAAATTCTGCCACCTAAGTAGCACCATCCAATGATGTCATACCTAAAAAGGAAATTGAGTTGTAGAATTTTAGGTTTTAGGATTCTTTCTCTAAAACTGAGGAGCTGTGCCACTCTTCAAAGCCTCACAATTACATTTCATTGGTTCTTATGCCATCTGGGTTCTGGTTAGAGGGCTGATGGAAGTACTCAAGAAATATTGGAAGTACTCAAGAAATATTAGAAGGTGGGAAGAAGGTACCTCTCTTGTTCTTGTCAGTGGCAGCACCAACAGTGGGACTTTGGGTCTCTGGGTTCCAGCTCAGCAGCAGAGGTACTAGTACTGTAGCTCCAGCAGCTTCAGCAGGAGTGCAGGCTCATGGGATCAGAGAACCACCTTTTCCGCTTTGTTCTTCCAGCCCAGCCAACAAGTTTGTAGCTATTTCCCTGCATTAAAACTCCCCTCTGTTTGAAATATCTATAGTAATTTTTCTTTTCCTGACTAATACAACCTGTTAAAGAAGCTGAAGCTCTGGTAAGTTAAATGCCCAACAATGGTCTTGAGTAGCTAGTGATTTTTGTTGCTATTGGTAAGTAAATCTAGACACTACTTTTTAGTCCCTTTTTTAAAAGAGGACTGGTTTATCTATGATGAATACATGATTGATTGATTGATTGATTGATTGATTTTTACTTTTTCTTTTTTTTTTTTTGAGACGGAGTCTTGCTCTGTCACCCAGGCTGGAGTGCAGTAACATGATCTCTGCTCACTGCAAGCTCCTCCTCCCGGGTTCACGCCATTCTCCTGCCTCAGCCTCCTGAGTAGCTGGGGCTACAGGCATCTGCCACCACGCCCGGCTAATTCTTTTGTATTTTTAGTAGAGACGGGGTTTCACCATGTTAGCCAGGATGGTCTCGATCTCCTGACCTTGTGATCCGCCTGCCTCAGCCTCCCAAAGTGCTGAGATTACAGGCATGAGCCACCACGCCCGGCCTAATTTATTAAAACTTTCGGGTGGTCAGGTAATTCTGATTTGTCAGCCATATTTCTAAATTATCATTGTATTTTATCTTACAGTTCTTTACAATGTAGAAAATCTTATTTGAGTGTTGTTTACCTCTAATAATCATGTTTTAAATCTAGAGATGCCCAATTTTGAATAAAATGGAAGCCTTTCTAAAAGACTATAATTTTAAATGATAATATTCCATTCATATAATAATTGCTACTTCACATGTACACAATTGAGTGCCCTAAATACTAAACTTAAAGAAACTAATACTTCAGGTGATTGCTAAACTCTTAATATCTATTTCTCAATTTCAAAGTTGAAAACCAGCAACTTATAACCTAAAACAATTTTTTTTCTGTTTCTCCTTTCTAAAGCTCTTTCACCATGCCTGGATCACTTCCTTTGAATGCAGAAGCTTGCTGGCCAAAAGATGTGGGAATTGTTGCCCTTGAGATCTATTTTCCTTCTCAATATGTTGATCAAGCAGAGTTGGAAAAATATGATGGTGTAGATGCTGGAAAGTATACCATTGGCTTGGGCCAGGCCAAGATGGGCTTCTGCACAGATAGAGAAGATATTAACTCTCTTTGCATGACTGTGGTTCAGAATCTTATGGAGAGAAATAACCTTTCCTATGATTGCATTGGGCGGCTGGAAGTTGGAACAGAGACAATCATCGACAAATCAAAGTCTGTGAAGACTAATTTGATGCAGCTGTTTGAAGAGTCTGGGAATACAGATATAGAAGGAATCGACACAACTAATGCATGCTATGGAGGCACAGCTGCTGTCTTCAATGCTGTTAACTGGATTGAGTCCAGCTCTTGGGATGGTATGTTACATGCCTATTCCCCGCCGTCCCCCAAAATTTTTTTCTAAGGTTCAATAGACCCAGATGACACTTTAATTAATGCAATACGCAAACTTTTGTAATTTGTCCTTGTTTGGATATATTAAGAAAGATATTTTACCTGTCTGTCATTATCCGAATTGTGAATTGGTTATCTTATCTTGTAGGACAAATGGTCTATTCAAAATTTAGTCAGATGGATGACAGAGCCTTGGCAGATGAATTTTAAAAAAAAATTAGAGCATTTTCTTTCTTTATCAAAGAAGGGAAAAGCATATTCTGGGGAAAATATAACAGACTTCAGTTTCCATGTTTGGTTATAGTGTTGAATTCCTTCTTGTGAAATAACAAAAAATATTTTTCAGGACGGTATGCCCTGGTAGTTGCAGGAGATATTGCTGTATATGCCACAGGAAATGCTAGACCTACAGGTGGAGTTGGAGCAGTAGCTCTGCTAATTGGGCCAAATGCTCCTTTAATTTTTGAACGAGGTAAGTGCTTGGGAAAGCATTTTTGTTTTTTTTAGCACAATATGCTGAGAAATTTGAAAATAGAAGTAGGAGCTGTCGCTTACTTAATGGTCATTAAATGCAGGTACTACTTGCTAAGAGCTTTATGTGTGTTATCATATTTATGTTTTTTTTTCTTTTTTTTTTTTTTTGAGACCGAGTTTCACTCTTGTTGCCCAAGCTGGAGTGCAATGGCACGATCTCGGCTCACTGCAACCTCTGCCCCCAGGTTCAAGTGATTCTCCTGCCTCAGCCTCCTGAGTAGCTGGGATTGCAGGCACACACCACCATGCCTGGCTAATTTTTTGTATTTTTAGTAACAGGGTTTCACCATGTTAGCCAGGCTGGCATCGAATTCCTGACCTCAGGTGATCCGCCCCCCTCAACCTCCCAAAGTGCTGGGATTACAGGCGTAAGCCACCATGCCTGGCCTGTATTTAATCTTCATAGCAGTTTTATGAGGTAGGTGGTGTCATCCCCACTTTACAGAGAAGTGGGTTAATGTAGGGTTCAAATGATAAATAGTAACTTGCTGATAGTCACTGGCAATTTTAATTTGTCTTCAGTGTAGTAGAGTAACTGTGAACTGTTAGAGTTATGAAACTGACATGGAAAGTTGTATACCAAAGGAGTCTTAGGACTGTCCATGGATACTGTTATGTATCATTTCACTTATATTGGCTTCAGCTTGCGATTTCTCTACTGTAAGTGGTGAGAATTGATCAGATAGTTAAGGAAGGTCCTTAGATAATGCAGTATACTTATTAACATACAGACATCAAGAAGCAGAAATATATAGACATCTTCCTTTTTGGTTCTAATAGGGCTTCGTGGGACACATATGCAACATGCCTATGATTTTTACAAGCCTGATATGCTATCTGAATATCCTATAGTAGATGGAAAACTCTCCATACAGTGCTACCTCAGTGCATTAGACCGCTGCTATTCTGTCTACTGCAAAAAGATCCATGCCCAGTGGCAGAAAGGTAAGTTTTACCCATTTTCCTTGGTTTTGGTATGAGTTGAGAGCAGTCTAATGTACTAGGTATCTTTGGTAGGCAACTACTTTGTGGGCATTCTTCATTTAATATCCTTTTACCATTAATTCCTCATTCACCAAACAACATTTTCCCATAGTTTCTGGGAAAGTGTAATTTACTAGAAGAGGTAAACTTTGGAACTGAGGTGTATCTCTGCAAAAATATTTAGGTCGGTTTACCCCTTGTAAGAAAATCAAAGTGGAGAAAAGAAGGTAAGTTGAATTTTGTTCATCTTTTGAGAGAGGTATTTTAACAAGGTTTTGGACTACAGCTGTGATTCAGGGAAAGCTAATGAAAATGAATTACTAAAGTGATCTTACCCCAAAAATAATCTTTTTGCACTTGACCTGTGAATTTGTATTTGTTTTTTTACTGTTATCATTAATCTGGAAATTTGTTGAGGCACTGAAAGGACAGTATTTGAGTTAATGCTATCATAACACATTATTACATAAAGTATACTTTTTCTGTAGTCCAACTTTGCTTTTTAGAGGTTATGAGAAGGGGTTAAAAATCATATTCAATGACAAATATCAGTGAATTTAGTCGCTCTGGATAAGAAGCATTCTTGCAGTATATATTAACAGAATAGTGGTTTTCTAACTTTTTTATTAGGACCCACAGTAAGAAGTACATGTTACATTGTATGTGTATGCCAGACTGAAACAAAAATGTCATGACATTACTTACCCTTGCTGCAAGTTATTCAGTTTGCTATTTTTCTACTGCATTTTGTTTTTTAAAATACTCTTTTATTTAAAAAAAATACTAATCCTGACCCACTAAATTGATTATGTAACCTGCTAATGTGTATGAATCTTAAATTTGAAAATTAGTGACATAGTACATATTGTTTCATCTTTGAGTGTCTTTTTAAATGTATACTTTAAGGTATAGAGAGGTTTCATTATACAGTGTATTTGTGGTTGCTGTTTAAACATATACAAATATCCTAGCTTTATTCTAAAGTCAAACTTTAAAATTTCATGGCTTATATGAATTTCATAGTTTCCTTGGACTTCTCTTTCAGAGGGAAATGATAAAGATTTTACCTTGAATGATTTTGGCTTCATGATCTTTCACTCACCATATTGTAAACTGGTTCAGAAATCTCTAGCTCGGATGTTGCTGAATGACTTCCTTAATGACCAGAATAGAGATAAAAATAGTATCTATAGTGGCCTGGAAGCCTTTGGGTAAGAGGAGCTATTATGAGTTTTTTCCTTCTATATTAGAGCATTTTTAATATCTGTTAAGCTGTTATTTGTACAGACCTGAGAAATTGAGAGTCAGAAGAATCTTAGAAGTCATCCAGTCTAATCTGTGTGTCTCAGTCAGTGAAGAATCTAAGTCCAGAGAGGTGGTAGTTAACATGCACAAATTCTTTAGACATTTCTATTCAGATTTTCTGATTTATTTCTTTCAGCTCCATTCATGTTGTCACGATAAAGTAACTGCACAAGGGCCTATATTCACTACAGCAGCCTCTTAACTCCTTACCTCTCTCAGCACCCCTGCCCCCATGCCCTTTTCCATCCTGCACACTGCCACAGCTAAAGTCAGCTTTTGTACTCCACCTGTCTTTTTCTCACTTTAGGCTCCCTAGCATGCTATGTGTGTTCAACTCGTTCTGTTTCTCCCTGTGTCTCTTGTGTGTCCTTTCTCTATCTGATAAAATTATACTTGACTTTTAAAACTTGGCTCCTGTAATACCATGACTTTTCTAACTAAATAAACATTATTATGGACTTGAAATAGTATTCTATTCAGTTGATGAATATTCAGTTGATTGAATATTCTATTCATTGAAGCCAATATAAGTGAATATAAATATAAAGCTACAGTGCGTCTTTTAACCTATTCAAATCAAGCAGGCTTAACTTGATTATGAAAACTTTTGAGAAAAAGAACCATATATATACAACTGTTATGATTTCTATAGCAATTAGATTGCTGCTACTTGGCTTTTAATAAATGAGAAAACAATTATATACACTTAAAGATTTGAATCCTAATTAGGCCTGCTGTTTAGTGTAATAAAAACATAGGCTTTAAACACTGTAAAACTGTAAAATAAATCTTTCAGGGATGTTAAATTAGAAGACACCTACTTTGATAGAGATGTGGAGAAGGCATTTATGAAGGCTAGCTCTGAACTCTTCAGTCAGAAAACAAAGGCATCTTTACTTGTATCAAATCAAAATGGAAATATGTACACATCTTCAGTATATGGTTCCCTTGCATCTGTTCTAGCACAGTAAGTATAAATTTCACCTACTACTTAACTCCCCTTATTTGGGAGATGTTAGATTTCTAAGACCAAATCTAGTGTCAAGCATGTTGGTGGTAGATCACAGAAAATTTTATCTTGAGGCTCTCTAATCTGCTATTGTCCATTGACTTGAAAGATGTATGGGTTGAGGCTACAGTTCTTCCAGAAGTATTTGTTAATTTCATACTGGCTTTCCTGGCTTCTGTTTTCATGGTTTTTTAATTCTTGACCTACAGTTGAACCATAAATACCTGGTTGATGAAGTAACTTGTTTTGTGGCATGACTTTCACAAGCTCTGTCATTCCCCACAAGATGAAAACTCACATGCTGCAATATTAAAACTAAGTTATATTCCCTACTGCAATATTAACACTTTGAGTTAGATCCTTAAAACTTTAAGTTAGATTCTACTTTTACTTATAGCCTAAATTTTTATTGCTACTTTTATAGCTTCCCACACGCTGTAGCTTTGGATCAGTTAAACTTCTGAACTATTGTTACACCCTACATAGGTACTCACCTCAGCAATTAGCAGGGAAGAGAATTGGAGTGTTTTCTTATGGTTCTGGTTTGGCTGCCACTCTGTACTCTCTTAAAGTCACACAAGATGCTACACCGGGTAAGTGCTGAATCTTTCAACAAGAATGTATTGAGAACTGAGTCCAGGCACAGTGGCTCACACCCGTAATCCCAGCAGTTTGGGAGGCCGAGGCGGGCAGATCACCTGAGGTCAGGAGTTCGAGACCAGTCTGGCTAACATGGCTGAAACCCCATCTCTACTAAAAATACAAAAATTAGCCAGGTGAGGTGGTGCATGCCTGTAGTCCTAGCTACTTGGGAGGCTGAAGTAGGAGAATCACTTGAATCCAGGAGAGGGAGGTTGTGGTGAGCCAAGATCACACCACTGTGCTCCAGCCTGGGTGACAGAGCGAGACTCTGTCAAAAAAAAAAAAAAAAAATGTATTGAGAACTACTCTGGGGAAGTTGATTTAGCAGTCTTCTCAAGTGAGCACCTGAATCTGTCCCACAGATCATTACAATATTTTAGTCTTCATTACTTCTTTCAGTAGGTTTTTACTCTCTGCCCTAAAAATCTATCCAAAAAAAAAAAAAAAATTCTACCTTATCTGGATAAAGGATAGGACTAAGTTATCTAATTTTTATAGGCTTATGGTCTTGGCTATATTTAAGGTCACTTTTGTGCTTTCCCTGAGCAGGAAAGAGCAAAAATGTAGAGATAAACTGATGAAAACTTGACATTACTTTTTAAAATTATACCATGGGCCAGGTGCAATGGCTCACACCTATAATCCCAACACTTCAGGAGGCTGAGGTGGGAGGATTGCTTGAGGCCAGATGTTCAAGGCCAACCTGAGCAACATAGTGAGACCCCATCTCTATAAAAAATAATAAAAATAAAATAATTGTACCATGGATTAATTGTAGACAAGTTATTTATAGTTTCAAATTATGCCTGTTTCCTAACTTGTCTAGTGGCAGATACTCAATAATAGATTTCTAGTCTGACATCATAGGAGATTTGTCAAATAGGTATCATCTTATCTTTTAACTAATCAGTAGCCAGTAGTTTTAATGAAAATGAAAAGTTGTTTTGCCTCATTTGGCAACATTTTACTTAGGCTTCTTTTGGACATGATTTTTCAAAAAAATCTTTTAATGTTGAATTATTCACTATTTTAGGGTCTGCTCTTGATAAAATAACAGCAAGTTTATGTGATCTTAAATCAAGGCTTGATTCAAGAACTGGTGTGGCACCAGATGTCTTCGCTGAAAACATGAAGCTCAGAGAGGACACCCATCATTTGGGTAAAAATATTAAATGTTCTTTAAGTTAACCCATTTGGAGGGCTGATATCATTAAGGATGCTACATATACGATAAGGATATCAAGACTTTACTCAGTACTAATCTGATGTCAGTGAAAATTATTGGGATATATGAAACTTATCTTTAGCTTTATTACCAGATGAATTGTATATCATAACTAATTGTAGATATTCTCTCCCTTTCCTTTAGTCAACTATATTCCCCAGGGTTCAATAGATTCACTCTTTGAAGGAACGTGGTACTTAGTTAGGGTGGATGAAAAGCACAGAAGAACTTACGCTCGGCGTCCCACTCCAAATGATGACACTTTGGATGAAGGAGTAGGACTTGTGCATTCAAACATAGCAACTGAGGTAAATAAAAGAGTTCCCATCTCCATATCTTAGGGTTTAGGAGACCTAACTGGGATTTAGCAACATAAATAAATGTCAGTAAAGAAGAGTAAGGGCTCTGGGAGTAGATTCTAGCTGTACTATTTCCAATTGTATAAAGTGCTTTGCATTTGAATTATTAATATTTTAAGAATATACAGTAAAGGCCGGGTGCGGTGGCTCACGCCTGTAATCCCAGCACTTTGGGAGACTGAGGCAGGCAGATCACGAGGTCAGGAGATCAAGACCATCCTGTCCAACATGGTGAAACCCTGTCTCTACTAAAAATACAAAAATTAGTTGGGCTTGGTGGCACGTGCCTGTAATTCCAGCTACTCAGGAGGCTGAGTCAGGAGAATGGCTTGAACCAGGGAGTCAGAGGTTGCAGTAAGCTGAGATCACACCACTGCACTCCAGCCTGGCGACAGAGCAAGATTCCATCTCAAAAAAAAAAAAAAAAAAAAAAAAGAATATACAGTAAATACTAGGTTTTATTAATGATACCAGGATTTAAAGGAAGACTGATATAGAGAGAAGGTTCATTTGTGGTGTGTGTCTTTGTGAGAGATGGAGTAGAGGGACAAGGATCCTTTCACATCTCATCCCAGATCATGGTCAAAATCTGTCCTCAAATTGTCAAGAAGTAACAATCATAGCTATGATTTGAATTCCTGTTACCTGCTAGGCACTTTACTTACGTTTTCTTATTTAATCCTTACAACAACCTCCTTGAAGTTTATAAATGATACTGTCCTCCCTTTAGAGATGAGCCTCCAAGAAGTTACATTACTTGCCCAGGATTATAGGTAGTAAGTATTAAAGCCAGGTTATAAACTAAGGACTTTATAACCTTGAAACTACTTATTTATCTGCTTACTACAAGTTTGGTAAATGGATAGTCTTGCTTTTTGCTATTATACAAATTAGGTAGCAAGTCAAACCGCCACTGTTTGAGTTGCAAATACAAGACGTAACAAGTAAAATACTGTTACGTGGTGGGTCTCTGTGGCAGGCTTCCTCTCCCCCCCATATGGATAATTGTATACTAAATTCACCATAAGGTGAAAAATGGATATTGAGTTCCCTTCATGAAAAGTTATATAAAATATATATTTAGCATAAACTTCTCCAGAGTTGTCCTTTATTAAGTTTCTTTACAGAAACTTTAATTGGTGCCATGATTCTTGTGGGGGAAAGAATCATAAGAGCCATCAACTTTTTTCCTTTCATTTTAGCATATTCCAAGCCCTGCCAAGAAAGTACCAAGACTCCCTGCCACAGCAGCAGAACCTGAAGCAGCTGTCATTAGTAATGGGGAACATTAAGATACTCTGTGAGGTGCAAGACTTCAGGGTGGGGTGGGCATGGGGTGGGGGTATGGGAACAGTTGGAGGAATGGGATATCTGGGGATAATTTTAAAGGATTACATGTTATGTAAATTTTTATGTGACTGACATGGAGCCTGGATGACTATCGTGTACTTGGGAAAGTCTCTTTGCTCTATTTGCTGACATGCTTCCTGTTGTGGTCTGGCCAATGCCAAATGTACTCGAATGATGTTAAGGGCTCTGTAAAACTTCATACCTCTTTGGCCATTTGTATGCATGATGTTTGGTTTTTAAACATGGTATAATGAATTGTGTACTTCTGTCAGAAGAAAGCAGAGGTACTAATCTCCAATTAAAAAATTTTTTAACATGTAAGAATTTTGTACTTTGAACAACAAGATTACAGAAAGTACCTGTGGTTTTTGGAAAACATTTCTAGCTTGGGGAATGTGACAACATTCCCCAGTGTGGTAAAATTGGGGTAAAATGTGGTAAAATGTGATACGCACAAACCCTTTGAAAATAGCAAAACAAACATGCCCTTTTTCTAAAATTGATAAATCCTAAAGAGGAAGAAAAGAGCTGGGACAATAAAACACTGGCTCTGGAATCTGGAATGTTAAGTCCAGGCCAGCAGTGACAAAAGTTATTGTAATGACCTCTGAACAGAGAAACACTGCCATTGAAGAGGCTTCTGGTATAGAAAACATGGTACATTCAGGAGCTGTGAATATAGCTCTAGGTGTGCTCCTGAATCAGTTCATGGTAGATTATGCTGAACAACAGTGAGATGTTATTGGAGGTGTGGATGAGGGAGTTTGTTGTTGCAGTCCTTCTTTGCACCTTATTTTAAAGAATAAATGAAACATTTTTCTGGTTACTTTTTTAAAAATTTAAAATGGAAGGGAAGAATAGGGGCAGGGCATTATTAGGCTATTTCTGATGCTTCAGTGTTATAAATTCAACATAGAGGCTGACAACCTAAATTCATGGTGTAACACAGCTCTTTTCCTTTTCCTTTTTTTTTTTTTTTTGGTATCTGTTCAATGAAAATAAGGTATGACCCAAGTTTTTACCTAGTCTGACTAGAAGTATTCCACTTCAAGGTCTGAAGTAGGACTTTTACCTTAAAAAACAACAACAAACAAAACTATCACACAGGATAGATAAGAAGATTGGTTAAACAGTTTTGTGTAGATCTTTTTGGTGCTGAACTATGACATGAGCCTTATAGATTGTAAAATAGGGATAGTTGGAACTAATGTACAGAACTAAATTTTTTAAACTTTATTTGCTGTTAAATTCTGTGAAGTTTCAGTTATCTAAAATAAATATACACAAATATGAAATATAATGTTTCAGATTGCAAGGTAATATGTAATAGTAGTGTTTGTAAGATACTCTTGTCTAATATTAACTAGTAGTATTTTGATTTGTACAGTCATAATTTGTTAAAATGACTTCATTTAACATTCACTGATGTAGATTAATAATGTAAGTTCTGATTTAAAGAATGGTGGCAAAATGGTGCATGTAATACTTTTGCAAGTGTTGGGGAGATCGGTATGTTTTGAAAAGAGTAATTTAACTTTTGGGTGCCAGGAAATGGGTTTTCTCAAAGTCCATTGCCGGCAATGGGCAGGCCTGCAAATACTGGCACAGAGCATTAATCATACACCTTATTAACGGTGAGGTGAATAACTTTGAAATAAAGTTTTAGAGAAAT
This sequence comes from Homo sapiens, assembly GCF_000001405.40. Taxonomy (NCBI): domain Eukaryota; kingdom Metazoa; phylum Chordata; class Mammalia; order Primates; family Hominidae; genus Homo; species Homo sapiens. The sequence goes on along the minus strand of NC_000005.10, from coordinate 43,289,400 downwards.
GTTTCAGATACTTGAGTATTCTTTTTCACTCTTGAACTAACAACTTCGGCAAGAAATCAGCTAATATTCTATTTTTAAATATGGGCATTAATTTCATTTCAGTTCGTTCACTCATTCCATTCATTTATCATTTCACAAACATTTGAAATCCTAATATAAGCAAGGTGCTCTGTTTAAGGCAGAAATTTGAAAATGTACAAGATATATGGTCTTGTCTTTAAGGAGCTGTTCATCTAGAATGGAGGAATTTACACTGATAATTATTCCTACACTTGAAACAAAGAAATTAACTCTCAAATTGCGTGGCAAGCATATATAGACTTTGCTATAAATATTTATGAAATGAGTTACTGTTTTCCTTAAAAAAGCTAAGACTAAGGGCTGGCAATCAAATAAGAGCAAATTTAGTGGTGAACGTAGAACTGCCCACTACCAGCTAGAGTCTCCAACCTAAAAGTCCCATGTTGCTAGTGATCCCCAGGGGTTTTATAGAAGGAATCCCTGCATTGGCAGTAATTTTGGATTAGATGATCCCTAAGAGCACCATCAAGTCTTAGGATTCTATGAATTAGGAAATAAACCAAATTATATATTTTCTAATACTGATCAGCTCATATTTTATCATCATGTCATGTCTGGCTTTCATACTTAGTCATAATTTACTTTCTGGGTCATTTAGAGGCTAGCGTTCTCTAAGGTCACTTCTGCTTGCACATTGTAGGATATTATTTAGTATGGCTTTAAGAATTCAATCTTTCCCCCTCTCCTTTATGGAATGTGTGTTTCCTCTATTTGTACACTTAACCTTTTGTCCTAAGTTTTTATTTTTATGGATACTAATGAGTAACTTTGAGGTTGACACTAGACCCAAACAGATGCAAACAGCCACTTTCTGTCCTCTTGTGACACAGTTGAAACACTTTATCTCTTGTCTGCTGTTTGGAGTGTCCTGAAAGAAACACTGAAGTGGCAGTCAACAGAGCAAGGGTAACAGGATCTTTAAATAATTTAAAGTTGTCTGATCTTGACATAAAAGTGAACCCTTTCTTTAAAATTTCTAGCAACTGCTCTTAAGTCATAGGTTCCTCATTTTTTCTTTGCTGGTAGTGGGAGAAAATAGTTGATCTGTGATTTTTGTTTTCATCTCCCCAAACTATGTTATAAAGGCAGTAATTTGATGCTGAAGATTATGATTAGAAATCCTCAGATGGGTTATATATTGGGGCTTTATCTTTTAATATTAAAAAGAATGTCTTTCCTGGACTACTTTATTCAGTAGTAAGCACTATTCATTCTATGTATATTCCTTATTCAGCCTTGCAGACTCCTGTGGGATCTGATCTCTTCCTGCTTCAACTCAGTACCATACTCACCAAGGCTTAGTATGTCTTCACCCACTCTCCCTTCTCTTGCATTCCTCAAACATGCTGAGTTTATTCCAGCCTTAAGCCTTTGATCTACGCATCAGAAATGTTGGGCCCCACTTCAGATCTTCTCTGCCCTGCCTTCTACTCCAGTCACTGCTGTGGTAACTAATTCCATGAAGTCTTTGACCAGGTTCTCAGAGAATATGATAGTACCTCTCTTTGGATTCTAGCTGTATACCTTTCACTTCAGCCTCCCTGACGTGGAATGTCTGCAGAACTTGTTTGGTACTCCCAATTGCACAGCCCAAAGGTGCAGGGGAGTTAGGTGCCCATGGGGCCATCCTTGACCTAGGTGGAAAGTTGCTAGTGGATAACTGATTACTCTTTTCATCACCTGGGCAGACAGTTCTGAAATGCATTTCGTAAGTCTCCTCAAAAGAGGAGGAGACTTCTGTGGCGGGTTTGGCAATAACCATCCTTATATTGGCTTTCCTCTTTTGTTTCACTCCTGTGCATCTCTCTTGCATCCTGGGATCGCTTCTCAAATAAATGACTTTCATTCAAGCTTTTCTCTCAGGCTCTGTTTTTTGGGGAATCCAAACTAAGACGATTGGTACCCAGAATGGCCCTAGAAAGCAGGCATTCAGGATGGGAGATTGGAGCTGGTTTACTCACCAAATGACAAAAACCTCATTGCAGAATGATGCCCTCCCAACCCCTACCAAAGTTGCCCATTCCCAGAATCTGAATATGCTACCTTAAGTGTCTGAGGCAGGTGTGAGTAAGGTTAAGAACCTTGAGGTGGGGAGATTATCCTGGATTGTCTGTGTAAGCCCAGCCTTACCATGTGGGTCTTTAAAAGCAGAGAACCTTTCTTGGCTGGTGGTCAAGGGAGAGCGACTACAGAAGGTTGGCCAAAGAAATGCAATGTTGCTGGCTTTGAAGATGAAGGAAGATGACCGTGAGCTAAGGAAAGCAGGCAGCCTCTAGAAAGTTAACAAGTAAATGGATTCTCCCCTGGAGCCTCCAGAAAGGAGCACAGCCCTGGAAACACCTTGATTTTAGTCCACTGAGACTCATGTCAGACTTCTATCTCCCAGAGCTGTAAGATGATACATTTGTGTTGTTTTAAGCCACTAAGTTTGTGAATTTGTGATGACATCAGGAGAACACTGGTGCAGTGTTGGTAAGCAGAGTGGTGATAGCCTGTGGCATGCAGGAGCAGCACAGTCACCACTGACACTGTCATCTGTAGGTGTAGGTAGAAGATGAAGCATTGGATCCTGTAGTACCTATGGCACTTGAACAGTAGAGGGGCAGTGATAAAGTCTGTGGACTTGGCCAGCTTTTATTAACTGCTTTGGAAGCCTGGAAAACAAAATAACAGGCTCAAGTCAGCCAACTGTCAGTTTAAGGCAAGGTTGAAGGAGAGCCTTATCTCCTGCAGTGGAGAGAAAACTACCTGAAATAGGCCCAGTATCTAGTTGTAAGGTTGGAAAATACTAAGTCTTGACAATTTTCCTTTATGAAAGTTTAGGTTTGACAAAAAGAGAATAGGACACTGAGACCTAAGTTAGTAATACAGTGGATGACCCTGAAAATATTGCAAACCTGGATTTTCCTAGTGTGGGGCTGGCAGAAGCAGCTCATGCTCCCTTGCCTGAAGACCCTGCCAAGGCTTCCAGTGAGGCAGCTCTTGACCTCCACATTCTCTTCCAGAACCCTTATTATTCTCCAAACCAAGAACCAGGGTGACTTCTCAGTAGAGCCTGAGTGGAGAAATACAACCTCCGTCTCGGGGAAAATAGTGTAGATACTGAAGGAACTGCAGAACCTGATACATACTGTCAGGAACCAGGGGGAAATGTGTGTGAATGATTTTGAGGGTGTTAAGCCAAAGGTGGAAGTTGAGGGAAGACTATAAGGCGGGATAAGAAAGATTACTATAGGAGCCGGGCACAGGGGCTCATGCCTGTAATTCCAGCACTTTGGGAGGCTGAGGCAGGCAGATCACCTAAGGTCGGGAGTTTGAGACCAGCCTGACCAACATGGAGAAACCCCGTTTCAACTGAAAATACAAAATTAGCCGGGCGTGTGGCACATGCCTGTAATCCCAGCTACTCAGGAGGCTGAGGCAGGAGAATTGCTTGAACCCGGGAGGTTGCAATGGGCCAAGATCATGCCATTGCACTCCAGCCTGGGCAACAAGAGTGAAACTCCGTCTCAAAAAAAAAAAAAAAAAAAAAAGATTACTATAGGAATGTTTACCCATGACTTAGAAGTGAACAACACCTGAATTTGGTCATAATATTCTGTTGGGATGGCTGCTGAGGCTTGGCTATGATTGTGGCACACAGTAAATGAGGTGAAGATGGTGGAACTGCCTTGGTATGGTATTGAAGAAAGAGTTGGAAAGTTCCAGGAGGTGCGAATGTTAGAATGGATTCATTATGTGAGACTGAACAACCGTCTAACTATGTTCCTCAGGAAGACATTGCCTTCACTAAGGCAATGTAAAATGCACTGGTTTGCAAACTGTTCATCCAACAAGGGACTAATATCCAGAATATACAGGGAACTCAACAGCAAAAAATAATAATAATAATAATAATAATAATAATCTCATTAAAAAGTGGGAAAAGGATCTGAAAAGACATTTCTCAAAAGAAGACATACAGATGGCCAAGTAAGTGGAAAAATGTTCAACATCACTAATTATCAGGGAAAGGCAAATCAAAACCACAATGAGATAGCATCCCACCCCCAGTTAGAATGACTAATCAAAAGGACAATAATAAATGCTGGTGAGGATGCAGAGAAAAGGGAATTTTTTGTTTTCTTTTTGTATTTTTCTAGAGAAAAGGGAATTCTTATACACAGTTGGTGGCAATATAAATTAGTACAGCCATCATGGAAGACAGTATAGCAGTTTCTGAAAAAACTAAAAATACAACCACCGTGGGATTCAGCAGTCCACCTACTGGGTATTTATCCAAAGAAAAGGAAATGAGTATATCAAAGCAATACCTGTGCTCTCCCATGTGTGTTGCAGCACTATTCTCAATAGCAGAGATGGGACCAACATAAGTTTCCATCAACGGATGGATAAAGAAAATGTATATAAACACAATGGAATATTCAGCCATAAAAAAGAATAAAATCAGCCAGGCGTGATGGCTCATGCCTGTAATCACAGCACTTTGGGAGGCCAAGGTGGGCAGATCACATGAGGGTAGGAGTTCAAGACCAGCCTGGCCAACATGGTGAAACCCCATCGCTACTAGAAATACAAAAAATTAGCTGGGCGTGGTGGCAGGCGACTGTCATCCCAGCTACCGGGAGGCTGAGGCAGGAGAATCTCTTGAACCCGGGAGGTGGAGGTTGCAGTGAGCTGAGATGGCACCACTGTACTCCACCCTGGGCGACAGAGTGAGACTCTGTCTCAAAAAAAAAAAAAAAAAAAAAAAAAAATGAAATCATGTCATTTGCAGCATCATGGATGGAACTGGAGGTCATTAGGTTAAGTGAAATCAGCCAGGCACAGAAAGACAAATATCACATGTTCTTGTATATAAAGCTAAAAAGTTGATCTCATGGAGGTAGAAAGTAGAATGGTGCTTAATAAGCTGAGAAGGATGGTAGGGGTGGAGGATGAAGACAGGTTGGTTAATGGGTACAAACATACAGTTAGAAGGAATAAGTTATACTATTTGATAGCAGAGCAGGGTGACTACAGTTAATAATAATTTATCATATATTTCAAAATAGCTGGAAAAGTTGAAGTCTTCCTAACACCAAAAAATGATAAATGTTTGAGGTGATGGGGTATCCTAAATACCCTGATTTGATCATTACACCTTGTATACATGTATCAAAATATCACATGTACCCCATAAATATGTACAATTCTGTATGAATAGAAAATAATTTTTTTAAAAAAAGAATGCACTGGTGAGGGCTGCAGCAGCACGTAAGAAAAGCTCAGTGGTGGCTGCCCATTGCAGGCAGGGGTTGATGGTAGGAAATGCTGCCATGGAATTGAGCATGATATCATCAGTGGGGATGATGAGACTAGAATGGTAGAGGTCATGTATTATTACTTAAATGTCAGAGGCCAGGTGGACACAATATAATAAACAGTAAGGCTGGAGTGGAAATCAATCAGGCTGCCTTGATCTGCAGGGCTTTGTGACAATGGCTAATAAATCATGGAATTTTGGGAGACAGCTGACTACTATGTTACTTGACTTGTATGACCAAAATAAAGAAAAAACAAGGAAAACTGGTGAGCATAAAGCTAAGGTAGCCTGTCACAATGGGAAAATCACGGTCTCTTCATCAGCTTCCAGAGCTAAGTCAATTTACAGATCCAGTGCACAATGAAAAGGAGGACTGGTCTTGAGGAAAGGCCTTGCTTTCACAAGTATATATGATGTACATACCCAGAATTTTTCAGAACCGGATACCATTATGGCTTTGTACGTAGATGAGGGGTTATGGAAACCATATGATAAAGGGAGTCCTGGCCAAAGTCTATCACATAATGGTTCCCACCTTGGAATTATTCTCCCAACCTCTAAGTACATATTTGGGATCAATATACTTAGACCTCTGTGGAGGTCTTAGACCTGTGAAGTAACAACCATTATGGGAGAAAGAGGAAACCTCTTTCTGGCCATGTTAATAAATCATGAGCAATCCACATGAGGAATGGCAGACATCAGTGTCACCATCAAAAAATTTTGGGATGCAAGTGTAATGGGCTCCATCATAATCTCATTTAAGTTACCATTACACTTCTGAAAAAGAGCAGATGGATAATGGAGAATGATGGTGGACTACTGCTAGTCTCAGTTGTAGCTGCCATATTGGATGTGGTATCTTTACTGGCAGCCTCTGGCATTTGATATGCAGCTATTGATTTGGCAAATTCATTCTTCTAAATTTCCATCAGAAAGGAGGATCAAAAGCAGTTCACATTTCTCTGGGATGGAGAGCGATTCTCATTTACTCTATTGCCCCAAAACAATCTTAAATCTCCTTCTCTATATCACAATATAATCCAAAAGGACCTTGATCATCTTGACATTCTACAGGACATCATGCTGGCCCACTATATTGTGAGAGCATGCTAGGGGGATTGGCTATCAGGAAGTGGCAAGTATTACCAATGCCCTAGTAAGGCTTACATGTGCCAGGGTGTGGATTATAGACTCTATGAAGAATCTGGGGCATGCCACATTGATGAAGAGTTTAGAAGACCAATGAGTTGAGGCATGCCTAGATATTTCTTCTATAGTAAAGAACAATTTCTTGCACCTCCCACCTCTTAACACTAAGATAGAGGCATAGGATTTAGTAGGTCCCTCTGGACTTTGGAAGCACATATATTGTATCTGGTGTATTCCTCCCACCCATTTAACACGGCTGCCAGTTTCAAGTGGATCCCATAAAAGAAAGATTGCAGCAATTTTGGCTTCTGAGCAAACTGCTACTCAGGCTGTGTAGTGTGGGGCCTCTGGAAAGCCCCAATAAGAGATAACAGCACAGCTCTGTGGGATCCTGTAGTAACGCCATGCTTCCTGCGACAGAACTACTCAGACTCCCGATGTGCTACTGGGCCCCAGTGGAGGCTGAGAACCTGATTATGAGATACTGAGGACTAGGCAAACAGAGCTGTTAACGTATGAGCTGGGCATTATCAGATCCATGGAGTCATGAATTCAGATGGGCCCAGGAGTGATTCATCCTTATTGGAATTGATATCTCAGGGTATGGGTTTGCCTTTTCTGCCTGCAATGTGTCTTTCCATACAAGCACACTAAGACATAGAGAATAACTGACTCACTGTCATGATATCTCAAACATTGCCTCAAGGACCACTTTTTTGATAAAGGAGGTGGTGCAATGGGCACATGACAACGGGATCCCCTCATCTTACCATATACCTCAACATCAGAAGCAGCCAACATGAGTAGAACAATGGAATGACTCAGCTAAGACACCAGAGATGAGACAGCAGCCTGCAGGGTTGGGGTGCTGTCCTCCAGGATTCAGTAACATGCTTTAATAATGACTGATACATGTCCCTATCATTAAAACACAGGTCTGGAAACCACTAGGTGGAAGTAGATTGACTCCTGTCACCATCACGCAATTGGTGACTCACTTGATTAATTTCTATTCTTTTTTTTTCTACAATCTAGGCTAGATTAAAAGGTTTGGTTCCCAGGGGATCAGGGATGCTTTCATCAGGGGACTTGATAAGGGCTCCAGTGAATTGGAATCTACAAGTGTCACATGGTCACTTTGGGCTCCCCATGCCAGTGGACAAGCAGGCAAAGAAAGGAGGTATCGTACTGGTGGTGTACCTCTTCCCTCCTGCTCCAAGACTTCTCTGACATGAAGGCAAGGGAAGCTTAGGGAACCCACTTGGCATTCACACAGCCCAATCTGGGAGTGCAGGGCAGATGACACAAAGGGCCACCCTTGATCAGCGGTGAGCAAGAGCTTATGGTTAAATGCTTTCCCCTTTCATACCCAGGGCAGACACCTGAGATGTGTTTCATCAGGCTCCTCTGAGGATCCTGCAAAACCAAGCACCAGAAACTGTAGCACTAGCTAACTTGCTAATGTGTCTGTGTATTAGCTTTCCCTGTTTCCTCTGTCCTTCACTCCTGTGCTCTGGGATCAGTTCCCAAATAAACTACTTTATATGGAAGCCTTTGTCTTAGGCTCTGTTTTGGGGGGAACTGAGTCTGAAACCCCTAGCTGCCTGGAATGCTCTGGCATTTTGTAAAAGTCACTCCTGCTTCTCATTCAGATCTTAAACTTATATGTACTCAAAGTGGCCTTCCTTAATGACTAATCCAAAGTAGCAAGCCTCTGATATCAGATCACCCTTTTTGAATCCTCTGCATAGCATCTATCACTGATCTTTCTCTTTTTTAAAAAATGTAGTTGTTAGTACCTTTGTCCTGGGCTAGAACGTCCTGCACATGAGAGGAGGGACCTTGCCTATTTATTTCTTGCTGTTTCCCTAGCACCTTAAATAGTGCCTGACACACAGGAGGCACTGGATAAATATTTCTTGATTAAATGAATGAATGCTGAAATTTGATAATAAAACAAGATCCCAAATCAAGCCAGAATCTGAGCTAATAGACTTTTTGGAGAAAAAAAATGCATATCTCAAATTTAAGTTTATTTAAAAATTACAAAAATGTCTCCACTCAAGTTGTCCTTGAAAAAAATTTAGAAGCAGCAACAATCATCTTGGTTAGTTACAAGCAGTCTAGTGCAATTTATAAAATCGAGCAAAATTTGGATGTGTGTCTTATCCCTCTGTAGACACGGGACCCTTTTTTGAGGTCTCTTTCTTTAGGGTCTGGTAGCATCATGACTGGGACACTTTCCAAAGCCTTCTTCCTTTGGACTCTATGTAAAATAATTCTATAGACCCCTGTGATTGAGCTGCGAGCATCTCTCCCTTGGTTATTTCGAATATGCTCTTCTGTAATGCCCAAATGTTCTAAAGTGCTTTTGACCTCATTTTCTTCTTCCTTGAGAGTGCTGGTTTCCGACAAATGTTTGGGATCCAGTTGGAAAGGTTCCAAAGGTGTAGGGTATGGCACCCCTTGCATCCATTCATCATTCATGATGCAGTCGATTCCGTACCTCTCCGTGGGGATCTGCTGAAGGACTCCTCGGATGAGTCGGTGGCAGGGCTCTGACACGTGCGGCGGTACACTGTATGTGCCCTCGAGGATGCTCTTTTTTAGTTTGGCCACGGTTTCTGCCCGAAATGGCATGGTGCCAGTCACCATGAAGTACAAAAGCACCCCCAAGGCCCAGATATCCACGTAAATGCCGATGTAGTGCTCGTCCCGGAAGAGTTCAGGCGCAGCGTAGGGAGGAGACCCACAGAAAGTGTTCAGCATTTCACCTTTTTTGCTTACTGTGCTGAATCCAAAATCGCCCACCTTCACACAAGTATTACTGGTATAGAATACATTTTCTGCTTTCAGATCTCTATGAATAATTTGGTTTTCATGCTGTGGAAGAAGACATAGAGAAAAGTCATTTTTACAGTAAAATGTCAAAATAAAAAATGTATCAGTTGCTCTGAAACAGTGAGATAATGATGGTGGAATAACAAATTCAGTGAGGATCACCTTAAGTCATGATAGCAAACCCTGTCATAACCTTTAGCCCAATGTAATGCCTACACCTCCCCAAATAGACCAAAGTTCCTATTCTATGTGGTAAGGGTTGGAGTCTGTTCCACACATGTGGACTCAGAAACTAACACCAGAAATCAGACCCAGATCTTATGAAACTACACATTCTGAAATACAATGAAACAGTAATCCTTAGTTGTTGAGGTCATACATGGGTTTTTCTGGCTGATGGATCGTTTGACCAGGAAGGCTTGGAGCCCTCCCCTGACTTTCCGGCCATGCTTTTTGGGGTGGACTCTTTTATCCTTACAGAATTCAGCCGAAGGGAGGTGGTTGCATTTGGCAAGGATCTAGCCACAGAACACACTGTGGATTGTGGGCACATGCTCCACTCCCACCCTTGCATCCTGAATCCAGACAATCTTCAGAGGACCCTTGACCTGTTCAGTCCCAAGGGCTCTTGGAAAATGGCTTTGTGTTTGTCAGCTTTCCTGATGGCCCTCCTGGAATAAGAATCCAGGCTTTGGAGGGGACAGTCTGGTCAATTCTAGGTTCAACTATACCAGCTGGGTACTGTGAATGTCAGTTTCCTTCTCTGTAAAGTGGGATACTGATAACCATAGGCTGTGGTGAGAACTATATATGACGCTAACTACGTATGATGAGAACAGTGCTCAGCATGGTCTTGGCATATAAACAAACTCAATAAGATGTGGATCTATGGCTATGAAACACACTTCCTGTTTGCAGAGCGTTGGAGAAATGGCAGGGAGTAGAGCTGCTGAAGACTAACATCTGTACCTTCTATTGCTGGATTCTCTTCTGTTCTCCCACCAAGTTACTTTTCCAAGTAGAATGTGGAAGACTCTTTGCCCATCTGTTCTATTACTTGGTATGGGTCTGGCTTATTCTCTGGCCCTGGGAAAGCTCACCACAGCCCAAAGCCACTTAAATGATGATTGGTCATATATCACAGGTCTGAAACATCCACCACCACTACAGTCAAGCTCTTCTCCCTGGCTCACTTCTTTTTCTTCCTCCTCTCCTTCCCTACTGCTATTTTGGGCCCTCTAGGCCACAGATTCCCTTGCAAATTCTCCCTCTTTTGCCCCATTGCTAGCATGGACTGTTTTATCTGACTTTTTCAGTGCCTGGCATGTAATGAGGTTCACTGTGGCTCACTGATCCCAGTTCTTGCTCCTACAACCATGCAGGCTGAGAAGTGAATTGGAAATAGCCTCTCAACTAATATAGACCCTAGCCAAGTGTCTCTTTTCTGACAGATCCGTTCAACTGGGATCTGAGTAAAGATGGTGACTGACTAAAACTTTTGGTAGTAAAAGTGATACTCAGGCCTGCAAGTCAGGTTCCTCCTGTATGGCCCGCAATACGGCCAAAATTAAGGAGGCAGCAAAACAGCCAGTTCTTGGGAGAACTACAGAGTGTGCATTAGGAGTCCAGATTTATCTAAAGAAGTAACCAAAGAACTAAAATAAGAATGACACAAGCGGCCAGGCACGGTGGCTCACGCCTGTAATCCCACTACTTTGGGAGACCGAGGCAGGTGGATCGCTTGAGGTCAGGAGTTCAAGACAAGCCTGACAAACATGGTGAAACCTCATCTCTATTAAAAACACAAAATCAGCTAGGCATGGTGGCACATGCCTGTAATCCCAGCTACTTGGGAGGCTGAGGCAGGAGAATCGCTTGAACCCGGGAGGCGGAGGTTGCAGTGAGCCAAGATCATGCCACTGCACTCCATCCTGGGTGACAGAGGAAGACTCTGTCTAAAAAAAAAAAAAAGAAACAGAAAGAAAGGAAGGAAGGAAGGAAGGAAAAGAAAGGAAGGGAGGAAGAAAAGGAAGGAAGGAAGGGTGGAAGGCAGGCAGGAAGGAAGGGAAAAAAGAAAGACACAACCAAGTGTTAATCTACTGGGCACAGAGGCAATAAGAGCTAGGGGATCTTACTGAAGGCAAAATATCAGTATAACTGATGTGAGATTGAAGAACATCTCTCTCTCTCTCTCTCTCTCTCTCTCACACACACACACACACACACACACACACACACACACGGAGAGGGGGGGTGGGGGAGAGAGAGAGAGAGAGAACCAAGCTGGGCATGAAGTATGGATAGGATTTAGAATGTGAGATGTCATATGAGGGCATCCTAGACAGAAGTAGGAAAGCAAAACCAAGAAGCAGTGAGGAGCCAGCTATCCAGATAGTGGAAGATGAGGTTGGAGAAATGGGTATGGCCAGGGAGTGGGTGATATTCATCAGCTGCTCCCAGTGATTCCTGCCAATGTCTGCAGAAGCTAGGAGGTTGACGTGTAACTGGACATCCCTGGATGTTGCTTCACAGGCAAGGAGCATGATCCCAGCCAGACTTCTGACTCTCAGAAGGGACTACTGTCTGCTTTGTAGGACAAAAGCCCTCTGGGACACTTGAGGGTTAGTAACCTAAAGCCCTGTGCTCCCAGTGTCAGTGCAATGGGAGCAAGGTTCTCACTCGTCACCCCTGCTCACCATGTGCTTCACGGCAGACACAATCTGGGAGAAGATGAGCTTGCTTTCTGGTTCAGAGAGCTTCCCCTCAGTGCTAATTTTTCCGAAGAGCTCCCCACCCCCTGCATACTCCATCACCAAGTGCAGCTTGGATAGGGTCTCCACCACTTCGTAAAGGCGGATGATGTTGGGATGGTGCAGCTTTTCCATGCTGGAGATTTCTCGGGATAGTAGCCTCTGGGTTTTCTGGTCTAACTTGGTCTTGTCCAGGATCTTAATGGCCACCTTTTCTGCAAGGAAAAAAAGTAAAAATTGTGCCAGAATTCACAGGAGCATAGTTAGAACTGGAGAGGACCTGGATCAGCTCCTTTCCTTTACTAGACAGAGAGTGGCTGTTCCCAAGCTGAGAGAGCTCATCAGGGAATGACAAAGCAATGCTTAAGCCCAGCATCAGTGCCCTTCCCTTGGATCGGTGTGAGTCTTCCACACACAGGTTTTGATGCCAAGTCCTGCCTCCCAAGGAAAGTTTCCAGATAAAGCTAGAGCTCCTTTGCTAAGCCCGGAGAGAACTTCTTGATGAGACCCAGCTCATCTCATCAGCCTCACTGTCCATCATTCCTGTCCACCATCCCCAATGCCCCATGCACCCTTCATTGCAACCAATACAGAACTTTTTGTTGCTCCCTGAAAAGGGGCTGAACATTCATGCCTAGAAGATTTTCTCTACCTGGTTCATTCTCTCCATCATTCCTTCCCTGTTCTTTACTCTTGCTTTCACTCATCAATATAGTTTGGACATTTGTCCCCACCCAAATCTCATTGAAATGTAATCCCCAATGTTGGAGGTGGAGTCTGGTGGGACGTGTTTGGGTCATGGAGGCTGATGTCTCATGAATGGCTTGGGCCATCTCCTTAGTGATAAGTGAGCTCTCGCTCTGAGTTCACATGAGATCTGGTTCTTTAAAAGTGATGGGATCTTGTGGCATGTTCCCCCAACTCTTGCTCCTGCTTTCACAGTGTGATGTGCCTTCCACCTTCCACCATGATTGGAGCTTCCTGAGGCCTCTACAGAAGCAGATGCCACCACGCTTCCTGTACAGCCTGCAGAATCATGAGCTAATAAAACCTTTTTTTCTTATAAATTACTCAATTTTGGCTGGGCGCGGCAGCTCACGCCTGTAATCCCAGCACTTCGGGAGGCCAAGGCGGGAGGATCACGAGGTTGGGAGTTTGAGACCAGCCTGGCCAACATGGTGAAACCCTATCTCTACTAAAAATACAAAAATTAGATGGACCCGGTGGCAGGCACCTGTGCTACTCGGGTGGCTGAGGCAGGAGAATCACTTGAACCCAGGGAGGCAGAGGTTGCAGTGAGCCGAGATCGCACCACTGCTCTCCAGCCTAGGTAAGAAAGCAAGACTCCGTCTCAGAAAAAAAAAAAAAAAAAAAATTACTCAATTTCAGGCGTTTCTTTATAGAAATGCGAGAATGGCTTAATACACTCATCATTAATTCCTGATGATCCTTCAAGGTAAGCCTCAGAATGAACCTCTTCAGGAAGCCTCTGCAACACTTGTCCTAGGATGAACATGATGTTCAGATTCTGTGCACTTGGAGCCCCAATGTACTGTAATCTCAGCTAACCGGTCTGTAGATGTCACCTCCCTTGTTTATCTCCCTCTCTTGCCCCATTCCCAACATGAACTGTTTTATTTCACTCTCAGTGCCTGGCATGTAATGTCATGTACACGACACACCAGTACCCAGTGTTGACAGCGTGCTGGTGAGGCCAGGAGGAAATCAACACTGCAATGTGCTGCTGGCGGGAGCATTAATTGGTACAATGGTTCTGGATTGCACTTTGGTATTATGTATTGAAATGCTAAAAAATAGTTGCACCCTGGGACCCAACCATTTCACCTTTGGCAATCTTAAAGAATCTGATGCATGTACAAGGATGCATGTGTAAAAAGGCTTCTGTGATATTGGGAATAGCTTAAGTACCCAGCAAGAGAGATAGTTAAAATAGAGTGTGGTAGGTCTAATTTTATAATTTCACACCATGAAGCTATCAAAAGTAATGATGCTAACTTATTTATTAATATGAAAAGATGTCCACTATACAAGTGAGGAAAAATACAGATACACATTTGCATAGATAAAAATCTGGTAGCATATTTACCAAAATGTTTAGAATAGAGATTTTCTAATTGGCAGATCACAGATGGTTTTCCTTTCAATTTAGTTTTGCTTATTCATATTTTCTATTTTTTATCATGAATATAGACTTACTGTATAACGAAAATGATTAATGTTAGAAAATGAATGAATCTTGACTCCAAAGTGAAACATCATTCCTTTTTTGTTTTGGTTCAAACTGTACCAGACTTTGAATTAGATAACAAAGAGGTTACCTGGCAAGCAAACAGACAGAACAGGATCCCAAAGTACCTGTTTGACCTACTTACAAAATAACTGCTTTGAAAAACTTTAGCACTGGGACTATTAAAACGAAAATGGATACAGCTAGTTTAAAATAGGAGTGTTATTGGTATATTAAAGTAGGTCCACTGGGACTTCTGGAATGGAAAAAGGGTTCACTGGTGTCTGCGGCAGCCAGCCCGCCCCTCGCAGGAGGCAATACTGAGCGGTGGGAGGGCAGCTCTAAGGGAGCAGGAGCAGAATGTTTGCTCTGGGGCTTGAATAATCTCAGCTGGCAATCAGCCCCAGCAAAAGAACCTCCAATGGCAATCCTTGAGGCACTCTTCTTCCCCTTTCTTTTCTACTTTTCAGTCTTTAGGATTAAGAGTCCCTTCACCTATTTATCTGAAACAGAAACCTGGTTTTGTGTAGCATGTTGGGTAAGCTGTTGTTTTAAGGGCTAGATTAATGAATTCCACCCTTCGATTTCCTGTAGAAGAACCCACTGCTTCTCCTCAGTTCTCCCATTACTGACTCAGGTGTCAGTTAAGGTATCATCACTCTGCTGCCCCATCCTCCCTGTGGCCATCATACACCATTCTATCCACAGTGAGTGTTCAAGAATCAGGTGGTAGGTGTCAGGCTGCCATCACAAATGTCCCTTTAGCACCACCCTAGTTTTCTTTTTCTCCTTTCCTTTCATGGTTCTTAGCAAAGGCTTCCCTCCCAGAGCCAGGTCTAGAGTGTGGCAGGAGAGGCATTGTAAGGGTGAAAGCTTCCTTAAATCCTCTGCCCTAGGTGCCTCAATGGCCTCACCTCATGTGCAATCACCCCACAGGCAGGCCTCATAATATAAATGTATGATCATACTAAACACTTTAGAAGCCCTGGTATTCCACATTGTCGCTAGGTGGTAGAAACTGCTATTCCATGAAGAGCTAGATCTCTAAATCTGCTCTTTCAATAAATGTTCAATGAGCACCTACTATACACCAGGCAGTGAAAAAGATAAACACTATTCTCACAGTCCAATGAGAGAAAGACTAAAAAAAAAATCCCTTCTTACAAGCATAGCACCTATTAAGAAGAGATACAGACAGAGAATGGAAAGGCACTATCTGGGTAAGGGCACTTAAATTGTGACCAGGAAGTGAGGAGAGAGGCCTCATACTTGGCCTAGGAGCTTGGCAAGTGTGCTGCCCAGGCAAGACATAAGGTGTGTGCTTGAGGAACCCACTGTTCTGGAAAAGCAGAATGAGGAGGGGTGGCCCCAGATCAGCCTGGTAGTAGGAAAAGGTCAGATAAGCCAGGAGACTGCTTTAGAAATGCAGGCTTTAACTATAGGGCAATGAGAAAACATAGCAAGGTTTTAAGAAAAAGGGTTGTAATCTGAGTCCCATTTAAAAAGAGCACTCTGGGCCGGGTGTGATGCCTCACACCTGTAATCCCAGCACTTTGGGAGGCCGAGGCGGGTGGATCACAAGGTCAAGAGTTCAAGACCAGCCTGGTCAAGATGGTGAAAGTGAAACCCCGTCTCTACTATAAATACAAAAAATTAGCCAGGCATGGTGGCAGCCGCCTGTAATTCTGGCTACTTGGGAGGCTGAGACAGGAGAATTGCTTGAACCCAGGGGGCAGAGGTTGCAGTGAG